>NC_000009.12:70720552-71345552 GCF_000001405.40 Homo sapiens | reverse complement strand
TCCATGTATTCTCATGTTCAACTCCCACTTATGAGTGAGAATATGCGGTGTTTGGTTTTCTGTTGCTGTGTTTGTTTGCGGAGAATGATGGTTTCCAGCTTCATCCATGTCCCCGCAAAGGACATGAACTCATTCTTTTTTATGGCTGCATAGTATTCCATGATGTATATGTGCCACATTTTCTTTATCCAGTCTATCATCGATGGGAATTTGGGTTGGTTCCAAGTCTTTGCTATTGTGAATAGTGCTGCAGTAAACATACGTGTGCATGTGTCTTTGTAGTAGAATGATTTGTAATCCTTTGGGCATATACCCAGTAATGGGATTGATGGGTCAAATGGTATTTCTGATTGTAGATCCTTGAGGAATCACCACACTGTCTTCCACAATGGTTGAACTAATGTACATTCCCACCAACAGTGTAAAAGCATTTCTATTTCTCCACATCCTCTCCAGAATCTGTTATTTCCTGACTTTTTAATGATCGCCATTCAAACTGGCATGAGATGGTATCTCATTGTGGTTTTGATGAGCGTTTCTCTAATGACCAGTGATGATGAGCTTTTTTCATGTTTGTTGGCCACATAAATGTCTTCTCTTGAGCAATGTCTGTTCATATCCTTGGCCCACTTTTTATCTTTTGCCACTTTTTAATTTGAGTGTTTGTTTTCTTGTTATTGAATTGCAAGAGTTCCTTATATATTGTTTATAAGTCATTTGTCAGATATATTGTGAACATTTTTTCCAGGCTGTGGCTTGCTTTTTGTTTTATTAGTAGTGTTATGTGATGAGCAGAAGCTTTTAATTTTGAGGAAATCTAGTTTATAACTTTTTTGTTAGTATGTTTTGAGTCCTAGCTAAGAAATCTGAATCTGTCAACCTCAGTGGTGTGATGATATTGTCCTATGTTTCTTCTAAAAGTTTTATAGTCTTAGCTTTTATGTTCGTCCACTGTATTGCTATTATTTTTTCCTAGCAACTAATAAGCAACTTGTGAGAGATATTTTTAGGTCATGCAAATATCCTGTTTTTTAAAAATCCATTTTCCCTAGTAGATTTAGTATCCATTGATGTTTCTCGCTCCAGTTAATTTTTTTTTTTTGAGATGGAGTCTCACTCTATCTCCCAGGCTGGAGTGCAATGGTGTGATCTTGGCTCACTGCAACCTCCACCTCCTGGGTTCAAGCAATTCTCCTGCCTCAGCCTCCCGAGTAGCTGGGATTACAGGCATGCGCTACGATACCTAGCTAATTTTTGTATTTTTTGGTAGAGACAGGGTTTCGCCATTTTGGCCAGGCTGGTCTCGAACTCTTGACCTCAGGTAATCTATCCTCCTCAGCCTCCCAAAGTGCTTGGATTAAAGGCATGAGCCACCGTGCCCAGCTGCCCCAGTTAATTTTTTCTGTGGTGGTTTAAAATGACAGATTTTCAACCTACTCCACATTCATCAGTTATCATCTTATGTAATGAAGATTCCCTCCTCTTCAGTTTATCTATCTATCAATCTAATCTAATCTAATCTAATCTAATCTAATCTAACATGGAATAATAGATTCCTATTTTATGCAATAGGTTATAATTGTTATCATTTATTTTGATACTCAAATTGTCCCAGATATGGCCAGTAGGTGCCCCTTCATGATGAGTCCCCATTCCTTTTGAAATACCTCCATCATTCTTAAAAATAACTTCCTTACTTTCTGGTTTAATAAGATGACCCAGGCTCATCTTATATTTTCCCCACATCAGACCTGGAATAATCAATTTCTTCAAAGATTCCTGGATATTTTGTTCCTTCTAATGGGAAATTCTATGTTAGAAACCAGTATTTGGGTTCTGAGAGTGCTTGCTGCTCCTGAGATGTTATTACTTGGAGGCCCTTTCAGTGGACAGAGATAGAATATAAATATATATTTACCCTTTTCTCTTTATGAAATTACTTTCTGTAATTATTTTATGTAGATAACTTCAAGCCAATCTCACAGGATTCTTCTGTGCTTTCTTTCATTCCATATTTGTATCTCCTTTCTTCCATGTGAGTGTCCTAGCTCTCAACAATATCAACAGATCTATTCATTGTCCAACATAATATACATAAAGTAACCCCAGAATGGCCACCCCATGCCACTACAAAAACCAACCTACTAATAAAAGTTCAGGAAGTATTTGAATCCCCTCCCCACACTGATAGTGAAGTTGTATTGTCAAAATACTTTGATCAGAAGCTCCTTGGACTAGTTCTTTCTTTTTCAGTGTCATTATTTATTATTGTGAAATATAGTTGAGTACATTTATTTTTGTTTGCATTCAGTTCTGGGTTTCCTTTTTAACTTATTTTTGTATGCTAAATACAACATTTATGCGCTCTCAAGGTCAAAATTATACTTAAAAAATATACTAAAGGAAGTATGGGTCCATTCCCTAATCCTTTCACTCTTTTACCCCCCTCCCTTCCCTACTCTAAGCCCTTATAGAAAACCTATATAATTCTCTGGTTTATTCTTCTTGTGTTTCCTTTGGCAAAAATAAGCATATTTATTTTTTTATTTTACCTTTCTTATACAAAGGGTACACTATTGTAGATATTTTTAAATTTCATAGACTTAGTAATAGGCATTAAAGGATTCTTCATTTTTGTTGTAGCTTGATAGCTTATTTCTTTTTATCACTGAATAGTAAACCATTATACAGATGGACCACAGTTCTTACTTTTTAAAAATTCACTTATTAAAAGACATTTTGGCTCATTCCAATTTTTTTACAACTATGAATGAAGCTGCTGCTACAAATATGTTGTGCAGGTTTTTGTGTGGTTGTAGTTTGGCTGATTGGGGTAAAGATCTAGAAGCATAGTTGCTGGATCTTATAGTAAGCCTAATTTACTTTTGTAAAAACTGCTGCATTGTCTTTCAAAATGTCACCTATTTTACTTTCTCACCAGCAATGAATGAGTTTTTGTTGCTGCACATCCTTGACAGCACTTGGATATGTATTATTTTTCTCTTCACATTTTTCACTTAATAATACATCTTGGAAATTATTTCATATCGCTTCATGGAGTTTACTAATTACTTTTTATAGCTGTATAATACTCAATTGTGTAATTGTATCATAATTTATTCATATTTATCATATAATATCATAATTATTCTACCAGTCTTTTCTATTTGGGCATATTCATAGTTTTCAATGCTTTTGCAATGTGTTTCAAAAGTGTGTTTTCAGGATAAAGTTCTTGAGGTAGAATTGCTGAATAAAAGAGTAAAAGCATATATATTTATTTATATATATATATACACCTATTTAAAGATATCACCAATTTCTTCTCCATAAAGTTTGGCACATTTGGCATTCCAAATGTGCCAAACTTTATGGAGAAGAGAAGATATTTAAAAGTGATATTTAAAAGTGTCTGTTTCCCCACAGCCTGGCCAACATAATCTTTCTCATTTTGATAGATGAGAAATAGTGTTTCTGTGTGGTGTTACTCTGCATTTTTTCTGAGTGAAGTGTTTCGTCTGCATAAGGACCATTCTTAAACCATTTTAAATAGATTGTTCCTGTCTTTTGCTCATCCTCTCTGCCTCAATTTTTGGAAGCTCTTTACACTTTAGGGAGATTAGCTCTTTATCTGTGATGTATTGCAAGTATTTTCTCCCAATTTGTAATTTTTCTTTGACTTTATGGCATTTTTTTAATGCAGAAGATACACAAAAGTGGAATGTCCTCATATATACTTTTCTCCACTTCCCTTTAAGTTAACATCTTACATAACCATAGGAAAATTATCAAAACTAAGAAATTAACATTGGTATGTACTATTAACTGAATTACAAATTTTATTTGATTTTTTTTTTTACCAGTTTTTTCTTTTTTTTTTTTTACTAGTTTCTTTTTCTTTTCCAGGATCCAATCTAGGATTCTACACTGAATTTAGTTCTCATGTCTTACCCTTCTCCTATTGAGCATTCAATATATATCCTTGAGTTTTGTAACCTTAGCAATTTTGAACGGTACTTGTCACTCATTTTTTAAAATGTTTCTCAACTTGAGTTCGTCTGTAGTTTTCCAGTGAATAGGTTGAGGTGGTGCATTATCGGAAAAGATACCACAGAAGTGATATGCCCTTCTCAGTGTATCATACCAGATGTACATGTCATGTTGCTAGTGATGTTAACCTTGATCATTTGGTTAAGGTGGCATCTGCCAGATTTCCTCACCATGAAGTTACTTTTTTCCTGTTGTAATTAACAAATATTAGGGTAGGATACTTTGAGATTTATGCAAATAGCCTGTTTCTGCTTACACTTTTGTTGACACATTTAGTACTCATCAGTGGATATTGCCTGTAGCAGATTTTACTGTGGTGTCCCACTGGTAATTTTTTACTTTCCTCTTTCTTCCTATATATATCAATTGAAATTTTTTTTATAAGAGTTCCTTTTCCCAGTTTATTCAGTTATTTATGTAACCAATATAGACTCATAGGTATAGTATTATTACAATAATATATCTTTTATTTTAATGCACAGGATGTTCCAACTTTGGGAGCTTTTTCACATTGGCTTCTGTGCCGTTTTGACAAAAACTGATGATTTTTGGTGGTGGTGATGGTTGTTGTTGCGTTTTGGCACTTTTACTTTCTGGCACCCCAAATCATCCAGGGTTCTCTTGTATAGTTTTCCTGTTCTTCCTCTAGAATGACCACTTCTACAAGGAGCCCTGGTTTCTTTTACTGGAAAATGGTAGTAAGAAACAAAAATCTGTTTGCTAGGTATGCTCATTGCTACTGGGTGTCACTGCTTTTAGTCCTATTCAATAGATAGAGCTAAGAAATATATGTACGTATACCAACTGTATTAGTCGGTTTTCACACTGCTGATAAAGACATACCCAAGACTGGGCAATTTCTAAAAGAAAGAGGTTTATTGGACTTAAAGTTCTACATGGCTGGGGAGTCCTCACAATCATGGTGGAAGGTGAAAGACATGTTTTGTATGGCAGCAAACAGGAGAAGAGAGCTTGTGCAGGGAAACTCTCCTTCTTAAAACCATCAGATCTCGTGAGACTTATTCACTGTCACAAGAATAGCATGAAAGGACTTGCCCCCATGATTCAATTACCTTCCACTGTGTCCCTCCCACAACACATGGTAATTCAAGATGAGATTTGGGTGGGGACACAGCCAAACCATTTCACCAATCCATGCATTCACACACATACTGATCTCTGTATTTAGCTATATGCATATATAACAAAACCATCAGTCCATACTGATACCTTTCACTCCAGCCCAGCACTACTGGATTTATTCTAGCCTTCTCTCTTTCCTTATTTGTAACTTCTTTCTCTGGCAATGCTAAATCTGGATCTCATTGTCTGCAATGCATTTCATTTACACATTTGTTCAACCCTGGCATGCGTATAGTTGCAGAAATGCTAAACCATGCCCCAGGAAAAACAAATGCATCAACTTCAATCCAATGTTGTGTAGATTTCTTTTTGTCTTTAGCCTTACAATGTTCAGACAAAATCCTGTTTTCAAAGTTACTTAGGTCAGTTTTATTCCCTGGATCTACTCAGTGTGACCATGAGATTTATTTATAATACAGATAGATTTGTTTGACACTGTCTGAATTCCATCTTTACCTACAATCTGTTTTTGTAAATTTATATACCAAAAACGTCTGTTGTGTCTAGTTCTGAATTTTATCAAATGCATAGTCATGTGTTCACCAGGAAAGTTCATATTGAACAACTCCATCATCCCCAAAATTCTCCTGCTACCCCCTCAGAGTCAACTTTTCTCCCCATCTCCCAGCCTCCAGAAATCACAGATCTGTTGTCTAGTCCTATAGCTTTGCCTTTTCTAGAGTACTAAATAGAGTCATACGCTATGTATGGCATGATGAACAGATCTAATATTATCTTTTCCCAAATAGATGATAATTATGCCAACATGATTTATTTAAAAGTGTGTCTTTGACCCAGCAGTTCAAGAGGCCGCCTTTATCATATGCTAAATTTCTATGTTATTGAGTCTATTTCAGAACTTACTCTGTTCCATTGGCTTGTCAATTCATGCACTAGTATGCACATTGTTTTACTTTTGGAGGCTTTGTAGCATATGTAAATATCAGGTAAAGCTATTTTTCCTTTAAAGCTCTTTTCTTTGACTGTTTTCTAGTTATTCTTGCATATCAATTTTTCTATTTAAACTGCACTGCAACTTGTGTAGCTCCAGAAAAAAGATTTTTATTGTGATCACATTAAGTTTATGAATTAACTTTGACATAACTAACATCTTGATATTTGAGACTTTTAAAACAATAACAAGGGGTGTTTTTAATTTATATAAGTCTCCATTTATATCTTTTAAGGATATTTTTATAATTTTGTTCATAAAGGGTTTGAAGTTCATTTTTGAGTATTTTTTTATTGATGGTATTGTGGATTGAGTTTTGTCTTGCATTTTGTCTTACTCTGTAAGAAGTATTGATTCTTTTTTAGCATCCTAAGTTTATATCTGCTACATTATCTGATTCTTTTATCATTTTAACCATTGGTTCTCTAGCCATTCCTGGGTATACTATCATGTTATCTACAAATAGAGATAGTTTCATTTCTTCCTGTTTCGTGTCTAATTGAATTGGTTAACACCTTCAGTTAAATAGTATTGAAAAGGTGAATATTCGACATCTTTGCCTTGTTTTTGATTTTAGCAGAAATGCCAGTAATGTTTCTCTATCAAGTAAGATGCTGACTCTAAGACTGAGAGAGGGAGGGGTGTGTGTCTGCAAGGAAGTATCCATCTATTCCTCTTTATCAAGGATTTTTATTTGAAATGGGTGTTAAATCTTGTCAAAGGCTTTTTTTTGCAGCTAGTTACATGTTTTATTTCAGATACTGCTTTTTATCAGTTTTAGGATTTTGATTACTTTTACATTTTCCATATCTCTTCTGAGATCCCCATCTCTCATTACTCATACATTCATCTTTTCCTGTAGTTTAACATTGATCATAGGTTCTTTTCCGTTTTATCAATTCTTGTCCACTAATTCTAAAATCTGCCTTGGAACCGGGTCTGTTTCTGCTGACTTTTCTCTAGACTGAGTCATATTTTCATGTTTCTCTGCTAATTTGCTGGACATACTACGTATGACACATCATGTAGGCTTTGCCTTCCGCCATTTCCCTCTGAAGAGCGTTGAACGTTATTCCAGCAGGCGATTAAATTACTGGCAGATCATCTTGGCCTTCTGAAGGCTTGGTTTTAGGTTTTGTTGGAGTAGAGCTAAATCAGGCTTGCGCTTACTCTAAGGAACATCTCTGAGTCGTTAGATGTGACTTTTATTCCTCAAGTAAACAAAGGTTCAAAAAGGGATGGCTGAAGTTTTTACCAAGCCTTTTGACTTAGTGAGCAGCGCTGCCAAAGTTTGTGGTAAGCTCTTTTTTTTTTTCTGTTGTTGTTGTTGTACTTTAAGTTCTGAGGTACATGTGCAGAATGTGCAGGTTTGTTACGTAGGTATACATGTGCCATGGTGGTTTGCTGCACCCATCAACCTGTCATCTACATTAGGTATTTCTCCTAATGCTCTCCCTCCCCTGGCCCCCCACCCTGCAACAGGGCCTGGTGTGTGATGTTCCCCTCCCTGTGTCCAAGTGTTCTCATTGTTCAACTCCCACTTATGAGTGAGAACACGTGGTGTTTGGTTTTCTGTTCCTGTGTTAGTTTGCTGAGAATGATGATTTCCAGCTTCATCCATATCCCTGCAAAGGACATGAACTCATCCTTTTTTATGGCTGCATAGTATTCCATAGTGTACATTTGCCATATTTTCTTTATCCAGTCTACCATTGATGGGAATTTGGGTTGGTTCCAAATCTTTGCTATTGTGAACAGTGCTGCAATAAACATACATGTGCATGTGTCTTTATAGTAGAACTATGATTTATAATCCTTTGGGTATATACCCAGTAATGGAATTGCTGGGTAAAATGGTATTTCTGGTTCTAGATCCTTGAGGAATTGCCACACTTTTGTCTTCCACAATGGTTGAACTAGTTTACACTCCCACCAACAGTGTAAAAGCGTTCCTATTTCTCTACATCCTCTCCAGCATCTGTTGCTTCCTGACTTTTTAATGATTGCCATTCTAACTGGCATGAGATGGTATCTCATTGTGGTTTTGATTTGCATTTCTCTAATGACCAGTGATGATGAGCTTTTTTCATGTTCATTGACTGCATAAATGTCTTTTGATAATTGTCTGTTCATATCCTTTGCCCATTTTTTGATGGGGTTGTTTGTTTTTTTCTTGTAAATTTAAGTTCCTTGTACATTCTGGATATTAGCCCTTTGTCGATGGGCTTCCATTCTGTAGGTTGCCTGTTCACTCTGATGATAGTCTCTTGTGTTGTGCAGAAGCTCTTTAGTTTAATTAGACCCCATTTTTCAATTTTGCCTTTTGTTGCCATTGCTTTTCGTGTTTTAGTCATGAAGTCCTTGCCCATCCCTATGTCTTGAATGGTATTGCCTAGGTTTTCTTCTAGTGTTTTTATCATTTTAGATCTTACGTTGAAGTCTTTAATCCATCTTGAGTTAAATTTTGTATAAGGTGTAAGGAAGGGGTCCAGTTCCAGTTTTCTGCATATGGCTAGGCAGTTTTCCCAACACCATTTATTAAATAGGGAATCCTTTCCCCATTGCTTGTTTTTGTCAGGTTTGTCAAAGATCAGATGGTTATAGATGTATGGTGTTATTTCTGAGGCCTCTGTTCTGTTCCATTGGTCTATATCTCTATTTTGGTACCAGTACCATGCTGTTTTGGTTACTGTAGCCTTGTAGTATAGTTTGAAGTCAGGTAGTGTGATGCCTGCAGCTTTATTCTTTTTGCTTAGGATTTTCTTGGTTATGCAGGCTCTTTTTTGGTCCCATATGAAATTTAAAGTAGTTTTTTTCTAATTCAGTGAAGAAAGTCAGTGGTAGCTTTATGGGGATAGCACTGAATCTATAAATTACTTTGGGCAGTATGGCCATTTTCATGATATTGATTCTTCTATCCATGAGCATGGGATGTTTTTCCATTTGTTTGTGTCCTCTCTTATTTCCTTGAGCAGTGGTTTGTAGTTCTCCTTGAAGAAGTCCTTCACATCCCTTGTAAGTTGGATTCCTAGGTATTTTATTCTGTTTGTAGCAATTGTGAATGGGAGTTCACTCATGATTTGGCTGTTTGACTATTATTGTTGTGTGGGAATGCTTGTGATTTTTGCACATTGGTTTTGTATCCTGAGACTGCTGAAGTTGCTTATCAGCTTAAGGAGATTTTGGGCTGGTCAGCTCTTTCAACCTGCTATCTTTTTTTTTTTTTTTCGGACAGTTTGTAGTCTTGCCCTGAGCATGTATATGTTATGAAACTGTCCTACTTACTTCCTAGGTGAGAAGAATGAGTTCTATTATTTTGTGGTTATTTTTCAGGCTAGCTTGCCAAAAGACACTGATGTCTTCTTGGAATATGTTAATAAGCTAATAGTTTGTTTTGAATGAATTGATTGGTAGGCTGGAGGAGCAACACCTTTGAATATTTTTCTCCTGGACTGATCAATCTCACGGACTCCATGATGATTTTTCTGACTTTGGCAAATCTCTCTGCTGCTCATGCTGTTCATATGCAGAGTCAGATGCCAAAAAGGATCGTATCTCCCCACTTGTAAAAGGGTTAAAGATATTTAGTATTGAAGTATAAAACTGTTTGTTAGATTCTAATAAATTCCACTTGATGTTAGACCATACCTGACATTCTTTATGTTTACAAAATTAATTTGAAGATTTGAACAATATATGGTAAGTCTGTGGGAAATAACTCCTTTTAAAAAGGTTATTTCTGTATTCTTTTAAATAACTCAGTTTATTGATCCTGGGGGCCAAACATTAGGGTAAGTTTTGATTTCTTATATTATTTCAAATGAAAAAATAGGAAATTTAATTTCAGCAATTATATTCAGAATTGTTTCATATCAGTGATGAGGAGATGCTCAAGTTTAAAGTGTTCAGTATGTATAAGTCACATAGGAAGATTATAAGGGCGTGTTCTATTTTAAAAGTACTCACTGTATAAGAATTTAACCACAAGTCATTAAGTTTAAAGATGGCTATTCTCTTTATGAAGCACTATTTCCTTAATATTGGTTTTGTATAAATAGTCTTCTGGTATATTGAAAAAAAATTGTAATCTGAAAGAACTTTATTTGCCAAACTCCTACCCAGGGTTTCAGGGCAGGGTCTAGGGTTACTGAAATCTGTAATAGTCAGTCAATGCTAAATAGAAAATCTTGCTAGGGAGGAGAGCTAACTCCAGGTCTCCAAGAAGCCATGACCATGTTTCATGCCTGCAAACTTATTAACATACTTTCACTTCATTAAAGTGATTACAGTTGCTTTTATCCATAATTTTTTGGTTACCCGTGATCTCCTTCCTAATACCTTCTAGTTCATTTCATTCCATTATGGCATTTAAAAGCTAAGTGGTGATGACATTTTGTAATGTAGGGCAAAATTCCATCATTTATTATTACCAATAATTGATTTCTCTTCAGTGATTCTTTATGGAGCTCAATATTGGTATGTATATGGAGAATAAACCAACAATGAGGTAAATAGTTGGAAAGAAAAAGATGAAGAGAAGAAAATAATGCAGTAATTAGGGAGTTAACTTGTAAAGCCTTGAACCAGCATCATTACTGTAAAAATATAAAGGAAGTAATATTTAAGCTAATTAAGTTAAAGTTAAAGAACAACTAATCAGATTTCATAACTAAATGGAAATGGCTATGGTGGAATGGTTCAGGAGGAGGCAATTTGGGGAGAAAGATGGTTGTTGAATAAGAAGTAGGATAGCTAAGAGAAAACACAATTTGAGATAAAGGATTATAGTTCAGGGATGTGGCCAGAGATAGAAATGGCTATTTGGGATTCATTCTCTTAGAAATGATAGATGAAATGTTGAGAGTGGGTAAGACAGGATTAGCCATCATCTGTAATAGAGCAGAGGATGTTATGGTAATTCTGTGGCAAAAATTTATAGAAATATTTTGTCTTAAAATGTTTTAGTATGACTTATATCCAGGAGTACATTTTTGTATTAGAAATTGGTCTCTTTTTCCTAGCGGTTTGCAACTCATGTATGTTAACCACAGTATAGTCTTTCACATTTAAAAATGGAAAAATAATCCCTTAGGTTTTCCTCTGCTGCTTGCTTATTAGTATTCTGTAGAAACACATGAGCAAAATATTAGGCAGATTTAATATTAGAGCTTTGAGTGGTTCAAGGTCTCTTTCTGGTGAATTACTTAGTTATAATTTTTTTCTCTAATTTTATTACTGGTGGTTGTGCCTACTTGTACCAGAGCTTCTTACCTTTCAAGATACCATCTCTGTTGGCATGTTATACTTTAGAAGAAAAATTAGTTTGTTGTTTCATTGTATTTTAGAAGACTTTCTCATTCCACAGATTTATCAATGAATGCTCACTTTCGGTCATCATCTCTGGCATTTCCCTTATTAGCATACCAATGGAAAATTGGAGCTTTGCAATTCCCTTTAACCTTCAGATGTGTTATTTTCCTCTGTGTGACATATTGAGCTATTAAACGAATTGGTTTTCAACTTAAATAGAAACAGGAGATTTCACACACTGGAATCTGGATTTCCAACTGCTCCTGAAAATTTAGAAAATCGGTTCACATTCTGTATTAGGTATCTACTGTTTCAAACAACAGTATTTATTATCTCTATTTCTGTGCATAAGGAATCCAGGTGTAGCATAACTGGACCTCTGGCTCTAAGTCTCCCACAAAACTGCCCTCAAGTTATCTTGTAGGGTTGAAGTCATCACAAGAGTCTGCTGGAAGAGGACTATTTCAGCTGACTCCCGTGGTTGTTGGAGGAATTCCGTTCCTTAGAGGATGTTGATCAAAGGTCTTCCTCAGTTCTTTCTCACAGGGGCCTCCCCACAGGGCAACTTATCACATGGCAGTTTGCCTTATCAAAGCAAAATTGAGAAGAGCCAGATAGTGTGCTAGCTGCATAGAAATGGCCGTCTTTTGTGAGCTTATCTTGGAAATACCATCTTGTCATGTTTGCTGGTTCCTACTCTCCCATTGGAAGTAAATCTCTATGTTCAACCCACACTCAATAGGAGAGGATTATCCAAGGGCATGAATGCTATTGGGAGCTATTTGAGAAGTCAATTTCGTACTGCTGAGTTTTCACAGCACAGACACTTGTTAGAGCTGAGTTCTGACCAGTTCCCTAGAAGTGGGTCATGAACTCTCTGGTTCAGAGCCGACTTCTTGCAGTCCCCTTAACGGATTCATGTTCCCTGCTGGGATTCCATACACAGTTGAGTTTGTGATCTCTGTTGAGTGTCATTGTCACTATCTTTTTTATAGAAATATTTGTTGCACAGTTCAAAATTCTTCCCTTCTCTACCCTGGGGAGACAAAATAACCACGTGGAGTCCAAGTATTATACTTGAAAGAGACCAGATTGAATATAAGCATATTGTTATAATACACCATGTTTTGGAAGTTCTGTGGGAATTCTCCTAATATTGATTTGAACTTTATTGACATGGATATTTCAATGATTTAAAACTGTTTAAGAAAACCTACTAGAATATATTACATAAAAGTTGTCACACTTAGAAACCAGCAAAGCTTAATTTGTGTTTTTTTCTGGGCAAAGCTTCCACTTTGCACATACATTTAAAAATTTTTCTAAATGTGTTGTTAATTAGAAGCTTGTGGCATTGCACTGATCTTTTTAAGAAATCCTATAAAATTGTATATGAATGCTCAATGGTGTGAAGTAGCATCTTCATGAAATTGTGCAACTAAAATGAAATATAGGAATAAATTGGTAAGGAAACTGATGTCACACTGTAACTTTTCTCTTTATCTCCTGATTTCACATTTTTGTTTTTTTTTGGTTCATCAGAGTAGAATCTACTGCATTCTTATGACTGGCTTTGTAATAAATACATTTTTAAAACTGAGTTTATTTAAATTAATAAAACGTCTCTCTTAGCTCAATTGTCAAACTGTGTTAGATTTCACTGGAGCAAAGAGTTCTGTGCTGAAACACACACACACACACACACACACACACACACACACCCAACATTGAAAACCACTGACCTAGACTAAGTTTTTGGGGGCAGTTAGACAGACTTTAGCCAAAGATGTATCCAAAAAAAGCATTATTTCTAGTCAAAATCATAAAATAGTGGAATAAAAGCTTGTTTTTCTGTAATAGCTACAAATAATATTTAAAAACTCGAAAGTGCAGCAAAATTCTAAAGTATATTTTAAAATCATCCAAGATTTGAATATACTTAGTAGTTTTCTTAGTGAAGGGGTTATTAGTAGTGGATAGATACGTTGATTTTGTTATTTGACCAGTGTGTTCAATTAACCAGAATTTTCTATTCCTTAACCATACTGTGTTTACAGAAAGTTTATTTTATGAATACTATAGCTGTACAATAACCTGTGTAAATAGTTTAACCCTCCTCCTTCTCCTCCTCCTCCCTCCTCCACCTTTCTCTTCTTCTCCTTCACCTTCTTCCTCTTCCTCCTCTTCTTCCTCCTCTTCTTCCTCCCCTTCTTCCTCCTCTTTCTTCCTCCTCCTCCGTCTCCTCTTCTTCCTCCTCCTCCCTCTCCTCTTCCTTCTCCTCTCTCCTCGTCTTTCTCCTCCCTCTCCTCTTCTTCCTCCTCTTCCCCTTCTCCTTTTTCTCCCCCTTTTCCTCCTCCTCCTTTTTCTCCTCCTTTTCCTCCTCCTTTTTCTCCTCCTTTTTCTCCTTCTCCTCTCCCTCCTCCTCCTCCTCCTCTTCCCTCTCCTCTTCTTCCTCCTCCTTTTTCTTCTCCTCCTTCTTCTCCTTATTTTTAGAATATAAACTAAATGATAAGAAATGTAAAAAGCATGCTTAGTAAATAGTAAATATTGGGGTTCTTCTTGCAAGATTATAATATAATGTAGAATATAGAATAATTATGTTTTACATAGAATATAAGTCATATAAAATGTAGATGAGAAATGAGGCAACTATGTCCAGTAACTATGTCAGGAAACCAACTATTACTGTGCCATCTATTATGAGCCTGCATTATAACTTAGATAAACATGAAGGATATTTATTACGAGGCAAAATTAATGTGTGGCTAGTTTATCTTATTTGAACATTAGTGAAAGTTTTCATATGCTTTTAAACACATATTTTCAGATTTCACAATCTAACTTTTAAAATGAGTTTCTGTTATGTAATACTTGTTTTCACAAGAAGTTGTATATATTTATCCAAAATTTTGCCTAGGATTATTTTTATTGTGGTATAATTAACACACATTTATGATTATTTTCTAAGTAATCAATAATTTACTAATATTCTTTAAGATCAACTATATGAAATTATGTTACCTACTCTGGAGTTCTAATTTGTCTTCTTAATTTTATTAATGGAAAATTGAGATCCCAAGAATCTTAGCAGCTTGCCCAAGCTCTCATGGTCATTTAAAGATACACAAAATCTGTTTTTTGAGACCCAGACAAGTCTTGTAAAACAAATGGAGACGTATCTAGGCCAGATCAGCACTCTATCAGCTGCTGCCCCTCCTGAGGCTATGGAAACCCCACCAGGAAAGACTGTGGTTCCCTTTTGACTCTAGGAGTTTTAGTAGGTTCTGCCTCCTGTATCTGTGTGAATCCTTCTCATGGTCATCTGACATACTTGGATCTTACCCTGCTGCTGCCTTGTACTCAGATTCCCCTTATCTCTTCTCTCTATGGTGTATATTAAGTGTTAAACACTAATTCACACTGGGTATATTAAATGCTAAGTTTTTAATATACCCAGCACCCCGTCCCTCCTTTTCTGAGATGGAGAAATCAGAAATGTAATCTGTGCTTTTTCTGCTATAGCATACTAAGAATTTGATTTCTTATTATTAGAAAAATATTGGCAGTAGGAAATTCTAACATTTCAGGGATATTGTGATCATTAGTATCATAATAGCTGGTAAGTAGCTGGCATTCAATAAATATGCTCATTATCTCTTTTCTAGTGTAAATAATTAGTATAGGATTCTGAATTTTAACAGTGCCATTTATGTGTGAATCTATACAATGATTATAAAAGTGTTTTTCTCTCATTGGAGCAGGCCCTACACAGAACTGAAAACTTTTTGGTTCCCTAATTGAGTTACTGTGTATTTCTGAAAGTAATTAAACTATGTAACCTTAACAAAAATCTGCAATCTAGTTTTTCACAGATTCAGACTGCAATTTCTGCTCTAATTAGCCAAGATTAGGGAGATGTTCCTGTGTGTGGTCCGACAAACACAAGAGCCGCCTGCAGGAAGGATACAGCAGGACTGTGCCTAAGGAATACATTTTTGGGGTGCTATGCTGGGCACTATGCTGCAGCTGCTACCAGACTGTGATTTCTAGTGGTTTGGCTTTCTTCTATTGTACTTCTAAATTTGGGTTCTTTTTTTCTCACTCATCTTTTCTGGTCTGCCAACTTACATCCCGCAACTCCTGTGAATTAAATCTTAGAAAATGATGCTTCCAAGAAATTTTCTGTATTTATTTGTACAAGGGTTCATGAGTGCTTATGTTTGAGTTATTGGATGCTCTCACATAGCAGGTGCTCAAGAATCCTCCTTTAATAGAATTTCAGAATCATAAAAACATGTTTTTACATTGTTAGACAATACCCCCAAATCCTAGGGCCAGGCATATATCTCTTTTCTTCAGGATAAAGGATGCAGGAAGAATATAGAGGAGGAGAACTCTAGAATTTAGAGATAATAAATAGCTTGATGCAAGATATTTAAGATTCATATTGATTTGTCTTCATGGCTACATATTATTTTGAGTACTCATGACAGTGGTTTTCAACACTTATTGTAACCTGTAACCCCCTCTCCCTTATGCAATATAATTCATATCTCCAATTTATAAAGCATAAAGTAGAGCTCCTTTAGTTGCTGCAGCATCTTTATGGCCCCTTTGAACTTTTTGCTGTATTCCTGAGGTTCAGCTCACCTATAAGGCTTTGGGATATTCCATACTCAACTCTTATTGACCAATGGAAATAGTGAAGAATCATCAGATAGTTAAAATGGTATTTAATTCAGACTGTCGAATATATGCTTGGAATCATTTTAGATACTGTACAAAACAGAAAATTATAAAACCTACTCATTTCTTTGCAGGTGCTAATTTGAGAGACAAAATAAACACACATGAAATAAGAGTGAACAGTCAAGGCGGTTGATAATTAAGCATAGCTACATCACTATTCTGGGATTGTTGCTACTGTTACTGTTATGTGTGCTGCAAAGCCCACGTTAACAAGCAGCAGGTAACATTCAGTAGTGTTAGACATTTTTCTTACCTTATCTTATTCATCCTTGTAATAGTTCTATTGTCACCTATCTTTTACAGAAAAGGAAACCGAGGCTCAGGAAGGTCAACTTCCTTGCCCATAAACACCAGAATAGAATTTTGAATCCAATGAAGTCTACACTTTTGATTATTACACTTTGCAGGCATTCAGCATTGTCCATATGTGAGTACAAAAGGTGTCAGCCTCTGGGAATGGTTATAGGGATACATTGCTTTCTGTGACAGCATTGAAGGTAGCAGTTATAATACGAATGGGACTTGTGCTATAATGCAGTACATTAGACATAAAAATATAAAAATATCAGAGCAGTTGAAGGAGCTTTTGTATTTTGAAACCAGTTCCATATAAATTGTGAATTTTTAAATAAGCGATTGTTTTGTTACAGGTATTGCTATGCCCATCAGAAAGGATGAGGAAATTGACCAAAAGACACTAAATGACTTGTCTTATGCTATGTGGCTAGGGACAGATCTGGGAATCGAAATCAGTCTTCTATGTCCCTTTCTACCAAGGATTTTTTCAGAATTGGGAAAGTAAAAAACAGACATTTTTGTAGGTTTAGTGGCAAATCTGGACAGGTTGAGCTTCCACATATGTGGGGAAGATAAAAGAGAAGTCGGCCGGGTGCGGTGGCTCACGCCTGTAATCCCAGCACTTTGGGAGGCCGAGGCGGGCAGATCACGAGGTCAGGAGATTGAGACCATCCTGGCTAACACGGTGAAACCCCGTCTCTACTAAAAAAAATACAAAAAATTAGCCGGGCGTGGTGGCAGGCGCCTGTAGTCCCAGCTTCTCCGGAGGCTGAGGCAGGAGAATGGCGTGAACCCGGGAGGCGGAGCTTGCAGTGAGCTGAGATCAGCCACTGCACTCCAGCCTGGGTGACAGAGCGAGACTCCATCTCAAAACAAACAAACAAACAAAAAACAGAGAGGTCAGAAAATATAAACAGGGGGTTGGAGACCCTTTGGCTTCTTCACTCTTGTCACTTGGGGTTTTTTTTTTGTTTTTTTTTTTTAATTCAGAAAAATGACCTATCATTTCTCTGGCTAATGCCATCTGTAGTCATTCCCACTCTTTGATATCCAGAGAACAGTTCATCTCCCAAATGAACCCAGTCCAGTAATGGTGTGGAGCAGGCAAACTGACCGCTTGGAGGACTGCTATTCTTGTGCTCCTTAATGCCAAGTACCACACATAGTTGACACTCAGGAAACTATTCCTCTTACATCCTTTTTGGAAGCAGTCAATGTATCCTGATAAACACATTAAAACATTTTTAAAACGTTGATAGAACCTCTCAGGAAGATGTTAGCAGGCACAGATTGCTTCAGAAGAAAAGTTGACTTCTGTAGGGACTTCAGAGACTGTTGGAGGAAAAGAGTGGAAGGAAACTTCTTTTGAACAGTGTGTGTTTTGTTTCGGATATGCAGAATTAAAAACCAGACTATGTTATTTAAACATTTTGAAACACTAGTTCATTCACTGTATACTTTTTTAGGTTGAAAACCATTACGTGATTTGTATTGCACTGTTTTCCCTGTTCCTAGGTTAATCTCATATTTTGTATCTCCTTGGTGGATTGTGTCTCAAAGGCTCTCAATGGGACTCATAAGTGCATATAACATTCTTCTCTATATCCCTGGAAAACCACCACCTCTCTTCTGAAGGGGACATTTCTTGGGGAGACAGTGCATGGCATGGCTGATCAGTCAGCCTGTTCCAGCATGACAGGTGGTTAGACATCCCCCAGAAACACCAGCACATTAAGTCACTAGCACAATGGCATTGGCAGTCGTTCATTGCTTTTCACAGCTAACCTCTTTTCAGTGACATTTTGCTCCCCATAACATTTGAACAAAATTGTAACTTGAAATCAAATCTAAAGTATCTTTAATAAAATCTAATTCTGCCTCAGACCACAAGAAGGCAGATGCCGTGGTCCAAGGAAGATGGAGGAGCAGCCTAACTCCAAACAGCAGATCCTACCAACTAATCTGGATCTGTGTCCAGTTACGGAAACTGAGGAGGATTTTCTGTAAGAGTAGAGGCTCTGCACAAAGCACACATGGTTGATCAGTCCATGCAGCCTTATCTAGAGACACGGTCCTGATGTCATCTTGACAGGTGAGTGCATAACCAGTGTATTACACAGCTCAGTGAGTGAATGTAGGATGCTTGTTCTCTCCTCCGTGCACTCTCAGATTGGAGCCTGGGAACTGCACCAGAGACACTAGCCCTGCTTCTCCTCTGCTGTGTTAGAGGAGATTGTGAGAAGGTTCATTATCAGGGCCCCAGAGTTGCTGAGGATGAAGGAGGTATTTCTGAGCCTAGGGAAATTCTAGCTGGCTCCTATGTCTCCTGTTTATCTTCTCTGACACAAAAGGGTATCCCTGAGCTTCTTTGCAAGCAAATCAGGAACACTAAATGGCAGTATCAATGCGGGTGAATATTGCATGATTAAAAGACCAGTCATCTACTTCCTTGTCTTTATTAGAACTTGTGCTTGAGAAGTACCAGTTGCATTTTATGAGTTCATGACTCATTCAACCATCACTTAACAGCACACTCATGCTCAGCCAGGTAAGTTATTGGGTGCTTATGAATGCAGAGATTAATACAATTATTTGCCTTCCAAGAGTTAAATACATACATACATACAAACATACATGCATGCATATACACATACATACTTGTGATACAAAGAGCACCTGATAAGTATTGCTCACCTGCTGACACCTGGGAAGGCCTTAGGTTCCTCATCTGTAACATGGAAATGTATGCAGTAGTCTTTTGGCTTTTCTCTAGCTCTGATGTTTCTTGATTTCTTCTAAATTATTAATAAATATCATCTTTCTTAGAAATGTAGGACATTTTGTTTGCTACAAGATAGCATCATTCTGTCAGTTCAATAACTACATATGTTCTTCCCCACAATCTTAGGTTAAATAGGCTTAATGCCCGTATTTTAAGGCTTTCAAATCTAAGAAGTAAAAATATTTTCTGACATGGGCAAGTATTACTAAATTTGGATGAAATATATAAATCAAATACATTGCAATGTTCATATCACATCACTAGAATCCATTCTTTAATAGAAACTTCTGTTGTAGCAGAAACATCTTCTGAAATGATAGTCCTAGATTCTGCCCAAGCTTCCCAGAAATTTGTAAAATCTCTAGGTGAATCCAGTTATGATAAGCAATGGAAAATACATTGTTATAAGCAGAGTAGAAAAAGTGCCAATAGAAAAAAAATCATAAAATTAAATGTTCCCATTTAATGAAGCATGTGGCAGAGCCTTCGTCACTTTGTGTGTGTGTGTGTGTGGGTGGGTGGGTGTGAATGAGAGGGAGAATATTGTCAGGATCGTTGAGAAGAAAGAAGGGAGTTTATGCCTTTGTAGGTTTTGTAGGTTAGTGGGCTGCATCACTGCCTTCATTCCTTCTTCCTGCCTAAGCAATTTTTTCATTAACTCACACATTTATTTACCTGTTATGCTCAAGGCTGTCTTTAAACCATGTTGTGTCCTCTCTCACCTCTGAGTAAAAGTGGATTTTATCATTTATAATCTCTGTAACTCTAGAGTTGACACTTGGCTTTTCTGAGCCTCAATTTTTTTTTCACCTGTGAAATAGGGGAACACTTTTCTCTTGAAGTTGCTTAGGATTTAATAAGCATGTGTGTGATAAAAGGTCACATGTATACCAGCAGTCTTCAAAGGTGATGTATGATAAGTTGGTGCTGAAGACATATCAGCACGTTTCCTTGCTCATCACATTGGCCTGCAACATAGAAATTGACTTTGGTTGATATTTGTCCGATTTCACTAAATTTTGGTAAAACTTTGTTTTAATATCTTGTGTTAGAGGTCTGTTTGTTTTTGTTTTGGTTGCAGAAAATACTAATAATGTATTTGTTACTTGTACAAACTTGTGAGGTATGTGAGAAATTTTTTTACATATATATATAATTTGCAATGATCAAGTCAGGGTATTTTAGGTACCCATCACCTGAGTACAATAGATTTTTGTTAAGTATAGCCACTCTACTCTGTTTTCAAACATTGAGTTTATTTCTTCTTACCGTATATTTGTACTCTTTAAACCACTTCTCTTCATCTTCCCTCCTCTCCCCCACTCACCCTTTCCAGTCTCTGTTATCTATTTTTTAAATCTCTACCTCCATGTATTCAAATTTTTTAGCTTACACATGTGAGAACTGCAATATTTGTTTCACTTAAGATAATGACCTCCTATTCCATCCATGTTACTTTAAAGGCATGATTTTCTTCTTCTAATGGCCGAGCGGTATACTATTGTGTATATATACCACACTTTCTTTATGCGTTTATCTGCCAGTCGACACTTAGGTTGGTTCCATATCTTTGCTATTGTGAAGAGTATTGCTATAAACATGTGAGTGCAGTATCCTTTTGATATATTAATTGCTTTTCCTTTGAATAGATACCCAGTATTGGGATTGCCGGGTCAATTGGTAATTTTATTTTTAGTTTTTTTGAGAAATCTCCATACTGTTTTCCATAGTGGATATACTAGATCACATTCCCATCAACAGTGTATAAGAGTTCCCTTTTCTCTGCATCCTTATCAAAATTTGGTAATTTTTGGTCTTTTTAATAAACAGCCATTCTGACTAGGAAAATATGGTATCTCATCGTGGTTTTGATTTGTATTTCTCTGATTAGTGGTGTTGAGTATCTTTTCATATACCTACTGGTCACTTGAAAATACTGATAGCTTTGGATTATTTAAGAGACTTGTGATTTCTAAGACTTTCATTTATATATTTTTCTTAAATGTTGTTTTCTAATTTCCAATTATTACTTATCATTTTCCTAGTTATTCCATATATAACAATATTTCTATTACATATATTAATAAAGTCATATACTCCATCTATCTAATCTATCTATAGATTGATTAGAAACTCATACCAGGTGAATGCATTCTGCCACTTTACAGTATCTAGTGAATGAACTCTATAAGGAAGAGAAAATTCACAATTTTGTGCATGACAAAGAGCATTGGGAATAAACCCAGAGCTTAATGATTCAAGTCAGGGCTCTACCACTGTTCTTCAGTTAAGGAAGCTCTGGTTGTGACAGAAGCCCACTCAGGCTAGCTTAAGCCAAAGGATTCAGTGTAAGCCTTCAGTAGTCAATTTGACTGTCATCTAAGATCAGCAAATAAAGTACAGCCAGACCCTGTGTGGATCAGAAGAGAAATCCAGTAACGAGCTCCCTTTCTTTCTCTCTTCTAGGCTGCACATTTCCCTTCATGTCATCTTCCCTCTCATCTTAACGTGTCAACTTTATTTTTCCTTCACTGGTTTCTTTTGCTTGCCCATATTGGATATGACTTTGCAAAGTCATTTCTTGGTCCCTCAAACCATAGCGTGACCTTTCATTTCCAAAGCCGACATCCGCCAATAGCCTCTTTTTGTCTCAGTTCAAATTCTCAGGACAAGCTAATGAAGTGTTCATTGGTTTGGGGTGAAATATCCATTTCTGATCCATTTAGCAGTTTTGGGTGGAAAGCTTGCAGACAACAAAGCATATCTAGTATAATTCTTACTAGTTTGGTGAGTTCAGTTAACATTCAGATCAATTTTCTCATTTGAAACAATGTAGATAACACTACCTCTTTCAAAGGATAATGTGAAGATGAATAAAATAATGTATATGAGATTGTTGGATAAAGTATAAAAAGTTCTACAGTAAGAAAAAGACTACTTTAGAGAATAGTGGTTACTAGGTAAGTTGAAGCATTTGGCAGCTGGTATTCCTGAAATTAGTTATTCCCTTTAAATTCACTTTCACTCATTTCAAAGACTTTTGCCCCAACTGTGCTGTAACACATGAAGGCTACTGTAATGGTGTTTCTGAAGACTGAACAGAGACTACACTGTTTAAATTACTTGGTTATGAAATCAGGACAAATTAGTGTGAACTGTAAGGGGAAAAAAAGATGGGGTGTTAGTGTTTCCAAATGTTGAAATATTTAATATACTATCCAGTCTTGACATTTAGAATGTATTATCTTTTTTAAAATTTAACAAAGGGCAAAAAAGATGGAGAAATATTGCAAAAAGGTAAATGAAAGTGGCTGATCTTTTGACAGCAAATACACTTAATAGCTGAACTATTACCCTTCAGCTAATTATTAGTTGAACTAAGCACTTCTTTTTATCAAGTCAAAGTACTTAATTTATGGTTTGCCTTTAAAAAAACTAAACACAATTTTAACTTTGGCAATGCTGGGATCTGGAGAGGATTGCATAAATGTGCAAGTCATTATTTTGAAAATACATGAGAACTTAGAGATCAACCAAAAATATCAACTAGTTTATATGATGCTTTTTTCATGAAATTCTGGACAAAATGTCTACCTCATATAGGGATTTTTTGTTGTCTCTATTGACACCATAAAATATGAGTTGGAAAAAACCAGCAGACTCATTCTTGCTCCTAAAATGTTGTCCGTGAAACAGTATTTGACATTTTCCTTGCAACTACCTCACTCACCCAGAGCATGCTGGTATAGTCTAACTTTGCTGTAACCTGAGGCAGTATGACTGGATGAGATGTTATTTATGGAATAATATATCAAGTTGGATTGCTAGTTAGATATAAAGATGCTTAATGACCTTTCATTTAAAAGAATTTCTTGCAATCTTATGAGAAATATTTTAAATAACGATATTTTATGGTATCATCGTCTGGATGAATCATTTGTGTGGTTTGTCCATATGTGAATTATCTGTGCAAAATTCACAGGCTAACATTCAGTTAACATACCGTTAGGGAGATCTAAAATCTTTAGGGAGTTAAGACCACTGCTAAACATATGATGGAACCTCAAATCATATTAAATGTCATGACATACCACTATCCCTCAAAATTCAAGTTGTCTGTACTTGGATTGTAACACAAAATCCAAGTTGTCTATACAACCAAAAATGTTGATAAAAGCTTCTGTGAGTCAAAAGTTCTGTCCTAACTCATAGGCTAGTTCATCTACAACTTTTAATTAAACATTTAGCTTTCTTACTTCTGTGTATTTGCTACAAAGCTTTTATGCACCTCTTAATCTCTTTTATCCTACCTCATTTTTTCCTTCTGTGACATCTTCTGGTTGTGGGCTTTTAAACTTTTCTCATATTATTTTTGGCTCCTCAAGTACATTGTGGGGACTTTGAGGGTAGGGACCACTTCTTACACTTCTGCATATGCTAAAAATTGCCCGCCAAATTAATGTACATGGACTAATTGCTCAATAAGTATTTGCTGAATGAATAAGGACTTTTCTATTTACAGATGCTAGCCCCAGCTTAGACCCCTTTAGCAGATCATAGGCACTTTTTTTCCTCCTGTGTCTGGTTGATTATACTTACCAGGAAGTTCATCTCACAGAAATGACCATCATTTCATCAATGAAACATTTGTGATACATTTTACATCTTGTTAACAAATGCATACAGTGTTTAACCCTGTTTATTTTTTGTTTCTTACATCTTATATTCTAGGACTAGGAAGTCTCATGTATGAATGCCTCATATGAGATGAAAGTGATATTTATGTATATTCATAGTTTCATGTTGCTGATTTTTCTGTTTGATTTTAACTAAGTGGTCTAAGCAAGGGAGGGACATAAGCTTTTGCTTTAGGACAATCACTTTGGTTGCACTTGTAACACAGATTTTAAAGGCAAAGACCACAGATGAGGATAAAAATTTCAAAGCATTTGGTATAATCTAGGAAAGAGGTGATGACAATGTTAGGGTCTAGTTTAGTGGCATTAGGATTGAAAAAAGGTGGATAGATTTAAAAGCTATTTAGTAGGAAGAATTTTAAAAATGATTGAATTTCAGATATTCTGAGGAGTAGGAAGGGATGGTTTGTGTTTTGAAAGATCCTTCTGGCTCAGAGAATACATCTTAAAAACTAGAAGACATATGGGTTGATTTGTTAGGTAGTTGCTTAAATTGTCCATGATGGTAACTTAATCTAGGATGGAAACAGCAGAAATTGGTAGAAGTGGACCAGATGGAAAGAGACTGTGCTTAGAGAGTAAAGACAACAACAAGTGATGATGCCTTCGATGTGGGAGGAGGATGAGGGAGAGAGCGATGTCAAGGATGGCCCTATGCATGGGTAGCGGGATGTATCATTCACTGAGATAGGGGAATTGTGGAAGAGGATCCTTTTGAGGAGGAAGATCAACACTTTCTCGTTGGCATGTTGACTTTCAGATGACTTTGGGACATTCAAGAGGATTTTTCAAGTAGGTTAGTGGATAGGTACCTCTAGAGCTATGAGGGGAGATCTGGGTTGGAGTTACACAATTGTGAGTCACCATGTATAAGTGGCAATTAAAGGCATTGGGACTGAATGAGATTGCCAGAGAGAAAGAAGAGGGCTGCATGTTGAGCAGAGAGGAACTTCAGTATTTATACACTGGGTCAAGGGAGTTAATCCTGCAAAGGAGATGAACAATGAGGTGTCCAGGGTTGGATTTTACTGGTCAGGAGCAATGAAAGAACAAATGAAGAACAGTGTACAGAATACTGATTAAGAAAAGGATATTTTTCCCTTCTCTTGTCTCTGACCAACATTGGTATTTTCTTACTGCCACACTAACCTATGTTGGTCTAGTCCTTTCCTGGAGACTCTTCTCAGAGAACTCTGTTTCATGAGATTGCTCAGTGTTCAGACCATGTAATAAGCATTTGTTTTTTTTTTTTTAATTAACATTGCAAATATGTTTGCAATACCAGAATTGCAAGAAAGGTAATTCTAGAATTGGCTTCACTCTGTATTGCTGTTCTTTTTAATATACCTTTCACACTTTAGGGAACACAATATATTCTGGGATGGCTGTGGTCCAGAAGAAACTCCCTATTGCTGTTCTTTTTAATATACCTTTCACACTTTAGGGAACACAATATATTCTGGGATGGCTGTGGTCCAGAAGAAACTCCCTACCCCAACAACTCCCTACCCCAACCCTTACTCATATTCCCATCTTCTTCCAAAAGCTTTTTTGGAAGTGGTATTTTTAACTGCTCCTTGCCCATATAGTCTAATTTTAGTAGCTCAATCCTTAAAATAACAAAGCACAAAGATATAAAGTCTTCTTATATTAGAATTTTGTAATTCTTCCTTTGTAGGTATCTCAGGAACCAGCAAGAATGGCTCAGAGTAATTTTTGTTCCTTCTCTCTCAAAATTTCCTTCCCATTTCATGTAGTAATGGCCATAGCCTAGCTGACCCTGAGGATCATTTGCTTGTTGCCAAAGTAGTGGGATTTCTGAGGCTAAGGGTAACATTTTTGAATAATATTATATTAATTTAATAATGTTATCTTGTAAAGCACACTCTTGGTTAATTTTATGTGTCAGCTTGACTGGGCTAAGGGATGTCCAGGTAAGCGGGTAAGACATTATTTCTGGGTATGTCTATGAGGGCATTTCCAGAGAGAATGTCAGTTGAATCAGTATATTGAATAAAGAGACTCACCCTCAGCAATGTGGGCAGGCATCATCCAAGCCATTAGGGCCCAAATAAAACAGAACGGTAGAGGAAGGGCAGATTCATTCTCAAGCTGGAACGTGTATCTTCTTCTGCCCTTCAGCACTGATGCTCCTGGCTCTTGGGTCTTGATATTGGGATTGGGACTTACACCCTTGGCTTCACTGGTTCTCAGTCCTTTGGGCCTGTGTTAGAATGACAACCCTGGCTTTCCTAGGCCTCCAGGGAGCAGACAGCAGACTATGGAACTTCTTAGTCCCACACGATACATCTCAGCCGAGCGGTCATTAACCTCTTTCTAGGTCTCTATGTGTAGACTATTGGCTCTGTTTCTCTGGAGAACCCTGACTAATACACTTACAAAGTATGTGACTATGGACATAACCATGAATTTCAGCTCATCAATTTGCCCACTAAGGGACCTTATATGAATAAAATAATTAACTTCAGAAATACTAAAAATAAAAAACTTTTGATACATGGGACAAAATTGGTGAATCTCACAATTTTGTACATACTATATAATTTACATAATATTTTAGAAAATGCAAATTTATCAATAGTAACAGAAAGCAGCCTGTAGTTGCTTGGAGCTGGGGACTGGGGCAGGGGGCTGGGAGAGGGATCTGGGATAGATACCAAGGGAAAGTTTAGGGGGCAATGCAAATGTTCGTTAGCTTGATTGTGGTGCTGGTTTCAGATGTCAAAACTAATCAAACTGTACACTGTAAATACATAAAGTTTATCTTATTTCAGCTATACTTCAATAATTTTTTTAAAAAACACACTAAGTGACTCAAGAAGAAAAAATTAATTTTAAAGTTCTCTTTAACTCTCAACGTCCTGTGATTCTTTTATTTTAGCAGTAAGGGGACTACAGGCTAAGACAATGCCTTATAAGAGTTACTTTTGCACCTACCATTAGAGCGAGATAGTTATGGTTACAGATTGTTAGTTCCCGGCAACTGCTTTTATAACAGAGGGTCTCCTTCCTCTTATCTAGTGAGAGAATGATTCTTAAAAATTTAAAAATACTTGCAGATTAAAGGAGAAATGCATATGTTGTAGACACAACTACTGAAAAATAAAACACTTGTTTCACCATTCTGTTGTTTTTTAATTATGTGCAATAAAAGTTCATCCCCAATGTAGAGTTGTGAAAATCCTGTACAAATTTGTAGTAAGTCAAAATTTTGGATTTTTAAAGAAAATGCCATTTTAGTTGTCAAAAATAATGACATATTCATGGAACATGATTATATTTGGAATTAAGCCTCCATTACACAATGTCATCTCCTATTTTAAAACCCCTGATTTTGGCTGCTTTTTAACCTTAGAATTCAATCATGATTAAATATATCTTCTAAATTATCACAAACTCTGTATTAATAGATATTACTTACAAAGCTTTATTTTTTTCCCCACTGTATTTTTTTGTTTGTTTTTTGTAGAGACAGGGTCTTCCAGTGTTGTCTAGGCTGCTCTCAAACTCCTGGCCTTAAGCAATCCTCTTGCCTTGGCCTTTCAAAATGCTGGGATTACAGGCATGAGACACCATTCAGCCTCCCATTCTATTTTAAATGTTGAAGCCCAATTTCCTGCCTGTACTTTTTCTAGGATGTATTTAAAAGTTATATTTTTGTTTTTATTTCAAAAATTTGGTCCTAGCCAGAAATTTGATAAAGATGATTAATGCTTATTTAGATAAATTCGAAGTACTTTCTTATAAATACAAAAGTATTTTGTGAGATGAAGGAATGAGAAAAATAGTAGTTTAAAAATGTAAGTAGAATGAAAACAATGGTTTTTTGTTGCACCTTCTCTCTCGCGCGTGTGCGCGTGTGTGTGTGTGTGTATATATATATATTTTTTCTTTTTCTTTTTTTTTTTTTTGAGAGAGGGTCTTGCTCTGTCATCCAGGTTGGAGTGTAGTGGCCCAATCTCGGCTTACTGCAACCTCTGCCTCCTGGACTCAAACAATCCTCCCACCTCAGCCTCCTGAGTAGCTGGGACTATAGGCATACACCAGCATACCTGGATAATTTTTGTAGTTCTTATAGAGACGGGGTTCCACCATTGTTGCCCAGGCTGGTCTTGAACTCCCATGCGCAAGCAATCTGCCTGTCTCAGCCTCAGCCTCCCAAAGTGCTGGGATTACAGGAATGAGCCACTGTTCCAGGCCTTGTTCTATATTTTGAACAATTTTCTTGATTTTATAGAAAATACAAAGAAGTTGTTTTATCAATGAGCCTTTTTTTACTTAACAAAACATTTCATACTTCTGGCCCAAATACTTGTGATTCCATTTCTGCTAGAAATGATAGATTCAGCTCTCTTTTTAAGGTGTTCATTTTTGAGCCTTTAATCTCAGCATTCTCATGTGCACCACAATGTGAATGTAGCAAGACAGGTAAGAAGTACATTCTGGTTGTAATACATCCTTGACATCTTATGAAGGAGAGAGTAAAATAGAATGACAGAAACCCAGAAGTAACATAGGGGATATGGTTTATGTATAACCTCAAACTCTTTCATGCCTCAAAAAGTTAGGAATTCAATATGTGCAAATTTTCTTACTAGAAAAGAATTCAAAGTGATACTGTAGAATTATGAATGCCATTATCCATCTGAAAAGTGGTAGGCAGGTGGCCCACAGGATTTTTTTTCTTTACGATGAGATTAATTCTTATGAGTGATATCAATTTTCTTTTGCTGTTGTAATTAATTCCCACAATCTTAATGGTTTAAACAATAAAAATGTATTACCTTAGAGTTCTGTAAGTCAGAAGCCTAAGTGACTCTCACTGGGCTAATATCAAGGTGTCAGTTGGGCTATGTTCCCTTCTGCAGGCTCTGGGAGAGGATCCATTTCTCTACCTTTTTCAGCTTCTGGAGGTCGCCTTCATTCCTTGGCTTATGGCCTCCTCCTTCCATCTTCAAAGACAGCAATGTTACGTCTCTTGGTGACCTCTCTCACTTTTATCTCAGACAGAAGGGTTCTTTTAAGAACTCATGTGATTCAAATGGGCCCACCTGCATAGTTCAAGATAATCTTCCTTTCTCCAGGTCCTTAACCTTAATCACACTGCAAAATCCCCTTTGCAATGTAAAGTAACATATTCACATGTTCCAAGGATTAAAACATGGACATCTTTGAGATGTCATTATTCTGCCTACCACATTGGGTAAAATACTAGAACAGTTAGGGAGTAACCAAGGGCAGAGACAGATTGAATTAATGGACATGTTTTAGAGCGTGTCTGTTGGTATGGTCTTCAAGAGAAGAACCAGCAAAAACAAAATTATCAACAGAAAAGTAGACGTTGGGATAACACCTTTTAGTTAGCAGTTGCCACACTTTGCACATAGAGCAATCCTCTTTGTTCATTCAATATTTAAATAAACTAATGACACTATTAGGCCTGTCCTGTCATCTGTTTCCCAATCTGGGTAGCAGATGTAACTCCATCATTTAGGTACTTGAAGTTCTATAGCAAACAGTTGAAAACTACTAAGGTAAAATAAAACTAGGTTAATAGACAGTTTCTAAATCCAGAGTTTCTTGCCTAGAGTATATTTAGGGTCCACAGGAGAATGACAATAACTATAGCCCAACCAAACTATAAACCAAATTTTGTCTTCTCAGAAAAATGTTTTTGACTTAAATAGATAAAACTATAATACATCTACATCAAAACAAGGGCAAGATTTTGCTCTAGTTTTTAAATTTGCAAAATAAAAAGTCCCAGTTGTCACAAAAACTTATTAATAAGAGAAAGCAGATTCTACTATTAAAAATCTTTTTAAAACATTGCTGGATAATATCCTCTTTGTTTTAGTTAAATACCTTAATTTCTTCAGAATCCTTTTAAACTGTATTTTTCTTAAATTGATTTTAATAAATGAGCTGGAGGAAATGAATATTCATGTGAATCTAGTAGATGGCTATAAACTTAGCTGGATTTGATGGTCTTAAAATTAATTGTATTTTAAATTAATTGAAATTTAGAGCTCAAGCTATAAAATCAGTGACAACTGAGTAAAGCAGGGATCTAGACAGAGTAGAAAGATAAGTTCGTGTCATGGGAAATTTCTCAGTTTCAAATGTATGGGAAGTTTGAAAAATGCCTCTTCCTCCCCACTACTGATGCTTATAAAAGCAATAACTGGTTTTATATGCAAAAAATGCCTGAATTATGCAATAGAATCACTTGGTGTATTTCTAAAAGTTCATGTGTGAATGTAAATCAATACCATATTTACTTGTGTAATTCTTTTACCCCACCCCCTGTAGAGTGGGCTGGACAACCTAGGAAAAGTCCAGAATGCCTTTGATTTCAGTCTTCCTTGAGTCTAGATGGAAAAGAGAAGGACTCAGTGAAGTAGAGGAAATTTGGAGGCAGAAAAGGGTATCAGTGCTTATTAAACCCTACCATGTACCAGATATGCTGTTTCATACTTTCTACACATTGCCACACATTTTAGTTAGTTATCACCCAGGAGACAACACTGAGACTTAGTGTGGCCAAGAACCTTGTACAAGATCAAACATTCTACATAGTCTATAGCCTAGCCTGGCTTGGATGCTCATAGGCTTGACTCCAAAGCTTTGTTTTTCTTATCTCTTCCACGCTGCCTCTGAACGTTGATGCCCATTTTTTTTTTTTTTTAATTTCCTCTTCTCAATCAGAAGGTCCTGCTGGCCTCAAAGAAAAAAGAAGCTAAGTCCCTCCAAATCTGACACTGACATGTTTATAGGATTCCCCAAAGCAGCCCAGGGCCCTCAAATTAGAAAAGCCTTCAAATTATGGGACTTTACTTGTTCTAGTTGGGGGATTCATTCACTTTTCTAACCTGTGGCCTCACTGCTAAATGATGATTCCCGTCTGGGAGCAGATGGAATGTGTCATGCTCTCTGAATGAGGTGGGGGCCATAGTTATACTTCAGCTCAAATTCTCCCTGTCTTGTCAACGCACATCAGATTTCTCTGAGGATTTCGGTTTCCCTCTCCATTGCTTCTTTCCATATGCTTTTTGGGATTAATAGGGTAGGTATGGGGCCAAAAATAATTTTCCCAATTTTAAAAGAAACTTTTCAATAATGTTGACTATAGTTGAAACTAGAGAACAAAGAAATGATCACACAGGCTACTGAAAGAGAAAGAAACTTAAATGTTGAAGAATAAGGAAGGCAGGACTATGTGGAAAATAAGTTTGATAAAATGCTATCAATTTATGTGATATTTTTCTTTGATAAAAAAATCATATGATAACTGTGTTCTTGGTGTATTTATCACAGGTATAAGTGAGTTCTCTTTAAGGCCAGTAGGGTATTATTGAGGAAAAAACTCCTGTAAAAAGTGTTTGAAATATAGGGAGGCATTACAGTGAAAAGATATTCATCACACCATTATAATGCCCAGCAACATTATAGAATATGGAGAATAGTTAAATAAATTATTGACTCTATTGTGAGGTCCTCAGCCTTTAACAGTGGTGTTTATGAAGAATTTATAATGACATGGAAAAGAATTTTACAATAATATTCTAAAACAAGATAGGAATATGATCTTTTCTTAATTATGAAAATGCAAAAAAATTCTAAACAAAACTGCTAAAATGTTAACAGTCTTGCCCGAGGAGTTCTGGTTTATTGCTGATGTTTTCTTCTGCTTCATTATACTCTTTCAATATTTACAACCAGAAAAATGATAAGGTTCCATGATGAAAAAGAAAAAGAGTTTCAGTATTTTCAAGTGACCAATGAGGAAATAAAATATCCTTCAGGTCAGATGGGATTTCTCATTGTTGCAATTTAAATGGATTATGTGATCTTTCTGTTTAGATTAAAGCCAATGGAAATAAGGAAATAACAGTAAACCTAAAGACTATGTTATCTCAGTAAAAGGAAAAAGTAATTAGAAAAGGTATGCAACAGAAATGTCTTAACTGTGATAGGTCAAGAAAATGGATATCAGGAGTCATATAAGGTACATCTTTCAGACATTAAAATATGATGTGATTTATTTTTGGACACATAAGTTAGATAATCTTGGAATGAAACATAAATGACATCTTAATGCATTTGCTATGTTTTGCCTTTTTATAATTTCCTTTAATGTAAGATTATCTTATAAAACAGACAGGTCATCTAGAAATTTAGGAATCAGGTATGAAGTCTCAGTTCATTATTTTAAAAACTTTTAAAGTACTAGATTTGGGTATCCGTATCAGTGAGCAATGATTTATATAAGAACATAAAGATAGTACTTAAAAAATTTTTAGTGTTTTGTCTTAATAGACTCCTTTTTAAACAGCAGATTAGGTTCACTGCAAAATTAAACAGAACATACAGAATTTCCATTGTCCCATATGCCACCTTCCTCCACATATGCACAGCCTCCCCGACTATCAACCACCTGCGCCAGAGGAGGTGCAGGTGCATTAACATTTGTTAATTGGTGAATTTATATTGACACATCATTATCACATAGTTTATATTAGGGTTCACTCTTGGTGTTGTACATTCTATGAGTTTTGGCAAATGTGTATAATGACATGTCTCTCCCATTGTAGTACTATACAGAGCAATTTCACTGCCCAAAAAATCCTTCGTGCTCTGCCTATTCATCTCTCCTTCCCTCTAATCCCTGACCACCACTGATGTTTTACTGTCTCCATAGTTTTGCCTTTTTCAGAATGTCATACAGCTGGAATCATATAATAATGTAGCCTTTTTCAGATTGGTTACTCTCAATAATATGCACTTAAGTTTTCTCCATGTGTTTTTATGGTTTGGTAACTCAGTTCTTTTTGGCACTGAATAATATTCCATTATCTAGATGTACCACAGTTTAGCCATTTATCTACTGAAGGACATCTTGTTTACTTCCTAGTTTTGGCAATTTTGAATAAAGCTGTTACAAACATCCATGTGCAGGGTGTTTCTTGTGGATGTAAGTTTGCAATTCATTTGATTAAATGTGTAGGGGTACAATTGCTGGGTTGTATATTAAGAGTATGTTCAGTTTTATAGGAAACTGCCAAACTGTCCTCTAAAGTGGCTGTGCCAATTTTGCATTCCCATCAACAATGAATGAGAATTTATAATGCACCACATCCTTGTCAGCATTTGGTGGTGTTCTTCTGGATTTTGGCCATTTTAATAGATATGCAGTAATATCTCATTCCTGTTTTAATTTGCATTTCTCTGCTGACATTTTATTATGGAGCATCTTTACGCTTGTTTGTCATCTGTTTCTTTGGTGAGCTGTCTGTTCATGTCTTCTGCCCATTTTTAATTGGGTTGTTTTCTCACTGTTTTAAGAGATCTTAATATATTTTGGGTAACAGTCCTTTATCAGATATATCTTTTGCAAATATTTTCTTCAAATCTGTGTCTTGTCTTCTCATTCTCTTGACTATGTCTTTCACAGAGAAGAAGTTTTAAATTTTAATGAATCCCAGCCTATAGATTACTTCTGTCATGGATAGTGCTTTTGGTGTTAAATCTAAAAGGTCACCACCATACCCAAGACCGTCTAGATAAGCTCATCCAACTGGAAGCCCACAGGCCTCATGTGGCCCAGGATGCAAATTCATAAACTTGCTTAAAACATGAGATTTTTTGAATCTTTGAATGCAGCCCAACAAAAATTAGTAAACTTTCTTAAAACATGATAAGATTTTCTTGTGTGTGTGTGTGGTTTGTTTTTTTATTTTTATATTTATTTTATTATTTTTTTTTGCTCATCAGCTATCATTAGCATATTTGATATGTGGCCCAAGACAATTCTTCTTTGAATGTGGCCCAGGGAAACCAAAAGATTGGACACCTCTGATCTAGATTTTTTTTTCTTTGTTATCCTCTAGAAGTTACATAGTTTCACCCCTTACATTGAGATCTATGACTCATGTTGAGTTACTTTTGTTTTGTAAGATTAAAAGTCTGTATCTAGATTCAGTTTTTTGGCATGTGGACATCCAGTTGTTCCAGTACCATTTGTTGAAAAGACAGTCTTTGCTTCATTGTATTGCCTTTGCTCCTTAGCCAAAGATCAGCTGACTATATTGATGTGTGTCTAACTATATGGCTCTCTGTTCTGTTCCATTAATTTATTTTTCTATTTTGTCAATGCTACACTGTCTTGAAGAGATATTACTTTTAAAACTCACAGTTTCTTCTGTCTGGGTTTGACACACATTTTCTGCAAAATAATTGCATTCTTGAACATGTTGCTCTCATGTTAAAATTAGTTCTGATGTTATACACAGCATAAGTACAGGAGAAAAGATGAATTTACAGAAAAATTCCTTAGTGAGAATTTGTTTTCACTTTGTGCACAATTTTTTAAACCATTGATTTCTGCAGGAATAAACATGAAATAAATTATTAGGATACTATATTTTCTTTTTTATATTTTCTTTAAAGTCACCCTCCAAAAAAGTATATAAGGTAGAAGAGATGAAGAAAAAAAGCTTAATGTTCATTTACTACAATTCTGGAATAATCCTTATAATAATTTTTAGTAGGAGTTCTATTTAAGACTGAAAGTTAAGGAACAGATTGAGAAATTTACAACTCAGTATCAGGTTAAAAACTCTTCTATTTTTTTCATCTCTTAGTTAACTGTCATCTTTCTCTCCATAGTAAAAAGAAAAACATTAGGCTGTTTTATCATCAGGTTAAGAAACATGTTAGGTTAAGCTTTCTTTGGTGCCTAGATTTTGGTAAAGTGTGTTACTCAGGGTATTGTCCTATGCTTGAAGCCAGAGCATGTCGAGGTGATACTGAGACTGATTTGTATTAGCCAAAGTCACAAGAGACTGATTTATAAATCTTAATGTCTGCTCATTAATTTACAGTAGGAGCTACACATAATAAAATAACTGGATTAGTTAATCATACAAGACACCCCCCTTGGGTGAGAAGATGTGCTCTGGTGGCCAAATTATAGGTAGGAAACTTGCTTGGTGGCTATGAAATTAGAGCAATGGGAATTGAATGTTAACAGATACTACTTTCCAGCCAAAAGAGCCTGATAATTTACCCTTTGCCCCTCCAGAGATTTTCCTATTCTAATAACCACAGATGTTGCCTAGATCTCTTCTTAAAAATTTACCTTACCCACTTCTTTCTCTAGATTTTTTAAGGTTACTATAACACACTGTAATTAAATCACCCTTCATGAAATGTTGGTTTCGGTTTTCAAGATTATAGTACATTTCAGATTAGTTTTATTTTGGGTTTTTTTTTCCTGACTGCTAGAGAGACATATAAAAAATAAACCATCTGAAAATAACAACATAATAGATTATAATTTCAGTTACTGTGTGATGATTCTTACCTCATTTAATTTCAGAGATTTAATTTCATTGATTTAAAATTCTTATCCTGTGCTTTTGACTTGTTTCTTTCCTTTTAACATATTGAATGATAGGCTACCCAAGATCTCATTTTAATTTTCTATTTTATTTAGATAGTTTACAAATATTCATAGTTTAGGATTTTTGCTATCTGCCTTAATATGTTACACCTGTTTCATTTATGAAAATAGTTCTTTCCAAAGATGTGTTCTCTACTATAAAATTCTTTCATACATCAGTTTATGGGATGAAGAATAATGATAGAAATATTTAATGTTTTATCCCACAAATCACTCTTAGAAATTTTTAAAAATAGCATGCTGAGGGAATCTTTTATTCTGTGATTTTTGTCAATTCTGCCATGATACTTTCATGGCATTTTAGTTGAAATGAATGTGTGTGCATTTCAGTTGTAAATTAAGATATCAGCGTATTGCTTGCAGAAATTATGTCATTCTAAGAAAATGGAAATAATGAAATCAATATTCAAGTTTTGTTTTTCCATTATTTATTAAATACAGTGTTATTCATGTGCCCATTATTTCAGAATTACACCAAAATTGTAAGAGCAAGAAAATAGCTAAAAACCCTAGAATGAGAAACTGCAATTGTGATGGATTTTGCAGAGCATACTTTATTTTGGGGATAGGGAATATGTGATGGTAGTAATGCCCTGGATCCTTCCAATATGTTTACTAAGTAACTAAAATGATTTCACCTTTAACAATCTATATTGAGATATGTCCATTTTGCCTGCATTAAATATCAAGCTATTGAATTGGTATCCTTCTGGAAAAAATATTAGACATGCTACTATATTATGTTAGTTTGAGTGTATCTGCATTAAGAAAATCCATGAAACATAGAAATTCTGCCATGAATACGAAACAAAAATGAAATATTTATGTAACTCACCTCAGAAATCTAGGTGTCCTAAACGTTACAGCTATTAAAAAGCTGGACAACAGAAAAGATTGGTTGTTGTGAGTCTTTTTGAAAAGGTATAAGTAATCTGGAAGCAACACTACTCGATGCACATTAAAAGATTAAAAGTAAATTTCAGTTGGTGATGTGTTTGTATCTCCCACTATGTCCTGTTTCTTCAGGCCACTCCTGCGATGCTTTAGAACATGTAGCAGCATATGTAGCAGCACCTCTAAATATTGACCAGACAAGGGCAGGATTCTACCCAATGGAAAACTCTGATAGCCTATTGAAGTCTCCATCAATCTATGTCATGTCTTTTGATGACAGAATGACATATTCTTTGGTGTGCTTGGAGAGTGACATTAAGGGAGGAGTGTGATTTAATGTCAATGCAAGACCCAATGCATTAGAATTGTTGTCATAATCTCATTCCCAAAGATTGGCAATCAGTCTCAGCCAGAAGCAACTGTGGCCTGTATTTCTTTTCATTGCAAGCTTACTTTGGTTTTCTGCTTCTGTGGTTTCATCGTCCATTTTTGAACTTCAATTACAGAGCACAGCAGTGCTATTTATGTCAAAAAACCCCCATTACTTTGTTTGCTGAGGTGTAAAATAATTTTCCTTCTGAGTCAGACCAAGTCCTACCTAACCTCCAACTGATCCTACAAAAAGAAAATGATTAGGTTCTTTAAGAGTGTTAAATACTATCTTTAGAATAGGTATTTTAATGAAATGGTAACTGATCATTAAATAGTTATGACAACTAGATTCTGCCTGAATTGCTAATAAGCCTGGATAAATGTAGTAATCACAAATTGATGTTTAAATTAGATGTATAAACAACCCTGTTAATCTTCCCCTCAATTTTCCTGAATTCATGCTGACAACATCTCAAATAATCCTCTAAATTTAGACCTTCAAAATGTATAAAGACAAGCAGAGTAATAGGTTTTTTTTAAAGAAACAAATATTTCTCAATGATCAAATACTTTTGTATTGAATATAAATATAAATTATTGATTTGGAGGGCAGGGATGTTAAAATGTATTGAAACTTGAGTAAAACATTGCCAGGTGTGGTGGCTCACCACCAAAAATACAAAATTAGCCAGGTGTGGTGGCACATGCCTGTAATCCCAGCTGCTTGGGAGGCTGAGGCAGGAGAATCACTTGAACCCAGGAAATGGAGGTTGTAGTGAGCCAAGATTGTGCTACTGAACTCCAGCCTGGGCGACAAGAGTGAAACTCCATCTCAAAAAAAAAAAAAGAAAGAAAGAAAGAAAAAATAACTTCTAATAAAAGGCTCCAGTAATATAGGTAAGTTCAAAGTAAATAAATTTTTAAAACAAAATAAATGCCTTACTAGAAATAGTCACTTAGGAATTACAACAAATATTTAATTTATAATAGTAGCAAATTGCATGAAATATGTGAAAAGTAATCTGCAAAGAGATTGAGCATTTTTCTGTAAAACTTTGCTGAGATAATGAAAATGTGAATGAATAGACATACTTCTAGTGGGAAAAAGTATATCATATGTTAGTACATCCAAGATGGAACTTTGAAATAATGCTTTTACCTAAGAAAATGCATGTGTTATTAGAAAAGAATAGCTACTGAATAAATCTAATTATAATACACATAACCTCTTCCCCCACTAAAAACAGAGGAGAGAGGAGAAGCAGACTATCAAAAATAAATTATTTCAAATGAATGGTTAGCAGTTTGGGGTACAAATTCAGTTAGATGCATGTTTTATATAATTTACTACAATAATTTCTAAAAATTACAGTAAATATGTAAACATATAAGAAAAAATAAAAGAAAATTGAATACTTATCAGCTCTTAGATGAAAAAATTCTAAATTTAATACTGTTAGAAATCAACAACTTAAAATTCAAATGCAATTATAGGATTGGTAAATAAACAGGGAAATAAAGATCAAAGCATCTATTAGGAAAACAAAGAACATAGAAAAAGGAAATAAAAATACAAGAAAAAGAAATGATGAGATTTCCATGAAGCCACTAATCATATGTATCGTCAGGTCACATAAAACTAACTGGAGATTATCAGTACTCACAGAAGTGTTCATGGCCTTTGACCCAGTAATCCCACTCAGGCATTCCAGATTAAGAAGGAATTCAAATGAATGTAAAGCCAAAATAATTAGTCTTAAAAAATGCATAAAATGTTCAGAGGAGCAACTGCAGTAAAAAACTGGAAGCAAACTAGTGAGTAATCTATGAAGTGTTAAGTTTTGTAGTAATGTCAAAGATATTTTACAGATAGTAACAGTGATACATAAGGAACAATATGGAGTTATCCTTAACCAGATACTATAAGGTGTTTTTGTTGTTGTTGTTGTTGAGACGGAGTCTCGCTCTGTCACCAGGCTGGAGTGCAGTGGCGCGATCTCGGCTCACTGCAATCTCCACCCCCAGGTTCAAGCGATTCTCCTGCCTCAGTCTCCTGAGTAGCTGGGACTACAGGCACGCATTACCACACCCAGCTAATTTTTGTATTTTTAGTAGAGACAGGGTTTCATCATGTTGGCCAGGATTGTCTCGATCTCTTGACCTTGTGATCCACCTGCCTCAGCCTCCCAAAGTGCTGGGATTACAGGCGTGAGCCACCATGCCTGGTTTTTAAAAATCATATTTGAAAATAAATACATAGAAGGCTTATAGATATCAGAATAGTGAATTTATAATCTATTTTCCAAACTTTTTGGATTTTTTAATATAAAAAAGACAAACTGAGAAGTAGAGTAAAAGTTTCTATGTTGAATATGTCTATTAGTTATAGAAATATTAAACCAAGAGGAGGAAATGAAAAAACAAAGATCCTAGGAAAGCACCTCATTCAACCCAGGCCACATTTCTCTGCAGGGGGTTCCCAGTCACAAATGGAAACTTTGTATGACAGTTCAAGTCATTTGCTGCGTGGCTCTCAAGAACCTATCTTCAGGGATCTCCTGTTCAGTCCAGAATTTAGACTGCATGATTTTGATTTTATCTCAATAGCCAAAATGTTTCTTTTTTCATCTTCTAAACTATAACCAAACAAGTTCGTGATAATAGTTCAGGTAGCAAAGCAAGGCCGTGTGCTCTCTACATTTCTGCTTGAGAGTGTGTGCATGTAAAACAAGGTGTATATGCATGACAGTCAAATTTCCTTTTTATTAATGACAGTTGTCAAACTTGACAGGAGAATTGATCCGTCAATGTGAAATAGAGAATGGGAAAGTTTAGTGTGTACAACAAAGCACCCTTTCTCAGATATTTGTCTTGCAGTTAGAATTGCAAAGAAAAGTCCTGATCAGGAAAAAACCCTGATCCTATAAGATAGATTTTTTTTAAAAGAAGGAATTCTGATCCAAATATAAGGTAATTCCTAGTAACGAGCAGATATGGCGGTAAAGAACAGGCACCGTGATCTAAAGAAAGAGAAAGCAAGTCAATACTAGCACTCCAAAACTTCTAAACATCACCTGTTAGCGCTTTCCTACCATGCTGAATAATGACCCTCAAATCCACTGTGAATCTTTGCTTACAGACTAAAATCTTTTGGGGAATTGTGCTTTTCATTACACTGGAGCCCATTAAATTATCTAGTAATTTAATTTTGTATAAGCAAAACAAAACATTTTGTATCAAAATGTGTCACTTGAGCCACTTGTAACTCCATCTAGTCAGAACTCTGTCTTTACTAATATTTTTCACTACATTTTCTTGTAATTTTATTTACCAGACCTTTACACTGGAGAAAAGTACCAACAGCAGCTGCCATCAGCAAGCTTGACACAAATTAGGTCTATGTGGCAGTTTTCTGCCTTACTCCCCTAGTATGATGAATGCAGTCATTTTATGAGGCTCACCATTCCTGGAAAGGTTTATTTTTGCTAGAATGTCTAAAAATCAGCCTCCATCTCTGTCAGTCCTAGAGGTTTCTGAATCTTGGTTCTTGGCTTTCCTCTGCTTTTACAGCATTCCAAATGTATTTTGATTATAATTAAACCTTTTAAAACATTTCTGTCCATTCATTTTCTCACTGCACTAAATGTCCATGCCTTTCTTGCAAGTATAATGAGAAGAGCATTGCCCTCATAGACACATCTGTATTCCTATTACCAGCTGTGTATGTTTGGGAAAATTCTTGGTCTCTTTCAGTCTCAGTTTCTTATCTGTATAATGGGAGTGTAATCTCTGTCTCACAGGGGTATTTTAAGAATAGAATGTGACAGGGAAGGCCAAATCTTGAGCTTAGTACCTACTAAAAAATGTTCAACTAGTGGGAACTATTTTCTTGTGGTGATGATGGTGTCTCAGAAGCTCTTGGAATCCTAGGCAAGGAGAGAAGACCATGATCAAAATGAGAGATTCACCCGAGCTACAGAACCCAACCAAACTAACCAGTAAAACATAATCTGTTCCGTCTATACATGGTTTCACTGATGTCTCCATTACTCTTGTACTGTATCCTGTAGTATTTAAATGCGCCTCAAGAGAGAATGTTGTAGGTCAGATCGCTGCTCTGCAAAATAACTTTTGCAGATACAATTGCTGACCTAATTTTTAGTACTTTATTTTCCATTTGCGTGGTGATGTGGCATGTCTATGATGCACTATTCAATATGCAGAGATTTGAGAATAATTCATTTAGGCTTAATTTAAAACGGAACTTGACTTAAGTAAAGGATTACCCTTACAATAGATGCTAGGTTGGATTTCTTTGATATTTGTAAACCTTAATTCTTATTGACATCTGGTTGATGCCTTGTGAGAGTGTGCTTATTTACAGCTTAAACCAGTCCTTACATTACCAACTTCTCATCTCACTAACACAAAGGGTTTTGGAACACTGCCTTCCGTCGGATGAGGTGGGCATCCACAAGAGGCTCCTGCAGCTTTTCAAAGCTGACACTAGTTTGGAAAAAATAGTCTAGCTGAAAAGCAAAACTCAAATCAAAACCAGACCTGAAGAACTCTATCCTTAACTTGGTATGTTAATTCAGCATGACTGCAATAAAATAGTATAAGTATATAATATTACTATCTCTATAGCTGTGTAGACAATTTATGTACACCAAGTTCAATTTGTTGCATCAATTATGTGTGCAGTTTCTTCAAGCTAACAATTTTGTGTATTGGTCTCCAATATGTATGTGTCTGTGTTCATAAGCGTGTGTGAGTTACTAACATATTAATTTCACTTAACAAAAACTATATATTTATTGTGTACAATATGTTGTTTTAAAATATATGTATTTTATAGAATGGCTAGCCTCAAGTGTGTGTTCCACAAGTTTTTGTATAGGAATTAGAATCTTTTTTTTTTGTTTTTGTAATTCACAGAAACAAATCTTGAACAATCATTGCAATACAATAAACATAAAGCATAGTTTTATTTTCCCTAAGTATTTCTATTAAAAACCTATTTAAAATAATGTAACACCTTTATGTTCTACCTTTTCTCCTGAGGTCTTGATAATAGTTTTATTTTCTGTATCTCTGTAATTTAATAAGCTAGTGACAAAAGCTAGGCTATTAGATTTAATTTTCACTAACTCTAGGCAAAGCTTGAGCTCTGTTTTACAGGATTTCTCTCCTCTGTCCCTCAGGGAGCTTATATCTTCTCACTAATGAGCTAAAAATGTAAAAACAGTAAAGTGCCAAGAAATGCATGGGATCATAGCTAGTGGTATGGGGATTGCTCACGCATGTATTTTACCTTAGTCACTCTGACTTATTGCCATTTCTCTAATACTCCATCTTGAGATTTTTATTACATATTTCTCCTTCATTTACCAGTGTTCAAAAGTCAACATCTAAAAAAAATCACTGTAACCTGTTAAAATGTCTACTGCAGAATGCAGATAAAGAGATATTTAACTTTGTTTTCTATAATTAACTCCACTTGGTGTTGAGCTTCCATTTCTGTTGATGGTGGAGGAAAATAAACTTTGTCTTACCTTTTCACAGTAATTTGTTCTCTTCCTTTACACAGTTTAGGTTTTTTATAGGGCAATGAGTCCAGGGTTATTTTGTCCCATCTCCCTGTCCCTTTCCTTTTCTTAGGGAAGATGGAGAAGCTTACATCACACCGTGATGGTGGGATGGGGTGGGGTGTCCAGGAAGTCCTCTGGGTTCCTTCAGGCCACTGTGGGTGAAGAAACGAGATTTGCCTAGTCTCTGAGCATTGGTGAGCGCCCAGTGCTAGTGTCCCTAGAGTCTGAAGTGGCCTTAGGCTTCAAGTTCCGAAACTCTGCACACATCTGCTTTCACTTTACTGTGGCCACGAGATATCTTCCCTAGGCCTTTCTCAGTGACATAGCACTATGCTTTTTTCTTAATTCTTGACTTCTCCCTTTGTAGTCTCTTCAGTCCATACTATAACTTACAAAGCCTCCCTCCCCTCCTTCCTTCCTTCTTTCTTCCTTCCTTCCTTTTTTTTTTTAGAATATTTATTCCATATTCTGCAATTGACATTAATAATCTCTATGCTGAGTCTTTCAGCTTTGTCTCATTGGGCCTCCTAAATCCATCCTCTCAACAAAGACTAGCTCTTACAAATAAAAGCTCTGGCTCTTACAAGTATTGTTTCTGACATGGCCATTAAGAACTCATTTTGAAATTTAAAAGTAGAGTATAATTGTATTTGCTGCATTCTACCTTTCGCTTGAACCAATGGATGCCTCAACTTCAAGGAATACAATGACTGTCAAGAAATGGAGAAATGAAATTATATCAAACAGCATTTTAGAATTATTTGATCTCATTACTTTAAGCTCATGCATTGCAGATCTTGCGTATTTGTTTTGTTCAGTATTGCTCGTAGAATATTTTGGTGGCTTTTAGACTTTCATATCAATTAGGTAGTCCTTCTTACTCAAATAGTCTGTTGGCCTTTCAATCTGGTCATAAAATAGTAGGTGATGAGGATAAATGAAGTATTTACTAATATTTATCAGCAAATTTCTATGATTTCAGACATGTTGAAGAGTATTTGCAATAACTTTTATTCTGTGTGATTAAAATAACTACAGTTGATTTTTTTTCAAATGTGTAAATTTTTTAAACTACAGTTTCATAGAAAGTAATTTAAAAACCTACAGTGTAGGTGTTGATTTGCGACACTAAATTATACATGATTTTTTGTTTTATGTAGACATTTGGAGTTTGCTATATTATTCCCAAAGCTATGGAAATTACCTGTAATGGTTCAGAGTAAAGAGGGGCATAAACACAAACGCTGTTTCATTCAGAGCAAAATTTGAAGGAGGATAATCAGATTTTCTAACTACGGAGACAACCTCTTGAGGGTAAATCCATGTTTCCACAGAAATAGAAAGGAATTTAATATTTATGAAGCATCTACTATATGCTAGGTACTACATTAATAGCTTATGTGTATATAGTGTTTCATTTAGTACCTATTAGGTAGACAGTTCTTATAATAATAATAATAAAGCACTTTATAATGAAGCAACTGGCTCACAGCCCAGCTGGAATTTAAAAACTAGGTTTCTCCCTGGCACCCTATTGCCAAACACAAAAATCATCTTCATGTATTCTTTCCCCTTATCATCTGAGCAGCAGTTGACGTTTGAATAAGGTGATATGTGATATCTTTAAAAGATATACATAGAGAAAAGTTAACCAGATAACCAAGAAAATGATTCGTTAAATATATTTTTATAATATTACGTTTTGCCATATGATATATTTAGTCTGAGTCTTGTATATATGGCTTCAGTATGTGGCTTTGAAACTGAGTATAAGTGATTTTGAGAACAATTAAGCACAACATGGTGATACATACTCAGTGACCCTTGGGAATTAAGAAGAGGAGTAATCAATGTGTAAAGCATCAGTTTTCCCTCCTGGGAATTATTTTAGAACTAGGACAAACTTTAGAAGGGAAATCTTTCTATCTATACAGTACAAAATTACTCATAATACCATTCAGGTCCCCAAACATTCTTTGGGTGCTCTTGGACAGGGTGCTGTGTCACTTGCTCAGAAGACAAAGATGAATGAGGTGAGATCTCTTGCCCAATCAGACATCAATCCTAATTAAAAATTTTTGGTACATGTTGCTCTGAGACAGTTCCCTGAGGGCAGGTATTCTGTTTTCTTGTATTTCTTCTTATGCTTTTAAATGGCATAGACATAGGAAGTACCCTATACATATTCATTTGATGGTGATGAAATGAGAGCGTGGTGAAATGAAGCCTCGGTTTAATAGCATGGAATCTAGCACATATTAGCCATTGAATATGTACAAATCACACTGAATCAAATTTCAAGGTGCTACTTAAGGCATTTTATTGAGGATCCAATTTGGTCCTGAGAATATGAGTCAGTAGTAGTGCGTATCCCTCCAAATGCTAAATCCCATATATCTTATACATCTGATTATTGGCTTTAGAAGATTTTTCCCATTTCAGAATTTAAAATCACATTTGAAATAGATCATCTAGGGATTGCTTACACAGTTGTAAGAAAAAAAGAACTGGCAAGGCTTTTATTAGCAAACTTTTACATCATAAAGACTGACCTTTAATTAACTGAAGGTTCTAAATTGGGAAGTGTGAGGAAATTCCTGACTTAGAATTACAGTTAAACCAGCATCATCTTTAAAAACAAACATACACAAGGAAGGCTTGCTGTATTCACCATTCATGACATTGTTTTGAGTTAACAGTACTGAGTTAAAAAAAAAAGTTTAATGTCAAAAGTTGTGGTTAAGTGTATAAGTCTTCTATTTACTTCTTCAGTCTACATTTTGACAAAATAGAATGCTTAGGAAGGCACTAACAGACCTTACATAAGCTAAGAAATGCATAGATTTTACAATTGAATGGAGGGAAAAATCCAATTAAATAATTTATTAGCCCATTAATCAGCAGCATCCCTGTCATGGGCTTCCATGATAGTGTCATTAAAACCAGCTTGCAGATTCATGCATTTTGAAAGTGTGTTTTGACCACCAACGAGATTATATTTAAGTTTTTACAAAGTTAATGTTTCTAATGTTTATAAGGTTACTGTTTCTTTGGTTATCCTATGATTAATACTATTTCACCATTATAGACATCCTTTTATCTTTAAGGACCATGAAATAAGGAACAGTGTCAGTGACATCTTGGTTCTTTACAGCTCCAAGCACAGAGATAATTGTCAATTCGAAATCCTATTTACTCTTTACATATGGGTTATGCTATCTGGCAGCAGATGAGACAGCTCCTAGCTAACTTTACTAGACTTTCCTAGAAAGACCTCCACTATTAAATGTCCCCTATATAAATATGCCATCTTGTGGATTTTCATCCCATTTTCTCTCTCCCTTACATTATAATATATCTATTTAAGCTTAGTTAACTTTTGCCCTCTTATCTGGAGTTTGATCCTTAATAGTCATTTTTCCCACAAATTTTCAGTTTCTTTATAAATGTGCACAAGGCCATTTTAAGGGAAGGTATATGGTGTTAGCCAACAGAAAATAAGATACAAAGTTTGTTTGCCAATCCAACAACTTTTACATGGAAAGTTCTTTGATTTTTATGAGAACTGAGAGACACATTTCAGAATATAACTAACCATTGCACAATTACATAGTTAACAAATTAGAATAGTTTCCATTACGTTAACATTTCTCTTCCCTCCTTCCTTCCCTCCCTCCCCTCTCCTTCCTTCCTTTTCTTTTTTCTCCCTTCCTTCCTCCCTTCCTTCATCTTTTTCTCTTTTATTTTCCTTCTTCCTCCTAACTTCCTATTTTTTCTTTTTCCTTTCTCAGTTTCAATTCCCTCATTTGTAAGATTGGGAGAATATTAATACAGATATAGTAGGAGAGTTGTTAGAATTAAGAGATTAACACACACTAGCATTTACCACAACACTGGGCACAGAGTTAAGTCTTAGGTCAATTTTGGGTGATTAAAATAAATACATGATTTTGTTCATCTCAATCAAAACACATGCAGACTTAGAATTGGACAGCCTTAATAATCTAAAGAGTCCTAATGTTCTTTGGTTTACTTAAGGTATTTCACCTAGTCAGTTGCAAAGAGAATGCAGTCAGACCTCTTGGCATCTATCTTAGACTGTACTCTGCAAGCACAATCAATGGTTTTCATCGTTCAGAAGGTGTGCACTAGAAAGTTCTGATCTTGAGTAGAAAAAATGTTTTCTAGGTTCAACATTAAAAAATTAAATTCAGCAGTCTCTTTTTTTATCCTTTATTTTAGACAAAGATTTATCTAGTATTACCTTCCTGGAAATGAGAGGAATAAAATACAGAGTTGATTCTCTTATCTAGGAAAGTAGGACGATGTCAGCTATAAGTTGAACTGGTTCTTATTCCCATGTTAGTTTTTGATTTGGTGTCTTTTTCCTTATAAAAGAGGGTTTCATAAAAATACTGAGATTTATTCTGCAGGTGAAAGCACATTTGCCTAGTGACGCAAGTACTCTGAAGGAGGCCTGTTTTGAGCTAGAGAGAGATTGAGAGAGAGTGTGGAGGTGACATTAGAAGGTGTCTCCTGTGTTGCTACCTGCAGTTTGCTCTTGGACCCTGGCCAAGCAGTGATGGGGCATCTGTTTGGACTCTAAATTCCTATTATTGTGAGAAACAGATTTTTTTTAAAAAGTAGATGATGGTATAATTAATGGGATTAGTGAAGTACCATATTGATTATATACTGCTGCTGAACAAATGTATAAAACCATAAATTTTTATATCTTCATATATGTAAAAAAAAAAAAGACCAGATTATTTTGAATGTCCTTCCTTGTGCCATGATAATTTGGGGAATCAGATTTTAATCAGCTTTTACTGTGCCCAGGACCATATTCATCCCTTGAGCTTAGACAAATATCTCAGTGCATGAGTTTATTGATCTTCATAATAAGGAAATGTTGGATTGACCCAACCAGATGTATGGATTATACTTCCTGATGAGAAGCAAAACAAACAAGCAGCAAAAACAAACGTTAAAGATTTCCAGATCAAACAAGGTCGAATATATCTTATATTCTGCTCTGATATTTATAGTGACACCCCATTAAAGACTTAAGATATCCTGCAGTAAATAGTAATGTTTAGATTTGACTCAGTTTACTAGAGGAACTTTTTTTTTTTTCTGGTGGCAGAGTTTACTGGCATGCTGTGGACTACTCACCTTCCCACAGATTTTAGACTAGAGTACCTCTAAATTCCAACTGTAAACATTTTGATGCTATGTTTATAAAGTACAATTTAAGAGACCAGTATGAGTTGGTAATCACCTCTTTAAGTCTGCTGAGCTATGAGCCGTTCACCTTTTATTGTCCATAAGGGTCAATTACATTACAGGCATGCTAAGGAAACTGTGAAATTGGGCAGTCAAGTGGTCAAGAGAAGGAATATGGAGCTAAGACTGCTTGGATTCAAACTCTGCTTCTGCCGCTTACTAGCCATGAGACCTGGGGCAACTGAAGGAACTTGGTGCTTCATTTTCTATTGATATGTTTTGGCTGTGTCCCAACCCATATCTCATCTTGAATTGTAGTTCCCATAATCCCCACATGTAGTGGGAGGGACCCAGTGGGAGGTAATTGAATCATGGGAGCAGTTTCTCCTATGCTAGTCTTGTGATAGTAAGTTTTCATGAGATCTGATGGTTTTTTAAAGGGCTTCCTCCTTCATTCCGATCTCATTCTCCTTACTGCCACCATGTGAAGAAGGACGTGTTTGCTTCCCCTTCCACCATTATTGTAAGTTTCCTGAGGCCTCCCCAGGCTGGCAGAACTGTGAGTCAATTAAACCACTTTCGTTTCTAAATTATCCAGTCTCAGGCAGTTGTTTATAGCAGCATGAGAATGGACTAATACATCTATCATCAAGTAAATGAGCATGATAATAGCACTTACATCTTAGGGCTCAGATCAGGAAGAGGGCCCAGCATATCGTGAGTTCTTCACAACCATTATACTATTAAATACCACTATTGTTACTGAAGAAGGCTGGTGACTCCTCTTCTGGAGATACTGAGAAGTAATGAAAAGAAAACCTGGTCTCTACTAAAAATACAAAATAATTAACCGCGTGTGGTGGTGCACACCTGTAGTCCCAGCTACTCGGGAGGCTGAGGCAGGAGAATTGCTTGAACCCAGGAGGCGGAGGTTGCAGTGAGCAGAGATCGTGCCATTGCACTCCAGCCTGGGTGACAGAGCAAGACTTCATCTCAAAAAAAAAAAAAAAAAAAAAGAAAAGATTCACATCCCATGTTTGTTCATGTATTGTTCAATTTTCATCGCTTTAAATCTTCTTTCTGCAGTGTTTCTCATGTTCAATAATGGCATTACCCTTCAGCAGTAGTAGATGCCCAAAACTTATGAGCTCAATTAGTAAGTTCTTTCTCTTCTACTTTCAAAATGTATCTAAAAACCAGCTCTTTCTTTTTATTGCTACCATCTCAGTGTGAACCCCCGCCGTCTAGTCTGTTGGGTCTTGTAGCAATCTTCTAATGGTCCGTCGTTTCCCATAGTCCTTTTATCAGTAGCAGATAGAGTGCTAGTTTAAAAATATATCAGATAATTTGCCTAGGGCTCAAGTGCATTAGAATAAAATTCAAGCATCTAACTGTAACCTTCAGAGTTTCCTCCTGCCCTCCTTAATCTCATGAGGCCCCATTCATGGTACTTTGGTCAACCTGGCCAAACACACACACCTTGTTCTCTCCTTGCTGTTTTGCATTTATGTTCATTTAACTGGTGGGATTTCTTCCCAGGATCTTCATAAGGCTGATCCCTTCTTTGTATTCTAGTCTAGGTCAAATGTTACATTCTTAGAGAGGAAATCCTCCATTGCCCTAGGAAAAAGTAGCCTCCAACACACTCTATCTGGATTTTTTGTCTACTTGTTTATTATTTTTCCGTCTTCCTAGCAGAATATGAAGCTGCAAGGGGGTAGGGACCTTGTTAATATCATTCACAGGCATCTAGAATAATAATCTCTTATTTTCATTTCAATGTATATTTAGTGACTGAATGGAGTCTTTTAAGAGCCAAATAGTACTTGTCTCACCAGTTTGTTTTGAAGATTAAAAGAGAAACTGTATGTAAAGCAGCAGAGTCCAGAGCTTAGCACACGAAAGCTGTTGAGCATCTATACTTAGTATTTCTTAGTATTTTTGTACCATTTTCACAAACATTTTCCTATACACCTCTAAGGCTTTAGGAAAGAGAATGTATCGACTCCCCTAAAATCTAGAGAGGATGAAGAAGAAGCAGAGTCAGGGCTGGAGCCTGGATCTCAATGCCTTTGGTCCAGGAAGAGTTCTGTCACTATGTTGACCAACTTCTACTTCTATGGTAGAAAATAGTAAGCATTTAACTTTTTTTTTTTTTTTTTTTTTGAGACGGGATCTCACTCTGTTGCCCAAGCTGGCATGCAGTGGCATGATCGTGGCTTACTGAAGCCTCAAACTTCTGGGCTCAAGGGATCTTCCCATCTCAGCCTCTCCAGTAGCTGGGACTACTAGTACATGCTACCAAGCCAAGATTGCTTGTTTATTTACTTATTTATTTGTACAAATACAGTCTTGCTATGTTGAGCTGGCTGGTCTGGAACTCCTGGGCTCAAGCTATCCTCCTGCCTCAGCCTCCCAAAGTGCTGAGATTACATTTGTTAGCCACTGCACCTGGCAGCATTTAAATTTCAGAGACTTTAGATACATGTTCATACTTTATAAGATAAGTTATACTTTTGTTAAAAAAAAAAAAAGGAAGCCAAAATAGATTTCAAACCATGATGGAGTTAATTTACTCTCCTATGATCATTTAAAACAAATCTTTTATCATAGTTAATCACTTGTATTTTTTTCAAGCCTTCTAATATTCAACATTCGGCATGAGCTCTCATTCTACAATAGTACTGTCTATTGTAACTCCATAATTTTTAATTTCTATTCACAGGCTTTGAAAATACTGACCATTATCATCTCCCTTGAATGAATACCTCCTACCTTGCTGAGCTTCATGTTATTTGCATAATGAATCAGCAAGGTTTATATTGAGAGACCTATATTGCTCATACAGTTATGCATTTTGCAAAAAGTATTATGAGATATATCACATGTACAAAGGTGTGTGTAACAAGAGCATAAAGAATAGCATTAAATAAACACCTCTATTTTTAATATCCAGGTTATAAAAATAGAACATGATCAGTATCCTTGACATTTCCTGTGTACTCTCCTCTTACAGAGATAATTACATCTAAATTTGGTATTAATCATTTCCTTTTCTTTATGTCCCTAAATAATGTAAGTTTTGTTTTGCCTGTTTTTGTCCATTTCATATAAATGGAATCATATTAGGTATATTGTTTTGTGATTTGTTTTTTGCTTTGAGATTCATCCATATTGATGAACATACTCAGAATCAATCGTGCTCACTTTGATACAGAATTCGATTGTGTGAGTAAATCACAATTTAATGCTCTGTCATCTTGTTGATGAATATCTGAGCTTAGGGTTTTTTGCTATAATGACTGATGTTTTTGTGGACATTTTCTCATGTCTCCTAGTACACCTGTGCAAGAGTTTTTCTGGGGTTTACACTTAGAATTAGTCATAGGTTTATACTTGGTCATTGAATATTCTCATATTCAACTCTACTATACAATACCAAGTTGTTTCCCAAAGTGATTATATCAAATTACATTTTCCTTCAGTGGTACATAAAAATTCATGGAGCTTTATATCCTCCTCAATATTGTCAAGAAGATTGTCAGGCTTTTTAAATTTTGCCAGTCTGGCAGGTGTGAAATGGTATCTCCTTGAGATTTTAATTTGCATTTCCTTGCTTACTAAAGAGTCTGAGCATCATGTCATATGTTTATTTGGCATTCCCATTTCCTCTTCTGGGAAATGTTTGTGTGTTTTTCTATTAGATTTTTTGTTTTTGTCTTATGGATTTATAGGAGTTCTTTTTACATATTCTAGGTGCAGTTTTGTTTGTTATATATACAGCAAATATTTTCTCTGTTTTTGGATTATCATTTCATGGTTCCTCTTGATAAACAGAAGTTTTACATTTTAACAAAATTGAATTTATCAATAGTTTTCTTTTTTAGAAAATTGGTACATAAAATATTCTTTATTATGATATCATAAAGATAATCGCCTACATTTTCTCAAAGATCTTACTCTTCACATTAAAGTCTTGGAAGAGATTTTTGCATTTATTCCAAGAAGGAAGCAGTGTTGTATTGTGTTTTATATGGATTTGTAATTATTCTGGATAATTATTGAGAAATCCATTCCTCGCAGGTATGCAATACCACCTCTATCTTATATGGAGTCTCTACGTATGCATGAGTCTGTGTCTGGTTCTCTCTCATTCCATTGGCTTATTTGTTTATCCTTAAGACAATATCATTGTTATAGTTTTATAATAAGTCTTAATAACTGGTAGGGATATATTTTCAAGATATCCTTAGTCCTTTACTCCTACATGAAAATATTTGGAATTATTCTGTCAAGTTATTTGAAACATCCTTGGGATTTTTACTGAAATTGCATTAAAAGTATAGATCAATTTGGGGGAGAAGATTGATACCTTTACAATATTGAGCTTTTTTTTTTCCACAAATGTAGTATATCTCTCCATTTATTTAGGTCTCTCTTAGAGTCTTTCAATAAAATTTTGAACTTTCTACGTAAAGGATTTGCACATCTTAATATTAGATTTATTCTTAGGTACCACCAACCTTTTTTATTTGTAAAGGATATATTTTAAAATTGCATTTTTCTAATTTGTTGTATTTAAAAGTGGTGTACTTTATTTTAATAATTTGGAAATGCTTAAGTTTTCTATGCATAAAATGTCCGTGAATAATGGATGTTTTATTTCTTTATTTACAAGCCATTTATGTGTTATCTTTTATCTAGACTTACTGCATTGACTCACAATCAAAGTTAATGTTGTAAGGAAGTGATAGTGGGCATTTTCTGTGTGTCATTTCAAAGGGAATAATTTTAATATTTCATTATTGAAAAGATAATTGCTGTAAGGTTTTTTTTTGTAGATACCCTTTATCAAGATGAAGTTGTATTTTATTTACTGTTTTTAAAAAGTTTTTATTATGAAGTGATGCTGAATGTTAAAGAACACTTTTTACCAAATATATTGAGATGAATATGTAGACTTTTCTTTCTTTGAACTGTAGCTGTGTTGACTTACATTTCTGGATTCTGATGTTCAACCAACTTTATATTCTTGAGATAAACACAATTTCGTCATTTTGTATTTGCTTTTTTGGGCATTGCTGTGTTTGATTTGCAATTTTAGTTGAATGACAATATATAATCATTCACTGATATGTGAATGATTAGGATTGGCCTGTTATTTTTCATTTCTGGTGTCTCTTTGGTGTCAGTATCAAAAGTTAGACTTGTAAAAAATTTGTAGAAGTATTTCTCCCCTTTCTGTTCCATAGAAATTGTAGTAATATATCGAGGTTATTGATTCCTTGAAGGTTCATAGAACTTGCTGGTAAAATGCTCTAGGTATGATATTTGCTTTGGAAAATCTTCAACAGCTAACTTATTTTTTTAAAAAACATTATTAGGATTATTCTAATTTTCTATTTCTCCAATCTCTTCTTAACAGACTGATAGTAATACTGACTTAAGTCACTTTTAATAATTCACACATTTCTAAGAATGTTCTTTTTACCATATTTTCATAGTTTATTGTTTATATTATCTTTTATTACTTTTCATTTCTGATATTGTTTATTCCTCCCTCTATAAAAAAATCAGTATTTTTTAGAGACTGCTCAAGTTTTTTAGCCATTAAAAACAGATTAACTCTGTTAATTCTCTCACATCTTCTTTTCTGTTTTCTATTCTTTTTTCTCATCTATTTCAGCTTTTGATTGTTATTTTTTTCTGATAGCTTGTTAAAATACAATTCTCCTTTTAAATGGACTCCTCAGCCTACTTTAGCCCTGTGTATGTGTGTATGCATTATCTACCTTTCTTCTAAGTGCGGTTTTCAACTTTCGAGGTACTGTGTGTTCATCAGCATTCGCCAGGTTTTCAATGTTTATTCATTTTCATTATGCTTTACTTTTACATGCGCTCTTTAGAAGTGGATTTCTTTAATTTCTGTTGTTTCTATCTTCTTCCTCCTTATTCTGCCTGCTCTTCTTGTCTTTCTCCTCCTTTTTCCGTCTTTCATTATTTGTTTCTGACTTAATTGTTGTAGTAAAAGAACATGATCTACATGACATTGATTATCTAAAACAGGATGAGATTTGCTTTATGTTCTAATTTGCAATCATTTTCCTAAATGTCCCATCTGAACTTGAGAAAAATATGAAGTCTTCTGTTACTGGTTTCAGGATTTATTTGTCCATCAGGTCAAGCTTCTGATTCTGTTACTCAAGTCGTTTCTAATTTCAATAATTTCTTTTTGATTGCTTTATAATATCAATTATCAGTGTATCAGAACTTCCACTATGAGGGCAGATTTGTAATTGTTTTTTGTATCTGTATTATTTTTTCTTTTGTAGGGTCATATACATTTGAAAATACTACATATTCTTGGTAAATTAAATAACTTATCAATAGGTAATGACTTTCTTTTACCTCTGCTAATATTTTTGCCTTAGGGTCTATTTTGATGAGTAGTGATTAGCTTGATTCAGCTAATATTTGGCTAATAAATCTTTTCTATTGTCAAAGAATATACTTTTGACAAATTAAAGATCTAATTGGCTTTTATGAGCAATTCATGAATCAGGCAATGTCTAATCTACAAAATAGAAAGAGCACTGCTGGCAAAACAGTTGGTTTTGAGCCAGAACTAAGGAAAGTACAATATGAGAAAGGAGAAAGGTTAACATCAGGTTACTTTCCTTGCAAGGGTTAAAGCAGAGGTTACTTCCTTGTTATGCTGGCTCAGGTACACTGGGCCTCTTCTGACTGATTGTTGTGAATCTCCCAATTTTGGAAAAACTGGTATATTTGGGGATTTTCCTGTATTTTAAGATTTCAGTTTAATTATGTGGCACTTGACAAGACTGTCTCCATTTTGGTTTGGTCTGCTGAGGCCTGGTACAGGAGCTCAATTCCAAATAATGGCCTCACATAAGTTTTATTTAATAGTCTTTTCTCTTTTAAATGTTTGTGTCTTCGTTAATAGTATATATTTGGATTTTATCTTTTTGAATCAAATATCATCTGTGTTTTTAGAGTTTAGTTCATTTACATTGATTATTGCTGATATATCTGTCTTCATTTCTAATATATTGCTTGTGCTGTTTTCTTTTTTCCTTGCCTTTTTCAACTTTTTTCTCTTTCCATTCTTCTCCATTAGTTTAGATTTTATACACTTATGTCATTCTTTTAGGTCCTATACAGTTTAATAAGCATATTTAACAAAACCTAATACATTTACCTCTTGCCAAACAATATAAGGGTTTTAGGATGATTTGACGTGAATTACTTTCTTCCTGACTTGTATAATTGTCTTGGATTTTAGCAATATCTTGATTACTCTAACTCTATAAATGAGACCTGTTTTATTTTTCTATATTATTTTGAGCATGTGTCTATACATTATTCTTGTCCATCATTTCTTGAATTTTATATGTTCCTTTTGAGGTAATTTTTTTCTAACATATATCCTTTAGAAAGCTCTTTAGAGAGTCTCCTATTTCTAAACTCTGTTACTGTTGGTCTGAAAATATCTTTGTTCTACCCTCATTCTATTGGACATTCAATTATTGGAACTATTTCTTTCTCAGTATTTAAAACGTATTATTCCAAATACTGGTTTCAAGTATTGCAAACAGAAATCAATATTCAATATAATTCTTTTTCATTTGTAGGTCTCTTTTTTGCCAATTTTAATATCTTTCTTTTTTTGGTATTCTGAATTACATTACGATATATTGGTGAGTTTCTTCTTATTTATTCCTGTACTATCTTAGACTGCTTAAATATATAACCCGGTATCTTATCAGTTCTGAAAAAGAGTGCGTCACATTACCTTTTCACGTATCACCTATGCCCCATCATGTCTTCTCTTTTGTGAACTTTGAATAGATATATCTTTCATTTTCTCATTCTGTTCTCCAGCCTCTGAGCTTCTCTCCTTTTTTTGTACTTTTTAAACTGACATATCATAGTTGTACATATTTTGGGGGTACATGTGATACTTTGATACAAGAACATAATATATAATGATCAAATCAGGGTAAATGAGATACCCATCACATCAAACATTTATCTTTTCTTTGTGTTGGGAATATTTCAATTCTTATCTAGTTCTTATCTAGCTTTTTTTTTTTTTTTTTTTTTTTTTTGAGACAGAGTCTTGCTCTGTCACCCAGGCTGGAGTGCAGTTGGCACCATCTTAACTCTTAACTCACTGCAACCTCCACCTCCTGAGTTCAAGCAATTCTCTTGCCTCAGCCTCCCGAGTAGCTGGGATTACAAGCATGAGCCACCAGGCCTGGCTAATTTTTGTATTTTTAGTAGAGACGACATTTCACCATGTTGGCCAGGCTGGTCTCAAACTCCAGACCTCAAGTGATATGCCCACCTTGGCCTCCCACAATGTTGGGATTACAGGCGTGAGCCACTGTGCTTGACCCTATCTAGCTATTTTGAAACATACAATATATTATTGTTAACTATGATTTTCCTACTGTACTATTGAACACTAGAACTTGAGCTTCTGTTTTATATTTTGTATCTCCTTGCTCCTCAGTGCTACATTTGGAATAATTTCTTCAGCTGTATCTTTAAGTGCACAAACTTTTCCTCAGGTGTGCTTCATCTGTTCAATGCATTTATGGAGGTTCTGATTTCTACTATAGGCTTTATCTCTAGAAGTTTTATTGCTTTCCTTTTTAAAACGTTGAGGTCAATTTTTGATGGTTTCTTTTTCCTTTGACATACTCTCAGTATCATCTTTAATTTCTTTAAGTGCATTTATAGATACTAAATATTTGTGGGGTTTGCAAGATAAATCCTGCAGTTAGCGTTTTCTGCTGTCTCTCTCTCTCTCTCTCTCTCTCACTGTTTTGTTACATATTTTGTGATGCCTTTTTAAGTGTTAAAGTGTGTTCTTCCAGAGAGGATTTGAATTTGCTTTGTGTGTGGCATTAGAGGTGCTACACGTCCATTACATCTTTAAAATAAATGTGTATATGAGGGACTGTTGAGCCAGTTACATTGTGTAAATTGTGTTCTCCCAAAACACAACTGGACTTGCAGTTAGAAAGTCTTGGGAATTTTTTTTCCCCCCTATTTCCACCTAGAGTCAAAACCAAGGAGATATGCATGCCCCACTGTCTCTCTCTACAGGAGGTTTTATTTTTGTAGCTCAACCATTGGGAGCTTCCAGTTTCATATCTGCAGGTCTTCTGTCTGACTGCCTATCTGTTGGGCCCTCAACTTTTTTCTTTGATTTTCTTTAAAAATCTAGACTCTGAGTCAACTCAGGATTGGCTGATGTACCCAGAGTAAACACTGGCTTCAGTGCTGTGTACCTCTCTGTGTCCACCCTTTGTCATTTCTGGCCTCCAAGGAATTCTCCTCATTTCCCTAATAACTCAGCTCTGTGTGAAAATGCCTTTTAAAAAGTTCCACCATTTTTAGTTCTTCCTTGTTACTGAGTTGGTATGTGTGTTTGTGTGGTTTTTGTGTGTGCATGTGTAAAACTAGTCTGCTATGCTACTAGAAGCAAAACGTATATATTTTTCAATAGGGAACTTTCTGTCATACTCAGATGAACTTTGTCTGTTTGTCTCCCTGTATATACACATGTGCACATATGTGTATGTGTATATATACACATATGAAAAATAATGCTATGTGTAAACAGTACATTATAATTTTGTTAATAATCGAACAGTTTTAGCTCTACATCCAGAAAATAGCGTTTATCGTAGACAATATTATGAGATGCTAACATGCCTTCTCCTTCTATTCACTAAGGTATCTTTTGTTTTAATATCATAATTATGATATTAAATATTATAAGTTAAAAATATATTTAATATAAATTTAATATCGGGGTTTAGAGCAAGGAATAATGGGGAAAACCTTGACTTTAAGAAAGCAAATGTTGTAAAACTTCCATCAAGCCAACAAAAAATATTTAACATTTTAAAAATATTTAATATGTAGTATTTTCTGTGACTGAGTCCAATTCTAAATTGATAAGGGGTAGTTAACACAGATCTGCTGCCCTCTAGAAGTTTAAGTTCAGGCTCATTGGTACCTGTATTTTGTAATACCTGTAAATATCTGAGCAAACTGAGCAAGGGTTTAATAAGAATTGCTACCTCAATTTTACAGTAGCTGCTTCCAAAATCCAAATTCCAGCTGTTACTGCGTATGTGACATCGGGCGCATTGCTTAGCCTCTCTAATTACCATTTCCTCATTTATTAAATGGGTTAATGAAAATAACACATGTATAGGTCTTATGTTGCTGCTGTGAGAAACAAAATATCTTATTCAATTGATATATACAGTGCATGGCTGTATATCAATTGTATTATAGCATTAATAGTCCAGGCTTTTTTTTTTTTTCTGAGTAAATGACACATTCTGTAATTCTGGAGTTGTAGTTTTTTTGTACATTGAAGTCCAGCAGTTGAATTTTGAAGGCCTTCTTCTGTACCCTCCAAACTGAGAGCCTACGCTAGTAATATTTCCACTTTCCTGAAGTTGCTCAGCATTTATACAACATCTTATCTGTTACCATGAGTACAGATAAATTACCCCAAATAGGATGGAATTTGTGGGACAGCCTCATAGTGATTGCCAGTATAAAAATCTTATATGCAGCCATGAAAGCTCATTGGTGTATATTCTGAAATGCCTGAGACTTCAGAAGGTAAGGCAAGTCATTGCTTCTCCTGTGAACTATTCTATTTCTGCCTCTTCTTGGCATTTGTACAATACATACAGGTATTGTTTCTCTTACACAATGTATTTCTCAAATTAGATGGTAAATCTCCAGAGGATGGGCATCCCGATACTATCTTATTATGTTATTTTATATACATATATTTATTATTTATATATTTTTATTATATATTACCATATATTTTATACAATTTTATATTATATCATATAATATAATTTATATATAATATATAAATTATATAATATAGTATATAATACAATATGTTATATATTATATACTATATTATATGTTGTATATTATATAATATAATTATATAATATAATTATATTATATATAATTTATATAAAATATAAATTATATATATATAAAAGTATATCGTGGTCAAAGAATGCTTCTGTGAGAGGTGATATTTGAGGTTTGAATTAAACAATGTGAGGCATCTGAAGATGTGAGAAAACAATCCAGGCAGGCGGAAGGGGTTGGCATTTTGAAAAACAGGAAAAAGACCAGTATAGCTGAAACACAACAAACAAGGGGTAGATTGGTACAAGATTGAATCCGAGAAGCTGACAATGGCTAGGTTATTTAATACGTGATTTTTATCAGTAGTATTCCAGGTGGAATTGAATAGAATGTATTGTACTGACTTCTATTTCCTTTTGCCTGTTCTCCCTAAATATGGGTTTTCCATTGCTAACCTCCTAAGTTAAAAGTAGTAAACTTGTTATTTCCTGATTCCAGTGAATATCTCTTTTCCTGTCCCAGTCTTCCACACTCATTGTAACTCCTTTGGTCACAAATGACCAAAAAGCTAGTTTGGTTAGTGATGTATTAAAGAATTAATGTATTAATGGGCTAGATTCTCTGGGTTGAGATTTTCCCTCTCTATGGAAGATGGATTTTGCAAAATGAGCTTTGCACATGAAGGGCAAATCACAGCACGATTCTGGCTCCTTGCAACAGACAGATTGCAAATCCAAATAAATTACATGCCCTCCCCCGGTTTAGCTTAATTTGAATTACTATTGTCTAATATGAGTTTCCTGAATTGTTAATCATGATTTATCAACAAGTTGATTGGGAAACTACAAAACTACTAAACCTGGTCTGATGACACCTCACAAAATTGCGGTGATTCCCATACCTCGCTACCTTATGAAAGGAAATTCTGAAGATCTCAGAAACAATTGTCAGACTTTCTCAAACAGATGTGGAGCCCTTGATTTTATGGCTTATAGGTTTTCAGAAATGAATCACTTTTTTCTTTCCCTGAAAATCACATGGCTTTTTGCATTAAATAAAAATAGGAGAAAATGAGGATTTGAAGGAAAGTTATAGACAAATATGAATAATTTTGTGCTGTGACATTATAAGTCTTCCTGCTTATGTAAAATGGATATGCCACTGTTTGGAAATTACAGCGCATAATGGATTAATTTGCACCTGTAGAGTGATTGGTCAAGGGGAGTCTAGGTGATAGTCCTCAGTGAAGCTTGATTTTGAATTTGGTACCTACTCCAGCTGGGAAGTTAGGCTGGTGAAAACAGCAGGAACAAGCTAAATGTGTGCAGCGACTGGTGGTGGTGGTGCTTCTTCTCAGCCAAGAAAGCCTTGTATGATGTCTGAGCACTTGAGCTGGCTTGGACCAAATAGCTTAAGCATTATTTGATTTGGACTAAGTAGCCCTGAGATGAAATGGCCTTTTATTCAACTTTGTTAAACTGGGGCGTGCTGGGCCTTGTTTCTCTGGAGTTTGCCAAGTGAACGGATCGGCAGCCTCGGAAACAGAGCAAGACATTTCTGCCACATCAGTCTCTCGATGGCAACAGTTCGAGCTAATAGGCAGCTTTTCAACTCTGAGGACTATACTGTTTGCTCAGTGTTTCCTTGCTTGTTTGGGTACACAAAAAAGAATAGGAAGAAAAAGAGGCAAAGGCCATCTCTTTACATAGTGCAGCTACGACCCTCTAGTGGATGCTAGTGAGAATGCAGGTAATTTGAACAGCAATGGGAAAGATTTAATTATTTCTAACCGTCAGATAACATGGTGCACACCCAGGCAGGATTGGAGGAGTTAGGGTTCAGTGGGGCCTAAAGCTTATACAGTTTTAGACTGGATGGGCACTTTTAGAAGAAAATGTAAAATATCTTACTTAGGTAAGTGTTACAAAAACATGCAAATATGTAAACACATTACTAGAGTTCTTTCCCATCTCCCAAGTTTCATGAATTTCATGGTAAATTTGCCTCTGGATTTACCTGTTCTATGTTTGCTGATTTTAATTAAAATTGAAATTATGGAAAATGTATTTTTTAAAATGTTTGAGAATTGCAGCTTTTTAGTCTATAAAAGTTATTTTGAACAAAAAATGTAATATACTTTGTAAGTGTGATACAAAATTCAGACTTAATTCACAATTCTTTCTTAGGAATAGTTATTCTAGCTTTTATAGCATTTTGCAGAGTGAATAGCCTTTTTTATTTCCTAGCTGAGTTTTGAACTGTATAGACTAAGTAATGTAGAATACATTAGTCTTTAGCTTATAAAATCTTAATTGAGTTATGGTAAAGTGCAAAGTTAGTAAATGTTAGTGAATAACATTTCCCTCACTAACCAGAAGAAAGTATTCTAATGATCAGCATGGTCAATTCTACTAATTTATGGCTTACCTATATAAATAGGTGTGTCCCATAATTAGAAATCTTTTTTATCAGAAATGTGTGACCTCACCACTTAAAAGAATAACAAGCTAATATAACAGTACTGCGTTTATTAGGCTCAGATTCTGAGAGGCGAGCTGAGAGACAACCTGTAAGGCCATCTGATCGAGTCTCCTAGGCCATTAGACAGATCAAGTGTTGTATTCTCCACGTTTTCTTCACATATAAGGATGGCTGATTTTAAAGAAAAACTTAGATTGAGCTTCTTGATCTCTCCCAATATTGAGACAAACTACCTGAAGGATTAAAAACTCTGGATGATTATCCTGAATCACTAGATGTCTTTTAAGTTGAAATGGAAGTTAATTTTATGTTGGCAAGTATAAATTATTTTAACTTAAAATCCAGAAAAATAGTAGCTAGCTTTTAGGTTTGCTTTTATGACATTTCAGGCACTGGTCTATGTATCATGCTAGTGCATGTACTTTCCATATATTATTTCCTTTATCCTGGTAAAAAACCCATTGAAGCTGGTACTACAGGTGAGAACACTAAGGACCACAAAGGTTAAATAAGTTTCCCAGGGTCATTTAGCTAGCAAGTGGCAGAACCAGGGCTCATATCAGGCATTCTGCCTCCCTAATATATTGTCTAACTGTCAGAATTCCCTGAGGAAACCCACTGGCGGTAGGAAGTGGGACAGATTAATGCGTTTAAAAAGGAGGAACATAGACACAATTATGAAACATAACTCTCAGAAGACAGTATCTGAACTCACATAGATGTTGGTATATTAGATAGGGCACTTGACTTGTAATTTGAAACTCCTGAAGAGGGGTGGTAGTTAAAAATGTAAGAATAGAGCTGGGTATAGATCCAAAAGAATTGAAAGCAGAATCTTGAAGAAATATTTGCAAAGCCACGTTCAAAACAGCATTATTTGTGATACCCAAGTGCCCACCAACAGATGAATGGATAAACAAAACGTGGTATATAAATACAATGGGATACGATTTAGCTTTAAAAAGGAAGGAGGCCGGACATGGTGGCTCATGCCAGTAATCCCAGCACTTTGGGAGGCCAAGGCGGGGGATCACGAGGTCAGGAGATTGAGACCATCCTGGCTAACACGGTGAAACCCCATCTCTACTAAGAAAAAAAAAATGCAAAAAATCAGCCAGGCGTGGTGGTGGGTGCCTGTAGTCCCAGCTACTCGGGAGGCTGAGGCAGGAGAATGGCGTGAACCCGGGAGGCACAGCTTGCAGTGAGCCAAGATCACACCACTGCAGCCTGGGCAACAGAGCGAAACTCTGTCTCCAAAAAGAAAGAAAGAAAAAGAAAGAAAGAAATGCTGACACATGCTACAGCATGGAGGAAGTTTAAGGACATCATGCTAAGTAAAACAAGCCAATGACAAAAACACAAATACTGCATGGTTCCACTTACATGAAGTATCAGTAATAGAGTTATAGAAATGGAAAGTAAAATGATGGTTTCCAAGGACTTGGAGGAGGAGTGAATGGGGGAATCGTTTAATACAGACTAAACTGTACAATTAAATATGGTTAAGATGGTAAATTTTATGTGACGTGTATTTTACCACAATTTGATAGGAGTCCAAGAAAGGAATAAGAGTGAAGGATCACGATATGGCACCTTGGGAAGCACTAGAAAGGAGGAAAGAAGGCCTAAAAGTGAGACTGAGAAAGAATGGTCGTCCAGCGGTGCCCCGAGGGGTAGGGACAGACATTCTTACAAGTTCAAGGTAGCTGGTAAAGCTGGTAGCATACACACATACCTTAGGTCTTATTGACTTAAAGATATCTAGTCACATCAGCCACTTGTAGAGTCTGATGATATTTCAGTTAGTAAATGAGTTATTTTACATTGGGAGAGGATAGTGGGCAGGGCAGTAATATTCCTAAGTAAGAACATCTCTCCTATGGTTTAAGTTCTCATGCTGGTGAGTCTTAAACAAGAAAGAGCATGCCATTAATTTTAACTTTAAATTCCTATACAGATGGTGCTCACAGATGTTTCCAACAACAGACTTCTAAAAAAAATAACAATTTTACTTGAAGTTTAAACATAAATATGCACAGACTTTGTAGTGCTTTGGCATACCTCTTGTTTTTAAAAATAGCACTACCCTTTTACCTGCTTGGGGTGAGTGAGCCTTTGTTTAGTTACAATTTTCTCTTTCTTTTTTTCTTTCTTTTTCTTTTTCTTTCTTTTCCTTTCTTTCTTTCCTTTCTTTCTTTCTTTCATTCTTTCTTTTTCTTTCTTTCTTTTCTTTCTTTCTCTCTTTCTTTCCTTTCTTTCTTTCTTTCGTTCTTTCTTTTTCTTTCTTTCTTTTCTTTCTTTCTCTCTTTCTTTCCTTTCTTTCTTTCTTTCATTCTTTCTTTTTCTTTCTTTCTTTCCTTTCTTTCTTTCTTTCATTCTTTCTTTCCTTTCTTTCTTTCTTTCATTCTTTCTTTTCCTTTCTTTCTTTCCTTTCTTTCTTTCTTTCGTTCTTTCTTTTTCTTTCTTTCTTTTCTTTCTTTCTCTCTTTCTTTCCTTTCTTTCCTTTCTTTCTCTCTTTCTGTTTTGCCCTTGTTGCCCAGGCTGGAGAGCAATGTTGTGGTCTTGGCTTGCCACAACCTCTGCCTCCCAGGTTCAAGTGATTCTCCTGCCTCAGCCTCCCGAGTAGCCAGGATTACAGGCATGTGCCACCACGCCTGGCTAATTTTGTACTTTTAGTAGAGACGGGGTTTCTCCATGTTGGTCAGGCTGGTCTCGAACTTCCAATCTCAGGTGATCTGCCCACCTTGGCCTCCCAAAGTGCTGGGATTACAGGTGTGATCCACCGCACCTGGCCACAATTTTCATATCTACAGTACCTTACCATTGTTGAGGATGTTAATGTACACTCAAATGTGGTTTTCTCCTGTAATTTTTATGAATTTAATAAGAAATTAATATGATTGCTTAGGAATCCAGCAAATTCTAAAATAATATGAAAAGTATAACTCCTCAGTTTAGGAAGAGTGTACTTAAAATGCTGTAGACAGCAATGAAAAGGACAGAAAGACAGACGTGGCTCTAAACTCCCACCAGCAGAATTAATTCAAATATATTGAGCGGATTCCATGTACTAGATACTGTACCTGGGGAGACAGCAATGAACAAAATGCTTTCCCAAGGAGCCTTATTCCAGAAAGCAAACAAAATATGTGAATAAAATAGATGGTAGCAGTTGGGGGCAAGTGATTTGGATGTAAGGTGACTCAAGCTCTAACCTGATCCTGTAAGTGGGTCCAGGTGCTTATGAACTGTTCTTAATGGTCATTCAACTCTGTCACTGTCCCACTGCTAAAGTTTGCCTCTTCTTTATCCCGTGTGTCCTGAATTGCTGTTGTTTTCTCAGCTTCTTCCATGACACAGGCTAACCTTGAAAAACCAGGGTTGGTCCTTGTCACTTTGACACACCTCCCGACTTTGCTTTTGTGGTTCTGACTTGTCTGTGAGAGTGCCTCTTCCTCCAGGATATTCACTATCCATTTCAGCAAATATTTATTAAGAATGTCTTATATACCAGCCACTTTCCAGGTGCTGGGGACACAGTGGTGAACAAGACACATGTGGTCTTTGCCTGCACAGAGCTTACTATCAACCTAGGGAAAAACAACAAAAAACATCTGAACAGTCAAGTGAATCTGATAAATGCTATAATGGAAGCAAATAGGATGCTGAAATAGAGAATAATAGGGGAATGAATGTAGATATATTGATCAGAGAGTTCCTCCTTGAATGTGTGCCATTTGGGTTAAGATCTGGAGAAAGAAAGGAATCAGCCCTTGTATTGATGCATTTGTGTGTGTGTATGTGTTTGTGTGAGAGGAGGCCACGAGAACCCCATGTGCAAAGACCCTTAGCTAAGGGGAGCAAAACCCAGCACCTTCAAGGACCTGCACAAAGGCTTTTGTATCACTGAGTAAGTGTTGGAATACAGGGTGGTCTGAATCTGTTTCTTCAACAAAGCTAATGCTAAAATCTTATTTGACTCCATTATTTAATTTTTTTCTCCCACAAATCCTCTCTCAAAAATCCAGGGCTTTTCTTTTCTTTTCTTTTCTTTTTTTTTCTGAGATGGCCCCTTGCTGTTGTTGGCTTTTTCTGAAGGGGAAGGGTGCTGACTTAGCCAGAGACTTCTGTGATTTGTAGGCGTGCTTTACTTGTCATAGCATCACACATAACATACATATGTTCCCATTGGGAAATTTTCCATGTGGGGAATATTTTTCCACAAACATTCTGTTTAAACAAAATTTCAAAATCATAATGAGACTTCCCTAATGAAATTTGCCTACAAAAATAGGCAGTAAATTTTAGTGGTTCACGTGACTGCAGGACCCACCATATGGCATTCACGTGCCTGAGTTGCTGGTGTCCATCACTGGAGGAAACTGCTTAGTTGAAACTACCATGTTGGAAACCATGTATCAGTAGAGCATAATTGGTTTTACATTACACAATAAAAGGGGAGAACCTTATACATCCCCTTTTTTTTTTTTTTTTTGAGATGGAGTTTCACTCTCATCATCTGTGGTAGAGTGCAATGTCAAGATCTCGGCTCACTGCAACCTCTGACTCTGGGTTCCAGCAATTCTACTGGCTCAGCCTCCTGCGTAGCTGGGATGACAGTCATGTGCCACCACACCTGGCTAATTTTTGTATTTTTTAGTAGAGATGGGGTTTCACCATGTTGGTCAGGCTGGTCTCGAACTCCTGACCTCAGGTGATCCGCCTGCCTCGGCCTCCCAAAGTGCTGGGATTACAGGCATGAGCCACCGCGCCCGGCCGGGATAATTTCCGTCAATGCTGGGTATTGGTACCTTTGAAAAAACATCAGTCAGCATTGCTCCTGAATCATCTCTCCCTGTCTACGCTGAGTCCTCTCCCCCAGGCTCTTCCTTCCTTAGAGGTTGTCCTCTGAGCCTGCTTGGGGGCTGGGGGAACCAACACTTCCAAGTGTTCACACCAGGGTTCTTTCTAGGCTGTCATAGAGTCCCTAACAGCCCTCCATGTTATGCCAGGCTTACTAAATGGCTTCGTGTCTTTCCAAGACGCTTGCCACAAACACATGTGCATGGTAAAAACATACAGTTTCATTTTTTTGCTCCTATAAAGTTTTCCTTTTAAGTCTAGATTTCAGTTTCTTTTAAAAATACTTTGTTTTTCAAAACTGCCAGATGGACAAATATTTAACTACACCCTCTATTGCCCTGGAGAACGTCAGTAAGCCAACACACCTTTGAGCTCCGTTGTGTAACTATCCGTATTTGGAGATTTTTTTTTCATAGTATATTTTCTACCCAGTGGATCTGGCTGCAACTGTTGATATTTTCACAGGAAGGGGTTGCCCTCCTCTGTCTGTGTACGCATTTTGGGCTCAGTAGCTGGGCCAAAGGAAATATTTGTAGTAAAGGCCCATCTGTTAAAGAAATCAAATTCCTTTCATTTCCACTATGGGGTATTCTTCAGCAATTCGACTGAAGAAAGAAATGAGCATAAATGGTCGTTGGTGGTTTTTTTATTTTTATTTTTATTTTTATTTTTTTTAACCTAAGCAGGATAAGTTTGGTGAGGAGAGAACTTGACATGAGTCTTACCAATCTGCTAACCAAAAGAGAAGTATGTTCTTATGGTGTTAGTATGCATTTCTTTGATTATCATTGTAGCGGACTATTTCTGCTTATACTTGTTGGGCACTGGTATTTTCTTTTCCTTTTAGGTTTCACGTTTTTTCTTGATAGGTAAGATTTCTATAATATATGTGTTACATATGGATATCTCAATATGTCATCATTAACCCTCTGTCATATACATGTCCAGGTTATTTCTGATCAAATCTGTCAATCTATTCCTTTCTGTCAGGTTGAGCCACATAGAGTTACTGTTTCTGTCCATCAAACATGACAAAAAACCCCAGCAAGGACATACGGTTCAACCTAAATAGTTTGTAAGCCTTTGATGTCATATCTAGAGAGTTTGTATTAATCTTATATTATATGATGTTGCATATGTACTTTTCTTTGTGCCTAATAACCTATACTGTTTAAGAATTGTGTTTCTTTGAAAATTAACACTTTATTCCTCCTTTTAGTATTAGACTCCCTTCTAACATGGTTCAGTTTTATCTGATTTGGTATCTTTTGCATTTGTTCTGATACTGGTACTGTGGTGCTCTTACCTTTCCCTAACTCCTTTGAGATTCCATTCAAGAATTGCTCCCTTTGGGAAGCCTCTTTGACCTCTTTGGCATGGCCAAGTGCTAATGTTCTGTGCTTCTTTGGGGGACCACTCTTCCATGGAATTTATCACCTCTACAAAGGTTGTTGATTTCTCCTCTTCTAATCTGGGATCATGGCTTATTTACTTTCAAGTGCTAGGATTTAGGACAGTGGTTGCCTCATAGTAGATCCGCAGTTATTGTTCCTTTTACTGAAATTGTACTAATTGATCAGGATTTTCCCATGGACCAAGGAATAAAGCAGTTATTTCTACTGCTTAATGCTTAATGCTAGGTGATACACATCCGAGCAGCTGCCCCAGCCCCAGCACTGGTAGAAATAACAGGACCACTAGAACAAAATGTGCTGCGTTTTGCATTGCTGTCCCACTCTCTTTATAATTAGTCGCCTTTCCTTTGTATTTCATTTTTCTTTTTATGTTTTTAAAAAATAACCTCCTGCTTTACAGTTCTACTCTCTGACTTTGTCTCTGCATCCTCTTTTCCTGAAACCCATGTGTGGAGTGCGATGCTTAACTATTTCATGTGTATGTGGATTACACATTGCTGAAGCATTTTTCCTGTTAGTGTTTTCTCCTTCATGTTACTTTAATACAGATTAGATATTTGTTAAAATATTGCCATGAGAAGAGTCAAATTATTATATTCATATTGGACCGCAGACATTTTCTATTTGGGGAGGTGCTCTGCATTTTACATGATCAGGAGAATATTTTGCAGACTAATGAGCCTCTTTTGTGGACTTCACTTTTTGCCACCTTGTAATATTCTTTGTTGTCCACATCTTTTTTTTAAATCAGTTAAAAAAAATTAGACTCCTTTGATTTGTCACATTGATTTTCCCAAAACTTTCAACTGATACCTGTTGCCTTTTACCTCAGTATGACTCATCATAAACTATTTATAACAAACAAAAACAAAACTATTTTTATTGAATTATATAGCCTACATAGGGAAAAACACAGTAAACAAAATAAATGCAGTGTAAGAATAATGATGAAATGCAGAACTACGTACACGTTACTCAGGAAAACAAATACATTTACTATTCCCATTTCAGACAAGCTTGAGCACGTGAGGGTGGTGTGGCCATAGACACCATCCCCATTTCAGTTGCGTCTTCCTTTCTGTGCAGGCCTTCAGAGGTGGCTGCTATCCTGAATATCATGTTTGTTATTCCCTTGCTTTTCTTAATAACTTTTCTTTAAAAAAAATAAGCTTTTTTGGAATTCCTAAATATTACTTAGTTGTATCTGTTTTGGTAATTTAAGTAATGAGATCACATTGTATGAATTCTTACGTAGCTTGATTATATCATTTATCATTATAGTTTTGTGATTCACCTACTTCAGTGATTAGAACTTAAGTTCATTCTTTTTCATGGCAGTATAGTATTACATGATATGGGCATATCACAACTTATTTTTTCATTTTACTTATGAGGCACACATGGGGTTTTCCAGTTTTATTGCTATCATAAGCAGCATAATTATAAATATTTCATGCATATTTCCTGGTACATATAGGCAAAAATTTGTCAAGAATTAATACCTAGTAATAGAATTTCTGAATCAGAGGCCAGTACATGTTCAACTTTCCTACGTGATTTCCAAAGAAGTTTTACTCATTTACATATCTGCTTTTAATGGATGAACACCCTCTTTGCTCTCTATTAATGGCATTGCTTGATATTATTCCATATTTATATTTTTGCCAAACTTGTAGTCATGAATTATATCTCATGATTTTAATTGGTTTCTTTGATTACTAAAAGGGTCAACACATTGTAATCTACTTATGGGTCATTTATTTCTTCTCTCTTGTAAAATTTGTGATTATTTCTTATTTTCTCATAGTGTTTCTTGCTGATTCTTGGAGTTTTTTTTGTATATGCTACATAGTAATATTTGTGTTGTGTCATATCCAAATTTATAGCTTAAATTTTTACTCCCTGATGGCTTTTGAGGATAGAAGTTTTTGATACAATCTTTCCCTTCATAATCTACCCATTTTGTGCCTTAAATAATTCTTTTACCCCCAACATAAAAAAATATTTCCCTAAATTGCTTTTAAAATTTTGCCTTTCACATATGTGTGCTTCATTCATCAAGAATTGATTTGTGTGTACGGTTGACGAAGGGATTTTTTGCCACGTATGTAGTCAGTTGTTCCAGTGCAATTTATTTGTAAAAGTTCATTCTTTCAGCCGGGTGCAGTGGCTCATGCCTGTAATCACAGCACTTTGGGAGGCCGAGGCAGGTGGATCACGAGGTCAGGAGATCAAGACCATCCTGGCTAACACAGTGAAACACTGTCTTTACTAAAAATAGAAAAAATTAGCCGGGTGTGGTGGCGGGTTCCTGTAGTCTCAGCTACTCTGGAGGCTGAGGCAGGAGAATGGCGTGAACCCGGGAGGTGGAGCTTGCAGTGAGCCAAGATCACGCCACAGCACTCCAGCCTGGGTGAAAGAGCAAGACTCTGTCTCAAAAAAAAAAAAAAGTTCCTTCTTTCTCCATTGATCTACATTATGAACTTACTCATATATTGCATTTATGCACTCATCATTCTATTTTGGGGCTCTCTATTTTGTTCTAACAAACAACTAGGGCTTTGCCTCAGATTCTGTTTGTTAATCACTACTCCAATACCTATCTATCTTCAATAATATGGCTTTATAATTGAAGTTTGCTATCTGGTAGTCAAGTCCCATGACATTATTCCTCTAATTAATTAGTATGTATAACTATTGGAACTTCATAATTCCCTACATATTATAGAAGCAGTTTGTTAGGCTCCATATATAATACACACACACATACACACACACGCACACATACATGTGCACACACACACACGGGGTTGGAATTTTTATTGCAATCAAATTTATAGATTAATTTGTGATCAAGTAACATTTTTGCAATATTGACTATTCCAATCTGTTAACTATTTTCACTTACACTATTCTTTTATATCTTTCAATAAAATGTTACAATTTTCACCATTGAAATCATGCATATGATTTTTCTTACTATTGTAACTGGTAGAAAAAAATTTTAATTAAAAACACTTAAAAAACATTTTAAAGCTTTGTTGCTGGAGAATAGAAATTGAAATGATTTATCTGCACTTATTTCATATCCAACAATCTTGCTAATTGTGTTAATAAGTCATAATTCGTTGGAAGATTCTTTTTTATTGTCCATAAACACAATTATATCATAGTAAATAAACATCATTTTGCTGCTTCTTTTGTAATTCTTATGCTTTTATTTTTTTTTCCTTGCCTTACTATGTTGGCTAGGAGATCTAAAGTGAGAATGAACAGAAATGGTGATAGCAGGGATCTTTGCCTTTCTTTGCAAACTCAAAACCTTCTTCTCAGACTCAAAGGATTAAGCATTTCAATGTTGAGAATTAGAAGGGCTCCCTTTATCTGACCTAGGCCTTAATATCACTTAAGTCCCTAAGAAATTAGTTAAATCACTGGAGGTGAAGGAGAGGATGTTAAACTAATCTAAAAGGTTATATTTGTGTCACAAAACATACTAGAAGCTATAAGTAAAAATTAATTTCCTTTATGGAGAAATAAAGTGGCATGCCTTGCATACATGAGTTTGTAGACGAAAGCTCATGCCCACTACACAGTGAATAGATTCAAGAAAATGACACTTATTTTAGTGCAGAAAGCATCCTCAGAATTTTAGGTGAGCATTTGCTGGCTTTCTCTGTGTGCAGTCTCTTAAGGAATTTATTTGCAGAAAATTCTCCTATTTAAGAGCAACACAGTTACTGACAGCCTAACTAGTCTTTGCAGCATTTCCTGTAGGAAGGGAAGATGACAGGGTGTTTGTAGGGCCCCTTAACTGTCTGTATAAATGTAATATAAGTGGCCCGGTATGCTTTTTCACTAATACCTTAATAGGTATGTGTAAATTATGGAAAGAAAACAGGACAATAGTATTATCCAGCTGTCCCATTCTGAAGGAAATCAGAGCCTCTTAAGTCTTACCCAGTAAAACCACTAAGTTCCATGACAAACAAAAACAGAATTTTCAGTACTTGTCCTGACATAGGGAGGGTTTTCTGTAGAGTAGATGTTTTTCCCTCCTGAAATCCACTTGGAGACTATAGATGTCAGTCCCAAGACATAATAAATCAAGGACTACCTCTGTTTGGCATACATTTGTCACAGTGGAAGTGGTCTGAGGCTTTGAGCAGCCTGGAGCATGGATGAACTAATGGATAAGGGAGATGGATAACTCATACCTCTGGGAGAGGAGAGAATGAACAGTGTACAACAACCACCGGTAACAGATGAGGACACCTAAACAATGAATTTTATCTATAGACACATTTCATTCATAATTACCCAGAGATAAAAGGTGGCATATCCTGTATTATAGTCAGGGATCAAATTTGAGAGACAGGATTACTCAGGGAGGAGGGTCTTGGGGAGCACTGTGCAGAATATAACTGAGAGATTGTGAAGTTACCAATATGGAGATCAAGGTTAGCCTAAAGAACAGATTTCATAATGCCCAGCAGACATGCATCTAGGGCAGAGTAACCTGGACTTTGCCCCAGGAGCAAACATTAAAAAGTTGCATACATTTGTCATCGTTTTTAGAGATTCATTATCTCCCCAAAGAGTTCCAAACTGATTATAGACACAAGTGTAATTGGCGCTTTGGGGAGTGGATTAATAGTAAACATTGTAAAGTTCCCAGAGTCGCATAAAGCCTTCCTTTTGGTGTTATAACCTTAATGTATAGCCTTACTGACACCCTTAATGACAACCTTAACAAGGAAAAATACAAGTCATAATTACACTTTATCAAGTTATCACTTATGAATTTCAACTTGGCATGCCAGTGCTGTCTCTATGGTCTTATGCCAAGAGGTGAAAGAGAATAGAAGACAGGAAAACAGAATTTCTGCTGAGAGGTCATGTGGCAGAGCCATCTTTTTCTTTGATCTAACATTGTCATGTTTCTTGTCAAAATTATTTGCAGTAATTATGGCTTTGCTGTGGTTCTTCACTGTTGAAGAACTGTATGCATGGAACCAAACATCTATCCGATAAAGAATGGAGCACAGAACAAGTAAAATTCTTATTTCTCCTTTTAACTTCAGGATTCTGGTCATGCCAAATGGTTGTTAGAGAATTAAAAATGCTTTAATAGGCTGGGCTCATAAATCCCAGCACTTTGGGTGGCCAAGGCAGGCAGGTCACTTGAAGTCAGGAGTTAGAGACCAAGCCTGGGCAACATGGTGAAATCCCATCTCCACTAAAAATACAAAAATCAGCCAGGTGCAGTTGCATGAACCTGTAGTCCCAGCTACTCAGGAGGCTGAGGCAGGAGAATCGTTTGAACCCGGGAGGCGAAGGTTGCAGTGAGCTGAGATCATGCCACTGCACTCCACCCTGTGGAACAGAGCAAGACTCTTGTCTCAAAAAAAAAAAAAAAATTACCGCTTTCATACAATGTTCATACTATAAATTCATGCACATTTTTAGATCCTGGCTTCTTATTTGCCTTACTAGAATTATGCATTTGAGTTCTTTTTACATAGGGCATAAATATAAGTAATATAACACTAAAAAATATATGATCATACAAAATGATAAAAGTATAGTATGAGAATATATAAATTATATTTATACAGTTTCTATTACACAAATGGGTGAATTTCATATTATAATCTAGAAATAAACTATGTACAGGTATGTGAGCCTGTTCCAGTGGATATAGTTGAGTTTAATCGTTTTATTACAGATTAGAAACCTCTGAGTCTGTTTCATCTTTGTATCTCCCAAGCTCCTTAAGTGCTTATCAAATGAATAAATACATGGAGTGAATAAATTTATAAATGAGCTAATGAATATACCAATACCTGGTATTTCTGTAGGAAAAGCGGTTAGTACATGTTGGCATATTTGGACTTTGTGCAATATATTGTGAAATAGACTCATTTTTAAAATATTTTTATGTTAATATATAAGATTTTGAATGTTTAACATTTTAAAAATTGTTTTTGTCATTGTTTAAAATTGACCTATGTGCAATTACAGTCACCTTTAAAATAGTCAGTTTCTCTCAATACCAATTCTATTTTCTTGATGTCTTAGACATTAAAAATTTTTAAAAAGATAAGAAAAAATACGACACTTTTCTTCCATAACCCCATACCCAAACACTGAAAATGATGCTCTCTCAATTCAATTTATATTTACTACCTGCGGGGTTTATTTGCCAAGATTCCTTTCAAGCACAACTCATACTTTGCTACTTGTGAATTAAAATATACCCCCTCCGTTAACCAAAATTATGTCTCAGACTATCCAGCTGGCACAACAAGGATCGGATAAGTGGTGCTGAATTGCCTCTTCACAAGAAGTAAGACGAGCCACTAGTTTGGCTCCCTGGGGATAGAGAGTGAATAGATCTTTATCTTTTTTTCTCTTCTCATCACTCTACAGTTTGCCCCTTTCTTTCATGTCTTTTGATTCAAGAAGACAGCTTCTGTTACTGTTCATCAGGTGGAAAATGGCTCAGCTCCATGTGCTTGGAACTTTGTGTCCAGGGCTGCTGAGGATGATAGTGTCACCTCCTGTTGAGAAATCCATGGAGGTACGTTCGCCAGTCCAGTCATTACCCAAATTAAGCCAGGCCCAGCGAATCCTTTGTGGCTCTTTGGTGGGGCTTTTTTTTTTTCTTCTTCTTCTTTTGCTGAAGGTTAACTGAGAGCCCCTTACTCCCCTCTTCTGCTGGGTAGAAATGTTTCCTTAATCTTGCATAGAATCTGAGGCCGATGAGCCACCACACAGGTTGAGAAAGGGATTTATATGAGTACCCGACCTCCTATGTGCTTTGGAGAAATAAGTGAAATAGAATTTTCACAGAGTGGTAAGCCATTCTTTAAACAGTTATTTATTGAACATGTATTCCAGATGACCCAATTTAGGCATAAACCTTGATGAAAAAGGCAAAGTTTCTGCCTTCAAGAACTACATTCCAGTAAGAAGAGACAGACAGTAACCAAACTAACAATAATAATAATAATGATAAATTAACAAGATAACAAGCTATGAATAAGTGTGAGAAAGAAAATAAAATGGGATAATTTCATAACACGTGACAGGGTAGGTTCGTTTGCCCCTGAGTGGGTGTCACAAGAGCTCTATATGAGAAGGTATAATGGTTATTATTGCTGTGCAACAAATTATTCCCAAAATTAGCAGCTTAAAAAACAAACATTTATTCTATCTCGTGGTTTTTGTCAGACAGAAATAATGACTTATTTGGATAGTTCTATTGGGTAGGTCTTATTTGGGTAGGTTTCTTGTGAGGTTGCCATTATCTGATGGCTCAACTGGGCTGGAGAATCTGCTTCCAAGATGGTGCACCCAAACAACTGTTGGCAAGAAGCCTCAGCTCTTTCCCACATGGATCTTTCCATAAGATTCTTATGAGTGTCTTCATGACATGTTGACTGGTTTTCCCCAAAACAAATGATCTGAAGGAACAAGGCAGAGCAGCAATATATTTTATGTCTCAGCCTTGACACATCATGAGTCACATGCCACCATCTCACCATATTGCTGGTCACACAGATTAATGCTGATGCCATGTGGGAGGAGACTATTACAGGGCATGTATACCAGGAGTAAAGGTATTAGGAAGATATCATTCTTCCTACCACAGGAAGGGACAGTTGCACTGAGGCCAGAATAATTGCAAGGAATCAGTTAAGTGAATACCTAGGGAGGAGGGCTTTCTATTAAAGGAAGCAGCAGTTTCTATGACACTGAGGCAGGGGAACCTGGGTGTTGCCAAAGAATAGACATAAGTTTAGGCTGAATAAGCAGGAGGGTTATATAGGATGAGTCCAGTGAGCAGGGGCCAGATGACATGGACCTTTTAGGGGTTTGAAATATATTCTGAATGATTGAGTAAACTGTTAGAAAGGTTTTTTATTGTTTGTTTGTTTTTGAGATGGAGTCTCGCTCTTGTCGCCCAGGCTAGAGTGCAGTGGCACCGTCTTGGCTCACTGTAACCTCTGCCTCCCAGGTTCAAGCGATTCTTCTGCCTCAGCCTCCTGAGTAGCTGTGATTACAGGCACCCACCACTACCCCCGGCTAATTTTTGCATTTTTAGTAGAGACGGGGTTTCCCCACGTTGGCCAGGCTGGTCTTGAAATCCAGACCTCAGGTGATGAGCCTGCCTTGGCCTCCTGAAAGTTTTAAGCAGAGGAGTGACATTAACTGCATGACTACATATTGAACAAAAATACAATTATGAGAAAAGAACCGGATATGACCTGTAAAATTGCAATACTAAACAGAAAGAATGAGTTAGACTAAGACTGTTGACTTCTACTCTTGATGGTCATATTATGCAAACTCATAAAACTGAGACATACAAATATTTATTCTACTTTGTTGAATAATAGAATAAAAGTGATCCAGGGATTTCAATATGAAGTGTGAGCATCTCTGAATTAGTTCTGACCTCCTATTCTGCCATCATGAAAGAGGTTCTACTGTTGACCAGATTATTTATAGGGAACAAAATCCACAGGGAACTACAGGCAAAAATATATTTTATAAATGTTTCAAGGGCCAAGTTACATTCCTGCTGAGGTGTTTTCCCTATTATTTGTCAGATGTAGGGCATCACTCACTCCGATTTTTCTAGTTCCTTTTTCATGCTGTTAGAATGCAGGTTTTAACTCATTTACAAAATAATCACTTTAGACATAAAAGAAGAGCCCACTCTCCCAGCTCACTGGCCAGTGATGAGTCTTGCTCTTTATAAAGTAGTTTTGACCTCCAGAGAAAATGCAGACTTTCATTTAAAATGAGATTATTCTGCTCTGTTGCTCGGTGCAGGTGTTGAGACTCTGGCCATGGTTCACTGACTTGGAGAAGGAATGTGTTCAGTTTTTCTCTTAAACCAGACATGCTTGCCATGCCCCTGCTGAGTCCCTCAAAACATTTCAATGGTAACAGAATCTAGCAGATAAAATCCCAGTCGTGTGCAAAATTAACATTTTCTCCAGGCCTAATGGTTTGATGAGACATTCTTATCTCTTCACTGCTTACTTACACTTCTTTCTTTTTACTTAAGAACAGGAATTGTGCTTTTTAGAGCCTTGTGTATAATGTACCAGCTCTTCAGAAATGATTGTACTAAACATTGTTCTTATTATTATTCAAAGTATTTCTAAAGTTGGAATGTAACTTCATTATAGAGTTCAAAAACTGTATCTTGGTTCACTCGCTACCTCTGCCCGCCCCCGTGTACTTGCTATGCTTTCATTCATCCTTAAGTAAATCATGTGCTTTTGTGTCTTTACTCCTTTGTATACATGGTTTGCTCTGGCTGAGATGGCCTCTAACCTTACTCCTCTCATGAACTTACATTTCTTTGTCAAAGTTTAGTGCAAATATCACTTTCCCTGAGAAGCCTTCTCTGATTCTTTGTTTTTTTTAATTTTTAATTTTTTTAAACTTTTTTTGGAGATGGAGCCTCGCTCTGTCGCCCAGGCTGGAGTGCAGTGGCACACTCTTGGCTCACTGCAACCTCCGTTCCCTGGGTTCAAGTGATTCTCCCACCTCAGCCAACTGAGTAGCTGGGATTACAGGCAGCTGCCATCATGCCTGGCTAATTTTTGTATTTTTCTAGAAACGGTTTCACCATGTTGGCAAGGCTGGTCTTGAACTCCTGACCTCAGGTGATTCACCCGCTTCAGCCTCCAAAAGTGCTAGGATTACAGGCGTGAGCCACCGTGCCCAGCCCTCAGATCTAGCTCCTATTGCCACAAACCCATGCTAGGACATTCAGGCTTCCATTAGAGCATTGTGTTCTAAGTACTATAGTTGTTTAATTTTATCATTCAACTCATAGTCCCTGATATATCATAGACTTAATACAAGTTTTTTATTATTATTATTATTTTTTGAGACAGAGTCTTGCTCTGTCACCTAGGCTGGAGAGCAGTGGCGTGATCACGGCTCACTGCAACCTCTGCCTCCTGGGTTCAAGTGATTCTCCTGCCTCAGCCTCCCGAGTAGCTGGGACTACAGGCATGCACCACCATGCCAGGCTAACTTTTGTATTTTTAGTAGGGCATTGTTTCACCATGTTGGCCAGGCTGGCGTTGAACTCCTGACCTCATGTGGTCCAACTGCTTCGGTCTCCCAAAGTGCTGAGATTACAGGCTTGAGCCACCACACCCAGCCCAAGTTTATTATTTAATGGCCCAAAGCCATTTTAATCAATGTAAAATATTTCAAGGTTTCCCAGCATATTTGTTCTGTGTCATTTGCTCATCAGAATCTTGTAACAGCTTTGAAGAATAGGAAGCAACTTCAGATCAGCTGATCTCAAGAGATTTTAAATACATTGAAGTGGGAAGTAATCCCTATCTTTTTTGTACACCCTAGGAACTATGGTAACAGTAGCCAGGAAGATCTGAGGTTCGTTTTAGGTGATGATTGTGATGATTGTTCTCATCACGTATTATCCACTGGAACTATTAGCAAAACTGATATATACAAGGCCATTGTCCGTCATGTGCATTTAGATTAGGTGACCTAAAATAAATGCCCATCTGTGTGGCTGGGCATTTAAAAAATAAAAGTATAATTAATAATCACACAAAAAGAGTAAGTTGTATAATAATCACTCAAAAAGAATATGTCTTGGCATCTAGAGTGAGAGGTGGGCTGTGGAGTTTTAGGTATTCTGTGAGGAGTGACAGAGATAAGTAGAGTCTGAGTAAATAGCCTCCTTGTGCCTTCCAAATCTTTGTGGCCTGGGGATAAGGAGCTGCAACCCAAAGTACTTAGAGAAATAGCACCCATTTATTTAGCCATGTAGTCATTTATTCATTCAACAACCATCTACAGAGCTGAGTGCTCCCTATGGGCAGCCACTTACTGGGGTCAGAGCCACAGTGATGAATGAAACAGGTCTTGCCTTCATGGTGCTTCCAGTCTAGAATGAGGGTAAACATGAATAACTTTTATTTACTACATTTTTGATAATTGTCATAAGGTAATATTCCAGAGTGTTATAAGAGCATGTAATGGTAGAGGTGGGTGTTAACTTAGAGGGCTTTTCTAAGGAGGTGACATTTAAGCTGAGCCTTGAAGGATAAAGCAGTCAGGCAAAGGAGAAAGGAATATGGGAAGATAGGAAGGGGGCAGGAGGTGAAGGGAAATCCAGTGCTCCAGGTAGGCAGAATAGCTTCTCGGGACTCTCCATGAATTTGCCATAGATGACTAACAGCGTTAGCTTTCTTAATTTTTTCTAAATTTGAGTCATGTGGAATCAAATTAACTTTTGTCATTTGGTATGACATTTTTTTTTTTTTTTGGCCAGAGAAGTATATAGCATTTGAAGGATTAAAATTGTCATAATTAATAGAAACACAGAACACTAAGTAAAATAATCTAGCCACAAAAAGACAAACAATGTGTTAGTCAATGAATATGAGGTATCTAAAATAGTGAAATTTATAAAGTCAGAGAAGAATGGTGATTACCAGGGACTGAGGAGAGGGGGAATTGAGAAGTTCCTAATCAATGGACATAAAGTTTCAGTTAAGCCAGATGGATAAGCTCTAGAGATCTGCTGTACACCATTGTGCCTACAGTCAACAATACTGTATTATACACATGCAATTTTGTCAGCGATATCTCATGTTCAGTATTCTTACCACAATAAAATAAAAATAAGATAAAAACACAAAACACACTGAAATTATTTTATTTATGCCTCTGCTCATTTTGCCACTTATGGGGAGAGTAAAGATGGGAGAGAAAGAGGGATAAAGAAGGGAGGGGATTCTTGGAAGGATTACTGGACAAAGGATAAAGGCATAGAAAGAAAACAAAGAATATAATGGAAACAGAGTTACAAGCTGTATGCACCAACTATTTTTTAAAAACCGGTTTCCTTTCTTACTGGAGCATCAAAGGTAGACCTTTTTTTTTGCCACTCCCTCATGATATAAAAATTACTCACAACCATTAATTTTTCTTTGTTTTGATATTTTCAAAGGAATTATTCTCCAGGTATCAGTGCCCAGAATCATATAATTGTGAGGGCTGGATAAAGTGAAGGCAAGAACCCAGAAAAGCTTCTCTTCATTGATACTATGTAGTGAAATGCAAAGTGGGGAGCTACAATATGAAAACAGAGAATGGCAGAAACTTCTTAGGATTCTGGTTTTGGCTACAGTGGACTCCTTAAGTTTGAGAGGTCTGGCAGACTTCAGCTGCTCCTGGTGTTGGAACTGGAGACAGACACCTGTTATCTTTATCCAGCCAGAGAGGAAACAAGCCAACAAACTAGTTGACACTCAGTGGCAAGATAGGTTATTCATCCTCAAAGGGATATCAGAATGTGATGTCATTGATAATGACAGTGATAGTTCTGAATTTTAATTGAGTGGGTTGCTTGAACTTAAAATATGAGAGGAAAAGAGGTGAGAGAAAGAATAGTCACTGGTTAGGTGAGGTGATGACAGTAGTCTAATGACTCAGCTAATGGCTGGATATTAGAAAGGAAAATGTAAACATACAATAGATATTGCTGGTGTTAATTTTAAGGGTATTTTCCCTTGCTGCTCAACACTTATAATAGGCTTATGAATAGCTCTAAGCTGTCTATCATGGAGGAGTGTAAGCAATTAACATAGGCTTGAACAACTCTTGAGAACAGATGTTTGAAAACAAGTGACAGGATAAGGAGGTATTGGAAATAAAGTTAGTGAAACTGGAATCAGAAGCCTATTAATTTGGTTGACTTGATGTATATAATCAGATGGGACAGAAAAGCAATAGCTATTTAGCAAATACATTCACTTACATGCCAATATGTGTCACCATTTTCAAAGAAGGTTTTTAAAAACCAGTCTTATTACTGTATTGTTCCACCTCTCATCCAAATGATTTCCTCTTGCAAATACTATGAGCAATAAATTTAATAAGCTGCATAAGGAACTTAAGTTAATGTCGGAAAGGTAACTTATATTCAGATAGTCTATTTGGCTACTATGGGACATCTAGGCATTATTATGCTCAAAGAAAATTTTAAACTTCTTGCCATTTAAAATTTTGATACTTTAAAATGTATAACATATTTTGTAAGTAATATGAGTGGCTTTATTAACTTTTATGTTTTTTCTTTGCATCATGAAAATTCTAATTCATCTTTTCCACTAATTTCTGTTAAAATATTGAAGATCTCATGCTTGAATTTAAGAAAACTAAGTGGGTGTTTCATACTTATAAAGATATCTTTCTTTGCTATCATCCAAATTAAATACATTTCTTTGTTAAAACATTCTTTCTCTAGTATTAATAAGAAATGACACACCCACGCACCACTAATACAGTTCTAAGAATTTTTTCAATTTGGCATGAAGTAGATTTAAAATATATATTTTAGGATAGAAATGCTCTGCTTTGGGACATAGAGGATGGAAGATGAAGTGGTTTTAAAAGGTGAGAAGAAAGGACAGCAGCAATGATGCTTAAGGTGAGGGAGGGTGGCATGCTGGACCCATGTGCAGTTGGCAAGTACACCTGTCTAGATTCTCACTCAGAATCTGTTCAAGGGCCATCTTGAGCAAGTTACCTAGATTTTCCTAGTCTTGGTTTCCTTACCCTAAAAATGAGAGACAGTGGAGCCCATTTTACAAGAGTTTGTTTCCTAAGGGTCAAATAAATGTATGTGTTTAAAGCTTATAGAAGCTTTCGTGCTTGTATGCTTACAGGTGCAACCTCATCTATTAAGCTGAATTTATTTTCGTTTAAGAGGAGGCTATTTTTATGCCAATTTGGGGACTTTTTTTTGGATCGCTTACTGAGACTGAAACATCATTCACTCCCTTCCCCCAGCTTTAATGAAGTGTAATTGATAAATGAAAATTTTGTATATTTTAGTGTTCTCATCATTCACTTTTGTTATCTACTTACATCAGATAGTACAGATGGGAGGGGAGGTGCGATCTGCTTTTGTCAATATGAATGAATTCTCTTTGACTTCTGAGAGGGGGCACACCATTCCACAATGCGTTTTTCTTCCTCAGCTCTTGGCCCTTTTTGTGGGGTGTGTGTGTTACTTGTCCTTTTCATTCTTCTCCTACTTCAGAATCTTTACAATTATGTCAAAGGTAAGTCACACTAATTGTGTGGGCTAGATCAGGGGTAAGGATTAATAAGAATAGGTGAGAGTGGCCTGAATGGTGGCTCACACCTGTAATCCCAGGCACTTTGAGAGGTTTGGAAGACAGAGGCAGGAGAATCACTTGAGCCCAGGAATTCGAGACCAGCCTGGGCAACATAGTGAGACCTTGTCTCTACAAGAAATTTTAATAAAAATTAGCTGGACATGGTAGCATGCACCTGTGGTCCCAGCTGCTTCAGAGGTTGAGGCAGGAGGCTTGCTTGAGCCTGGGAGTTTCAGGCTGCAGTGAGTTATGATCATGCCACTGTGCTCCAGCTTGGGCAACAAAGTGAGACTCTGTCTCAAAATAAAAAGAAGAAGGAAAAAGAATAGGTGTGTTTGGGTATTTGAGACCAGGGGTGATTATTCCCTCAGTTGATTCCAAGGCCCTTGTACATATTCATGGACATCTTGTACCTGGACTTGCTGTGATTGTGCCAGAATCAACACACAGCTTTACTTCTCTTCTCTATGCAGAACCATGTAAGTGCTGTAGAGGATATGAAAGTAAATAAGATGAAATCCCTCATGACTAAGAAATGTTTGCCTGCAAACATATACAGTGTTAACTGACACCTCCATGGAGATCTGTAATAAGTGCCCTGAGAGCTACTGCTCAAAAGGTTGGAAGATGAAAGATACTGTTGTAGACTCAGAGGTCTTCATGAGACTCACCTTTTGGAGTTTTTCTTTCTCGCAGTCTTGGAAGTAAATTTTAAGCAAAATAAACAGTCTTTGTACTATCTTCTCATTTCTTTAAATTTCATCTTTGTGAAATTAAATGAAGAGAAATAATATTTGTACAAATTTGGTCACAGTAACATTTTAGACATGTTAAACGTTTAAAAAAATGTAAGCAAACTTGGAGGAAAGTTACAAAGTCAACTAAGATGAAGGTATGAAAATTATTATGAAAGCACTTATGTCAAATAAAAATCAGGATTGTAATAGTTTTAAGTAAAAGACAAAAAACTTAAAAATAATGGTGGTCAGTGAGAATTATGATATCATTAGTTATTTTTAGTTTTTCCAATTTGCCTTAAAGCCATCGTCATGTTTGTGAATGCTTTAAAACAAAATTAAAGATATTAGATAATCAAATACAGTTATTACCATCAAGAAATTAAAGGTAAAGGAGATGGCCAAATAGGGACAGCTCCAGTCTGCAGCTCCCAGTGAGACCAATGCAGAAGGCGGGTGATTTCTGCATTTCCAACTGAAGTACCCGGTTCATCTCATTGGGACTGGTTAGTAAGTGCAGCCCACAGAGAGTGAGCTGAAGCAGGCTGGGGCGTTGCCTCACCCAGGAAGTGCAAGGGGTCCTAGCCAAGGGAAGCTGTGAGGGACCGTGCTGTGAGGGACAGTGCTATCCAGTCCAGATACTACGCTTTTCCCACGGTCTTCACAACCCACAGACCAGGAGATTCCCTCGGGTGCCTACACCACAGGCACCCTGGGTTTCAAGCACAAAACTGGGAGGTCATTTGGGCAGACACTGAGCTAGCTGCAGGAGTTTTGTTTTGTTTTTTGTTTTTTTGGTACCCCAGTGGCACCTGGAATACCAGTGAGATAGAACTGTTCACTCCCTTGGAAAGGAGGCTGAAGCCAGGGAGCCAAGTTGTCTTGCTAAGCAGATCCCACCCCCACAGAGCCCAGCAAGCTAAGATCCATTGGCTTGAAATTCTCACTGCCAGCACAGCAGTCTGAAGTTGACCTGAGACACTGGAGCTTGGTTGGGGGAGGGACGTCCGCCATTACTGAGGCTTGAGTAGGTGGTTTTCCCCTCACAGTGTAAACAAAGCCCCTGGGAAGTCCGGACAGGTTGGAGCCCACCCCAGCACCACAAAGCAGCTATAGCCAGACTGCCTCTCTAGATTCCTCCTCTCTGGACAGGGCATCTCTGAAAGAAAGGCAGCAGCCCCAGTCTGGGTATCACCAGGAGCTTATAGATAAAACTCTCATCTCCCTGGGACAGAGCACCCGGGGGAAGGGGCAGCTGTGGGCGCAGCTTCAGCAGACTTAAACGTTCCAGCCTGCTGGCTCTGAAGAGAGCAGTAGATCTCCCAGCACAGTGCTTGAGCTCTGCTAAGGGACAGACTGCCTCCTCAAGTGGGTCCCTGGTCCCTGTGGCTCCTGACAGGGAAACGCCTCCCAACATGGGTCAACAGACACTTCATACATGAGAGCTCCCACTGGCATCTGGCAGGTGCCCCTCTGGGATGAAGCTTTCAGAGGAAGGAGCAGGCAGGAACCTTTGCTGTTTTGCAGCCTCCACTGGTGATACCCAGGAAAACAGGGTCTGGAGTGGACCCACAACAAACTCCAGCAGACCTGCAGAAAAGGGGCCTGATTGTTAGAAGGAAAACTAACAAACAGAAACCAATAGCATCAACATGAACAAAAAGGATGACCATGCAAACTCCATTCGAAAGTCACTAACAGCAAAGACCAAAGATAGATAAATCCATGAAGATTAGGAAAAACTGGCATGAAAAGGCTGAACATTCCAAAAACCAGAATGCTTCTTCTCCAAAGGATCACAACTCCTCGCCAGCAAGGGAACAAAACTGGATGGAGAAATAGTTTGACGAATTGACGGAAGTAGGCTTCAGAATGTGGGTAATGAGAAATGGCTCCGAGCTAAAGGAGCATGTTATAACCCAATGCAAGGAAGCTAAGAACCTTGATAAAAGGTTAGAGGAATTGCGAACTAGAATAACCAGTTTAAAGAAGAACATAAATGACCTGATGGAGCTGAAAAACACAGCATGAGAACTTCGTGAAGCATACACAAGTATCAATAGCTGAATCAATCCAGCGGAAGAAAGGATATCAGAGATTGAAGATCAACTTAATGAAATAAAATGTGAAGACAAGATTAGAGATAAAAGAATGAAAAGGAATGAACAAAGCCTCCAAGGAATATGGGACTATGTGAAAAGACCAAACATAGGTTTGATTGATTTACTTGAAAGTGATGGGGAGAATGGAACCAAGTTGGAAAACACTCTTCAGAATATTATCCAGGAGAACTTCCCCAACCTAGCAAGGCAGGCCAACATTCAAATTCTGGAAATACAGAGAACACCACAAAGATACTCCTCAAGAAGAACAACCCCAAGACACATAATCGTCAGATTCACCAAGGTTGAAATGAAGGAAAAAATGTTAAGGGCAGCCAGAGAGAAATCTTGGGTTACCCACAAAGGACACTCAGGCAAGAGAAAGAGATAAAAGGTATTCAAATAGGAAAAGGGGAAGTCAAATTATCTCTGTTTGCAGATGGCATGATTGTATATTTAGAAAACCTGATCATCTTAGCCCCAAAACGCCTTAAGTTGATAAGCAACTTCAGCAAAGTCTCAGGATACAAAATCAATGTGCAAAAATCACAAGCATTCCTATACACCAATAATAGACAAACGGAGAGCCAAATAATGAGCAAACTCCCATTCACAATTGCTACAAAGAGAATAAAACACCTTGGAATACAACTTACAAGGGATGTGAAGGATCTCTTTAAGGAGAACTACAGACCACTGCTCAAGGAAATGAGAAGACACAAACAAATGGAAAAACATTTCATGCTCATGGATAGGAAGAATCAATATCATAAAAATGGCTGTAGTGCCCAAAGTAATTGATAGATTCAGTGCTATTCCTAACAAGCTACCATTGACTTCCTTCACAAAATTAGAAAAAACTACTTTAAATTTGATATGGATCCAAAAAAAGAGCCCGCATAGCCAAGAAAATCCTAAGCAAGAAGAACAAAGCTGGAGGCATCACACTACCTGACTTCAAAGTATACTACAAGACTACAGTAACCAAAACAGCATGGTACTAGTACCAAAACAGATGTATAGACCAATGGAACAGAACAGAGGCCTCAGAAATAACACCATACATCTACAACAATCTGATCTTTGACAAACCTGACAAAAACAAACAATGGGGAAATGATTCCCTATTTAATAAATGGAGTTGGGAAAACTGCTTAGCCATATTCAGAAAACTGAAACTGGACCCCTTCCTTACACTTTATACAAAAATTAACTCAAGATGGATTAAAGACTTCAATGTAAGACTTAAAACCGTAAAAACCCTAGAAGGAAACCTAGGCAATACCATTTAGGAGATAGGCATGGGCAAAGACTTCATGACTAAAACACCAAAAGAAATTGCAAAAAAAGCCAAAATTGTAAAATGGGGTCTAATAAAAGAGCTTCTGCACAACAGAAGAGACTATCATCAGAGTGAACAGCCACCCTACAGAATGGAAGAAAATTTTTGCAAACCTTCTGGCAAAGGGCTAATATCCAGAATCTACAAGAACTTAAACAAACTTACAAAAAACAAACAACCCCATCAAAAAGTGGGCAAAGAATGTGAACAGACCCTTCTCAAAAGAAGACATTTATGTGGCCAACAAACATGCAAAAAAAAAGGCTCATCATCACTAGTCATTAGAGAAATGCAAATCAAAACCACAGTGAGATACCACCTCACACCAGTTAGAATAGTGATCATTAAAAAGTCAGGGAATAACAGATGCAGGAGAGGATATGGAGAAACAGGAATGCTTTTAGGCTGTTGGTAGGAATACAAATTAGTTCAACCATTGTGGGAGACAGTGTGGCAATTCCTCAAGGATCTAGAACCAGAAATACCACTTGACCCAGCAATCCCATTACTGGGTATATACCCAAAGGATTATAAATTATTCTATAAAGACACATGTACATGTATGTTTATTGAAGCACTATTCATAATAGCAAAGACTTGGAACCACCCTAAATGCCTATCATTGTTAGACTGGATAAAGAAAATGTGGCACATATACACTGTGAAATACTATGCAGCCATAAAAAAGAATGAGTTCATGTCCTTCACAGTGACATGGATGAAGCTGGAAACCATCATTCTCAGCAAACTGACACATGGACAGAAAACCAAACATCACATGTTCTCACTCATAAGTGGGAGTTGAACAATGAGAACACATTGGCACAGGGAGGGGAACATCACACACTGGGGCCTGTCGGGGGATGGGGGACTAGGGGAGGGATAGCATTAGGAGAAATACCTAATGTAGATGACGGGTTGATGGGTGCATCAAACCACCATGGCACATGTATGCCTATGTAACAAACCCACATGTTCTGCACATGTATCCCAGAACTTAAAGTATAATTAAGAAAGAAAAGCTCCATTAAAATATTTTTTAAAATTAAGGGTAAAAATTCATCATGATACCCAAAATAATTAGTAGTCTATAACTTTTAAGAGGGCAACTTTCAAGATACTGAGACCAGGGAAAATTCTATTACCCCTTTGGGTCTCAGATTTCTTATCTGTAAAATATTCTGTGGATGTTGGAAAGATTAAATGTAATAATGCATGTAAGGCAATGATCATAGTACCCACTGGCCAGCAATCGCACAGGAACATATGAATTTAATGTATTAGTATCTTTTAAAATATTGACACATTAATGAAAAATAAGTGTTACTTTACGGGGTAGAAATTCAAAATGAAAATTCCACAGGTAAATACGAAGTAATCATTATCATGTAAGTCATTCACTTTTCAAGTAGGAAAATAATATGAGATACAAGAGAGAATTCATTCTCAGTAATGTAAAAAAATATAAATGATAGATAGGTTGTACTCCCTGTAATAAATAGAATTCATGGGGACTTTAGCTTGAAGGCTCACTGCTGAACAAGTGCAAAGGAAGTATGGCCAGGTCCAGGTGGTGCAAGAGATCAGATGCTGGAGCCAGGCTACCTGGGTTCAAGTCCCAGCCTTTCCAACCAGCAGCATGAACTTAACCTCAGTTTCCCCATCTGAAAAGTGGGGCTAATAACAGCATTCACTGTATAATGTTATTGGTAAGACTTAAATGGGCCAATGTGTGCAAAGAGCCTGGTACATAAATGAGGGACATTTAATTTACCTAGAAAATGTGCCTATGAAGTTTTATGCCTTTGAATATTTTCATTTTCATGATTTTAGCCTTTTATCCACTCTTAGAAAATATAAAATCCTGGTACTTTTTAGATGGTGGAAACCTTCAGATGTGCATTCTTGAAGCATAAATACTTACTGAATGAGTACAAGAAAATCATCTCACAATGCAATTTAACACGTAATGACCAAATACCTCCGTTCCCCCATTTTGCATATCTGATAAAGAAATATCACTTCATTCTTAGAATGTGAAGAAATTAGACTTCTAGATGAACATCAAAACAGTTATCAAAATATCAGCTATAATGGAGGGATATTAACTGTGAGATGACATTATCAAAAGACCTACCAGTACTCTGTCTCAGCTTTAAAAATCAGTATACATGGAAGTACAGACTTAGTACAAAGATACATTCACTTGCGGTTACTGGTTTTAAGAAGGTATTTTCCTCAGGAGGGCTATACATACACAATTTCTCGTAGTATAAATCAATTCACTTTATATAAGTTGTAGATATAAATGTGTAAAGAAAACATATCTTAAATAGCTTAATCAGGCCCGTGCTTTGCTATTTTATTGAAAAATATCTCATATATAATGTTTTGCCATTACTATCACACAGTTTTTACTGACCAGTCATTGGGTACATGGCATGAAGATTCTTATAGTACCAGCACTGAAATCGCTATATTTTGCCTAAACTGTTCTTCCTCCTGTTTTCCCTCTTCTGAAAAAGGATCCCACCATCTACTAAGTTACTCTATTTGACAACCTGGGATCCGTCTTCTACTCTCTCTTCTTTACACTCTACCAACCTATCATCTAGTCATTTGCCATATTCTCCCAACTCTCTTCCCTATCCTTTATCTAAGAGCCCATCCCTTCCATTTTCCTATCAATTTAGAGCCTCATAATCTTGATCTGTACTATTAAAGCCCTCTCCTAAAGGGTTTCTCCTCTGGTCCATCTGCTACATTACTTTAGAAGGATAACTTTAAAGCAACTCTTCTACTCATGCAAATTTACTTTATGTGACTAGATATTTCCCAGAGTGCTCTGCAAACATCATTCTGCACATGTTAAAGATGGTACATTTGAGAAATGCTGGCTTAACCATGTTAGGGTTCTTCGTTGTAAGATTTATCAGAATGTTTAGGATTTATACATTATGAATATCCAAGACGTTATAATATGCAACTTTTCCTGAATTTTACTTACCAGTATTTTTTTTTTGCAAGAGTACAGTTTGCTCTGGAATACACTTTGTAAAATACTATTTTATCTGCCTCTCTAAACCTTCAAATTTCATATCAGCCTATAAGTCATAGCACAGATTTTTTTAACATGCCTTGCAAGGGCCTCCTGCTATCACCCTAGCCTCATACGTGGCATCTGTTCTTGCAGATACCTTTTGTTTTGGTCCCATCAAACTGTATCTAGGTCCCATGTCAGGCATACGGTCATGGCTCTCATGCATTCCTCCCTATCTGAAATCCATTCCCTTAGCTTGTCTACTTGAAGTCCTCTTCATCCTTAAAGATGAGGTACAAATATCACCTTTTTAAAGCTTCCTCTGGCACACCCAAGGAATCTTTTTTTTTCCCCTCCATACTCCCCAGTATGGCACTCTCTCTTGGAGTTCTCATCACATTTTATTAAATTTTTGGTGTATCATTCTCCTTATGTACCAGTCTGGGGGATCCTTTATCATCAATGTTCTTCAATCCTATGTGCCTCGCACCTGTCACATAGTTGGTACTAAGAAAAAGAGTAGTTCTTCTCTAGTGGTAAATGAACACACCACTGTCGAGAGAGGGGCAGTGCAAGAAAGTTAGGACTATAATGAAATCAGAGGCAAGGCTGTATTTACTCATTAATACGCAGTGACTTCAGCCATGAAACCATTATCCCCAGAAACTGCATCTGAATTCCAACTCCATTTCCTCCTCAAAAAGATGCTCTCCAATCAAATGTTGAGCATTTGTAACTTTGAAGATTACTTACTACTTTCTCTCTTTTCTGCATTCATGGTCACCATCCTTCTGAATAAAAGAGAAAAGAGATAGAATGGCCTTCAGATGGGCTGAAATCCTTACTGAATATGTCACATCTCAGATCTTGGAAGCAGATCAAAGGAGAAGCAATAAATCGATTTTTTTTCTTTTGATTTAACCACCCACTCTTGGTTGGCTGTAGATCATTCATTTTTGAAAACAAGATAATTGTGGCAACAGCTGTCCATAAGAAGCTGCAGAGTTGGCTTTCTTCCAAGAGAAAAGAGATTCAGATTATGAATTTACTCAATAATAACCTTAGAGTTTTTACAGCTAAAATGAGCATATAGAAACCCATTATTTTACACATAATAGGATGGATGCTGGCACAGAATAAAAGACTTGCCCAAGGTTACAAGAACTATAAATTTACATTTAATGGGTGGCAAAGGTATGTTTTTGCTCAGGTTTAAGAACACAGTTCAACAAAGACTCAAGAAATTAAACCAGAATAGACTTCAACATCATCAGGCAAAATAATATTTTATCAAGGTTTTGTCTCTTTTTTACCTTACATTTGTATATAGCATTATGTCTTTTATACTAAGTGATGTTTTATGTTAATTGTTTTAGCAGAGGTGTGTGGACAGGATTAATGAAGGAACTGATTATGGCGAGGCAGTTGGTGTCTGCAAATGTGGGCAGGATGGTGGGATGCCTGGCCAGCCAATGGGTATTATATGAATCACAATCTTGTAAAAGTTTTTTCCAAGTGGAATTAAAGCATTCTTTTAAAATTTTTGTTTACTTTTGTTTCTTAGTACAGGAGACTTCTAATTCTTGACTAACCATTTAGCATTTTTTAAAATGAGCATTACAAAAATTAGTAAAAATATTTTTAAAAATCTTCAACATTTGTGGAAGCTAGATGGTTTAGAGAGTTTGGACATGAGGCACTGGGAATGCAGAAATGATTAGAGATGGTCACAGTGGTAGGTTCTGGTCATGTTTGCTTAAAGTCAATCCAGTAATAGATTAGTGGTAGCTATGGGGACTTAGGCAAAATCCCTTTGTGGCTAAGTTGGACTGGTTAAGAGAAGAAAATGGCTCCATGGCTACAGAAATAGGCAGAGTCCAAAACTGGATGTGGCTTTGCTAGAATCAAAGCTGTCTCTGAAAGAGGTAGGGGATTTCTTTTGATAATTGGAAAATTTCAGCCATTCTCATCTGGATGAAAGGTAAGAAGGGACCCTTTGTCTTCTTTCCTTTCATCTTCATTTTTTTTTATTCCACCTTCTTTCTTTTCTATCCTTGCCCTTACCACCTCTGTACTTTAGAGATTGCATTATGTTTGATCTTATCATGTACACATAAAGGTTATGCAAACTGTCTAAATATGTACAAGACCAATTTGTTAATGTGGTTTGGCATTCAAACTTTAATAAATACTGTTTTGGTAGATCAGAATATTTTGGATAAAACTGAAGTGATTTCTTTTTTAAAAAATCATTTAATTTTTAATTGACAATAATCATATATATTTATCATGTACATCATGTTTTAAAATATGTATACATTGTGGAATGGCTAATTTGAGCTAGTTAACATATGCATTACTCACATACTTATAACTTTCCATGGTGAAAGCACTTAAAATCTCTCAGCAATGTTCAAATATGTAATACGTTGTTGCCGACTAAGTCACCGTGTTGTACAGCAGATTTCCTGAACTTATATCTCCTGTCTAAATGAAATTTTATATTCTTTGACCAACATCTTCCCAACACAGCCTCTAGTAACAACTGTTCTACTCTTTTCGTCTATGAATTCAATGTTTTTAGATTCCATATATAAGTGAGATAATATGGTATTTACCTTTCTGCGCTTGGTTTATCTCACTTAAAATAATGTTATCCAGCCAGGCGCAGTGGCTCTTGCCTGTAATCCCAGCACTTTGGGAGCGTGAGGTGGGCGGATCACAAGGACAAGAGATCAAGACCATCCTGGCCAACATGGTGAAACACCGTCTCTACTAAAAATACAAAAATTAGCCGGGCATGGTGGCAGGCACCTGTAGTCCCAGCTACTCAGGAGGCTGAGGCAGGAGAATCATTTGAATCCAGGAGGTGGAGGTTGCAGTGAGCCAAGATCGCACCACTGCACTCCAGCCTGGTAACAGAGCAAGACTCCATCTCAATAATAATAATAATTTATCCACTTTCATATGTGTTGTCACAAATGACAGAATTTCCTTCTTTTTTGCGGTTGAATAGTATTCCATTGTGTACATATACTACATTTTCTTTACCAATTCATCCATTGATAGACACTTAGGCAGATTCCATATACTGGCTACTGTGAATATTGCTGCAAGGAACATGGGAGTGTAGACGTCTCTTTGACATACTGATTTCATTTCCTTTGGATATATACCCAATAGTGGGGTGTCTGGATCATATGGTAGTTCTATTTTTAATTTTTTTGAGGAACCTCTATACTATTTTCTGTAATGGCTGTACCAAAACAGTTTCTAGGAGGATAAATTTGGGGGCAACTGCTCCATTTTAATATGTGTGAAGAACAATTGAAACTTTAACCTAAAGCCAGATGTCTCAACCTTGGCACTATTGACATTTTTGGCTATGTAATGCTTATAAGTGGCTGTCCTGTGTGGTGTTATGATGGTTAGCAGCATTTCTAGCCTCTACCAACTAGATGACAGGAGTACACACGTGCCCACTTGCAACAACTAAAAATGTCTTTAAATATTGCCAAATGTCCCCCAGGAAAGCAAAATTCCCCTGATAGTTACTGACCTAAGCCATAATGCATGGTTTCTTCCTTACTATAAACATTTGTCTTTGAGTCAGTAGAACTTTTCAACTAGTGATGAATTTTTTTTCTTTACCCATCAAACATTTGTTGGACATCTTTCAATGAATCATCTGTGAGAAATGTGAAAATTAAGAAATTGCCCTCACTGACTTACATTTCAATAAGAAAGACAGACACATGGAACAAACCATTACTCTCTAGTTTCAAATGTAATTCTGTAAAGGTAAATCCATGGTTCTGTAGGAGCCAAAAGGATGTTGAATCAAATTTGGACAGAAAAACTCAGCCAAGTTCCATAATGAAAGAAATCTTGGCCATGCTTGGTGGCTCATGCCTGTAATCTCAGCACTTCAGGAGGCCAAAGCAGGCAGATTGCTTGACCTCAGGAGTTCAAGACCATCCTGGGCAACATTGAAAGACTGCACTTCTAAAAAAAAAAAAAAAAAAAAAAGAGACAAAATTAGCCAGGCGAGGTGTGCATGCCTGTGGTCCCAGCTACTTGGGAGGCTGAGGAGGGAGATTGACTTAAGCCCAAGGAGGCCGAGGCCGCAATGTGCCATGACTGCTCCACTGCACTCCAGCCTAGGTGACAGAATGAGACTCTGTCACAAAAAAGAAAGAAAAAGTCTTTCTATTATTTTTGAAAGTTCCATAGCAAATCTCCCCGTTATTTTGTGGGCTGTTTCTCCCATGGCTCCTCTTAGCTCCCTGAATGCAGGGCATTTTAGTCACTGAAACCTACTCCTAATAAAAATTGCATAATTTTATGAAGAAATAAGTTGGTCCTGGAAAGTGCCTTTCACAGCAGAATTCTGTGTTGATGGAGGAACTTGTTGGGACAGAGGCGGTTTGTATCATAAGCTGTCATTTTTAGAAAGGTGAACAAAGCAATGTCAATGTCTGATAAACGTGTCATGGCTTTAAAGGAAATGAACAGAACCCAGAATGTCCAATAACAGTCCACGAAAAACCACTGTGTTACCCTGATACGCTGTATCCACCTTGTCTGAAGGGCTGAGCAGCAGATTTTATGAGGAACCATACATGCTACCTCAATTGGCCATAATTAGAGAACCTAAAAAAAAAAAGTTAAATTGGTTTCAATCTAAATTTTCCTTTGGGGAAATTAGTATATCAGATATCTGCACTCCCATGTTTATTGCAGCACTATTCACAATAGCCAGGATTTGGATGCAATCTAAGTCTCCATCAACACATGAATGAATAAGGAAATGGAATACTATTCAGCCATAAAAAAGAATGAGATCTTATCATTGGCAACAACACGGATGGAACTGGAAGTGGTTATATTAAGTGAAATAAGCCAGGTACAGAAACACAAACATAAGTTCTTACTTATTTGTGGGAACTAAAAATCAAAACAATTAAACACACAGAGATAGAGAGTAGAAGGATGGTTACCAGAAGGTGGAGAGGATGGTGGGAGGGTGGGGGCAGGAGAAGATGGTTAATGGGTACAAAAAACAAAATAGAAATGAATAAGACCTATTATAGCACAACAGGGTGATTATAGCCAAATAATTTAATTGTATATTTTAAAATAACTAAAAGGGTATAATTGGATTGTTTGTAACAAAAAGGATAAATACTTGAGGGGATGAATAACCCATTTTCCATGTTGTGATTATTATACATTGCATGCCTGTATCAAAATATCTCATGTGCCCCATATATATACCTATGTACCCATGTTTAAAAACTAAAAATTAAAAAAATTCCTTTGGAGAAGTGAGTATTCTAATGTTAAAAGTTAAAATTCTGTGGTACAATGAATTAATATTAAACTATAATTTTTTTATTTAGTTAAATAAACATTTATGATAAAGCTCCCAAGAATGAAAGACAGCATTATGGGATTGCAAAAAAATGAGAGAAGATATAAGCATTTAGTCTTGTAGAGAAGATGAACTCAGAACAAAGTTAATTTATCAGAGGGTAAGATTAATGCTATGATAGGGGAGTTCACATGAGGAAGTGAAGAATTATAACTGGTGAATAAGGCAGTGTGAGCATTAATCTTTGTATTTTCTGATTTCCTGAGCACAAGAATGTATATCAGGAATACTTGCAGGTCAAAAAATGCCATCCACCAATATTAATGAAGCTGGTAGAAGTCTTGGGATATGGCTTCAGAAAATTGTTATCAAACTCATTTTTCTCTTAGAAAAACAATAAAAGGAAACTTTCTCTAAAAGTACAAGAATACTTATCTTCCCATCCATCCATTCATCCATCCATTTCTCTATCCATCTTCCAAAAAGCAGTTGAACTGATCTTTTTGGAACAAAGCAAATCATGTCACTCCTGTGACTATGTTTTCAGTGGCTTCCCACTGCTCTTAAACCGAAAATCAAACCCCCTCTCTTCCATTACCTACAACATTCTGCAATGACCTATCCTCTCCTACCTCTCTGGTCCCAGGTCATCTTACTCTCCCCTTTGTTCGTTGTCCTGTAGCTACTCTGCCTACCTCCCCTCCCCCAATGAATCTTAGGACCTTTGCATATGCACCTGCAATCCTGATCCCTCTGCTTCTGGCTCCTGCCCCCTGCCCTTCTTACTGCTGGCTCTTTCTCATGTTTCACATCAAAGGTTCAGTGTCATTTCCCTCGACCTTTGTTCACATCCTCCTTTATAATCCAAAGCGCTCCTTGAGACTAGGAATCCTTATCTATTTTGCTCATTAATGTCTCCCTGAACAAGGCATAAGAAATATATACTCAGTACATAGATTTCAAATGAGTAAACCAATACTTTTCTTGAGTGTGTGTCACCTACACTGGATTATAAGCTTAAGGACAGCAGTATGCCCATTTTGCTCACCATTGTATAACCAGTGCCTAAATCAGTGCCCAGTCCAACGAAGATGGTCCAAAAATAATTTTTGAAGATGTAAATAAATGAATTCATAAATAAAATGATTTATAAGATCTATTTTAGGTAAAAATAAAAAGCAAAATGAGAACAATAACAATAAAAACTTACGATCCCAACTTTAGGCTGCCAACAGATATGGGAAGGGAAGGTAAAAATTATAGCTTCAAGTTAAATACAGTTGTAAATAGCTATTCAATTTGAATTTATTATGAAAAAAAGTTCCCTAAAATTGTTTAAGCCAAATTCTAAATGTACTTCCCCTCCTATGTAGAATTGTGACTCCTATTTTATGATTCCTTATGAGTCTGTCATGTAAATGGTGTTTAAAGATTGTTAATGGAGTGTATTCTCTTAATGTCAATGAGGAGTTATCAAGCCTTAAATTAAGGACTGCATGAAAGACTAGTATTTCACATTGTACAGTTTTACCAGTCTAAAATGATTCTCACAATTGACCACCAGATGGTGATGTCTGGGAAAACCATCCCACGTGAAGAATTCTTTCTTCAGCCACTTGATGGCATCTCTCCGTTGTTTTCAAGATCTCCTGACCCATTCATCTTAATTCTTTTTGTGTTCCAGGTCTGCGTTGCTTTCTGTTCTGCAGTTCTTTCCTATCTCGTAGATTCCCACTATGATACCAGTCATGTGTAGGGTGTACTAAAGAGAAGGTCTTTGGGACATTCCTTTGAAAAATATTTGTTGTGAACATTTTTTAATTCTAATTGTTTTAGTTGTATTTTGCAGCAGAATAATTTTTTTCCCTTTTTATCTTTAAAGGAAACAGCTGTGTAGGCTTCTTTACATTTGTGAGAAAATATATATATCTCAAGGGACAAAAATACTGGTTAGCGTATTTGTGTGTGTATATGTGTGATGTTTTTAAGGCTTGATGATTAGCTTGCACAGTAGTGTTATGCTGCTGAACTATATTATGATTCCAAATAGGAACATTTAAGCTGTACTCTTTGTAGTAAAATAGACTATTTATACATCCTTTGCTTATGTAACTTCCTCTGATTTTTAAAAAATATTTATGATAAGAATATACAATCACATCAAAGCTCCAATGTAGAGTTTGGTTTTATAGTGTTTGCAGGTAAATGAACATTTTCAAATAAATATATTTTTCTTAAGGGCTAGTAATTTTTCTTCTGAATTTAGTTATATTCTCATTAACTTATTTGTTTTGGCCTTATGGAGAAGCCTTGGTTGGCATTTTATAAAACAAAGTTTTGGGTGACCATACTTTCAGGGATTACTTTCAGAGCATTTTAAAGATCCTCCAGATGAGTTTTGCTATTAACAGTCTGCAAATGAAATGAGCAAATTTTTTCAAGTGCTATTTTTAAGTCAGGAAGTATATTCCAGATGAAACACTTTTTTCATTGCCTGCTCTTTAAAAGCAAATCATAGATATCTTAAAGCTCATTAGAGATTTATCTGTTTTGAAATAAAACTGTTTTCCTCTTCTTCCTTCATGAAGATTTTTATCTGTATATCTTTAAGTGGCTTGTCGTTACGTTTTGAGCCATAAAGCTCACTTCTTTCAAAACCCCTGCTTCCACAAAACACAGAACTTTTATTTATGATCATGATGCTCAGGGAGGTTGACAATCATAAGTAGTTACGTACATGTGTAACAATAGTTGGACGTACATTATAACACACCAGGGCTCTGTTAAAAGTGTCTTGGCTGACTGGGAAGATCAAGCAGACAACAAGAGTAAGTTGTGAATAGCTGGAAAAGGGGACTTTATCTCTCCTCTGGCCACCTTAAATCAGTTAAGACAGGATTTGCAACAAATAACAAACCTCAACAAAATTAAAATATGAGGAAAAATATGTTCTCTCACCTAAAAAGAAGGACTGAGATATGATGGTTCCAAGTTGGTTAACGTAGAGTCTAAAAGATATCCTTTCTGTCTTCGCTTCCATCATCCCCAGTCTGTTAGCTTTGTCCCCTGGTGTGTTCCTTCATGGTCACCATGTGATTGTATATTTCTAGGAGTCACATTCAAATATCAGAATGTCCAGAGGAAGAAGAAACCACCTTACCATACCCAGAGGCCCTGCAGCCAACTCCCTCGGGTCTCATTGGCCAGAGTTGGTTGAACACTTCTGTCTAAACCAATCCATAGTGAAGGAATTTGATTTTTATGATTGCTTAGACTATTCAGTTTACTAAGTCACATAGTGGGAGAATTTTCCAAAGGAAAACATGTAAGAAGGGTGAATGGGTTTCAGACTGACAACCAGTAATTTCTGATGCCTTACGTTTCCAATTATTGGAGGTTTGGAAGAGCTTGAACAAGTTCAGTTATCAAAAGAGAGTGAGATGTACTTAAAATCTCAATCATTTCAATGTTCTTGGATTGAAGACCCTGAGAAGGACAGTCTATCAGCTTTTGACATTGTGCTGTCAGCCTAGCAAGGCTGGTCTTTTTTGTCTCCTCAAATATTTCACTATTACACCTATTTTAAGGCCTTCACTTTAGCTAGTAAAATAGATCATTTGTTATAAAATATAAATTTAAGTCTCTGGACCTCCTTGTTTTAAACCCTATTTCATGATTGTTGGATCTCATATTTCTGCCTGGGATGATAATTCTAGACCATCACTAATGACTAAGCAGCAGAAAGGAGTCTGATCTGGTATTCCAGTATCCCATTGCCCACGGGAGCTCTTCCCTTGCCCTGAGCTGATTACCTAGTATCACTGAGAAAATAAAAGTTCAGCTCATATGAATTTCATCAACTAATCTTCTCTTTGACATCTCTGAGTTCCTCCTCCTTCCCTTCTATTTCTGAGGATGGAATACCTCTTCTCCCTTCCAGTGCAAATTCCCCCCTGGTATTTTTTATTCCTTCCTCTCCTGACTCTTTTGAGCTTTGTCATCCAGTTTCTTCTCCCAAGTCACCTAGGCTAGGCACTTTGTACTGATTTTTGACCCTTTCCTTTACTCAGTATGCAATGACTTGCCAATTCCTATTGATTCACCCTCTCAACTATTATTATTGTTAATTTTTTTTTTTTTTTTTTTTTTGAGACAGAGTCTCACTCTATCACCCAGGCTGGAGTGCAGAGGCATGATCTCGGCTTACTGCAACCCCCACCTCCCAGGTTCAAGCGATTCTCCTGCCTCAATCTCCTGAGTAACTGGGATTACAAGCATGTGCCACCACGCCCAGCTAATTAATGTATTTTTAGTACAGACAGTATTTCACCATGTTGGTCAGGCTGGTCAGGTGGCTCAGGCCTGTAATCCCAGCACACTGGGAGGCTGAGGCAGGCAAATCACCTAAGGTTAGGAGTTCAAGACCCTCTCAGTTATCTTATCCCTCTCCACTGCCACTGTTGTCCTTTGCTAAAGTAATTTTAGACTTTTGGAGCTCAGTAGACTCTGTTCCCTGAATCTAGCACTTTAACAGTCTGGGGTTTGAAATAGTTTCCATTTTGCTAGTTTTTAGCTTTATTAAATATTCTGAGAGGTAACCTTTCAGTAATCTATATTTGCTTTGTGATACACTGGAATTACATGTACACACAAAACCTGAAGAGGCTAAAATGGTAGTAACTAACTACCAAGTACAGTGAAAGCACTAATTAAAGTGTCGTATAACTAAATCTTCCTGATATTAGGGTAGGTAAATTAGAACTGTGTGAATTTACAGAGGACAATTTTGAGATGGCAAAGTAAATCCTGTTATTATTCATATCCTAAAAGTAGGTTGATAAAATTGTATGCGAATGCCAGTTAATTTTGTGAAACGAGTTATTTGTATAAAGGGCTATTAAACAGGGCCAATTCAATTCTGGGTACTGTTTGTTAAAGCCATTGTTTGCTTTTCTTTTTCCTTTTAGTTAAAAGTCTCAATCCATTTTATATTATGGCCAGAACTGAAGGGCCTGGTGAAACATCTCATTTTCCGGAACCATGTGCTAAAATGTGTGAAGGGGACACACCTTAAATAATTTTATTGAGTTTGTGTAAAATGGTCTGTTGACTGTTCTACTCTTGATTTCATTGATTTTGTCCATTCACAAATCTAAAATGTGACCTGTCTTGTTTGGAGACTTGGCATACATGCCTTTTCTTTTCTAATTGTTTTCTAAAGTACAAATGATTTGAAAAAAATTTTTAAAATCACTTAAAAAGCCCTGGAGATGAACATAAAACATTCTTGTGAAACTATGATCTTGTTAGGACTAATATTTCCTTGAATTGCTTTTGTACCCATTATTGGATCCCATAAAGGGAAGGTTAGACCACCAAATAAGGAGTCAAACTGTGCAGCAGTCCACTTCCCAAACCCCCAATCCAAGTACCATTGTGTAATTTTAAAAGTTGTAAAACATGTAAAATTCCAATCATACTCCAATCCCTCCTTTCTTAACTAATGACCCTGGGTTTTGCTTCACTGACAAAATAAAAAAGCCATTCTCCTTTAACTTCATCAGATATCCTTATCTTTTCTTCTCTTTTATAAATCTCTCTTCTGTTCCTCCCCTCTTTGGGGCACTTGAGTCCTCCTGTTTTCCAATGTTAGCCACAAACTCTGTGTCTTTGACATCTGTTCCTGTCTCCTGAGCTTTTAAGCCACAATCCTTTAGTTATCCACATTCAAATCATGACACATTTAAATCACAATCAGCCCTTTTCCAAAGTCCCTTATCAAGTGGGCTTGTCTGTATCAAGCCATTCCTGTTCATTCAACTTCTCCACAGTTCTTCTATTTAGTTATTTCATTTCCACCACTACTGCCCTGGTTAAAGCCTATCCCACTTGTACGTCCTTACTACTAATTTATTCTTATAAATTCTCTCAGCTTAGTTCTTAAAACAATTGTAATTATGTTACACCTTGCTTCAAGAGCATTCATTCCTTCATTGCCGCTCTAAATATCTAAAGAAAGAAGTTCAGATGTCTCTTCACTGTATTTTTTTTTTTTTTTTGAAATGGAGTCTCGCTCTCTCACCCAGACTGGAGTGCAGTGGCGTGATCTTGGCTCACTGCAACTTCCGCCTCCTGGGTTCAAGCTATTCTCCTGTCTCAGCCTCCCAAGTAGCTGGGATAACAGGTGCATGCCACCACACCCGGCTAATTTTTTGTATTTCTAGTAGAGATGGGGTTTCGCCATGTTTGGGGTCTCAAATTCCTGACCTCAGGTGATCCACCCAACTTGGCCTCCCAAAGTGCTGGGATTACAGGCATGAGCTACCATACCCAGCCTCTTCTTTGTATTTATACTCCTCCTTGATCTGACACAAAACCACCTTTCTACATGTTTCTCCTAGAATAGTCTTTGATTTAGCCATCTTGGACTTGCCAATGCTGTGCCAAGCAGTGAAATTGTCATGATTGTCCTGTCTCCGTTCATGTTGTTCGAGCAACCCCAAATGTCCTCCCCACCAGCCTGTGCTGTTAAAGCCTATTTATCTTTCAAGTTCCATTTTGAATACCATCTGGATTCTGGCAACCCTCTTCCCCTAATCTATCACTAAGAATTAACCAGTCATTCTCTGTACTACTAAACTAAATTCCGTATAGTGCTATCAAATCCTTCACTTATCCTGCTTTTTATTGTAGCCTGTGGTTTATTTGCATTTTTCCCATTAGGTGGTATTTTCTTCCCACTTCCCTGCCCCAAGCACCTAGCAAAGCGCTTTACACATATCAGGAATTCAACATTTGCTGGAAAGAAATTGCCTGTTATCCAAATAGTCTGGCTTATGTTTGAATGGATCTTAATAATTTTATGAAATTTGGAATAAAAAGTAAAGTACAGTGTACAGCTTTCTAATGTCCAATGTACTGGTTGGTTCCCAATGGGTTTTTGATGTGTTTAGATACTGATTCCTTTATCCCTCAAGTCACCTCAAGGGTGACTTAGAGGATTTTCCCCAATATGTACCACAAATATTGTCATGTTTTGTGTTTCCCATGTTATGAAGAAGGTTGGCAGAGTGCTGAGAGTATGAGCACTGGAATCAGAATGGCTGCATTAGAAATCTGATGCTGCCACTCACTCATTTGAGGCTCAAATTATTGAGGCTCAGAGTGTGGAGTTAGTTTTATTTTTAGACTCAGGTCAAAGGGACCCCAGCTCCCGACCCCATGCTTTAGAAAGCTCTACTCTGGCCTCCCTCTGACCACCTCTTTTCTTATAAGATGAGGAGTTCATGCTGCTACGGGAATGTGCTTAACTGTTGCCTGTACCTCCCCTTTGAGGACAAGCCCTGGATTCCTGGGACCTTTTGTCTAAATGCCCTTGTTCCCACTTCTAGTATCTTCACGGGCCTCCTTCCACAGCTTGCCTTACTATACGTAGGCCACAGGCACAAACTGTTGTCTCGAGATGGCTGTTTGAAGTGATGTGCCTTAATCTAAGACATGTGAACTGGAGGTTCACAGCCTGTTCACCTGATGTCCCCTGCAGTGTGGGACAAAGAGAGGAATTCAAGAACTTAAAATCAAACATGATCTTATATGTTTCTATGGAGGTATATTTGACAAGGGTAAAGTCTGTATTTTAGAGTACGTATTTTATATAACAGCCCATTGGCTTTGTTTATAACTTTTGAATATTTAAACTTAAGATGTGTGCATCTTCCCTAGCCCCTGCATGTGTTATTAATGCTTTCTTCTCTTACACATTGACAGTGTAGGTTAATTAGGCTAATGTGATTACAGCACATTGCTGTTTAGTAAGTGATCAGTGAATATAAGGTCTTGCTAATAATAATAATTTATTCTTCTATTCATTTGTTTAAAATATATTTATTGAGTACTTACAATGCATAAGCATGATTTTACATAAAAAGACAGATAAGATTCCTGCTCTCATAAAGGTTACATCTCAGAGAGACAGACAGTAAAGACTTAAAGAAAAGGAAAAGTTGCAAGTAATACCAAAGGCAATACATAAAAATGAAATGATATGCCAGAGCCTGGCAGGGCAGCACCATGCAGTCAGGAAGACACTCTTCCAGGAGGTGACAGCTGCACAGCGGAGATGACAGCAGATGGAAGGAGCCTCTGTATGAAGGCAGGTAATAAGAGAATAGCAGGTGCAGGCTGGGTACCATGGCTCATGCCTGTAATCCCAGCACTTTGAGAGGCTGAGGTCAGGAGTTCAAGACCAGCCTGGCCAACATGGTGAAACCCAATCTTTACTAAAAATACAAAAATTAGCTGGGCGTAGTTGCGGGTGCCTGTAATCCTGGCTACTTGGGAGGCTGAGATAGGAGAATCACTTGAACCTGGGAGGCAGAGGTTGCAGTGAGCTGAGATCATGCCACTGTACTCTAGCCTGGGTAACAGAGCAAGACTCTCTGAAACAAACAAAACAAAACACAAAACAGGTGCAAAGTCTCTGGCTCTGGCTCTGGGGCACAGATGAGCTAAGCGGCACTGGGGACAGTGATTTCAATGTACCCCAGCTACACTGGTTTGGTATTAAATCGGGCAAACAGGGCAAAATGACTTATGTTTAACTGGATAAGCAGCATGCATTTTACTTTGAGGCAATGGGGAGTCCTTGGAAGGTTGTAAGCAGAGGCGTGATATAATCTAATTCACACTTTTAAAAGCTCAATTTGGCTAAAATATGGAGAATGGATGATGAAAGGTGATGAAGGCAGTCATGGATGATAAAAGGCCAAGAATAAAAGTAGGAAGATTAGGGAAAAGACTCTGACTAAAAGCCCAGGCAAGAAGTTGTGGCAATGATGATAGTAATGGTGGTAGTAATGGGAGTAGTACTAATAATATTTATAAAAGTAACATCAATATTAATATCAGGAATAATAGCCATAATAGTGATAGTAGTAAATAGACATCTTTCTCTGCCAAGTTCTAATTGAATACTATAGAATCCAGTTTTTAGGTAGCCAACTTGCGTTTTTGCATCAAAATCTAAATTCTTCCATTGGCATTTCATTCTGTTAACAGAAGTCAAGCCTAAATAAACAGATTGTTTTCACCATCTAATCCGGTCATGACCGAGACTTTTCAGAGTAGTGCCATGTAGTTATACAGAGTGTTCTGTGGGAAATTAGACATTTCCTCAGTTAACTGACTATTTCATGGACTCTGCCCCCTGTAGATCATGCCGTCATCTGCCAGTGAAGAAACCACATCTGCGCAGTTAGTGACCTAAGCTGGAGGTACTTTGATTTAATTGCGGCTTCTTGTCCGTGTCATAGGAATACATTGTGCATAGCCTGATACTTTGTCCTACTGAAGAACAATGGAAGCTTATGGCTAAAATACTGCTTTACCCATCTATCTGCTACAAAAACATTGTTTAAAACTATTGAGGGGCAGTGATTTCCCAAGTTAACACTTATGCAAATGTGTTTTTGTCTTAAAACCTCCTTCCAAAAGCAATAATATATCTCAGTCATTCTGATTCTCTGTGCCCACTGGCACAATGACCATTGCTGCTGGATATCTAATTAAATGAATGTCCCAAATAAAGTCACATGAGCTGTATTTTTGCCTAGGAATAATTAGAAGGGATATTAATTTGCACAAAGTCTACATTAGTCTATCTCTTAAACCTTTCATTGTAAAGTGGATCTGCATGTATCACTTAATGTATTTCTATGATTTTTTTTGCAGGATGAGTTTAGGTTTTATAGTATGTCAGATTAGTAAGCTTATGAAGCATTAATATGTTACGGAATAGAATTCTCATTTATTCTGTGAAGAATGTTACATGGTTGCAGATTTCAGAATTTTTTTTTAAATTATACTTTAAGTTTTAGGGTACATGTGCACAACATGCAGGTTAGTTACATACGTATACATGTGCCATATTGGTGTGCTGCACCCATCAACTCGTCATTTAACATTAGGTATATCTCCTAATGCTATCCCTCCCCCCTCCCCCCACCCCACGGCAGGCCCCGGTGTGTGATGTTCCCCTTCCGGTGTCCATGTGTTCTCATTGTTCAATTCCCACCTATGAGTGAGAACATGCGATGTTTGGTTTTTTGTCCTTGCGATAGTTTGCTGAGAATGATGGTTAATTGAACCAACTGAATTTTTGGCTAGATTCAGTTAAGAAAGGCCAGGACCATAGTGAAAGGAGCTACGAAGTGCATAAGCCAGAAAAGCTTAGGCAGCTTTGCCAGTCTTTACCACCAGAGAAGATTTTAAATTCAGAGGTGTGAAACAGGAAAACTGGTGAGTGTGCGATTACCTGAGGTTCAAGGTCTGTTTGGAGGATGTTGCACTTAGACGAACTATTAGATTTGTGCTATTAGCTTTAAATCCTACAAAGAAGTGAAAATTTTAAGTTATTTTTCTTTACTTGCTTTTCTGTTGGAAGCCAACTAACTGAGAGCATTTTAAAAGCTTTTTATGTATTTGGAACAAAAAGAATGGTTTTTAAAGGAACATAATGTTCGTAAGAGTTGTAGTGATTGACTAATAATATAAAGCACAATCTACATAGTAGGAAATTTTTAACATAAAAAATTTGGTATCCTACAAGGAGCCAAAAGAGTTCAATTAAAATTTTATCCCTGGCATGACCTAGATACTACTCTATGAATTCCTTTTAGCAGACTAATCCTAGGATGGGTAGAGTGCAGACTCCTGTTTTCTTTTGTTTTGGTTTTCTCCCTGAATATGGTTATCCTTCTCTCTTGCAACCTCTCTCCGTGAATCTAACTCACCACTAAAAATATTTTTATAAAAGTCTTAAAATAACTTTTTTTACAAATTGCTATCTTTGTTCCAACAAGAGAAGATATATTTGTTGCTATTTTAAACGATTCTGGCTATTTGATGCAAACATTTAAAGTTGTATTGACACTTTCATGGACTATTTGTATCAGAGTTAATATAGACTTGGATAAAATATATCAAACTAATGAGCAAAGCTATTTGGTAATAATAATGTATCCTGTTGCTAATAGTCATGGTTAGAGTTATAATACATTTATTCTTTAACTCACTCAAGACAACACTTGTTTATTGCTTACTCTAGTAAATGGAACACCAGGGATAAAAAGATGAACACAGCATAATTCTTGCCCTCCAGGAACTTGTAATCTAGCTAATCTCTCTTCTAATGGTCATTTTGAAGATTATCACAATAACTTAACATTTCCCTAACAATCAAAATAATTATTCAATGTTAAAATAAAAAATTGTTTTAATTTACAACATATGCTTTAAAGAATCTGGCATGGGTGCAAAAACTGGTACATATAAATCTCATCTAGTTCCAGAGGAAAAGAAACTACATTTATGTAATAAATTTCAAGATGCACTAAATTATCCCTCTCAGCTATATTTAGATGCCATAGGTTCTCTTTAGTTAATCCTTGACAAAAGAACGAAACCTTTCAAGCGAATAAATTCTTAGGTTGCAAATGTTGTGAATAAATTCCACAGGCTGCCCTAATTAATTCCATTTTCTAATGAAATTCCTTTTTTTCAACAAAGACCTAAATAGGCAGTCTTTGAAAATTCCAATTCATGAGGCTCTAGGGTAGTGATATAAATTAGTTTCAATGTCCAACTTTTATATTTGGTACACTTAAGTACTTGGAGTCAATAACTTACATGAAAGCATGTTTTCCGCATTCCTATTTAATTTCCCTTTTTTAAGACAAAAAAGAAAGCCCATTTAATAAGTTACTAATTCTAAGAAGCACATATTGTAGTACTTTTCTAAGGAATAATACTACAATTTAAATGGTATATTGCATTTTCTATTGAGTTATGTTCTGAGTTTACATCACATGAAACAGGCAAATATTTTCTGTAAGGTACTCCCTGTTTTGGCTCATGACTTTTGAGGTAAAAAGGTGGTTTTGTTTTAAATGTCTGCTAATACTTTTAGTGAAGTTTATTATTTTCAAAATATTCTTTAATGATTAAAAAACTACTCGGATCATTGTGTGTATTACTTGGAGCAGGCAGAGAGAGTTATAATTTCACCCGTTAGAGTTAGAGAATGATGTGTAGAGAAGGAAGCCAGACTTAATTTTTGAAAATAATGTATATTTTCCTATAGAATATTGAACTATAGTGGATGTAATTTAATATTTTTAAGAATTCGGAAGTGCCCTAAAGTATTTAAATTGCAGGAACTATGAGTTTTGAAGTGTTTACCTGTGAGAAACTTTTCAAAACACAGCAAAAATTGTACTAGTAAACTTGTTCTTCTATTTTGGCTTGGGAAATTATATCACTAAAAATGTATTAATGTTGCTAAATTTCACTGCATGAAATATTAAATGTTCCGCATTGGATTTGTGGTACCAGAGTTTTAAAATGCTGTTTTTTTTTGTTTGTTTGTTTTTTTCCTTCTTCAAGGGAAGGAGGTAGGGAAGGTGATCTCAAGAACAAGAGATGCATTTGATCTGACACAGTCATGTGCACCTTTGGAATATTTCAGTCTGAGATATGTATTTTGGTGACAGCAGGTAGAGTTGGAAGAGTACTATGTCAAGAATATTAATACCTCTTAGGACAAGGGTTGGCGATTTTTCAAAAGTATTATCCAAAACTAACATGAGTATTCTTGAGGTGTACTAGGGAGAGAGAAAGCTCAAATGCCTTCCACAGGTGAAGGGTAGATGGTTGCTTGTATGATGTGATTTAAATAGCACCAAGAAATCCCCCTTACCCTTAAATGTATTCATAAGTTTTCTTGACAACCTTCACATGGCCTGAATGCTTAAAGTTCTAGCAGTTACAAATGCATTACAATGATAAGACCTTGTTAACAAGTAAATGGCCTTTGAAGGATAAAGATGCATCACATCAAATTTTATATTGATAATATTTCATCATAAACATTCCAGGAAGACTGTTTCCTTAGTCCGTAGATACTGATGAAGAAAAAAGTTCATTTTGGAGCAGTGGGAGCTTGAGAAGAACTGCAACCTGAGAGATAAGGAAGAGGGCTGGCCAAAATTAACTGAGGGCTCCCTAAAATAAAGTAGGGGGGCACCATAGCCTGGCTCCACTCTGAACTTCTTTCCCTGTGGGTGAATTGATAACTTATCTGACATCAGTGTGTGTATCACTTGGAGTAGGCAGAGAGAGTTACAATTTCACCTGAGTTAGAGAATGATGTGTAGGGAAGGAAGCCAGACTTAATCTTTGAAAAATCAAGCATCACCTCTGACAGGCCTTATTCATGATCTATGTGAGATGGAATAAAAGTAGATTTACTGAGAAGAAAATGGATGTCCTAATAATTTAATAATGCTGCGTTTTTTCATAGAAAAAAAACTACTTTTTAGAAATGCAGAAGAGGTGTTACTTTGATTTGAAAAAAAAGTTGAATTTCAGCCAATTCTTCATTGTAGTGAACAATCAGAAGTTTGACAGATACACGCTGTACCCTCTGCCGTAGTTAGAATGTGTCCCCTCCAAAATTCAGGTGTTGCCAATGCAATAGTATTAAGATGTAGGGCCTTTATGAAGGAATGAGGACTATGAGGGAATCTTCCTAATTAACAGGATTAAGGCCCTTATAAAAGAGGCTTCATGCAGCATTTAGCTAGCTTGCCCTTCTGTTTTCTGTCACGTAAGGTAGCAGCAAGAAGGCCCTCACTAGACCAAATGCCAGTGCCTCGATCTTGGACATCTCAGCCTCCAGAACTATGAGAAATAAATTTCTATTCTTCATAAATTTCCCAGTTCAGATATTCTGTTACAGCGGCACAAAACAGACTGAGACACTCTCTAAGGAGAAATATGAAGCTGAAAATCTGCCAAGCACTTTTTAGAAGTGTTTTGATATTTCTGCTTGGGAGAGTAATAATTATATTGAAAATGGTATCAAAACTTTAAAAAAATTAAATCCTGTCAGCAGTACTCAGGACTTAAATGAAATTCATTTTCCAGACCATCTAATAAATGATAAGTAGAAAATGTGGGTTTTCTGTTGCTATCCACACCCTTTTTTCCCCTCAGCCACCTTGTAGGAAAATAAAGCAGGTTTCTGAAACAAGGTGCCTGGATAAAGAGACTATTTAAAATCCCAAGAAGGGAATATTTCTAATGGATATGATGTAGGAAAATGTTGAGGTCATATTGGTCATACTTTAGAACTGTGTTCATAGTATCATCATTTCATTCAGAAAAAAAACAATGTTTGATTTAAGATTATCATATTAAGTCTCTGATCAAAATTTTGAATTATCAAAACAACACAGCTTGATTATACCTGTATCTTGTACATATCAGCACAGCACCAAACTATACCTGCCTTTATTTTAGCAGATAATTTTCCTTTTCTTCTTTTCCTTTTCCTTTCCCCTTTCCCCATCCCCCTTCCCTTTCCTTTCTTTTTTTCCCCCCCCCTTTTTTTTTTTTTTTTGATGGAGTCTTGCTCTATCGCCCAGGCTGGAGTACAGTGGTGCGATTTCGGCTCACTGCAGCCTCCGCCTCCCAGGTTCAAGCGATTCTTATGCCTCAGCCTCCCAAGTAGCTGGGATTACAGGCACCCACCATCACGACTGGCTAATTTTTGTGTTTTTAGTAGAGACAGTGTTTCGCCATGTTGGCCAGGCTAGCCTCGAACTCCTGACCTCAGGTTATCTGCCCACTTCTGCCTCCCAAAGTGCTGGGATTACAGGCGTGAGCCACTGCACCCAGCTTGTTTTATTTTTCATATACCTACATATGTGTCCTGCATATGTATAGGTTTAAAAGCACATGCCTACATTTATCTTAGCAGATGTATTTATTGAAGGGAGTGGTGCATAATTTCTTTCAGTTTGGACAGTAAACAGAGGTGTATCTTATCTCTTATGACCTGAAGTGTGATCATTCATTCCCAGAGGATTCTCTGGAGGTTTGGGGAACAGCAGCTGAGGAGGTATGCATAGTAAAGTACCTTTCTTTTGATTCCTATTAAGTGAAATAAGACTATATACTTACCATTGCTTTTCCTAAACTTTTCCTGCTACTACTTTTTATTTCCTTCTGCAAATGTGGGGCGGGTAGAGGGTGGTGTGGGGAGAAAGGAGGGGAGAAGAGGGAAGAGGAAGAGGAGATGGAAATTATAAGATTTTAGAATTAAAAGAAACAGTATAGAGTGTAGATTGAAAAATCACACCTTAATTTACTGATAAGAAAACTAATGTCCAGAGAATTTAAATGACTTACCACAATCCATACATGGGGAAAGTTGTGGATCTAACACTAGAAATCAGGAGCTCTAAATTTCAGCCAAAAGGCATTTCCACAACACACAATAGACAACACATTTGAGAATGGAGACAGTTAATTTACGTATCCCTGGCAGTGGTTTTTGTAGGTTATGCCTGTTAACTTATTATATGACATTGGTAGACCATAGAAAATTGTGGAGCTACTGAAACTTTTGTTACCACCATAGGTACAAATTATTCTACAGGCCCACAATTTGCCTTTCAGGTAAGAAATTAATGTACAACAAATAAAGTAAGTTATGAAGCATTTTGTAAGCTCGATCCTAGGCATATGTAGTATCTCATGAGAATAAAGAATTATTTTCTACCATCATGGATAGCTTGGGATAATACAGAAGCAATATGCATCAACAGAGAGCCCTTTGCAAGTCTAGAAACTGGAGATTTTCAATATTGAGAATTTCTGGGAAACATCCAGATTGGCACCCATTTGTGTGTTTGACTTTGCAGTATTGCAGATGTAATATCTGAGTCTCAGAGTCCCACATCTAAAGAAAACAAACACTTACTGCCAATTTCCAATTTAATTAAAGCAATTTACTGAAATTATATCACCAAAGCTAAAAATGTATCCTATTAGTGATCAGAAACTCTGGAAGATATAGCTCATAAAACATAGACACTATCTTAATTGTTATCTGTTCCATCTGTCAGACTGCCCAGATTAACCTAATTGATATAGTCATTTGTTCATTTATTCAATAAATAAATATATTGATTACCCAGTATGTACTAGGCACTGGGGATACATAGTGAACAGGAGAAAGTCTCCATGATCATGGGCCTCATGGTCTAGTGTGGGAGACAGACAATAAAGCGTAAAAAATGCATAATACAGTTTCAAATAGTGACATATGCAATGTTGACAAATCAGGGTAAACTTCTGGAGAATAACTGGGGAGGATGAGAAAGATTGTAACAGAGTGTGTGGTCAAGGAAGGCCTCTCTGAAGAGGAGCCATTTATGGAGCAGAGTCCTGAATAGGTGAGTTAGTCAGCTGCAATATAGCAGAAGAACAATGCAAAGAACAGCATTAGCAAAGGCCCTGCAGGGCGCCAAGCCTGGCACATTAGAGGTGCAGCAAAGAGGCTAGAATGGAGCCAGCAGGTGGAGTGGCATGGTTGGCGCATAGGTTGGCGCTGTCATCAGGACCCAGATCACAGAGGGAGAACTGCTGTTCATGAGAAGGAATTTGACGTTAGTACTTACCTTCTCAGAACTTGTCCTATGAAGCCTATGTAGGATAGATAAGAAATGGTTATTTGCACACTATTTGTTAAAAGGTACATGGAATTCCTGAGTACACAGTGTGAATGTTTTATTTTACAAGACCAAGAACAGAGAACACCTGTAGTAAAGAAGGTGATGGATAACAGGATATTATGACTGAATTGTATCTCCCAAAGTGTGCACACTCCTCCAAATTTACATGTTGAAGTCCTAATCTTCACTACCTCAGAATGTGACTGTAGTAGGAGTTAGGGGTTTAAAGAGGTAATAAAGTTAAAATGAAGACATTAAGGTGGGTGTAACTGGTGTTCTTATAAGAAGAAGAGATTAGGATACAGAAACACAGAGGAAAGACCTTGTGAAGACGCCGAGAGAAGACCATTTACAAGTCAAGGAGAGAGGCTTCAGAAGCAACCAATGCTGCCAACACCTTGATTTTACACTTCTAGCCTCCAGAATTGTGAGGAAAACAATTTCTGTTGTTACAGTCATCCAATCTGTGGTAGTTTATTATGGCAGCACTAGCATACTAATACATATGGGTCATCAGAATTTCATAGTTGGGGTTGTCAGCTCCTAAGATGGCCTCCAATGATCCCTGCCACCTTGTAGGCCCACCCTTGTGTGATTCCCTCCCATACTGAATTGAGCTGACCTGTGTAACCAAAAGAAAATGGTAGTGACTTCCAAGGCTAAGATATGTAACACTCAATGGATCACTTGCTCTGGAGAAACCAACTGCCATGTTGTAAGGACGTGAATGCAGCTCTATATAGAGGGTTGCATGGCAAGGAACTGAGACCTCCTGACAGTCAGGCACGTGAATGAGTAACTAGGAGTAGGCACTGTCCCTCTGCGAATATCTTGACTGCAACCTCATTAGCGATCTTAAGCCAGAACCACACAGCCAAACTGCTCCCAAATTCCTGGCCCATAGGGATTGTTAAATAATAAATGTATATTGTTATTGTAAACTACTAAGTCTGGGAACAATTTGTTACATAGAAATAGGTAAGTAATATAATAATTAAGGAAGGGACCTCAGCAAAATAGTTCCAGTCCTTCTGGTGAATTTGAAAGTAGGTCAACCGGATTTTATTCAGTCTGATTAAAGGAAAGACTTTTGAGCTTCACTGCAGAGAGAAATCTCAAGCCTGGAATGACATTTTAAAGACTTAACTGAATTTTTGGCTATTGGGGCTTTGAAAATTTGGCTTCTTGCAAGCTCTAGAAGTCTTTCTAATGCTAATAATAACACCTACAATTTATTTAACTATGATTTCAAACACATTTTCACATAAATGTTCTCATTTAATGTAGAAGATTGCAGTTTTTCCTGCAGTTTCCTAGGATTCGTGTGGTTATTTTTCTAAAGTCATCAAGGCTGTTCCCCACAGAATATTGTATAAGATAATGATTTTTTTGTTTTTATGGTGCAGATGATTTCTTTGCAAAATAATATAAGATTTTCTCACATCTTAATATGGCTTTTAAGTTTGCATACAATACCTATACCAAGAATTGAGCAATTAAAGATAACTGTATATAATTTTTTAAAGCAGATTTTGACTGGAATATGAATATTTGCTACTGAAACTTTACCTTAATTTTTGAATCGTAATTTGGAGACAAGTGAGTTGTCTGTTGGCTACAAGTGATTGTTACAGCTTTAAAAATAATGAAGCATGGAGTCTTTAACATAAATCTGTGATTCTCCTTTTGAATTTTAAAGGAGGGAAAATGATTCATTTGATTTGAAAAGGACATTATTTCTTATCCTTATTGGGTTTATTAGTGCAATTGTCTCATGTGATCTTAGGACAATGTTTTATTGTTGGACAGTAAGGCAGGACAGTAAAATGAAGACCCTGGTTTGCCCTTTTTCTAGCTACATATGGCACTTTCAGATGTCAAACCCTAGCAGAAGTCGGGGGCTTGAAGCAGGTCTCTCCTGGATGAAGGCTGATGACAGAGCAGGTATAAAGCTGTTCATAAAAGAAAGATGATCCCTGGATTACCCAGTGAAGCAGTGTGAAAACGGGGACTGGAATGTTAGCTCAGTATAGCACCAGTGCAGAAGGCAGCAGGGTGTATGGAGAAGAGATAGAAACTTAAGTGTGAACCAGTAAGGGAGAAGGATACAAGTTACAGAATGAATACTGGTCAGGTGTGATGGCTCACTCCTGTAATCCTAGCACTTTGGGAGGCCGAGGCGGCAGATCACGAGGTCTGGAGTTCAAGACCAGCCTGGCCAACATGGTGAAACCCCATTTCTGTTAAAAATACAAAAATTAGCTGGGTGTGGTGGCATGCACCTGTAGTCCCAGCTACTTGCGAGGCTGAGGCAGGAGAATTGCTTGAACCTGGGAGGCGGAGGTTGCAGTGAGTGGAGATCGTGCCACCGCACTCCAGCCTCGGCGACAGAGCAAGACCCTGTCTCAAAAAAAAAAAAAAAAAAAAAAAAAAAGACACTGAATTCAATTTCCATGTGCGTTAGAGTATGCATCAGGGAGTGAGCAGAGCAAGGAAAATCAACACACAATTTTTATAGTGAATAGATCAGAAATTAGATGGTAGATCATTGATAGCATGTGTCTTGGAATCATATCGGCTTCAGTTTAACTTCTGGTTTTATAATTTACTAATTAATAGTGTGGCCTTGGCAGGTTTTTAAGATGGTGTGATAAGGTTCCTAGCACAGATCAGACTAACTTGAGGTAGTTACAAACAATGCTTGTGCCAGCCCATTGCTAGATTGGAAGCTCAGATTCCCTCTAGTTGCTATATCCTTTTCTTTCTTAGAACCTGCCCATTTGATATCAACATCTTCATAAAAGTCTGCTCTCCAAAGCTAGCCATCATTTTTAACTTGTAAAAGATGGTAGTTTATAACTAGAAGGCATCTTTAATGTTTTGGAAGAAACATAAGGTCTTTGGAGTACTTTGAGTTCACCTCCTTAAAGGGACTAATATAAACGTGACATTTAAATAACCTGATTTTTAAATCTTTTATTCAAGTAGAAATGTGTGTGTTTTCGACTTTTAGGTTCAAGGGTTTCATGTTCAGGTTTATTATACATCACTGAGGTTTGGCATATGAATGATCGCATCACTCAGGCAGTGAGCGTAGTACCTGGTGGGTAGTTTTTTAACCCAAACCCGCTTACCATCCTCCCCACTCTAGTAGTCCCAGTGTCTATTGTTGCCATGTTAATGTCCGTGTTGACCCAGTGTTTATCTCCTACTTATAAGTGAGAACATGCAGTATTTAGTTTTCTGTTGCTATGTTAATTTACTTAGGATAATGGCCTCCAGCTGCATCATGTTGCTGCAAAGGGGAAACATTTGTATGTGTCATGTATGTTTAACAGTTTCATATTGCTGCTGTAACAAATGGCCACCAATTCAGTGGCTCAAAAAAAGAGCACAGATCTGTTCTCTCAGAATTCTGGAGGTCAAAAGTCTTCAAGTAGGTCAGCAGGGCTACATTTCTTTGAAGGCTCTATGGAAGAACTCATATATTTTCATGTTCTAGCTTCAAGAAGCCACCAGTATTCTTGGTGTGGTTCCATATTCAAAAACAGTGATGTAGCATCCTCCAGTCTCCCTCTCTCTCTCTTTTACCCTTTGCTTCCATTGTCCACATGTCTTTGACTCAGATTCTCTTACTTCTCTCTTACAAGGCAGTTCTTATAAGACTCTCATATTGAATTGGGCCACCCAGATAATCTAGCATAATCTCCCCACCTCAAGATCCTTCATTTACAGTCAACCGTAAAGTCCTTTTTGCCATTTAAATTAATAAATGGGCTGTGGGGATTAGGATATGACTATCTTTGAGGGGATCATAATTCAGCCTACATCAGTATGTATATTGTGTGTATATTGTATGTCAAAGTAGCTTGATATATTCCATGGAAGAACATTACTTTATTCCTTTATTTAGCTAGGAAAAACTGGTTAAATTGTGGTTCTGAAACCTAGTATAAATAGTAATATTTCCTTTCTGCTTTCCTTTCCTGTGATATGAGAAATTTGCCTTTAAGATATGAAAGATAGACAGCCCAGAAGCCAAAACAGGAATATTTACTTAGAAACACAGAGCTTGGACTCTACAGAACAGCATTTGCAACACTGAAGTCTTGTAAGCTTGACTGTAGCCTTAGGTGCTCTTCAGTTCGTGGCCAATTTAGAATCTCATTGTCATGGAGCCTGTGCAGATCAGATCCTAACTTAAAGTAAAAGCATGAGCAACCTAAATCAAGTCTACTTTGCAAGTGTAGAATTTGGGGCAGAAATTGTTCTGCTGCAGAGTTGGCCTACAAGCACTTCTTGAACTTTAATTTTTAATTTTGTGGGTACACAGTAGGCATATATATTAATGGGGTATAGGGATATTCAATACAGGCATATAATGTATAAAATTACATCAGGGTAAATGGAGTATTCACCACCTCAAGCATTTATTCTTTGTGTTATAAATGATTCAGTTATATTATTTTAGTTATTTTTAAATGTACAGTTAAATTATTGACTATAGTTACCCTGTTGTGCTATCAAATACTAGATCTTATTCATATTTTCTATTTTTTTGTACCTATTAATCATCCCCACTTCTGCCCCATTCCCCCCACTACTTTTCCCAGACTCTGGTAATCATCCTTCTGCTCTCGATCTGCACAAGTTCAATTGTTTTAATTTTTAGCTCCCACAACTAAGTGAGAATATGCAAAGTTTGTCTTTCTTTGCCTGGCTTATTTCACTTAACGTAATGACATTTAGTTCTATCCATGTTGTTGCAAATGACAGAATCTCATTTTAATGGCATATTTTGATGGCTCAATCTCATTCTTTTTATGCCTCCATTGTATAATAATACTCCATTGTATATAGGTACCACATTTTCTTTATGCATTCACCTGTTGATGGACACAGGTTGCTTCTAAATCTTGGCCACTTTGAATAGTGCAACAGTAAGCATGGGAGTGCAGCTATCTCTTTTATTTCCTTTCTCCGGTGTATATACCTAACAGTAGGATTGCTGGATCAGGTGGTAGTTCTATTTTTAGTTTTTTGAGAAACCTCCAAACTGTTTTCCACAGTGATTGTACTAATTTACATTCCCACCAAGAGCATACAAGGGTTTCCTGTACTCCACATTCAAGCCAGCATTTATTATTGCATGTCTTTTGGATATAAGCCATTTTAACTGGGGTGAGGTGATACCTTACTGTAGTTTTGATTTGCATTTCTCTGATGATCAGTGAGCTTGAGCATGTTTGCGTATACCTATTTGTCATTTGTCTTCTTTTGAGAAATATCTATTCAGATCCTTTGTCCATTTTTAACAGGGTTGCTTGAGTTCCTTGTATAGTCTGGTTATTAATCTCTTGTCAGGTGGGTAGTTTGCAAATATTTCCTCACATTCTGTGGGTTATCTCTTCATTTTGTGGATTATTTCCTTTACTGTGAAGAAGCTTTTTAACTTGATGTGATTCAGACTTTTTCTTTGGTTCCCTGTGCTTGTGGGGTATTACTCAAGAAACCTTTGCCAAGTTTAATGTCCTGGAGAGTTTCTCCAAAGTTTTCTTTGAGTGGTTTCGTAGTTTGAGGTCTTTGATTTATGCTCTTCACCTATTTGAATTTGATTTTTGTATATGGTGAGAGATAGGGGCCTAGTTTTATTCTTCTGCATATGGAAATCCAGTTTTCCCAGCACTATTGATTAAAAAGAATGTCATTCCCCAATGCATGCATTTGGCACCTTTGTCAAAAATGAGTTCACTCTTGACATATGGATTTGTTTCTGGATTCTCTAATCTGTTCCATTGGTCTGTGCATCTGTTTTTATGCCAGTACCATGCTGTCTGGGTTGCTATAGCTCTGTATTATAATTTGAAGTCAGGTAACGTGATTCCTTCAGTTTTGTTCTTTTTGCTTGGAATAGCTTTGACTATTCTGAGTCTTAAGTGATTCCACACAAATTTTTTGATCTTTTTTTCTACTTCTGTGAAGAATGTCATTGGTATTTTTATAGGGATTACATTGAATCTTTAGATTGTGTTTGGAAGTATGGACATTTTGACAATATTGATTCTTCCAGTCCATGAACATGGAATATCTTTCCAAATTTTTGTATCTTCTTCAATTTCTTTCACCAAATGTTTTACAGTTTTTACTGTAGAGAACTTTTACTTCTTTGGTTCAGTTAATTCCTAGGTATTTAATTTTATTTGTAGCTATTGTAAGTGTGATTATTTTCTTATTTCTTTCAGATTGTTCACCATTGACATATAGAAATGCTACTGATTTTTGTATGTTGATTCTGTATCCTGCAACTTTACTGAATTTATCCGTTCTAAGTTTTCTGGTGAAGTCTTTAAGTTTTTCCAAATAGAAGATTTTATCATCTGCAAACAAGGATAATTTGATTTCTTCCTTTCCAATTTGGATACCCTTTATTTCTTTCTCTTGTCTGATTGCTCTAGGTAGGATTTCTAGTACTATGTTGAATAACAGTGGTGAAAGTGGACATCTTTGTCACGTTCCAGATCTTAGAGGAAAAGTTTGTTTTTCCCCAGTCAGTGTGATACTAGCTGTGGGTCTGCTGTATGTAGCTCTTATTGTGTTGAGGTTTACTCCTTCTATACCCATTTTTGGAGTTTTATCATGAAGCGATGTTGAGTTTTAGCAAAAATTTTCAGCATCAGTTGAAATGATCATAAGGTTTTTGTCCTTCTTTCTGTTGATATAATGCATCACATTGATTGATGTGCATATGTTGAACCATCCTTGCATCCCTAAGATAAATCCAACTTGGTCACGATGAGTGATCTTTTTAATGTATTGTTGAATTCAGTTTGCTAGTATATTGCTGAGAATTTTTGCATCAGTGTTCATCAAAGATGTTGGCCTGTAGTTTTCTTTTTTGATGTGTCTTTGTCTGGTTTGATGATCAGGGTAATACTGGCCTCATAGAATGAGTTTGAAAATATTTGCTCCACTTTTATTTTTTTGGAATAGTTAGAATAGAGTTTCTATTAGTTCTCTAAATGTTTGGTAGAATTCAGTAGTGAAGTCATCGGGTCCCAGGCTTTACTTTGTTGGGAAATTTTTTATTATGGCCTTGGTCTTGTTACTTGTCACTGGTCTATTCAGGCTTTGGATTTCTTTATAATTAAATCTTGGTAGGGTGAATATGTCTAGGAATTTATTATTTCTTCTAGGTTTTCCAATTTATTGGCATATGGTTGCACATAGTAGTCTCTAATGATCCTTTGGATTTCTGCAGTATTGGTTCTAATGTCTCTTTTTTTCATTTCTGATTTTTTTTTATTTGGATCCTCTCTCTTTTTCCTGGTTAATCTGGCTAAAGGTTTGTCAATTTTGTTTATCTTTTCAAAAAATCCAGTTTTTGTTCCATCGCTCTTTTTATTATTCATTTCAATGTCATTTATTTCGGCCCTTATGTTATTTCTTTCTTCTAACTTTGGGTTTGGTTTGCTCTTGCTTTTCTAGTTCTTTAAAATGCAACATTAGGTTGTTTGTTTGAAGTTTTTCTTATTTTTCAGTGTAGGGACTTACAGCTATAAACTTTCCTCTTAGTTTTGCTTTCACTGTATCCCATAGGTTTTGTATGTGTGGCTCCTTTATCATTTGTTTCAAGAGACTTTTCAATTTTTTCTTAATCTCTTTGTTGATTCACTGGTCATTCAGAAACATACTGTTTAATTTCCATGTGTTTATATGGTTTCCAAAATTCTTCTTGTTATTGATTTCTAGTTTTATTCCATTATGGTCAGAGAAGTTACTTGATATATTTCTCTCTTTTTTTTTTTTTTTTTTTTTTTGAGATGAAGTATCATGCTGCCGCCCAGACTGGAGTGCAATGGCATGATCTCGGCTCACTGCAACCTCCCTCTCCCAGGTTCAAACAATTCTCCTGCCTCAGTGTCCTGAGTTTTGTGGCTTAACATATGGTCTATACTTGAGACTGATCTATGTACTGAGAAGAAGAATGTGTACTCTGCAGTCATTGGATTAAATGTTCTATAAATATTTATAGGCCCACATGGCCTATAGTGCAGATTAAGTTTGATTTTTTGTTGTTGTTGTTGATCTTCCATCTGGAAGATCTGTTCAGCGCTGAAAGTAGGATGTTGAAGTCTCCAGCTATTATTGTATTGGAGTCTATCTCTCTATCTAGCTCTAATAATATTTGCTCTAAATATCTGGGTGCTCCATTGTTGGATGCATATATATAATGTGTATATACATGTGTGTGTATATATATATCTGTATATATGTGTATATACACACACACACACAATCATATCCTCTGCTGAACTGACTCCTTTATTATTATATAATAACCTTCTTTGTCTCTTTTTATAGTTTTTGACTTGAGATATTTTTGTCTGATATAAGTATAGCTACTCCTGTTCTTTTTTGGTTTCCATTTGCATAGGATATCTTCTTCCATCCCTTTTTTTCAGTCTACGTGTCTTTAAAGGCCAAATATGCTTTTTGTAGGCAACAGATTGTTGCATCTTTTTTTAATCCATTCAGCCACTCTATGTCTTTCAATTGGAGAGTTTAGTCCATTTATATTCAATCTTATTATTGATGAATAGAGACTTACTCCTGTGATGTTATTTGTTTTCAGGTAGCTTTGTCACCTTCTCTTTCTTCTTTTTTCCTTTCCATCTTCCTTTTAATGAAGGTGATTTTCTCTGGTGATAAGTTTTAATTTCTTGCTTTTTATTTTTTGTGTATCCATTGCATGTTTTTAAATTTGAGATTACCATGAGGCTTGCAAATAATATTTTATAACCCATTATTTTAAACTGATGATGATTTAAGTGATTGCATAAACCACAAAAAAAAACTAAAAACTCTATAACTTCATCTCCCTGCTATTTTTTTTTTTTTTTTTTTTTTTTTTTTTTTACCTTTTGTTGTTTCTATTCATATCTTATTGTACTGTCTATGTCTTGAAAAGTAGGCTGGGTGCGGTAACTCATGCCTGTAATCCAGCACTTTGGGAGGCTGAAGCGGGTGGATAATCTGAGGTAAGGAGTTTGAGAGCAGCCTGGCTGACATGGTGAAACCCCATCTCTACTAAAAATACAAAAATCAGTGGGTCATGGTGGTGGGTGCCTGTAATCCCAGCTACTAGGGAGGCTGAGGCAGGAGAATCATTTGAACCCAGGAGGCGGGGTTGCAGTGAGCTGAGATGGTGCCACTGCATTCCAACTTGGGTGACAGCAAGACTCCATCTCAAAAAAGAAAAGTTATAGTTACTTTTTATTTGTTTATCTTTTCATCTTTTTACTTAAGATATGAGTAGTTTATACACCACAATTATAGAGTTACACTATTCTGTGTTTTGTGTGTACTTATTAGCAGTGAGTTTTGTACATTCAGATGATTTCTTATTGCTCATTAGTGTCCTTTTCTTTCTGATTGAACTACTTTCTTTAGTATTTCTTGTAGGACAGCTCTGGTTTTGATGGAATCCATTAGCTTTTGTTTGTCTGGAAAAGTCTTTATTTTTCCTTCATGTTTGAAGGATATATTTACTAGATATACTATTCTAGGGTAAAAGTTCTTTTTTTTTCTTCACCACTTTACGTCATGCCACTCTTGCCTGGTCTGTAAGCTTTCCACTGAAAAGTCTGCTGAGAGACAAGACATATTGGAGCTCTATTGTATGTTATTTGTTTCTTTTCTCTTGCTGCTTTTAGGATTCTTTTTCATTCTTGACTTTTGGGAGTTTGATTATTAAATACCATAAGATAGTGTTTTTTTGGGTTAAATCTGCTTAGTGTTCTGTAACACTCTTGTATAGAGTGTATCAATATTAAATATTGGTAGCCTTCTATAGGTTTGGGACATTCTCTGTTGTTATCCCTTTACATAAACATTCTACCCCTATCTCTCTACCTCCTCTTTAAGGCCAATAACTCTTAGATTGGTTCTTTTGAGGCTATTTTCTAGATCTTACAGGCATGCTTTATTCTTTTTTCTTTTGTCTCCTCTGACTTTGTATTTTCAGATACCTGTCTTTAAGCGCACTAATTTTTTCTTTCTGCTGAATCAATTTTGCTGTTAAGAGACTCTGATGCATTCTTCAGTATGCCAGTTGCATTTTTCTTTTCTTTCTTTTTTTTTTCTTTTAGAGACAGGGTCTTGCTCTGTCTCCAGTTGCATTTTTCAACTCCAGATTTTCTGCTTAATTCTTTTTAATTACTTCAATTTTCTTGTTACATATATCTGATAGGATTCTGAATTCCTTCTCTGTGTTATCTTAAATTTCTTTGAATTTCCTGAAATCAGCTATTCTGAATTCTCTGAAAGGTCTCATATTTCTTTCTCTCCAGGATGGGCCCTTGGTCCCTTATTTAGTTTGTTTGGTGAGGTCATATTTTCCTAGATAGTTTTAATGCTTATGGATGTTCATAAGTGTCTGGGCATTGAAAAATTAGATACTTGTTGTAGTTTTTGCAGTATGAGCTTGTTTGTACCTGTCCTTGGGAAGGCTTTCCAGGTATTTAAAGAGACTTGGGTGTTGCGATCCAGTGGTCACTTTAGCTATATCTGCATTAGGGGGCACCCCAAACCCAGTAATGCTGTGGTTCTTGCAGATTTGTAGAGATACTGTCTTGATGGTCTTAGGTAAGATCTGGAAGAATTCTCTGGATTACCAGATGCAGATTCTTGTTTTCTTCCCTTACTTTCTCTCAAACAAATGGAATTTCTCACTATGTGCTGAGCTGCCTGGAGCTGGAGGAGGGGTGACACAAGCATTCCTGTGGCCCCACCACCACTGGTACTACACTAGGTCAGACCTGAAGCCACCACAGCACTGGGTCTTGCCTAAGGCCTGCTGTAGCCACTACTGGGCTATTGCCTATGTTTACTTAAAGCCCTAGGACTCTGCAATTAGCAGGTGGTGAAGCCAGTCAGATTTGTGTTCTTCCCTTTAGGGTGGCAAGTTCCTCCTGAGTCCCAGACAGGTCCAGAGAGGCTGTGCAGGAGTCTGGGCCTAGAGTCAGAAACCTTAGAAATCTACCTGCTCCTCCAATATATTGTAGCAAAGCTAGCACTGAAACCACAAGACAAAATCTTTCCCATTCTTTCTTCTCCTTTCTATAGACAGAGGAGTCTCTCCCCATGTCCAACACCACCACAGGCCTACAGGGAGTGTGCCAGGGTATCCCCCAAGGATTCTTCAGTCAGATTGTAGTGAATGCTGCCAGGGCAGGGACTCACCTTTCAGGGAAGTGGGCTCCCCTCTGGCCCAGGATAGGTCCAGAATTGCTGTCCAAGAGCCAAGGCCTGGAATTGGGGACCCCAAGAGCCTGCTTGATGCTCTGCCTCACTGTGACTGAGCTATTACCTAAGCCGAAAAACAAGTCTCTTTTATTTTTCCCTGTCCTTTTCTGTAGCAGAAGTCTCTCCTGGTAGCTACCACAGTTGTAAATACACTTGGTCACACCTAAAGCCAACACATCTCAGAGTCTCACCGAAGGCCCATGACATGTACTACCTGACTATTGCTGCTGGTTATTCAGGGCCTCAAGGCTTTTATGTCAGCAGATGATGGATCCTGCCAGGAATGGGTCCTTCCCTTTAAGTCAGTGGGTTCTGGCTGAGGATGTGTCTAGAAATGCCCAGAAGCTAGGACCTGGAACAGGGGCCTCATGACTCTGACTGGTGCCCTGTCCTTCTGTAGCTGAGCCAGTATCCAAGTTTCAAGACAAAGTCCTCTTACCCTTCCCTCAAGAGGAAGGAAGGGGACTCTTTTGGAGCTATGAGCTATGCTGCCTGGGTTTGGGGGGAGGAGTGGAACAAGCATTCCCTTAGCTACCCTGGCTGATGTCTCAGTAGGTCACATGCCCACCACCCCCAGCCCCTAGCCCCCAAGTCCACTGGCTCTGAGCCCAGTTCAGCACTAGGTCTTGCCAAGAAGTTGCAGCCTTTGTGGCCTAGTCTGCCTTTCAAGTTTATTTGGAGCCCCAGAGCACTTTATCCCATGGTGGTGAGGCTTGCTGAAACTCAAGTTCCAATCTCTGCCATGGGCAATTCCTCTCTGGCTAGGGCTGGTCTAAATGTTCCCTCTGTGGGTATCAGCTGAGTCCTGCCTGGTGTTGGTAGCACCGAGTTCCAATGCAAAACCCACAATCACTGTGCTCTGCCTTCCCCAAGCACACAGATTCTCTTTCCACACCGTATGGCTGCTGCTGGGGGATGGGGGAGTGATGGTGTTGTCAATTCAAGACTATCTTATCCACCCTCTTCAGTCCCTCTTTCAGTGATATGAAGTTAAAACCACTTAATGTGATTGCTCACTTGATCATTGGTTCTTAGAAGGGTGCTTTTTTGTGTAGATGTTAAATTTGGTATTCCTGCAGGGAGGACAATTAGTGCAGGCTTCTATTTGGCCATCTTGTTCCACCTCCTCAACCCTACAAGCACTTCTGTGTTCATTTATTAAAATTGCCTATCTCAATCATCAGAAAGAACACATATGAATGACGCATGGTCAGGCTCAGTGCCCTTACTCCCCCTTCCCAAAAAACAAACTACCAAATGAACAAAGGACCACCTCTTCTGTGATGATCACTCTTCTGTGACAAGAACGTTTGGTGTTTGTCAGTAGAACTTTATTTCTTTAACTTTTGGACTCAGATCCTTATTCAACCCCAGGCATTCTGGGGAGATTGAAACTGTTATCAGCCATAGAAAAAACGGATTTATTATTATATTTTTAGTCATTCATTCAGTCAGTCATTTGTTCATTATCTATTTATCAGCAGTGTACTGCTCAATATCAGCTTCAACTAATATATTGAAAGCACATCCTAAAGGCAAAACCTGTGGGAGGTATCTTGATCACATATGAAGATGAATTAAACATAATTCTTGCTTTTCAAGAGCTAGTGATTCTTTAAGGGCAGATAAAAAAATGTAAGAACCCACATCTTAGTGGTAGGGAAATTGATATTTATCTTATTAAATTTCAAACGACTGGGCACACACATTCACTCATTGCAGCTCTGGGTAGCTGCTTCTTCTGAGGCAGACATTTCCCTTCATCCACCTCCCTCAAGTATGTTCTAAATTTCCTACTCTTTATCTTACCTGGTTTTTATTCCCCAGTTTGTCTCACATAGGCTCTGGAATTAGCCATTGCCAGATGGGGTTCCCAGAGGTAATTGGCCTGTGTTTAGTCCCGTGACCTGGCCAAGACTTGATCTTATTACCACTTCTCTCCTCAAAATGCTGCAGCCACATGTGGACCTCTGAACAGGCCCCATGCAATATGCCAGCAATGAGCCACTATTAGCTACAGGGCATTGCAACTGTGGATGGTCCCAAAAGACATACGTGATAAGTGCCAAAAACACACCAGATTTCTCATGACTTAAAATGGAATGTAAAATTAAAAAGAATTATTTTTTTTAAAAAACATAAAATTGCTCAATAGTAACTTTTAATGCTTTTAGATATATTAGATTAAAATATTAAAATTATTTTTTATTTGGCTCCTAGAAATTTAAACTTATATGTATTTATGTGATGCATATATTTCATAACATTTAAAATGTAAAATTACACTATATTTTACTGCACAGTTCTGCTGTAGGATGAGGGTCGGCAAACTTTTCCAGTAAATGTCCAGATTGCAAATGTTTTTGGCATGGGGTTTGTAGGTAATACCTAATGAACAAGAGCAACTGCATTGAGAGTAGAACAGAACAGGGAAGAGTCAGGATTTGGCCCAAGGCCATAATTTACAGAAACCTAATCTAGTACCTAAAGCAATGGGTGAAGAACTCCCTCAGACATGGTGGTTTTAGTTGGTTTTTGGAGCTCTTACTCTTTCTGCATGAGTCATTTTCACTAGCTCATTCACACAGCTACCAGTGATCCCAGTAATGCTCTTGATTGGCCCGTCTCACATTGTACTACCTTGGAATTAAGGCATATGTGAGGGGCCCCAAAAGAAAGAGTCATGAAAACAACTGATTTGCATACAAGATGGAATAAGATTAGTGTTAAAGCAAAGTGAGTGCTGTGGGAGCCCAGGAGGCTGTTGGATGGGCAGGGGATGGTGTCAATAAGTTGGTCAGCTTTTTCCTTGGGAGCGCTCTTTGGAGGGTGGTCAGGTATTTTCGTGTGTAGACTTTGTATCTGTCAGGTGCACATATTCTCTCATTTGCTCTTCAAAATCTGTGCTATGTTATTAAATCCATTCTAGAAGGAGACAATGACTTAAGTAATGTGTTCAAAGGAACATAGCTTGTAAGGAGTGGAGCTGGGATTAGAACTGGGGTCTATCTGAGACGAAGATTTACACATAGTCTTTTTTTTTCTAAGTTGTACTGCTTCCCATGAAGGTCCTGAATGTCTGAAGGTATAAGCAAAATCTCAAAATAGGATAAGAACTAAGAAAATTTCAGTTGGCCCTTAAATTAGTTAATAAAGGCTATTGGAAGTACATGGTCTGGAATTAGCTTTTCTTCCCTAACTCACCTATTTAGGTCAACTGGTAAGCAGATCATAATAATAATAATAATAATAATAATAATAATAAATCAGACTTTTCAAAATTAAAGAGTACTATTTATTAATACTAAATTCAGTGACCAGAAAAGTAATGACATCTACTAACTATTCTAATGCCCCTATGGCAGGATTTTGTAAAATCTAATAGTCTAGATATCACCTTTGGAGAGAGTTGCTAGTGTCAAATATGGGATAAACTACAATTGACTCTTTTGAGTCCAGTTATTTAGAAACTAGCACTAGAGGGGCTTTAAACATGTAATTTTTAAGGGAACATTTTATTATACAGTTCACCAGGCAGAAATAGATACAATAAACAATGAATTATAAAACAATGGGGACCTGATATCAACTTCTTTCTCACTAGTGAAAACTCAATCTGGTGGTTTTAAACCTCTTGGTGAGGATTGGGGGGCATGGAAGGGGAATATAATCCATTTTGAAATTACAATAAAAATCTCCCCAGAAAAATGTAGCTTTGAACACACATACACAATTTTGTACACACTATCAGACAGTTTCCAGACCCTTCAAGGCCACTTGTAAACACATTCTATGACCCCCTGACTTGAATGCGTTGTCCCATATGTTCTGTTGATCCTCTTTTATAATCCCTGTTGGGCAATCTGATTTGCCCAGGTTCACCCTGATTGGCCCTGGTTCTGAACGCCCAGATTAATGTTGTTCATACCATGTCAGTATCTAAAACAGTTCCTGAAACTCTGGAAAAATGTCTGTGATATTCTGTAGCACATGCTTAAATACTTGTGTCAAGAAGTGCGGTAGAAAGTTAACTGTAGGAGAGTGTGCAATTTTTAGTTAACCCAAGTTAGCAGCAAATGACAACAGTTTCTGTTTTCTGAGTTCAGGACAATTTTATTGGCTTATGCATGGCAACTACTTTTTCCTGTCAATGATCTAAATATCTTTAAATGACTAGGCTAGTTGATTTTATCACTTAAAAACTTGAGATACAGGTTTAGAAAGTACAGACTGTCACCAAAACTTACTACAGTTGACCATTAAGAGGTTCAGGAATATGTGTACTATTTAAAAGATTAAAGCATACACTGATGGGTGCTGTTTCTTGTCAAATCTGTGATGTATGTACTAAAATTTTTAGAAAGTTTTTAATGGCAATTGACATCCATGGAAAAAAAGCCCTTCCCTCATCTCCCAACCCCCACCCCCAACACACACACACAACCTTCTTTTAACGTTTGGTAATTCTAAATAGATCCACTGCAAAGAAATGGAAATGCAGCCTTTTCTCACTAGAAAATTTTGAGCACAATCGTTACACAGCCATGAAACCACCGGTTGATATGTTTCTCATTCCTTTAGACTTGGTTAAATTAGCATTCATTGTGTAAGTTTCCTTGCCTGGTAAGCACTTAGTCATCCAGTCTTTTGTGCTCCTAAATTATATAGGACTTTGAACAGATTATGTAGCATTCATTGGAATGTGGACCTACTTTTCCCAGTAGACTGTAACTTTGGCCTTATCTATTTTGTATCCCCAACAAGATGGGTAAACCATTGTGGACATATGTACTGATCTGTAAACACAAAGGCCCGAAGTAAAATTCATAACATTCTACCAAAAAAATCGCTATGCTTTATTATTTTACGTAAATGAAAGTATAATATTTTTGCTCTTTAGGCAATCACCATGTGAAAGTGATTTAGGCATGGTGACTTGTGCATAATAGGTAGTCAATAAATGTGTTATGTGTGTTGGATGAATGAGGCATGAGTTTCTATAAGAAGGACCAAAAGAGAATGGTCATATCAGATAGCCAAATGAAGGATGCAATGTCTATAATGGAAAATTAAATTCACTCTTGGTGAGATTCCTTGGCAAATTTCATAGATAATGAAAAACTTTAGCAGCTAGATTGTCTAGGTTCAAATCTTGACACTGCTGTTTATGATGTTACCTTGGGCAAGTTATTTAATCATACCATGCTTTAATTTACTCATCTAAAAATGGTTATAAAAATATATCTACCTAATACAGTATGTTTTTATGCTATTGTTATGATTAAATGAATTAATATATAGAGAGCGCTGGACATGTAATGAGTGCTACATGAGAGTGCGTTGTCATTGTTGTTTTTGAGTCTGTATATCTGAGATAAAGAGGAATAAACAGACAAACTGTATGCCTGCTTCACTTCCCAAAATTCTATGTGCAGGATACACTGGGATTGTGTGGATAGGGAAAGTTAGAGCAAGACCCAGACTGCCATAAATTAAAATTTAAATAACCACGTCCCTTTTCTTGTTTGCCTTTAATCAAATCTTGCTTTAATACCTGATGAAAATCAGTAAAGCAAAGCCATCTTATTATTGGAAAAAATTATTTATGGATAATCCTGGCAGTTTGTGATTCAAGTAAATTGATTTGCAGCTTGGCAAGGAGATATTTGGATGGAAACAGTGATTCGGTCTTTTCCAGGCCCCAGTCACTCCAAGGTAGTGAGTTGAGTCCTGGAAGAGGATCTCTAATTCTTCCAGTCTTCCAGGTCACTGTTAAGGACAGCTCAGCAGAAGGGCTGTGGAGGGGATGCTGTGGGCAGGATACACTGTTGTTTAAGCTTCATGCCCAAGATACCAGGTTTGTTTGTTTGGTTGGTTCCCCGGTGGATTACCTCACTTTCCCCAGAGCAGAATGGTCTGTCTCAGAGCATCAGACTTCATCAGGACAGCTGGATTTCAATCCAGACTTAAAAACTATGGCTTTAAACCTGTAGATGGCAAAGTTTTTCCATTTCTCCTGGGCCCAGCATTTTATGAAATGGCTTTAATCAGCACACATTTTTATTGTGCACATTATAAGCACAGTACTGCACTAAATACCATGGACAGAAATTCTGGCTTCACAGAGAAGTGATGAAAGTGTCTGGGCAGAGGACTGCTATGCTTAGCCGTTGACTTTATTATGGAAGCCAAACACTAAACATCCCTTCATTCCTTTTCCCCCAACCTCTGTCTGACACACACATACTTTAGTGCCTGCAAAAGTGTAACAAGCTGACTGTTGCATGGCATGTCTTTGCTAAATATGACCATGAACCCTGTTACACTGTCTAGAGTTTATAGGAGAGAGAATGTTTTAAGAAAGGGCCACTGGGCCGGGCGCGGTGGCTCACGCCTGTAATCCCAGCACTTTGGGAGGCCGAGGCGGGCGGATCACGAGGTCAGGAGATCGAGACCATCCTGGCTAACACGGTGAAACCCCGTCTCTACTAAAAATACAAAAAATTAGCCGGGCGTGGTAGCGGGCGCCTGTAGTCCCAGCTACTCGGGAGGCTGAGGCAGGAGAATGGCGTGAACCCGGGAGGCGGAGCTTGCAGTGAGCCGAGATCGCGCCACTGCACTCCAGCCTGGGCGACAGAGCGAGACTCCGTCTCAAAAAAAAAAAAAAAAAAAAAAAAAAAAAAAGAAAGGGCCACTGACTATGCTTGTGCAAAACTTGTGCTGTACAAATTACAGCAATGGTATTTTCACAAAGGATGTCTTCTTGGGTGGTAATGTGAAAGTATTTGCTGTTTACCTAGGGATGATTCTATTATGGTTGTATTCAATTCAATGCCATGAACCTGTGTTGAGCACCTAGTTATGTGCCTAGTGCTGTTAAGATACAGAATGATGAGTAAGATAGAAGTTCATCCCTTCTCTAAAAGAATTTACAGGGAAGAGGATCTAGCTAGATATGAATATGTCAGGAAGAATATTGAGTTCAGTGCAAATGTGCTCTTTGCATGGCATTTCACTTTCCATTTAGCCCTATAGAACAATTAACTAATTATGTACCTTTCATTTCCTGTGTGTGTCTAAAAGCTATTGTGGACATATGTACTGGCATGTAAACACAAAGGCCCAAAGTAAAATTCATAACATTTTACACAAATAGCTATACTTTATTATTTTGTGTAGATTAAAGTATAATATTTTCTCCGTTAGGCAATTGCAATGTGAAAGTGACTTACAATCTTTGATTCCTTTGCCTCTCACCATGAACTAGACATCTATGAGAGAGAAATAAGTGTAAAGATCTTTTAATGCATTTTATCTGTTTGACAGGGACCTGTGAGATCAATTCATTCTAATATATGCACAAATAAGAATAATTAGTATTCCCATTAGTTAGAAGCCTATTTACAATGTAATTGTTTGAACCAATTCTCTTGCTTTTAATAAACTCACATCTGTTCATAAACAACAAAGAATTTTTATAGATCCCTTAGTTGAGAGCAAAATTCTGTCAGCAACTTCATACTTCAGTTACAGTCAAGGAGTAGATTCTCACTTAAGCCATCAAATGCTTAGCTTTCACAATAGACATATACTAAATCTTTTTTCATGGAACTCTGCAGGTTCTAGGCCATTAACTTCTGATCCATCTTTAGCTATGCCATGTGCTTCTGTCCTCCCATGCTGTGAGCCGACCAGGGGCAGACATTGCCATGGATTGTAAGTAACTTTGAGGGTCTCTGTGCTACTCAGTGATATTAACTTCCTGCCTTTGTTCTGCCCTGAACTGTCTGTTCATCCTGGCATTAAGCACAAACAGAATGGTCCTAGAAAACTCTTTAAAGCAGTAAATGAGCAAGTGCCTTACACAATTAAAACCACCAGCAAAGAAAATTTTCAATTTCTCACAAAAGTGGAACTGAGTTCTCTGGAGATTTCATTCAATTTTATTTTATGCTTAAGTGAATCTGCCTCCTAAATTAGCTAATTTCCTAACCATGGTCTAAAAAATTTAGTGTGTTCATTAGTAGTAATCCAATAATACATTTAGTTAAGACAAGTTCAAAGATAATCTTATTAAATCCTGGTTTCTTCTGGAAGGACTCTCTTAAGCCACAACATAAGGGAAGTTTAGGCAGCTCTGTAATCCATCCAATGGATCCTAAAATTAAACTTGTAATCCTGATCAGCAATGAATTGCAAAGCAGAGCCCCCAAGTCTAACTTAACTTTGCAGGCTTTTGGTGATAGGGCTACCAGGAATGCCTGTTACAAGCATACAGAAGCACCATGAAAAGGACTGTTTTCACAGTTGGCTTATTTGCATGTTTTGCAATGCACACTCTTCAACATCTCCTCCATATATAAGCGCCATTCAGTGCCTTATTAACATACATTAAGAAGTAAATTTTTAAAAATTTGATTTCTAGTGCAAATGGCAGTAGTGTTGAGGGATATTCATCATTTAACAAATTTATGAACTATTACTTTCTGTCAGTGTTTATGTTAAACACTAGTAGAACATTTTCCCTGCCCTCTTGGACCTTACAGTTTTGGGTTGTTGTTTTTTTTTTTTTTTGTTTTTTTTTTTTTGTTTTTTGGTGAGGCAGAGTGAACAGATATCCTCAGTGAAGTAAATAAACAAAAAAATGATAGAATCATGACAGTAGTGAAGAGGCTTCAGGTGCAAAATGACAGCAGAATTTACCTGGAAAAGTGTAAGGACTCAGGGAAGCATCAAAGAAGAGAGACTATTTCATTTGACCTTGAAAGATGAGTTTCCAGGTCAACAGGATGGGGAAGGGGGTTACAGGCAGAGAAATTGACAGAAGTAGAGATATGGAATTATAAGAATACATGGAATATTCAGGAATATGTTGTTAGTCCCATGTGGTTGGAATGCAGGGTGCATGAAAGTGGAAGATAATAATGCCTATAAAGGAGGTTTGATAGTGTATCATGTCCAACAGTTTGGCCTTTAGCCTTCCAGTACTCAGGAGCCGTCAAAGATTTAAAAGGGAAGTGACAGAATATGATAAAATTTGAAAATGATGAATGGAGCCATCATAGAGAAAAAACTGTATAATTTGATAGCTATAGTTAGTGTGTCTAGAGCAGTTGGTCAGCACTTGGATTGTTTCTCCTTTTTGGCTCCTATAAATTATGCTGCTGTAAATATTTGAATGCAAGTCTTTGTGTGGGCGTATGTTTTCATTACTCTTAAGCAGATACCCAGGAATGGAGATGCTGGGTTGTATGATAAATATATATTTAATTCTTAAAGAAACTTCCAAACTGTTCTCCTTCTACTAAGATTTTTTGGAATGCCTAGACATTCTGATATATTAAACTGTGATTTATATTCCATTCCTACAACTATTGCTCCTTTTCCAACAAATCTCCTTTTCCCATCCCTTTCAGTCTTCTCATTCTGGGGATACTGGCAGCTTGAGGCAGACCTTGTTTATTAATGTCAAATGAGTTGGAGGCATTTTTCTCCAACAAAGACTATAATTACTCATTTCTGCATGTTTTAAGAAATAAGGAGTTTTGAGACAGTGGTTTGGAGAAAGCATCTCATACCTCAACTAAAATGACTTTGCTTTGATACATGGAGGCAGAAAACAAAGCATTTAAAGAAAAGATAAAAATTATCACAATGTAAGATTTTAGACTTAAATTTTCAAAGTAAATATAAATCTGCACCAAGCTCTGATGTGGTAAGCAGATCCTATTATATGTTTGTTGTACCAGGAAAAAATATGTAGGTTATTCTTGACTTTTTAAAAGTCAATGGATGATGTCATTTATTTATACAAGAAGTAATTATAGACCTACTGGAGTTTAAGGGCCATGTCTTAGCTGCCTGGTCAGAATTTGAAAATTTGGGATCTTTGTAACAATCTGTTGAGAATATCACCACCTCCTAATATGCTAAATAAATAATGTTTTCCATTCCTGTTACCTCTTTTTTAAAAAGATGAAGTCAAAAAACAAAACAAAACATAGTATTGCTATTTATGATATTCCAAAGCTATAAAGTGAAAGTACTGATGTTTTCCATTTCTGTCATATCTCTCCCTTAAAAAGATGAAGTAAAAACAAAACAAAACAAAACATAGTATTGCTATTTATGATATCATTCCAAGGCTGTAAAATGTTTTCAAAACATATTTGTTCTAAACCTAAACATGATAAACCAGGGAAAGAATTAAAGCCAAATGTTTAGTTCAAGCTTTGGCTAACTAAGGCCCGTAGGCAAAATCTAGCCTGCTGTTTTTTTAGAGCCCACAAACTGGGATGGTATTTAAAATTTTTTTAATGATTGAAAAAAAATCAAAAGGAGAATAATATTTAATAACACATGAAAATGACATGAAATGTAAATTTTAGTATTCTCAAAGAAAATTTTATTGAAACATGGCCACACTCATTCCTATACATATTACCTATGGCTGCATTCTGCTGCAGTGCCATAGTGGAATAGTTGCAACAGAGATTGTATGGCCTGTAAAGCTTAAATATTTCCTAGCTGGCCATTGAGAGAAAACATTTGTGGACACCTGATTTGTGGATTTATTCAACCATAAAACTCACACTGCTCTTATATATCTGATTAAAAATAAGTATATTATTTGTTTTGTTTTTGATTTCTTGGTTTGTCTTTACCTTTACCATTGCCTTTGTTCTTCACTGCCCAGAATGTATGCCTGTAAACTTTGTGTCATCAGTCTTTCCTGTGAAGTGTTATAATACATACATACATACATACATAGTAAAGCTGGCTGTGATCACTCTTAGCACATTATAAAATCTCTGAAAGGGGAAAAATTCAAGTCATTTTAATATTAAAATAGAGTTTTACTTTCAGCCCTTTTTCTTTAAGAAAAATCTTCCGCTGACAATTACCACCTGATGTACATTCATGTTTTTCTTCAATGGACTCCCAAAGTTTTATCTTGAAAGTGTCTTTCTTCTAAGAGGAGCATTTATGGGGAATGCTAGTGTCAGCCATGCACCTTCTTGATGGGTTCAGCAATCAAATACATTTGGAGAGCGGTACAGCCTGTTCTTGATCCATGGTGCACATTTACGTATGAAAGGCTCTAAGAGTTCCTGTGGTAAAGAGATTAATTTGTTTGACTCAGTATATTCCCTTGGAAACTTTTTTTTCATATAATACTGATTAACAAACTCAAGGAAACACCAATAATACACTGATTCTTTGTATTTTGTTTTAGTCAGGAGTCTAAATTAAAACTAAACATTACACCAAACCTCAATATAAGGAACATGAAATCACAAGCCTGGACAACATAGTGAGTCTCTACAAAAGATAAAAATTATGTGGGCTGGGTGGTACACACTTATAGTCCCAGCTATTCAGCAGGCAGAGATGGGAGGATGGCTTGAGCCCGGGAGGTTGAGGCTGCTGTGAGCCATGATCATGTCACTGTACTCAAGCCTGAGCAACAGGGTGATACCCTTTCTCAAGAAAAACAAACAAAAACAAAACAAAAAAACCATGAAATCAGCTCTGTTCAGGCTGAAGCATGGAGGCAGAGGATGAGCTCCACCTCCCTGTCTTCCCAGCTAAGCTCTCCACCCTACCCCAACATCTTGGGGCCTGGTGGAATCCATTACAGTTGAAGATCTATGATTTACAAATGTAAGTTTATAAAATGGGCTTTCAAGCTATATACTGTATAAAGGATGTTATGGGTTGAAGTGTGTCTCCCAAAAAGAAGTCCTAACCCACAGTACCTCAGAACGTGACCTTATTTGGAAATCGGATCATTGCAGATATAATGAGTGAAGTAAAAATGATGAGGTCACACCTAAGTAGAATGGGCCCTTAATTCCAGTAGCTGATGTTCTTATAAAAAGGGTAAATTTGAACATAGACACACATATAGGGAGAATGTCATGTGAAGGCAGAAATCAAGGCGATACTTCTGCAAGCCAAGGCATGCCAAAGATTGCCAGCATATCACCAGAAGATAGGAGAGAAACCCAGAACAGATTCTCTCAAACAGCCTTCAGAAGGAATCAGCCCTCCCAACAACACCCTGATCTTGGACTTCTAGCCTCTCAAACTATGAGACAGTAAATTTCTATTGTTTTAAGCCACCTAATATGTGGCATTTTGTTACACAGCCCTAGGAAACGAATATATGGGACACTGAAACTTTGAATTGGCATTACTGTCTTTAGTACAGGACCCATGGAGAAAGTTACTACTCTTCCTATTTAAAAAAAAAAAAACACAATCATATAAAAGAACAGTAACAAATGAAAGAAAGAATGAATTTCAAAGGGTTTTATCTTCTGGAATAGAAAAAGGAAGCAGAACATCAGTGAACCTTCTAGGTACCATTGAGAAACAGTCAAGGCTTAGAGATCACGGTTAATGACTCTGAGATTCCTGCAAGGCTTTGGAAAGCAGTGACTAGCTTGAATGTACTGTATTTTTTTTCTACCTGTCTGATTTCTAATCATGAATAGGAGCAACACCCTCAAAAAGGAAAAGTCTGCCAGGGAATGACTGTGTTACCCCAAAATTCATATGCTCAAGCCCTAACCCTCAACGTGACTGTATTTGGAAATAGGGCCTGCAAGAGGTGATAAAAGTTAAAAGAGGTCATAGGGTGGAGCCCTAATCCAATTGAGCTGGTTCCCTCTTAAGATAATGAAGAGACACCAGAGTGTATGCCTTCTTACGTTCTCTGTCTCTGCCACGTGAGAACACAGCCAGAAGATGTCCCTCTATAAAGCAGTAAGAGAACCCTCACTGGAAACTGAATTGGGTGGCACCTTGACCTTAGACTTTCCCTTTTCATCCTCCCGAATTGTAAGAAGCAGATTTCTGTTGTGTGAGCCATCCAATCCATGGTGTTTTGTGATAGCAGCCAGAACACATTAAGACAAAGTCCACGTGCCAACTGTGTAGAGAACAACAATATCTTGTTCTTGGGCAACTGTATCCTACTCTTGAGGTTGTTTGATAGGAAAGAGAACTTCTTACAAAGGAACTTTAAATGGGTCAAAACTCTGGGGCCTCTTGGAAGTAAGGAAGGGTACCAGAAGGAGTCAGTATAGGACTGAGAAATGCTCCAGGGCAGTGATCCTTGACCTTTTGGGCACCAGGGACCGGTTTTGTGAAAGATAGTTTTCCCACAGACCAGGGAGTGGGTCAGGGAGGGTTTAAGGATGATTCAAGTGCATTACATTTATGGTGTACTTTATTTTTATTATAACATTGTAATATATAATGAAATAATTATACAACTCACCAGAATGTAGAATCAGTGAGAGCCCTGAGCTTGTTTTCCTGCAACTAGGCAGCCCCATCCGGGGGTGATGGGAGACAGTGACAGATCATCAGGCATTAGATACTCATAAAGAGTGCGCAACCTAGATCCCTCACATGTATAGTTCACAAAAGGGTTCCTGCTTCTATGAGAACCTAATGCTGCAGCTGATCTGACAGGAGGCGGAGCTTAGGCAGTAATGTGAGCCATGGGGAGTGGCTGTAAATACGGGTGAAGCTCCTTTGGGTCCCCTGACGCTCACCTCCTGCTGTGCCGCCCAGTTCCTAACGGGGTTAGGGACCTCTGTCCTGGGAAATGTACCCTTGGGATTCCCTAAAGCAGAAGTTGGCAAACTTTGTCTGTAGAGGACAAGCCCAGCTAGGAAGTATTTTAGGCTTTGTGTGCCATATGGTCTCTGCTACAAGGTCTCAATTCTGCCATTATAATGTAAAAGCAGCCATAGACAGAATGTAAATGAATGAGCATGGCTGTATTCCAATAAAACTTTATTGACGGTCATTGACATTTAAATGTCATATAATTTTCATGTACCATGAAACATTCTTCTTTTGATTTTTTCCAACTATTTAATAATGTAAAACCATTCTTAGCTCATGGACCAGACAAAAAGAGGCAGCAGGCTGGATTTGGCCTGTGGGCAGTAGTTTGCAGCGCCTGCCACAGATAACTTCCCCTCTGTCTCTATCAGCAGGTGCTCTTTGCCTCTCTCTCAAATTTTGCCAAGCTTACTGCTGTTTTTGGTGTGCCAATATTTGGCAGATGTTACAGAAAAAATAAGATGGGCTCCAATACCTGGTATTGTTTTGTTTGAGATGACTTTGAAATTTTTATTTCCTTTTGGTCCAATTAATTTGATAGAGAAGAAAAGAAGTCAGTCTCTCTCTCTCCCTCCCTCCTTCCCCCTCTCCCTACCCCCTCTTCTCCCCCCACCCCCTCATTGCCTCTCTCCCACCTCCTTCCATTTTTCATGTAAAGCTCCTTTCTTTGGTTTTATGTTTTAACTCATAAAATCATTTTTGGAATTGGTTTCCTCATCTGAGTGTTAAGATTTAAGAAATCATTTTGCTTATAAAAATGCCAACACACATTCATTTCCTCATATAGAAGTGAAAAGCTTATTCCTTAAAAAGCAAGCACTTTTAGCAATCATGGTACATAATATAAACGAGGCATCTATTTGCTAATTACTCTTTCCCATTCTCCCATTGGCCAGAATTCCATTTCTAGCTATGGAATATGAATAATTAAAGTGATCAAAGTCTCATGATTTACATTGTGTCTGGATGGGCTAAGACTTCACTATTCACTTAAGTTCATCACAAGTAAATAGTTGCATGGACTGCTATTAAAGTCTTGAGGTTCGTGCAGCTGGAGATGTTTTAGGTTCCAGTTTTCCAAAATATGTGATAAAACTTCATAATAATTTGAAAAGCACAGAGGGTTACCTTTATGTTTATGTGTCCCTGACCATCTCAATTTTTAACTTGAAAAATGGGACAACAAATGGGAGAATTATAGTATATAGTTTAGCAGATATGATATAATTATTTAGAGATGCTATTTTGGCCATGAGAACCATTCTTGTGTTAATAGCACTACTTTTGATGAATTTAGGAAACTTTCATATTCTTTTCTGTTTCTAAATGTTCATTACATTAATGCAAGTAGGATATTTTATTTTGATTGACTTCAAAGATCTAAGTAAACTCTTGGAAGCTGGTCTCACAAGTAGTCAATGTTAATTAACGCAAACCAAACTTGGCCTTTGCAGGGCAATTTGAACTGTTTATTCTTAAGAATACCAACACCAACAACTGCTTGTAAATGTTCCACTGCAGGAATATTTTCCATTGACTTATATTCCTGTTTTTGGTGGGTAAAGGATGAAAGCCTAGTATTTCATTCATTGTTTCAAATACTTTTCAGTACCTAAATTATTGATATTTTTTGTGAATGTTTTGTTCAAAATAGAATTTAAAACTGCAGCAAGTTGTACTCTTGCTGTTCCCTTTACTCTAGACATACCGTTTTACACTATTATTTAGTAATCAGTTCCAGCTAAGGTGAGTGTCAATTGTTATCAGGCAGGTATGCTAGATAAAAATACAGATGAATAGGTAAACAGTGTTCTGTCTACCCTGTTCTTTGGCAAAACACCTGCACAACGTTAATCTTCTTTTCCAGTTCTCTTTCCTCTTCCCCTCCAGGGCTAGAGATGGAAGAAAAAATTGAACAGAATTGAAATAATTCCGGCCCTACTCTGTCAGCTCCTTCTCTCCTTCCTTGCTCCTATAATGGAGGATTCATCACTCTAGGGGTTAACTGTAGAACTAAGAAGGATTTGGGGGACAAGGAAACCACTCTCATCAAAGAATAGCTCAGCATAATTTGGAGCAGTTAAGGAAAAAAATAAAAGTGAAGTTAAGCTGTATGGGGCCAAGGATAAAAGTAAAAGAGATTGAAATATAGCAACTGTCTATGTTCTTTTATATTGAGTTTTCAAAAGGGCAAGGAAGATCTGTTGAAAAGCATTAAAAAGACCAACTGGTTTTATATGACATATTCAGAAATACTTTAAAGTTCATCTTCATTTTGAACAATATCTGATTCAAAGAGTTTCTGTAATTACATTATTCATTACTGTGTGGAGAATTTATAGTACTATACTATGCAGTGCCAAATTTCCCACTGATGAATTAACCAAATGATATGCAATATCTGTTACAAGATACATTCTGGATATCACATTTATCTCTTGTGCCAAAAATCACTTTAGGAGATAATGACCAATTTGATGGGACACACTATCAAAGATCTCAAGATGTTCTTTAATTTTGGTTTGTGAACTTGGCTATCACTTTGTTATACAGTGATCATCAATGACATTTAAATTATATCTTTGGTAGAGTTAAATTAGAAAGTTAAATATGACTAGGAATTACAGTGAGAAATAACTTTTATGAAAAAATTGAACATAATTATTTTTAAATTAAACATATTTTCTCATTTAAAATGATGAAATATGTAAGAGATGTATTATTTATCTCAGAAATGCGGTCTGTAATTGTTAGCAGCATGGTGTTTTTATGGTGTCTTAATCCTTTTATTTAAGAAAAATGAATTTTTATAGAAACTGGCTGTTTGATTTATAAAATTTTAAGGAAAAGCATTTTCATCCTAATCTCAGTTACCAGATGTATAACATTGTGATAAACAGCTGGATTTTAAAAATCAACACTTTATTTTATACTGGAAGCTATGCCTTCATCTCCTTGCTTAGCTTCTGTACCCAACTCAACTACTGATAAAGAGAACATCCCATGAGAACTGTCTAAGGTAGCCTTAGGTTCATGAGTTAGTCCTTGATGTAAGTTAGAGAAATGGTTTTGTACATTTTAAGTCATTTTTTTTTTCTGCAAAACATTTTGCAAAACAAGCAATGGGGAAATGATTCCCTAGTTAATAAGTGGTGTTGGGAAAACTGGCTAGCCATATGCAGAAAACTGAAACTGGACCCCTTCCTTACTCCTTATGCAAAAATTAACTCAGGATGGATTAAAGGCTTCAATGTAAGACCTAAAACCATAAAAATCCTAGAAGAAAACCTAGGCAATACCATTTAGGACATAGGCATGAGCAAAGTCTTCATGAATAAAACATGAAAAGCAATGACAACACAAGCTAAAATTGACAAATGTGATCTAATTAAACTAAAGAGCTTCTGCACAGCAAAAGAAACTATCATCAGAGTGAATGGGCAACCTACAGAATGGGAGAAAATTTTTGCAGTCTGTCCATCTGACAAAGGGCTAATATCCAGAATCTACAAGGAACTTAAATTTATAAGAAAAAAAAACCCATCAAAAAGTGGGTGAAGGATATGAACAGAAACTTTTCGAAAGAAGACTTTTATGTGGCCAACAAACATATGAAAAAGAGCTCATCATCACTGATCATTAGAGAAATGCAAATAAAACCACAATGAGATACCATCTCACACCAGTTAGAACGGCGATCTCTAAAATGTCAGGAAACAACAGATACTGGAGAGGATGTGGAGAAATAGGAAAGCTTTTACACTGTTGGTGGGAGTGTAAATTAGTTCAACCATTGTAGAAAACAGTGTGGCTATTCCTCAAGGATCTAGAACCAGAAATACCATTTGACCCAGCAATCCCATTTCTGGTATATACCCAAAGGATTATAAACCATTCTACTGTAAAGACACATGCAAATCCATATATTTTCCTTACATGATAAGCTTTGTCTTTAACCAAGTCACCTAATATTTCTCATCTTAAAACTCCATTTTCCTTTAAAATTTTTAAAGAGTGTTTTCAGAATAAGAGCCAGAGTTTCATTTGCTTATTTTCTTCCTTTGAGGTGACTCTTTCACACTTTCATTTGTGCTGAAATCACAGTGTGCAAACACAGGGATTTAGGTCATTTCTCATGGAAACTATCAGTAGACAGTTCAATTTGCTCATTCTGATGACAGTCTCAGGCCAGAAACATTTATTAATTTGTGTGAATGAATCACTTTCCAGACTACACAAAATGTAAATGTGGGAAGAATGAGTAATTACTTCTTGAGCTGATAACTTTCTGACTACATAGTAGATAATTCAAAATGTATCAGCATATGTTTTTAGGAAAGTGTATGATTAGTATAACTTTTATTTTGTCTGTGTCCTCAAACTACCCCTAATGTGTTTTAACACTTGACACAGTATTGCACATACTTGTATTCAAAAAGTGTTTGGCCAACAAACTTGCCATGGATGCCATTTCATCTCCTTAACCCTCCCTCCAAGGTCCATTCCTTCTTACGCACTCTCTACCCAACTAGGTAAAAGAAGCACACCTAGGCACTGGCACTCTTAAAACTCAAACAAGTTTAGAGTGGAACATGTTAAATTCATTTTGGGCTGAATGAGAAGCTTTTTTGTAAAGTTTTGAGAGTAAAAATAGTACTTATTTCATAGAAATAATCGTTCTTGTTCCTCTTTCAACACTCGATCTTTGAAATGAGATTAATTTTTTTTTATTATTTGATTTGCTTAAACATTCGTGCATTACTTTTTTTTATTTAAGTTTTAGGGTACATGTGCACAACATGCAGGTTAGTTACATATGTATACATGTGCCATGCTGGTGTGCTGCACCCATTAACTCATCATTTAACATTAGGTATATCTCCTAATGCAATTCCTCCCTGCTCCCCCCACCCCACAACAGGCCCTGTTGTGTGATGTTCCCCTTCCTGTGTCCATGTGTTCTCATTGTTCAATTCCCATCTATGAGTGAGAACATGCCGTGTTTGGTTTTTTGTCCTTGCGATAGTTTACGGAGAATGATGGTTTCTGGCTTCATCCATGTCCCTACAAAGGACATGAACTCATCCTTTTAAATGGCTGCATAGTATTCCATGGTGTATATGTGCCACATTTTCTTAATCCAGTCTATCATTGTTGGACATTTCGCTTGGTTCCAAGTCTTTGCTATTGTGAATAGTGCCGCAATAAACATACGTGTGCATGTGTCTTTATAGCAGCATGATCTATAGTCCTTTGGGTATATACCCAATAATGGGATGGCTGGGTCAAATGGTATTTCTAGTTCTAGATCCCTGAAGAATTGCCACACTGACTTCCACAAGGGTTGAACTAGTTTACAGTCCCACCAACAGTGTAAAAGTGTCCCTATTTCTCCACATCCTCTCCAGCACCTGTTGTTTCCTGACTTTTTAATGATCACCATTCTAACTGGTGTGAGATGGTATCTCATTGTGGTTTTGATTTGCATTTCTCTGACGGCCAGTGATGGTGAGCAATTTTTCATGTGTCTTTTGGCTGCATAAATGTCTTCTTTTGAGAAGTGGCTGTTCATATCCTTTGCCTACTTGTTCATGGGGTTGTTTGTTTTTTTCTTGTAAATTTGTTTGAGTTCATTGTAGATTCTGGATATTAGCCCTATGTCAGATGAGTAGGTTGCAAAAATTTTCTCCCATTCTGTAGGTTGCCTGTTCACTCTGATGGTAGTTTCTTTTGCTGTGCAGAAGCTCTTTAGTTTAATTAGATCCCATTTGTCAATTTTGGCTTTTGTTGCCATTGCTTTTGGTGTTTTAGACATGAAGTCCTTGCCCATGCCTATGTCCTGAATGGTATTGCCTAGGTTTTCTTCTAGGGTTTTTATGGTTTTAGGTCTAATGTTTAAGTCTTTAATCCATCTTGAATTAATTTTTGTATAAGGTGTAAGGAAGGGATCCAGTTTCAGCTTTCTACATATGGCTAGCCAGTTTTCCCAGCACCATTTATTAAGTAGGGAATCCTTTCCCCATTTCTTCTTTTTGTCAGGTTTGTCAAAGATCAGATAGTTGAAATGAGATTACTTTCAATCGTACTACTATATGTGGCACTGAATTGAAAGATGATAATGATGATGATGATTGTGATGGAGGAGGAGGAGAAGCAGAAAAGAAGGAGGTGGAGGAGGAAGAAAAGGAGGAAGAATGATGACAGCCAATACTTGTATAAAGCTCCCCATACTGTTCCAGGCACTGTACAGAGTACCATGTGTATTAAATCATTTAATCCTCACAACAACCCTAAGAGGTAGATATAACTGTAATCATCATTTTATAGATGAGGAAATTCAGACACAGAGAGGTCAAGTAACATGCCTAAGGTCACACAGCCAGTCAGTAGCATAACTGGGACTTCAACACAGACAGTCTCCAAAGTTATTCTTTCTGATATCATTTCTCAGTTTTATCCATCCCCTATTGGGCCTTTAAGACATATTTTTGGCTAAACAAACAAGTGAGCAAATGAAAGCTTAAAACAGACTGGACTGTATATATATTGTGTTTTAGTACAAAATTAAGCACAGTGGATTTGCTTACAACTTACTGAGACATGTTAAGAGGGAAAAAGAGACAACACTAATATTGAATATGCATTGTGAGCCAGGCACAATGGTCCTGTGAAAGGGATATTTTCCAGAGATGCAGATAAGGGAGAATGAAGCCCAGAAAAGTTAATAAACATGTCCAAGGTGACATAAGTGGTAAAACCAGCATTCTAACCAGCTCTGTCTTGTTCCAAAGCATGTCTGTTTTTCTGGAACTAGATCTCCCTTAGACAGTATCAGTCAGTGTAAACCAGAAAAGCAGAACCAGCTACAAATGTATGCTGGCCAAACCAAACACTTCTAGGAGCCAAACTGCAGGCCATCCATTTGCAACCTGGCTTTGAGTAATTGACATTGTTTTCATACAGTCAGTGCTGTGGGAATGCTATAGTATTATTTGCCAATTTGGGGACTTCTCTTTTGCAAAAAGAAAGTCATTATTCAGTATTTACAATGTTGCTGTTTAAAGGACATTTTTCTAATACCCATGAGAGAGCAGACACTATTGTAAGCTATGTATGTAAGTTTTCTCATTTAATCCTTCTAACACCTCTATGAGGTAAGCTGTACTGTTAGGTTCAGCTTACTGATAAAGATACAGAGGAGCAAAGGGTTTTATAAGTGACATAGTTGGCATTCAGACCTGTGCAGCCTGGCTCCAGAGGCTGAGCTCTTAAAAACTATGCTGCGCTAAAATGTTACAGTGAGGAAGACTGAAGTTTACCAACTGACATACCACCCTGCACTGTCCGAGTACCTGGGTCCATTAATCTTCCCATGAGGTTTTGTGTACCTGCCACTTTATACCTAGAAATAAACATAAACCAAAAGGCAGGAGGTGTTAATAACCTGAAATTTCTCTTATTCTGCCTATGAAGTCCATGCCAGAGAGCTCTATAACAAAGTCCTGTTAAACATTAGTGACCAAGGCCTCTCATGAGGGGTACAGAAAGGCCCAACTTAGAGACAAACAAAAAGACAGCAGTAAACCTCTGCAGACTTAGATGTCCCTGTCTGACATCTTTGAAGAGAGCAGTGGTTCTCCCAGCACGCACATGGAGATCTGAGAATGGGCACACTGCCTCCTCAAGTGGGTCCCTGACCCCTGACCCCCGAGCAGCCTAACTGGGAGGCACCCCCCGGTAGGGGCAGACTGACACGTCACATGGCCGGGTACTCCTCTGAGACAAAACTTCCAGAGGAATGATCAGACAGCAGCATTTGCGGTTCATGAAAATCCACTGTTCTGCAGCCACCACTGCTGATACCCAGGCAAACAGGGTCTGGAGTGGACCTCTAGCAAACTCCAACAGACCTGCAGCTGAGGGTCCTGTCTGTTAGAAGGAAAACTAACAGACAGAAAGGACATCCACACCAAAAACCCATCTGTACATCACCATCATCAAAGACCAAAAGTAGATAAAACCACAAAGATGGGGAAAAAACAGAGCAGAAAAACTGGAAACTCTAAAAAGCAGAGTGCCTCTCCTCCTCCAAAGGAACGCAGTTCCTCACCAGCAATGGAACAAAGCTGGACGGAGAATGACTTTGACGAGTTGAGAGAAGAAGGCTTCAGACAATCAAACTATTCCGAGCTACAGGAGGAAATTCAAACCAAAGGCAAAGAAGTTCAATTCAAACCAAAGGCAAAGGAGCTGATGGAGCTGAAAGCCAAGGCTCGAGAACTACATGAAGAATGCAGAAGCCTCAGGAGCCGATGCGATCAACTGGAAGAAAGGGTATCAGTGATGGAAGATAAAATGAATGAAATGAAGCGGGAAGGGAAGTTTAGAGAAAAAAGAATAAAAAGAAACGAACAAAGCCTCCAAGAAATATGGGACTATGTGAAAAGACCAAATCTACGTCTGATTGGTGTACCTGAAAGTGATGGGGAGAATGGAACCAAGTTGGAAAACACTCTGCAGGATATTATCCAGGAGAACTTCCCCGATCTAGCAAGGTAGGCCAACATTCAGATTCAGGAAATACAGAGAACACCACAAAGATACTCCTCGAGAAGAACAACTCCAAGACACATAATTGTCAGATTCACCAAAGTTGAAATGAAGGAAAAAATGTTAAGGGCAGCCAGAGAGAAAGGTCGGGTTACCCACAAAGGGAAGCCCATCAGACTAACAGCAGATGTCTCAGCAGAAACTCTACAAGCCAGAAGAGAGTGGGGACCAATATTCAACATTCTTAAAGAAAAGAATTTTCAACCCAGAATTTCATATCCAGCCAAACTAAGCTTCATAAGTGAAGGAGAAATAAAATACTTTACAGACAAGCAAATGCTGAGTGATTTTGTCACCACCAGGCCTGCCCTAAAAGAGCTCCTGAAGGAAGCACTAAACATGGAAAGGAACAACCAGTACCAGCCACTGCAAAATCATGCCAAATTGTAAAGACCATCGAGGCTAGGAAGAAACTGCATCAACTAACGAGCAAAATAACCAGCTAACATCATAATGACAGGATCAAATTCACACATAACAATATTAACTTTAAATGTAAATGGACTAAATTCTCCAATTAAAAGACACAGACTGGCAAATTGGATAAAGAGTCAAGACCCATCAGTGTGCTGTATTCAGGTAACCCATCTCACGTGCAGAGACACACATAGACTCAAAATAAAAGGATGGAGGAAGATCTACCAAGCAAATGGAAAACAAACAAAGGCAGGGGTTGCAATCCTAGTCTCTGATAAAACAAACTTTAAACCAACAAAGATCAAAAGAGACAGAGAAGGCCATTACATAACGGTAAAGGGATCAATTCAACAAGAAGAGCTAACTATCCTAAATATATATGCACCCAATGCAGGAGCACCCAGATTCATAAAGCAAGTCCTGAGTGACCTACGAAGAGACTTAGACTCCCACACAATAATAATGGGAGACTTTAACACCCCACTGTCAACTTTAGACAGATCAACGAGACAGAAAGTTAACAAGGATACCCAGGAATTGAACTCAGCTCTGCACCAAGCGGGCCTAATAGACATCTACAGAACTCTCCACCCCAAATCAACAGAATATACATTTTTTTCAGCACCACACCACACCTATTCCAAAATTGACCACATAGTTGGAAATAAAGCTCTCCTCAGCAAGTGTAAAAGAACAGAAATTATAACAAACTGTCTCTCAGACCACAGTGCAATCAAACTAGAACTCAGGATTAAGAAACTCACTCAAAACCACTCAACTACATGGAAACTGAACAACCTCCTCCTGAATGACTACTGGGTACATAACGAAATGAAGGCAGAAATAAAGATGTTCTTTGAAACCAATGAGAACAAAGACACAACATACCAGAATCTCTGGGACACATTCAAAGCAGTGTGTAGAGGGAAATTTATAGCACTAAATGTGCACAATAGAAAGCAGGAAACATCCAAAATTGACACCCTAGCATCACAATTAAAAGAACTAGAAAAGCAAGAGCAAGCACATTCAAAAGCTAGCAGAAGGCAAGAAATAACTAAAATCAGAGCAGAACTGAAGGAAATAGAGACACAAAAAACCCTTCAAAAAATTAATGAATCCAGGAGCTGGTTTTTTGAAAGGATCAACAAAATTGATAGACTGCTAGCAAGACTAATAAAGAAGAAAAGAGAGAAGAATCAAATAGACGCAAAAAAAATGATAAAGGGGATATCACCACCGATCCCACAGAAATACAAACTACCATCGGAGAATACTACAAACACCTCTACGCAAATAAACTAGAAAATCTAGAATAAATGGATAAATTCCTTGACACATACACTCTCCCAAGACTAAACCAGGAAGAAGTTGAATCTCTGAATAGATCAATAACAGGCTCTGAAATTGTGGCAATAATCAATAGCTTACCAACCAAAAAGAGTCCAGGACCAGATGGATTCACAGCCGAATTCTACCAGAGGTACAAGGAGGAACTGGTACCATTCCTTCTGAAACTATTCCAATCCATAGAAAAAGAGGAAATCCTCCCTAACTCATTTTATGAGGCTAGCATCATTCTGATACCAAAGCCAGGCAGAGACACAACAAAAAAAGAGAATTTTAGACCAATATCCTTGATGAATATTGATGCAAAAATCCTCAATAAAATACTGGCAAACTGAATCCAGCAGCACATCAAAAAGCTTATCCACCATGATCAAGTGGGCTTCATCCCTGTGATGCAAGGCTGGCTCAATATACGCAAATCAATAAATGTAATCCAGCATATAAACAGAACCAAAGACAAAAACCACATGATTATCTCAATAGATGCAGAAAAGACCTTTGACAAAATTCAACAACCCTTCATGCTAAAAACTCTCAATAAATTAGGTATTGATGGGACGTATCTCAAAATAATAAGAGCTATCTATGACAAACCCACAGCCAATATCATACTGAATGGGCAAAAACTGGAAGCATTCCCTTTGAAAACTGGCACAAGACAGGGATGCCCTCTCTCACCACTCCTATTCAACGTAGTGTTGGAAGTTCTGGCCAGGGCAATTAGACAGGAGAAGGAAATAAAGGGTATTCAGTTAGGAAAAGAGGAAGTCAAATTGTCCCTGTTTGCAGATGACATGATTGTATATCTAGAAAACCCCATCGTCTCAGCCCAAAATCTCCTTAAGCTGATAAGCAACTTCAGCAAAGTCTCAGGATACAAAATCAATGTACAAAAATCACAAGCATTCTTACACACCAATAACAGACAAACAGAGAGCCAAATCATGAGTGAACTCCCATTCACAATTGCTTCAAAGAGAATAAAATACCTAGGAATCCAACTTACAAGGGATGTGAAGGACCTCTTCAAGGAGAACTACAAACTACTGCTCAATGAAATAAAAGAGGATACAAAGAAATGGAAGAACATTCCATGCTCATGGGTAGGAAGAATCAATATCATGAAGATGGCCATACTGCCCAAGGTAATTTATAGATTTAATGCCATCCCCATGAAGCTACCAATGACTTTCTTCACAGAATTAGAAAAAGCTACTTTAAAGTTCATATGGAACCAAAAAAGAGCCCGCATCACCAAGTCATTCCTAAGCCAAAAGAACAAAGCTGGAGGCATCACACTACCTGACTTCAAACTATACTACAAGGCTACAGTAACCAAAACAGCATGGTACTGGTACCAAAACAGATATATTGATCAATGGAACAGAACAGAGCCCTCAGAAATAACACCACATATCTACAACTATCTGATCTTTGACAAACCTGAGAAAAACAAGCAATGGGGAAAGGATTCCCTATTTAATAAATGGTGCTGGGAAGACTGGCTAGCCATATGTAGAAAGCTGAAACTGGATCCCTTCCTTACACCTTATACAAAAATTAATTCAAGATGGATTAAAGACTTAGACGTTAGACCTAAAACCATAAAAACCCTAGAAGAAAACCTAGGCATTACCATTCAGGACATAGGCATGGGCAAGGACTTCATGTCTGAAACACCAAAAGCAATGGCAACAAAAGCCAAAATTGACAAATGGGATCTAATTAAACTAAAGAGCTTCTGCACAGCAAAAGAAACTACCATCAGAGTGAACAGGCAACCTAAAGAATGGGAGAAAATTTTTGCAACCTACTCATCTGACATAGGGCTAATATCCAGAATCTACAATGAACTCAAACAAATTTACAAGAAAAAAACAAACAACCCCATCAAAAAGTGGGCGAAGGAAATGAACAGACACTTCTCAAAAGAAGACATTTATGTAGCCAAAAGACACATGAAAAAATGCTCACCATCACTGGCCATCAGAGTAATGCAAATCAAAACCACAATGAGATGCCATCTCACACCAGTTAGAATGGCGATCATTAAAAAGTCAGGAAACAACAGGTGCTGGAGAGGATGTGGAGAAATAGGAACACTTTTACACTGTTGGTGGGACTGTAAACTAGTTCAACCCTTGTGGAAGTCAGTGTGGCGATTCCTCAGGGATCTAGAACTAGAAATACCATTTGACCCAGCCATCCCATTATTGGGTATATACCCAAAGGACTATAGATCATGCTGCTATAAAGACACATGCACACGTATGTTTATTGCGGCACTATTCACAATAGCAAAGACTTGGAACCAAGCGAAATGTCCAACAATGATAGACTGGATTAAGAAAATGTGGCTCATATACACCATGGAATACTATGCAGCCATTTAAAAGGATGAGTTCATGTCCTTTGTAGGGACATGGATGAAATTGGGAATCATCCTTCTCCGTAAACTATCGCAAGGACAAAAAACCAAACATCGCATGTTCTCACTCATAGGTGGGAATTGAACAATGAGAACACATGGACACAGGAAGGGGAACATCACACTCTGGGGACTCTTGTGGGGTGTGGGAAGTCGGGGGAGAGATAGCATTGGGAGATATACCTAATGTTAAATGACGAGTAATGGGTGCAGCACACCAGCATGGCACATGTATACATATGTAACTAACCTGCACATTGTGCACATGTACCCTAAAACTTAAAGTATAATAATAATAAAATAAAAAGAAAGGCCCAATTTATACTCCATCCTGCTTTAGAGCAAACAGTTTTGTGGAGCAGCAACTGCATTCATGAAAAATGGCTCAAAATCGTGTTCATATCCTAGTTTTCTTTGAAACACATGTAAGTCCTACAAATACTGCTAAATAACATTTAAAGGAAAGAAAAAGAAGTTCCCTGTTATTAGATCTAAATTTAGTTTAACAGGAATTTACCTGTGAGGTGTCAATTACTGAAGAAATTGAAACAGTGGAGGGTGCTTGGGGTCAGAGATGGAGGAGAGGGGAGAGAAGAAGAACAGGTCAATTCACAGGGAAGAAGTAGGAAATGTGGCAAAATACACAGGATCATGATAATGGAAAATGCAGGTATTAGATTCCATGATGTTAAGGTAGATATGCAAATATTGAATATGCACATGGACAGGGACCAGAGGACAATATAGATAAATACAATTTAAAAAATGGGATGAAGGGAAGACTTTTGAAAATTGAGTAGATTCATGATAAAATCCAAATTTAGAAAAATGGATTTGGTGATCGCATGTGTGTGACTTTTTTTGGCCATAACTTCAATACTATCAGAAATAAATTACTAAAAAAGAAAAACAAATAATTAAGACCCAGAGGTTGGGAAATCAAATAAATATACCACAGGTAGAGCAAATAAGTACAAAACACACACACACACACACACACACACATATACGTGTGTGTATATATATATATGCGTATGTACATAAAATATTAACTTTTGGGTTCAGGAGTACATGTGCAAGTTTGTTATATGAGTAAACTCATGTCACAGAGGTTTGATGTAAAGATTATTTCGTCACCCGGGTACTAAGCGTAGTACCCAATACTTATTTTTTGTGCTCCTCTCCCTCCTCCAAAGGGTGGCTCCTCTCCATCCTCTGGTAGGCCCCAGTGTGTGTTGTTCCCCTCTTTGGGTCCATGTGTTCTAATAATTTAGCTCCCACTTATAAGTGAGATCATGCGATATTTGGTTTTCTGTTCCTGTGTTAGCTTGCTAAGGATAATGGCCCTTAGCTCTGTCCATGTTTCTGCAAAGGACATGATCTCATTCTTTTTTATGACTGCATAGTATTCCATGGTGTGTATGTATCACATTTTCTTACCCCAGTCTTCCACTGATGGGCGTTTAGGTTGATACTATATCTTTGCTATTGTGAATAGTGCTACAGAGAACATATTCATGCATGTATCTCTATGATAGAACAATTTATATTCCTTTGGATACATACCCAGTAATGGGATTGCTGGGTTGAATGGTAGTTCTATTTTTAGCTCTTTGAGGAATCTCCACTCTACATTCCACAATGATTGAACTAATTTATACTCCCACCAACAGTGTAGAAGTGTTTCCTTTCCTTAACCTCACTGGCACCTGTTATTTTTTGACATTTTAATAATAGCCATTCTGACTGGTATGAGATGCTATCTTACAGTGATATTGAGCTTTGCTTCATATACTTGTTGGCCGCATGTATGTGTTCTTTGGAAAATTGTCCATGTTCTCTGCCTGCTTTTTTATGTTTTTTTCTTGTAAATTTAAGTTCCTTCTAGATGCTAGATATTAGACCTTTGTCAGATGCATAATTTGCAAAAATGTTCTCCCATTCTGTAGGTTGTCTGTTCACTCTGTCGATAGTTTCTTTTGCTGTGCGGAAGCTCTTCAGTTAAATTAGATCCCGTTTATTAGGTTTTGCTTTTGCTGCAATTGATCTTGCTGTCTTCGTCATGAAACTTATACCAATTCCTATGTCCAGAATGGTATTTCTTAGGTTGTTTCTCAGGGTTAAAACGATATTCTTTAATGTGATGATCTAAATTGCTTCTTTATACTTAATGAAACGAGAGATGCTATGTCAGTGTTTCTATCTGTGATGTATATGTCATGATCCTTAAGGACGTACTTAGAAATTGATTCAAAGTGATTATTCTTGGTGTTTTTTGCAGTATAGATTTTGGTAACATATGATTGCTTTTTTGAGTTTAGCTAAGTTCTTAGATCTAACTGAAATTAAAGGTTTTCTTTTTTTTTTCTTTTTAAAATAAGTGTTGCATACTCCCAATGGTAGAGTATGCTTTCAGTACTGTAGTGGAACCAGTTGTTTATGGCTAAAACATATTTTCCAATGTATGTGTATTATTTAAGGTAAAGTTTGGTGCTGTGGCAGATAAATTCAGTGATTTCACGCAGTAGGAATTCACCTCTCACTTGCGTCAGAGTTCAGTATGTTCCTGGTTGGGCGGCTCTCCTACAAACAGTGATTCAGGGACCCAGTGTCTTTCCATCTTCTAGTTTTACTGTCATCTTTTTACGATGCCCAAGCTCACTTTGGGGACTCTAGCTGGATCACCTGTGGGAGCTTTCATGGACCAACTGGATCCAGAAGTGGAATGCATTCTTTTGCCCAGTTCTGTTGGCTAAAATTCAGCAACAGGGCCACACCTGACTTAAAGAGAAGTTAGGAAACGTAGTCTAGCTATGTATCAAGGAAGAAGAGGAAACAGGGTTTATGAAACACATAGTCTTGGTCACAATCAATCCTCCTGGTTGCCATATACCTATTTAACTCTTCCTCCCACGTATGAACACACTTACCTCTTCCCAAGAGAAACCCTAAACTATTAGAAAGAGCCATCAAACACTTAATGAAAATTTCTGTGATCTATAATTGTAAGTTGGATTTCCTAATTTAGTAGAAAAGGGTGGGAATGGAGGGAATCTGATTCAAACTACCCATTATGGTGACAAATTACAAAAATTGTAAACAGTGTCATGTAAAACAATGTAAAACAAATGTCAACATCACCTATACTTGTAAAAAGGATTATTTTTCATTTTAAAATTTGTATATGTGTATGCATATTTATTTTAACTTTACCTAACTTTGATGGTTTGGGTGCACGCTGAGTGATCATTAATTGGTGTTTTAATGAATGATGAAAATGTGAGATACATACAGAACCTTATAATAATAAGGAATTGAACTCCAGTTACAGGAAGTGATGTGTCAATATCAAACCACTTGTGAGTAGTGTATTTTCCATAGTCCACACTGCCTTTCTGCAGTTTAGATTTCTTACTTGGAATCCGGTGGATGGTAACATCATCCACTGACTCAGTAATACAAGAGAATAGAAAAGTTAAGTTTGGAGAACAAAAAGGACAATTTTGTGTTTTGTTTTGGACTTACAGAGTTTGAAGTAATAGTAAGATTTTGTGGACAGATTTAATAGATAAATTTCAGTTTCGGAGATTAATAGAAAGTTGAGGGTTGGAGATATAAAGGGAGTTAGCAGCATGATAGTGTCATTTAGATTGAATAGGGGAAAATAGATATTTTAGGAGGTGCTGGTAGAGAAAGAGGAGGATGAGAAATGGGAGATTTGGGGATTTGAATTCATTAAAGAATCTAAGCTTGAGAAGAGAGTTTGAATGAATAGAAGAGGGTAAAGTCATGAGAATTATGAAAAGAGGATGAACAACAGGGTCAAATACTGAGTGGAGTCCCACAGGACACTGGTGACTTTTTCAGATATTTACAGGAGAGTCAAGGAGGTGGAAGACCTTAAATGGACTGAGAAGCAGAGCAGGGAGTGAAAGGAAGTGATGACCACGTGGGGGAAATGAGAGAGGGAGATGATTTCACATCATTATAGAGAAAATGGGATGAAGGAAAGACTTTTGAAAATTGAGTAGATTCATGATAAAATCCAAAGTAATTTCCTGTCAGCTTTGGGGAGATGCTTCCAGTGTCATAAATAGCTTTTAAATACCCATTCATGTCATCTCCTTAAAGATAATTTAAAGCTAAAGTTACACATACACCATATATACACAATTCATTTCCTCTCAGCTTTGAGATTTAATTGACAAAAATGATATGTATTTGACAGCATGATGTCTTGGCCTATTTATACACTGTGAAATTACCACAATCAAGCTGGTTAATATATCCATCTAAAACTACTAGAAGAAAACATAGGGGGAAATTCTACAGCACTGGTCTTGGCAATGATTTTCTTGGATATGACGCCAAAAGCATGAGCAACAGAAGCACAAATAAACAATTGGGACTACATCAACCTAAAAAGTTTATGCATAGCAAAAGAAACAATCAACAGGATGAAAAGGCAACCTAGAGAATGGGAGAAAATATTTTCAAGCCATATATCTGATAAGGGGTTAATATTCAAAATATTTAAGGAAGTCACACTAAATAGCAAAATAAAATAACTCAATTAAAAAATGGGCAAAGAACATGAATAATTACTTTTCCAAAGAAGGCATACAAATAGCCAACAAGTATGTGAAAACATGCTCAACATCACTAATCATCAGGGAAATGCAAATAAAAACCACAATGAGATATCAGCTCATACTTTTTAGGATGGCTGTTATCAAAATGTCAAAAGATAACATACAATTCTCTGTCATAAATTCTCTTAAAAATTTTTTTACTAATTTATTAGTGTCCTTAATCTGGACCCTTAAATTGCCAAATTGCTTTCAGAGAGCAAAACTTCATGCCTTTTCATAATTCTCATGATTTTACTCTCTTGTATTCATTCAAACTCTCTTCTCAGGCTTAGATTCTTTAATTGATTCAAATTCCCAAATCTCCCCTCTTCAAAAGCCTAGATTTGGAAGAACATTAAAAATGCTATATAAAGGTGAGTATCACAATGATACCGTTTGGATGTCTTATTTAATAATATGTGCTTTTGCTATAATATATTTACGTAAAGATTTAAGCCACTGCCTTCTTTAAGCTCAGACGTAAAGGTTACTGTATATGATATAAATTTTTCTTCCTTTAGTTGAAGACTGAAAAAGCAGAGCAAGAAAGTAACATGTTTATTAGAATGTTCCATTTAGTGCTATGTGAGGGAGTAAAGCACATAGTTACCTCCCCATTCACTCTCCAGGTCAGGAAGGCAAAGGTAATTAACCTTACAGATATGACATCACCCTGAAGCAGAGGCTACCAGTGGCTGAAAGTCACACTTCAGTTTTCTGATCCTTGACGATGTGATTTTTTTTTTTTTTATATGTTCTGTTGTTTCTTTAGGGACTCTGTACAGATTAAACTTATAATAATTTGCTCCACAATGGGAGCAAATGTTTATATTTTAAAAAGAACTACTCCAAATTGGCAAAACAGCAATGCTTAAAAATGGTTTTTATCTTGTAGGCTTGCAGGGGAGTATAGGACAGTCTAGTACAGAAGTGCTTAAATTGGCTGTCACTGGAGTCCAGACATTTGGGTAGTGTAAAGAACTCAAAGTTTAAGAATTAATGAGACCACATGAGCAAAAATAAATGAAAAAGAAGGACGACAAATACATAAGTGTTGGAAGGAAGTAGAGCATTAGTTGCAAGCTTCTAGCACAGACCATGAGCTAGGAAGAAATGGAAGTGAGCTGGAGAGGTTAGCTGTGGAAAGCATTGTGGAAGAAAGTGAACTTGAAAAGGTATTTGAAAGAAGGGTGGGCAGCGTTTGTCTTTATAGACAAAAAGCAAATAAATAATGACACAGAGTCTTGTTTTATTAAACAAAAATGTACAGTGTCTACTATGTACCCAGCACCACGCTGGCCACTGAAGATACAGAAGAGATGAAGTCAGAAATTACAGACCCATTCAATACAGCTTTATGTTTAAGAGGGCTTGGAATCAGTATTCAAATTCTGGCTACATTATTTTCAGTGTGTGGCCTTAGGAAAGTTACAGTATCACTTAACTTTCCTTATTTCTAAATCTAAGACAATGGCTCCCTCGTAGGGGCCTATGGTAAGGAATACATGGGAAAATATGTCTAAACTATTAAACGGTGTCTGGTGTTTATATAGTAAATGCTCAGAAAATGAATATTGCTTTGCTTGGATTGAAGCTTATGTCTAGTGAAACAGAAGGAGATTTCACTAGAGTGTTTTGTTGGCAGGGAACCTGTGAATGGCCTTCATTGCTGGTCTAGGAATTTGAACACATTCTTTAAGTCGTAGAGTCCTTACAGGACGTTGCCCAGGTGAATATAATGATCAGAGTGGTTATGTAACAGGTGGATTAGAACAGAGGACATGGCATTCAGTTGGCTAATAATGCTTGGCATCCTGCAATAAGTTGTATCATAGTTTTCTGTTTTAAGGAAGATATGGAGACCCTATATTAAGAAGAAATGTACAACATGAATTTAGGCAATTTATAACATGATCCTAAAGAGTTTTTGAAATGTTTATACAAAATTAAACATTCCCTTTATCCTACTCTTAATCATCCTGCCCATCCCTCATTATAAGGAAGCCCCAGATACCTGAAAGACTTCTATGTTTTCAGATATTTTATAAATAAGATTATCGGATGTGGGAAAAGATTGTTGTCATTGAACTAATTACATTAAGTCTCTGTAGCAAAAGTTTTAATATGATGTTTGGATATTAATGGGAGTTTTAATTGATATAAAAAAGGCTAGTATTCACTCAGCAAATACCAATTTAATGCTTATTATTTACTTAGGTATTTGTACAAGTTCTTTAAAAATAGATGGACTGACCTGCTTTGTTCAGTAGAATTGTTCAGTTGTTAGATACTTGCGGATCTCAACTCAAATGGGGATAACAGTATCATTGCTGCCTTGCCCACATTGCGCAGCTATGTGAAGTGACATGGATCTGCTCCTGCCTTGTATATTAAGCTGTCAACACCACTGAGCCCATACGCTTTTAGACAAAAGGTATTTGGTTTGCTCTTTCAAATCTCCACATCTCTGGCCATTGGGGAAATCAGTTTGTAACTTGAAATATATAAAAGTGACACAAAAATCAGGATAACAAGAACAAATCCTCTGTTGATGTGGCAGATTTTTCTCTACTTGCTATAGGCTGCAGATAAATTTTTATATGAATAGCACATGTGAGTGGAAACACTATATATGACTGTTGATATGTAAAGTCTTGGAGATAGAAGATTTGAAAACCACATTAGAGGTATATGTTATCAAGAAGTATATAATCCCATTGGATGGGGACAGATACACAAATAAGATATATACAGCAAGAGCTGACTTGAGACATATACAGAGTGTTGTGGGAAGGAAAAAGGAGGAATAAGGATTAAGGGGTAGAAGAGATGTTTCAGTTGGGCCTTGAGGGATGAAAAGGTATTTGATAAGTGAGTGGTTGTGTGGGGAGGATGCAGTAGTTCTAGACAGAAGGGGTAGCTTGGTGACAAGTAAAAAGACATGAAAAAGTGATAGCTGTGAAGGGCCAGGTAGAATGGAGCGTGGGAGTGATGGGATTATAACACAAAAGCTGAGATAGTTTCAGCATGCAAATAATCCTGTCTTTGGGGCAAAAGAATTTGTACATCCAATAAATGAACAATACAGACAGCAGCTTAAGGATGGGTGTATATGCACGTGTGTTAGTACCCAGTATTGTAACATATAGGTAATTTTGTTTAAAACAACATACGTATACAAATGTACCATATATGCTGTTCAAGGACAAGCCCACCACTCAGTGTTTGAAACAAAAAGCTGAATATATTGTTGATTAAGCAAGGGAAAGCTCTACTCCTAAAGCATAGTGAACCAAGTAAGTGGGTGATCTTGTGCAGAATTTGGAGAAGTCTTTTTCTTTTTGGGTGTTTGAGTTTAAAGGACTTTTAGAAGTAGGAGTCTAGGGACTGGCTGATCTTTATCCCAGAAATTCTAAACATCATAGAGAGGCAATTCCTGATTGACTCATGTTCAGAAGTATCCTTATTGAAGTGGTATTGGCACATATTGATGACCAGTCTCAAAATTATATATTTAAGGCTTGGGAATGAGAACAATCAATGTCTTTCTGTCTTGAATTTGTAAAATAGACCTTTTTCCTCAATGGACATGCCCACAAAATATCACAAGAATATTCAAATATGAATTTTACACATTTACTATATATGCCACTGTGCTTATTACTTTATATACATCCTCTTATTTAATCCTTGTTTCAATTTTAAGAGATAGATATTATTTCTTCCTTTTAAAGGACAAAAAAGGAAAAAGTTGTTGAGTAACTTGTTCACTGTCACAAAGCTAGTGAGTAGCTAATTTGACTCTTTGCAGGTAAGAAAGCATAGTGACTTCTGGATCATGGTAGACTTGAGTGTCTGGAAGGGCAGTGCTGAGAGGTCTGCCTTAGGGCAGTAGGTAATTGAGAGACATGAACTCTTTCCCCAGCTCCTGGACTAAGTCTAAAACCCTGTCTCCCAAGGTTCTTCAAACTCAGTGGTTGAGTATTTCTATGATGCAACATTATAATAATCATTATAGTATTTATAATAATAAATACCATGTGGTAGCATCAAAATATTATCCACAGATTAAACAAGAAGGGGAAATATAAAATTGCTTGTACACAGTGATTCTAGTGATATAAACCTCTACAGGCACGTGGTCTGCCTATGGATGGCAACTCTAAAAATGGGCACTGTTATTAGGCCAATTTGATATTTTTAATATAAAAATTTTCCTTTTCCTACTCACATTGGAAAATATGAAGATGCTTGATGGTATCCAGTGTTATCAAGGATGTGGGGGAGCATGCACTCTAACACAGCACTGCCAGAAGTATAAATTGGTGCAGTCTTTCAGGAAAGCAATTTGACATTTACCATAAGAATTAAACATAAGCAAAAGTGTTATTTAGGACGTCTCCTTCCAGAAGTGTATTGTATAGACAGACTTGCACTTGTGCCCACAGGAAGGTGTGCAAGGATGTTTATTAAAGTTGTCTGTAATATAAAGAAATGGAAAGAACCTAAATGTTCATCAAAAGAGGAATGATAAATTATGATATAGTTATAGAATTGAATACTGGTTAACTTTTTTAAAAAATGCGATGATCTATCTATCTATCTATCTATCTATCTATCTATCTATCTATCTATCTATCTATCTATCTATCATCTGTCTGCCTGTCTGTCTTGAAGATATGTTCAGAGAGTTGCAGAAGAATATGGAGAATATGTTCTCTTTTGTGTTATGAAAACTATGTTCATATATATGATCATATATTCTTGGAATATGTCTGAAGAAATAACAAAATTAGGAGTGGCCAGCTTTTGGTAATGGGGAAACAGAGGAGGCTTTTAGATTTTGTTTAGTAATCTTCTGTATTGTTTGAGTTTTTTTATTTTATAAAGAGTGTATAGTTTTTAAATAAAAATAAACCTTTGGTTAAAATAAATCTGTTACTGTTTTAATTCCTAAAATGGTTTTTTGTTTTCCAGTTTTGTTAATGCCAATTGTCCTATCCCAGTTTTTCCCAGAATTCTTGATGGAGTCAGTGGGAAAAAGGGTATCTGCCTGGGTAAGAGACGAAGAGAGCATATCCTTCGCTATTCTCTCATCCCTTTTTCTAGCTTTGGAGGCCTTTGCTTAGAGCTGAGCACCCAGGAAGATGTGGAGGAATAAGAAGTGGGTAGACTTTTGTTGGAACTGTGAGTAGGAATTTCCTGGAGGGAAGAGAGAACTTCAAACTATGTATTGAAACAGAATTCAGTTGGATCAAACTATGTAGAAAAAATAATTATGATGCCAGTATACCTCCTCTTGAATGTAGATTAACCAATTAGAAATGAGGGGATAATTTAATTTAAATGAACTGAAGTTTAACTTGATCTAATCTATGAAGAAATTGAGTACTGTTAAAAAGATATTCAAAGGCTTGTTTAATCTGCTCTCTAGAATTGCTATTAAAGATTTCGTGAGTTCATTGTTGGTATCAAACATACTAGTAATTACACATCAGACTTATTTTCAAAAGATTTAATCAAATTAAAACTTGCCCAAAATTATTATGCCCACATGATAAAGTATTATACACTATCACGTATTATTTTTAAGAAGAGTTTTTAATTATTAGGGAAAATATGTTCATGAGATTCTGTTTAAAACTCCATGACATGCTCCCATTTGTTCATAGATGAGTTGACATAACGAGAGACTTTTTGCTAGCTCATCTTCATGTACAAAGCATCAGTCCAACAATAATATATGTAAGAAAAACTTGAAGATTTTATAGACAGTCAAATCTGTTCTTTTTACAGGAACTAAGTATAACAATAGCTCCTAATATGTTTCTAATACTTTCTATACATTGTTTCTAATATATTTCTAATTAGTAATCTCACACATTTTCATAAAATCCTAACAAACTTCATCCCTAACTTGGTCTGGGCTGACCACATATTGCCATGATTTATTTGTGTATTTTTTTACATACAGTGCATCTTTGGACATCAGTCTTTCTGGAGGCAAATTCACAAACTAAATGCCCTTGGAGACAGGAAGCTAAGCTACACATAGAATTTGCCTTAAAAAACATACAGTATAAGACCAGAGCAGAGAGAGCATGAATTTAAGAAGAAATAGAGAAGTGGGTGACCTTAATAATATGATTACTTAGATTTTTCAAATTTTATAGTTGGCAGATAGTTTAAATGCATTGGCTATAGTTAATTTCTGAAATGTTTTTGATATAGTAAATAACCTAGGGACTAAACATGGTTTCTAGATTGAAGCCATAACCTCCCATAGCTTAGCATGTGACCTTTCTTGGAAATACGGTAATTGCAAATATAATTAAGTAAGATGAGGCCATACTGGAGCAGGATGGGCTCCTAGTCTAATCTGATTGGCATCCTTATAAAAAGATGGTCCTGTGAAGGTTGAGAGGCACAAGGTGAATGCTATGTGGAGGATGCCGTGAAGTCAGAGGTTAGAGTTATGCAGCTGCAAACCAACGAATACTAGATTTTCAGCAAACCACCAGATGCTAGGAAGAGGCAAAGAAGGATTCCCCTATCAGTTTCACTGACAGCATGGCCTTAATTCTGAACTTGTAGCCTCCAATATTGTGAGACAATACATTTCTGCTGTTTTAAGCCACCCAGTTTGCAGTACTTTGTTAATGCAGTACTAGGAGATGAATACCCCATGAATATGTGATTATGATTCTTTTCACATGCACACGTCCATTCTATGTAAGGTGCTCCGGCTCATCAGAGTGGCCATTGAGCTCAAGGATGAGACGCCTTACCTCTCTAGCTTCAGTTTCCTGATCTGTGAAATATTTAGATGACTACCCAAAGCAGTGTCATATGCAATGAGACTACACATAAAACACATAGCACAGAGCCTGGCATATAATAGATGCATAATAAATAAACACGAATTCTGTCACATTACCTTGCTTTAGATTGCTCCAGGAGAAGCTTTGTTCAAAGGCTGTCCTAATTAGCCTTTGAGTAAAAGAAGCCAGGTCTACGTCAGTAACAGTATAGTTCTTACCTGGCCTAAACAGCCAAGAAAGAAACAAAGAGGGTCTACTTCCAAAGTAAGCTTCTTTGGTTTTTGTTTTATTACTGTTTCTGTTTTGTTTTCTTGCTACTCTACATGAAAATAAAGATATTTGTAGAATTGCTACAAGCGAATGTCTTTCCTTTAGATAAAGGGATGGGATCATGCTTTTCAGTTGTCAGAATCAGGGAAGAAAAGTGTGGAAATGAATAGCTGTGGTTATACTTAGTTTTATATGCAGGATTGCTCTGAACTGATTTTTTTCCTAATATCTCCTCTCTCCTTTCATGCATCAGTTACACACTGGATTTTTATTACATTAGAGTGTGTGGCTTCCCCCACAGCACTTTTTTTACCCTAAAGAGTTCTCTCCAGTTCACTGAAGAGCCATCTTTGAAAAGACACTTGGTTTCTCTGAGCATGCACTTAGCTCATCAATGCATGTGCGTGCATGCCTGCTTGTTATAGAAGACTGACCAGTCTTAGGCTGGGCATCCTACATCTTGGCATCTGCTGCTCTAATTTGTGTATTTGTGTGTGTATGTGTTTCTATATGTGTGTTGACAGCCTATTTCTTACTCATTCCCTCCCTTTATTATAAGAGTGAAACAAACATCTTTATCAGTTACACATGAGACTCAGGTGCACCTTCCTCTGGCCTAAGCAACACATGAAATTAAATTTGGATGAGCATGTAAAGCTGTTGGCAGGCCCTTGCCTGAGAGCAAGTTTTAATGGGTCAGAGATGGAAGTGAGCATAAGGAGAAAAAAATGGGGCAACAAGACAGAAGAAAAAGCAAAAATGGAGACTGCTCATGAGAATGTTTTGCCTCCTTCGTAATGTTGCCAAAGGCTAGTTCTAGGTTAACACTTCACAGCAAGAAAATAGTCCACCTGCTGTATGCAGACATGGAATCTGCTCAATAGTGTCATTATAGAGACCAATTACAGAAGGAATCAAGGACTAACAGATACTGAGAGAAGCCCAGGTCACTTCCATTTTTGGGGCTTTGATAATATTGAAGAGGAAAAAGAGAAGAGAACACAAAAGGAGAAAATAAAAGTTAAAACCAAGTCATGAAACTATGGTATGGTTTACATGTTTTCCTTCAAGTTAACACTCCTTTCCTATAGAGAGAAAGCCAAAAGTCTAGATTTGAGGCCCTTGCTAAGGATGAGCGTTGAGTAAAGTGGTGTTCTTGCAACCCCCATGCTGGACCCTGACATTGATTGATCCCATTAGTTATCCTTTGATCCAGTTCCATATGGTATGTTTGAGAGCTGTTGTTCTTAGGTAATAGCAATATCTCATCATGGGAGGTATTCCTCCCTTTTTTTCTGATACTCACACAATGGTAACATCTCGAAGAGCACCCCTAATGGTGGTGTCTGGAGATTTGCATTAAAAATCTGGCTGCCTGTCTGGATTCTGGCTGAGCTGATGATGGGGCTTGATATTTCCTGGCAAGGGTGTGAGAGATGCGGCAAAGCTGTGGTGCTGTTGATCTGTGTTCATTCAGTGGGGGCCTGAATGAATTGCTTCTGAATTTTTTATACCTTGTATAGTAACGGGCAAATGAGTGAGGCCTGAAAGATTTTAACCGTGCTTTCTTCTACTACTCTTTGGCCTACGTTCTCACAAAGGAAACCTGCTTTTGCTTTTTATTTCAAATGCCCCCATAGATTGAACTGTCATAGATGTACCTGTTAAAGAATTGAAGAAAATGAGAAAATGATCCCACCTATATTGTTCATATTATTAGTATGTTCAGAGAGCAGTTTTATTAGCTGCAAGAATGTGATAGAAAGTCAAGAAGGGAAGATTTTCCCAGCTGTGTGTATTTAGATATAAAAGTAGCCTAAATAAATAATCTTTAATACATATTGGGAAATTAGCATGAAATTAATAAGTAAAGCTTGGAAAAGAATAGGTTAGTATATAATAATAAATATTATGCAGTGCAACTGTACTTGGCTAGGACTGTTGTCAGGGTGATTTGCAGGAGAAGCAGCCAATAATTGTAATAACACAGGAAATGAAAAAGCAGAAGAGGAAAGACATTTTCAAAGGGGCTGGATGGCTAGAGGAGAAATGCCTCCAGCATTGACACACTGAGGAGAACTTCCACGAAAAAGATCTGATTCAAGAGAGATGTTTTCTTCTCTGTTCCTCTACGTTCATTATCCTTAGAGAACTTGGCAGGAGACGAACAGGTAGTGGTGAGGACAAAATGCACAGTAAATGCCATGGCCTTGACCTTGCAGAGTTTGACTGTGCGGATCCAGTAGGACACACACAAGTTCTGAATCATATTTTTTTTTGATATTAAGTCTTACTTAAGTGGTGGATGTTGAATAACGTAAAATACATTCTTCTATATACAAAAAGCCCTGACTATTTACTACCTTGTCTGGTATGTTCTATCTATATACCACCAAATTACTTAATATCTTTTTCTTTTCTTTTTTTACCCCACTTTGGGAATGAGTTAAATAATTTTATTCCCTGATGGGCTTTAAAAATTTTCAATACGCTGGGCATGGTGGCTCATGCCTGTAATCCCAGCACTTTGGGAGGCCGAGGCAGGTGGATAATCTGAGGTCAGGAGTTTGAGACCATCCTGGCCAATATGGTGAAAGCCCATCTCTGCTAAAAATAGAAAAATTAGCTGAGAGTGGTGATGCGTGCCTGTAATCCCAGCTACTCAGGAGGCTGAGGCAGGAGAATCCCTTGAACCACGGCGTTGGAGGTTGCAATGAGCCAAGATGTCATCACTGCACTCCAGCCTGGCAATAGAGCAAGACTCCATCTAAAAATAAAATAAAATTTAATATTGAGCATCTTGCTAACATAAGTAAGCCATTATACTATTTTATGTTTTATTATGTTGAATTTGATCAGGTAAGACTCAAAAATGCTAAAAGTGTCTTTTAGGATAAATAGGCTCTTTTATGTTTTTGATAGATACTTATGAAGTTTAGAGCCATTTTCTTCTTTGATATTTACCTGCCAAGTTAAGGGGGAAGAAAAGGAAATTGTCAGGTTTTGCTTGGCCATGTACACTCATTTGAGGTCTTAAAGGAACTTGGGTTCCTTTCATTGGTTTGAAACCCTGGAGGGCCATTTTTCATTCTGAAGCTATTGTTGGGGAAGTAAAATTCCATGGAGAGGGAGTTGTGTGCATCTCTAGTGATATGTGGGCTGGTGGATTAACAATATTTGTCATGTGCACACACATATACCCCAATAATTCTTTTTCCTATTGTATGCTATGACTTCAATTTAAGAAATACCTCTGAAATTCTAGTGCCAAATACATGTTTGAGAAAAAAAATGCATCATATATTTAGCACATAAAGTGCTTTTGTATGCTTGTGTTCATCTTATAAGATGTAGTGCATATAAAAAAAACAAGACATCTGAGTTATGTGCAAAAGAGAGTATGGGGCATGAATAATGTAGAGGCCGGGGTTTCCATTATTTAACATGCCTAACAATGACCCATGGAGCTTGTAAACATGCAGATTCCCAGGCCCTCCTGGTGATTCTGAGTCTGCATTTATTGAGTGGCCCAGGAATTTGTGTTTTAATGAACATACCAGGTGATTAATGACACAGGTAGTGCTGGAAACACTGAGAGGATAACTTCATGTGGTATTACTTTGGGTCACACATTTGAGGAAAAGTTATGTCTAAGGATTGTTCACCTGTTAGTCCAGTCATAACATCCCATGTGAGTGTGTACGGCAGATAACGAGAAAAGAAAAGTAGAAAAGAACCTCTCTGTTGCTAAAGGACAGTGGTAAATTTGACATCACTTTTTTGTTTCAAAGAGAAAAACTTCATCTGTTGAATGTAATAATTATATTATTTACCTCATAGTAAGGATTAAATAAGGTAGTGATTGTAAAATGCTTCTCATTGTATTCCGCAGCATCTGATAAAATGTTTAGTAGGCGTCATGCATCCTTCTTCTATCATTCATTATTATTTAAGCTATGTATTTCCTATTTGCTGCTTTATTTTTAATACAGTGAGTTGACCTAAGGGCTCAGATTATTGTTTTGTTTATCATCTTGTGGCTGAAGAGCAAAGTTTTCTCCTAATCAAAAAAAAAAAAAAAAATTGCAGTTTCCCATTCTATTCTTTTTAAAAACAAAACAAATATTTTTATTAAAACAGAAGTTGAAGTTTAAAAAGCCATCTACTTTTCCTTCTAGGGCTCAAAGTTGTAGTGAGCTGTAGTAATAGAAGATCAGTTTCCATACAATTTAAAAGTGAACATGGACAGACAGTTCAAATGGCGAGTGAGTGTGATAATCCCTTTGTTCTCAGGAAGAGCACAGATCTTCCTTGCTTTATAAAGTAGGAATATTTTTTAAAGGCCTAGTTAAATTATCTTAATGGAAATGAATTCAACTCGTGAAGTGTCTGGGTCCTCAAATTAGAGCAGTCTTGTCAATCCCTTGTGACTATATTATCATAAAGAAAATAAACACTCAAGAGCCTTCAGGAACCATTTGCTTTTATCCTAGCAACGTACTTCTCCTACGACTAAAAGGCCAAACACTTAAAATAGTACCTGTATTCTATAATTAGAGAATCTAATAGGCTAGAATTTTGAGGGGAGGTGAGGAGCCTCTCTTCAATAACTATTCGCTTTTTTATGTACTCTAGCTGCCTAATCTTGGGACTTAGAAGATTTAACTGGGGTCAAAAAATTTCAAATCTTAAAAGATTTATACAAAGAGAAATCTTATATGATACAAGCTTTCTTCTTTTTAGTAAAAAGTATTAAGAATTTCTTTGGCAACAGGGAGAGAATGTGGCCTAGGTGGATCTGCACATCCTCACAGCTACTCATGACTTCAGTGGGAACTGTGTATCCATGCTATCTCCTTCCTTTCTATCCAATAAGACACACTTTGAGAAATTCGTTCAACCTTGGGGTGTTTGTTTTGGGTTCCCATGTCAGGTATTACAAGTCACATGGCTTTCAAATAGAGTACTTACAAAGTACAGGCTTCCTCCTAAAAATGGATTCTTAGGGAATTATATCTAGATTAAATTCCCTTTCAAGTGAATTGAATTTGAAATACATTGGGGATGATAGCCCTTTCTAAGAAAGATGTATGATAGGCTGGGTGAAGTGGCTCATGCCTGTAATCACAGCCCTTTGGGAGGCCAAGGTGGGTGGATCACCTGAGGTCAGGAGTTTGAGACCAGCCTGACCAACATGGTGAAACCCCATCTCTATTAAAAATACAAAAATTAGCTGGGTGTGCTGATGCACATCTGTAATCCCAGCTACTCAGGAGGCTGAGACAGGAGAATCACTTGAACCCGGGATGTGGAGGTTGCAGTGAGCTGAGATTGTGCTATTCCATTCCTGCCTAGGTAATGAGAGTGAAACTCTGTCTCAAAAAAAAAAAAAAAAAAAAAGAAGGATGTATGATAAGGTTCTCCCCTTTTATTGTGTAATGTAAAACCAATCATGTTCTATTGGTAGATGGTTTCCAACATGGTAGTTTCAACTAAGCAGTTTCCTCCAGTGATGGACACCAGCATCTCAGGCACGTGAATGCCATATGGTGGGTCCTGCAGTCATGTGAACCACTAACATTTACTGCTTATTTTTGGAGGCAGATTTCATTAGGAAAGTCTCACTATGATTTTGAAATTTTGTTTAAACAGAATGTTTGTGGAAAAATATTCCCCGAATGGAAAATTTCCTGATGGGAATATATGTAGGTTATGTTTGATTGGTATGACAAGTAAAGCACTGCTGGCCCCCTACAAATCACAGAAGTCTCTGGCTAAGTTAGCGTCCTGCCCCTTCAGAAAAAACATGGAGTCTGTGATTTCCTTACCATTCTGTGTTACAGTTTCAGTTTCTACAGAGTAAATTTCATTTCTCAAAATCTAATTTGTTCAGAATTATCTAAACTGTCCAAATTCACCAGCCAATAGTGACTCTTCCATTTTATTTTACATAGTATGCATTTTAATTTGGTTTCTAATAAAGCAAAGCAAAGTCAAACACAGACCAGAATGAGAGAATAAGGAGACACTCCCTGCCTGAGACCTTGGAAGTGGTGTACACCTTGCTGTTTTGCCAGACAAGTGGATGACTGCTTGTTGACTGTTCACTTTTACAATCGTGAGTGGTGAGGCCCCTTTCTTTTCCCTGCCCGTTTTAATAATCGACTGGTGCCAGCAATTCTTTTAGGTCCAGTGTGACTGGTCCAGCCCAGTCTCCCATATTGGAAGCAGTAATGCATTTTTAGTTGGCACACTGCATTTCACATCAAATTATTCTGTTTCAGTTGTGTTGCTTCTTTCTCCCAAACTGGGCTGTTAATTCCTTGAAAACAGGAGAAACCTAGAATATAGGAAAGAGCCAGGGAAAATCAAGGTTCAATATCTTCTGAATATTCCCTATAAATCAAGTTCATCATTGTAATGCATGAAATTTCTATTTAATAAAAGTTTAAACTGTTCTTTAAAATGTTAAAAATATTTTGAGTTAAAAGTTAATTTGTAGCATCTAAGTTCTATGGTGGCTGGAGAGTCACTGTGGGAATAAAATAGATTAATTACTTAATAGAAGAAACTCCGCTGAAGTAAGAGAAACATCCCTGCCTGTCTGAGTGGAGGCAGGCATTTTTAACAGCGAGCTCATGACTTTGAAATAGATAAGGATCCTGTAACATTTGTGCGTCACGTTTAGTTAGAATATACTCTCAGAATGGAATGAATCTCACAAAATTGCTATTTTCTCTCAGGTATATTATTCATCTTCTCAGAATTTTCCTGCGTTTTAGTGATTACTTCTTTAAATATCTTCTAACTACTAGTGCCATAAATATAATATGCTAAAGAAATATGGTTCTAGAGGTTTCCACAGTAGAAAAAATATTTTTAAAGTAATTATTTGCAAATGTCACATGTCAGATTTTTTAACTCTTAAACATCTTTGATGTGGACTAGTCTAAAATCCTGACAGGAATCTTATTAGATAATAATAAACAATGATGAGTTTGAACAAAAAGTTAAATTGCCTGAGATCTTACAAAAGTGAGAGAATTATATTTTGTTTTTACTCCCCCTTTCATTTCAAATTTCTTGACTGTATTACTTACTCTATTCAGATACTTTTATACTATACTATGGAAAATATTTATGTTTATAATAAAACAAAACATATTGAGTTTATGCACCCGCTTTCTGTAATATGCTCTATTTCTCTTGTATTTTAAGTTGTGAAAGACTATGACATATGCATAAGAATTCCTCTTTGAAGTGTGGTCTTGTTGATAAAAAAACAGTGATACCTTGTACACATTGCTACACTTGCCATTGTGACGGTTTATAGGTTTATTATATTTTATCTACAGTGTACTGTATGATAAAAATCTTATCTAGAAGGAAAAAAAATCCTAAAACCTACTAAGCTTGAATAATGCTTTTGCTTGTACTCAGTTTAAGATCGTATCTTGGTTCAGTATAAAACATCTGCTAGCAAAGGAAGTTTTGTTAGAAGCTTTTTTTTTTTTTTTTGGCTTTGAGCAATCCTTTCTGTTCAATACAAAACAAAAATACAGCTCCCTATAGTTTAAGGAAAGTAAGGTAAACAGAAAATGAAAACCTCATGAAAGTCAATGTAAGATAACCCTATGTGACGCTCCAAGAGACTAAAAACCAAGCCTTAGTGTGCTAGTCCTAAAGGTAGGGAAAACAAGAGCTAAAAATCTACAAACCCAGTGAAGGTTGTGGCCTGGGTTGAGTATATTTTAGAATATTTAGAATATTAGTTGGGCCTTCTTTAAGTTGAATATTTAAGTATGTGAAAAGATAGGTTTTCCTAATACATGAATGACTCAAGATTCTGTTTACATGTGTGAAAACTTAGGTCTTTAATGTACAGTCGTAGGTCATTTAACGATGAGAATACATTCTGAGAAATGCATGCATCCTTGGGCAATTTTGTCATTGTGCAAACATTGTAGAGTATACTTACCCAAACCTGGATGGTATAGCCTAGGCTATGCTGTGTAACCCAGAGGTCCCCAACCTTTTTGGTACCAGGGATGGGTTTAGTGGGAGACAATTTTTCCATAGACCAGGGGTAGGGGGGCAGGGATGGTTTTGGGATGATTCAAGAGCATTACATTTATTGTGCACTTTATATTATCATTACATTGTAATATATATTGAAATAATTATACAACTCATCATAATGTAGAATCAGTAGGAGCCCTGAGCTTGTTTTCCTGCAACTAGAAGGTCCCATCTGGGGGTTTTGGGAGACAAAAACCGATCACAAGGCATTAGATTCTCATAAGGAGTACACAATCTAGATCCCTCGCATGCACAGTTCACAGCAGGGTTCATGCTCCTGTGAGAATTTAATGCCAATGCTAATGTGACAGGAGGTGGAGCTCAGGTGGTAATGCAAGTGATGGGAGGTGGCTGTAAATACAGATGAAGCTTCGCTCTCTTGCATGCCACTTACCTTGTGCTGTGTGTCCCAGTTCTAACAGGCCACAAACTGGTACTCGTCCATGGCCCAGGGGTTGGGGATCCTTGGTCTATCCCATTCTTCCTAGACTACAAAACTGTATAGCATGTTACAGTACTGGGTACTGTAGGCAACTGTAACACAACGGTTAAATATTGGTGTATCTAAATGTATTTAAACATGGAAAATACACAGTAAAACTCCTGTATCCAAGATTAAAAATGATATACCTGTATAGGGCATGCACCATGAATGGAGCTCGCAGGACTGGAAGTTGCTCTGGGTGAGTCGGTGGGTGAGTGGTGAGTGAATGTGAAGGCCTAGGACATTACTATACACTACTTTAGACCTCATAAACACTTTATACTTAGGCTATACTAAATTTATAAAATTTTATTTTTTCAATGATAAATTAATGTCAGCTTTAATTTCTTTACATTATAAACTTTTAAATTGTTTGACTTCCTGACTCTTTTGTAATAAACCTTAGCTTAAAATACTAACAGTTTGCGTAGCTGTACAAAAATACTTTCTTTCCTTATATCCTTATTCTTAGGCCTTTTCAATTAAAAAGTATGTTATTTTACTTCTTAAATGTTTTAATTAAAAACTAAGACACAGGCACACACATTAGCCTAGGCCTGCACAGGGTCAGGATCATCAATATCACTGTCTTTTACCTCCACATCTTGTCCCACTGGAAGGTCTTCAGGGGCAATAACATGCATGGAGCTGTCATCTCCTATGATAACAGTGCCTTCTTCTGGGTACCTCCTGAAGGACCTGCCTGAGGCTGTTTACAGTTAACATTTTTAAAATAAGTAGAAGGAATACCTCTAAAATAACGATTAAAAGTACAGTATATGCATACACTAGTAACATCATCATTTCTTATCAAGTATTATGTACCGTATGTCATCATAGGGTCTATCCTTTTATACAGCTGGCAGCATAGTAGGTCTGTTTACACCAAGATCACCACAAACATGTGAGTAATGCATTGCACAATGACATTAAGATGGCTATGACATCACTAAGTGATAGAAAATTTTCAGCTCCGTTATAATCTTATGGGACCATCCTATACATGGTCTGTTGTTGACCAAAATGCCATAATGTAGTACATGACTCTATTTGAGAAATATTTACCATTGCATGACATAAAATTACTGCACTGCATAGCTGCTAACATTTCTGCTGCTGGCTTCTATTTTTTAATGCCTAATCTATCCATGTCCTTTCTCATTTAATGATTTTGATCTCCATGTTGAAAACCTATGCGACCCGTCTGTCACCTGACTTTCTGCCTTCTGTGATGGCACAGCCACTCACCAGTAGCCTGGAAACTAGCTCTGATCAATGGATGTTACTTTGCTTTGGGGATCTTTCCCTCTGACACTATCCACACTGCCTGCCACCACTAAGACCAGTCATCACTCTAGCCTGCCTTCACATTGACATCACTCTGTGCCTTTTGGCTATCACACACATCCCTGTCTTTGGCCTCTAATCTTTATGATGTTAGAGATTTATTTTTCCCACTCACAGTTCCCTTGTTTGCCCACCTCAGAGTCAACCATATGCACTGATAATCCTTGGACCTGTCTCAGCTCTTGTTCTCTCACCTTCTGTTCCTCTTGAAGGGAGGAAAGGGTAGAATTAGGCCTATCGTAGCCTATTACAGATTCACACAAATTCAGTCTGTCCATTAATGCAGCTCCACAAGCCATTTACTTCTCTTTCATGCAACCATAAGCTCCCTCTCACAGAGGCCACACATGATTTGATTTTTCTTCTCTGTCTCTCAATCCTACTTTCTCTCACTTCCAAATGTGTGGGAAAGATCATGGCAGTCTTGCAGGAACTGCTCTGCATCTCTGGTCATGTTCACCTCCATCTGTCGTTTCCTTCCTCCCAGCTTGTTTTTTCCTACACGTCATGCCTCCATGAAATTTCTCTCTGCCTACCATGTCCTTATAACTGTGGGAAGGCCCTCAGTCTCTCATTCATTTCCAGTAACTCCAGCTCCTCCTCTTCTACTTTTAAAGATTAGCTCTCACTATCTGAAGACAAAGCAACCAAATAGCTTTTGGTCAAGTGCGCTGTCCTCTCTCAGAACTCTCATACTTAATGTGTGGCCCTCATCTGATTGCTGCATTTTCATCATCAGGATCTCCTTATGTCCTTTGACCCTGGCTTCGAACCATACTGAATTCACACTTCTGATTCTTCTCCAGATACCCGATGGCTTCTTTTTCACCCTCAGATTTTAAATATGAATGTTTTTAAAAGTTTTTCATGGTTTACACTCCTGGTTCTTTGCTTAGCATTCCCCAGTTTCAACACTCAACTATATTTTCATGATGCCTCAAAATATGCCTTCACACAGAACTCTCTCCAAAGCTGTAACTTCATTTTCTTTTTTTTTTGGAGATGGAGTCTCAACTCTGTTGCCCAGGCTAGAGTACAGTGACATGATCTTAGCTCACTGCAACCTCCACCTCCAGATTCAACTGATTCTCCTGCTTCAGCCTCCCAAGTAGCTGGGATTACAGGCACCTACCACTACACCTGGCTAATTTTTGTATTTTTAGTAGAGACTGGGTTTTGCCATGTTGGCCAGGCTGGTCTTGAACTCCTGATCTCAGGTGATCCACTGGCGTTGGCCTCCCAAATTGCTTGGATTACAGGCCTGAACCACTGTACCCCGCCATAACTCCATTTTCAAAGGCCTGCTGGGCATTTCAACTTAATTTTCCTGCGATGTCTTCCATTTTAGCTCATCTAATGAGTTATCTTTGTCTGAAACCTTTCCCATTCGACATGCCTCCCCCTAATGATTTTTTATTTCTAACTTTATTTTAATTTTTGAAGGAAATATATAAATACTCGTACAGACATATGCCTTTGGCTTGGTGCTAAGATAATCATATGCAGAGTCGGCTATCACTGCAGATTCTGGAGTATTTTTCTTCTTAGAAAGTACACTGTATTGCAGATGAGTGGTTTATCTTTGAGTGCAGTGAATGTGGAATGACTTTATTTTTAGCAATTTATAATGCAAAGCAATGCCCAGATTGTCGATTATTTGCCAAATTCATTGTCCTTTAACAAGTAAAAGCTCACAAGTAAGAACAGTTGTTTCAAGAAATAAATTGGTGTTCCTAGGTAATAAATCTAAAAACAAATTAAAAGTTGATTCAAGGTGTCCTGCAGCCATTTCAATATCATCCTTACCTTAGATGAATGTAGAAAAGAAATGTGGGCGTTTCTAATGTGCCTCTCTCCAAAGCTGCTTTTCTGGCAGTTAGCAATCTACCTCTCCCCATGACCCCTTGTGAAATTTTCCATGAGGAATTCATGCACCTCCCTCAATACACAGCCATAGATCTTGGTTCTACCAAATGTAGTGGCAGCACTTGCACCTATATTTTAAGGAACAAAACATAGTGGCAAAGCGTAACTTGTTTCTTTCATCGCCACCAAATATAAGACATATATGGTAAATATACTGCCTTTCCACATATGTTTACAATTTACCACTTGCTTTCTTTGTTCCTCTCTACTTTACTCACAAATCCTTTCCAGTGTATTAATAGATTCTGTGATATGTAACTAATTCATACTGATAGCAGTCATAAATACTGCATACATGGTAGCAGTTGCAGGTAGTGGTGTTACAATCATATATTGTTAATATATATAATTATATAATGTAAAGCAATTGGTGATATAGTTTCCTATTTTCTGTTTATGCTTATCATTAACATACATTCATGGCATGGGATAGTCAAGGCATTGTGGAAAATGCAGTTATGTGACAAGGCACATATAGTCTAGTTGTAAAGAAAACAAAAAATTAGGTACATAAGGCATCATTGACAATTGAGTTGTTCAGTGAAAAGGTGTTCAGAGGAGGAAGACTTTATGAGTTGTGGGAAAAAACCCTTCTAGTGTTTCTTTCCTTTCCAGATCTATGTGGCTTTTCTAGTTTATTATGGTTTTCTGTGTGTTTATGCCCACTTACTTCACCAGTTACAAGATGCCTCTGCATTTTAGATACCTCTAAAGTAAATGGGCATAAGCGAACAGTTTTCAATGTGTGATGTCCTTGCTATACGTTACACCATCTTTAATTCTTGTGTTTCCTCCACTCCACTCTGATTCACTTCATTTCAGTTCCATGGGAAGAACCTGTTTAGATATTCTGTTTGGAGATTTTTCTAACGCATAGCATGTTCAGTAAATCTGAGTGCCAGTGAGAGAGCTTTTATTGTTTCCCTCTGAGACCTCACAGTTAAAAATTATGAGGTCAAGGCAGGGGGATCACTTCAGTCCAGGAGTTCAAAACAAGCCTAGGCAACAGAGTGAGACTCTGTTTCTACAAAAAATAAAAAGTTAGCCAGGCATGGTGGTACTCGCTTGTGGTGCCAGTTACTCGAGAGGCTAAAGTGGGAGGATTGCTTGAGCCCAGAGAGGTTGAGGCTGGAGTGTGCTGAGATCACAGCACTGCACTCCAGCTTGGGTGAAAGAGCAAGACCCTGTCTCAAAAACAAAAAAATTATGACTTGCTATTTGGCTGCAAATGTCCTTGAACATGACAATGATAAAACTATTAAAGACATTTATTCTGTTTGTTTTGTTTGTTTTAACAAGTTCCTCTATCAGGAATGAGATCTTCCCTCTCCCAACCAACCTCTATCTGGCTAAATTCTACAGTTTCAAGACTCAGTTCAGGAGCCACTTCCTCCAAAACACCTGCCTTCTATGCGCTGGGCACAGTGGCTCATTCCTGTAATCCCAGCACTTAGGGGAGGCTGAAGCGGGAGGATTGCTTGAGCCCAGGGTTTGAAATCAGCCTGGGCGACAGAGCAAGACACGTCCTGCAAAAATAAAAACAAAAAAACTGGCCAGGTATGGTGGTGTGCATCTGTGGTCCCAGCTACTTGGGAGGCTGAGGCAGGAGGATGACTTCAGCCCAGGAGGTTGATGCTGCAGAGAGCTATGATCACGCCACTGCACTCTAGCCTGTGTGACAGAGTGAGACCCTGTCTTAAAAACAAAAACAACAAAAACCCTAACACCCTCCCCCTCCAAAATAAATAATAATAAAAAGCCTTATGTGGTGCCAATCTGGTCTTAGATGTGTGAAGCTGCCGCGTAACACAGATGCAGGAGCCGTTTACTTCCAACTCATATGAACGACACCTCCTGGTTTTATGCAGTTCACAGCCTGAGTAATGGTGTATAGCAGCCTTGGGTACACGTTGCCTTCTTTGAGCTCCAACACACCCTGTGCTTTTCCTCATTACCGTATTGTTTCTATTTATATTTCTATCCCTTAACACATTGTAGGTATTTTAGAGACAGGAATTGTGACTTAATTTCTGACCCACACTCAGTACATAGTAAAAGTTTGTATCGGGGAACCTGCCCCGATATTCACGTAGGTTCTTTTCTATTTTCCCTAAGTGTCGGCCAGCTTGAGAAATAAAGGGACAGAGTACAAAAGAGAGAAATTTTAAAGCCGGGTGTTCGGGGGAGACATCACATGTCGGTAGGTTCCGTGATGCCCCACAAGCCACAAAAACCAGCAAGTTTTTATTAGGGATTTTCAAAAGGGGAGGGAGTGTGCGAATAGGTGTGGGTGACAGACATCAAGTACTTTACAGGGTAATAGAATATCACAAGGCAAGTGGAGGCAGGGTGAGATCACAGGACCACAGGACTGGGGCAAAATTAAAATTGCTAATGAAGTTTCAGGCACCATTGTCATTTATAACATCTTGTCAGGAGACAGGGTTTTGAGATCAACCAGTCTGACCAAAATTTATTAGGCAGGAATTTCCTCTTCCTAATAAGCCTGGGAGCGCTATGGGAGACTGGAGTCTATTTCACCTCTGCAGTCTCGACCATAAGAGACAGGAGCACCTGGGGGGGGCTGTTTATAAGCCTATACCTCCAGGCGCATATTCTCTTTCTCAGGGATGTTCCATGTTGAGAAAAATAATTCAGCGATGTTTCTCCCATTTGCTTTTGAAAGAAGAGAAATATGGCTCTGTTCTGCCCAGCTCACCAGTGGTCAGAGTTTAAGGTTATCTCTCTTATTCCCTGAACAATTGCTGTTATCCTGTTCTTTTTTCAAGGTGCCCACATTTCATATTGCTCAAACACACATGCTGTACAATTTGTGCAGTTAATGCAATTATTACAGGATCCTGAGGCAGTATACATCCTCCTAAGCTGACAGGATTAAGAGATTAAAGTGAAGACAGGCATAGGAAATCACAAGGGTATTGATTGGAGAAGTGATAAGTGTCCATGAAATCTTTACAATTTATGTTTAGAGATTGCAGTAAAGACAGGCATAAGAAATTACAAAAGAATTTGGGGAACTAATAAATGTCCATGAAATCTTCACAATCTTCTTCTGCCATGGCTTCAGCCAGTCCCTCCGTTTGGGGTCCCAGACTTCCCACAACAGGTTTGTTTTACTAATTTTAAAAGAAATGAAGCTTAATGGAAACTCTTGGTAAAATTCATACCTTGATGAAAGCTCTAAAGACCTAAGCTTAATCCACAGTGCTGCTACTTATCCTGACTCACAGGATTAGCAGTCCAGACGTTCTTCCTAATACTGACTCCTGATCTAAATACTGGGGTTTCTGTTTCATAAGCATCTTATTCACCTCATTCCCTGTCCCTTCCCTTCCCTTCATCTTCGTGTTCTCTATTCTGCTGTAACTTAGTTCATTGGCCCTTGTTACTTTCTCCCCCTGAGTCATTAATTTTACAGAAACAGTACTAGAGAATCTTTTCAAACTTCTCTACCTCCAATTTCTTCTCCTATGCTTCTTTCCTCTTATTTTCCATTGTGCAGCTCTCACCATCTTCTTTCCTAGTTGCCACTGGAAATTAGAAATTAAGCAGTAAAGTCTGACTTTGGATTTTTTTTTTTTTTTTTTTTTTTTGAGACAGAGTCTCACTCTGTCACCCAGGCTGGAGTGCAGTGGCATGATCTCGGCTCACTGAACCTCTTCCTTCTGGGTTCCAGGGATTCTCCTGCCTCAGCTTCCCTAGTAGCTGGAACTATGGGGTACACACCACCATGCCCGGCTAATTTTTATAAAAAATATAAAAATATAAAAAATATTTCTAAAAATTTATATTTTTATACTAAACCGAGAAGGGGTTTCGCCATGTTGGCCAGGCTGGTCTCGAACTCCTTACCTCAGGTGATCCGCCCACCTCAGCCTCCCAAAGTGCTGGGATTACAGGCGTGAGACACCGTGCCTGGACCCGAATTTGGATTTTTATATCAGTATATATTTTTCCTCCGTGCCTCTCTTCCTAATAAGAAAAATATCCATAGATTTAATAACATCAGTAAAGAATCAAATCTGCCTAAATGAAACAGAACAACTAATTAGAGCACCTGCCTCGAAATATGTTTTTTTGGTTCTATCAAGACATAGTTTTCAATTGACTTTCCTGATCTACCCTTAATCTGTTTGCATAGCCACATTCTGCACATAATTTGTCTTTTGCATATAAATAACATTTACCTACATACTCTCGCCTTCCAAGGCTGCATTTCTCAGTCTCTTCTTATGTAGAATCAATGTTGAGAGTCCTGTTTCCAACCGTTGGTGAATATAAAGAGCATGTATTGCAGACTGGAGGCCTGAGGGTCACATTTGACCTGGAGATGTGTTTTATTTGGAATACATACTGCCTGTAAACAAAATTATTTTTTAGTCAACATATGAAGATTGGATGATTTCACACACAAAAACAAGGAGCAACAGATGATTCACTTTACAACATGGCAAGAATCAGCTGGAACTTAGCAATGATGACTTTATTTATACAGGTAACCACTCCCTAGTAGACCACAGTTCTCACCACTCCCTATTATCTCCCTGATGCCAATGCCTGATACAACCTGCCCTTCATCTGTGCTCTTACATTGCTTGCTTTATTGGAAATGCTTTTTTATATCCATGGCTTTGTTAATTATGAGGAAATGAAACAGCAGGAGAGGACAGTTTATTTCAACAAAATCTGGAAGCTAGCTTCTTCTTTTGTATCAGTGAACTATATTCTTACATATCAAATGCAATTTTTAAAAGTATCTCTGGATCTTTACCCAGGTATCCTCACTCATTTAAGTTACTTCTTTTTGGTAGGCATTTATATTTATGACCTTTAAAAATATAAATAATAATGTTATTAAAATTATGGCAACACCCCTAGGAAGTATCTACTGTCAGTTACACAGTGTAATCCATGTAGAAAAATGTCAGGGATAGTAATAATAAAAAAAAAAATAAAAAATAATAAAAAAATAATAATAAAAAAATAAATAAAAATAAAAATAAAAAAATAAAAAACAAAAATAAATAAATAAATAAATAAATAAATAAATAAATAAATCACACCTTAAAAAAAAAAAAAAAAAGAAAAATGTCAGGGCTAAAGAAGGGTGCTTAGTGATGCTGACATTGCCAAGAATGGTGAACAGAGGTTCTGATTTAAACTCTCAGTAATTCTAAATCTCCGTTCAGTACTTACTACTGTCTTCCTTTCTACCCAAGTGGAAGGTAGGGGCTGGATTCAGAGAGAACAGATGGTATAGGATCTGTCCTAATTTATTCTTTGATACTAACAAGTACAAAAGAGTGAAAACTAGATTACAAAGGAAGATAGCAGATAAGATGCATATTCAGAAAGTCATTCCAGTTGTGCATACCACTTTGAAACAGAAGTGTCTGGTGGCTTCAAAGCCTTCTAGAATTTCCTTCTAGTCCATTTTGGCAAGATTATCATGCAAATAATACTACTAAAGATGTCATGATATGATGATGGGTGATAGTTTTTAACTTGTTTTGCTTTACCTATTAAAGTAAAAATTTGGCAAGCCATTTTGTATTCTCTCTAAGATAATAACAGTTCTTCCTCTAAATGAGGTATGTCATAGTGCACTTATTTTTAGATTCAGCAAAAATAATTCTTTAGCAGTTGATTTGTCATAACATTATACAGCTATTGGCATTATAAAACAAAAATTACAGTTTTCTTTATTCTACACCCTGCCCTCCACTTACCCTTTGTAATTTTTGAAATTTTCTTCTGTAGAATGCAACTAGAATGCTGCTGGATTTTTTTTAAATTGTGCTGTCATTATTCCCTCCATAACTGGTTTATTAGGAAAGTCTGGGCAAACCTCTCCTAGCAAGAAAAACTTTTTTTTAAAAAAGAGCTCTCATCAGCTTGTGCAAGGGCTGAAGTCATGAGGGAGTTGTAATTGAAACCTCCACCATGAGCCTATGGCTCTCAGAATTCTGGAAGCTGCTAATTTGGTTCTAAATTAACTTCTGTAAGGAGTGGAAGATTGTTGAATTTAGGAATGTTATTACTATGTGGCAGAGGGGTACCAATAAATAATGGAAAATGAAATGTCTCATGGGAGAAAGAAGTGTGTTTTTTTGCAGAAGGGTGTGATATGTTGTTGTTTGATTGGTTGTGTGAATGAGGCAGGCATTATTCTGGTAAGTTCACGCTTGTGTCCTTCATGTCTTCTAGTGTACAATTTTGGGATACCAGAGTAAAATAATAGTACATTTTAAATAAAAGATAACAGTGTCTTCATTTCATACCTAGTGGTCTTGAGGAAAATCACATAAGGCAAATAAGATAAATGAAGAAATCATCTAGGTAGTTCTGGCTAAAATGAATACATGCTTTTCAGAATGATCTGAATGTTGTTCTGTGGTTTTAAACCAACCATTGACTAGCACAAATGGTCTTTTAAATAATAAATATCTCACATATTTTACTTGATTCACATTTTCGAAATATTGGTTTCAATGAATTTTTAAAACTTTTTTTTGGTAACTCTTTTTCTGTTTGTTTTTGTACAAAAATGGAACATTCAACAGAGCTCTTGAATCCTTTCTGCCATTACCTCATTTTTCTCAAACAAGATAGTAAGAAATTATAATGGTGTTGACAGTACCTGGGACATTTTCATATTATTTCTCATCATGCCTTTTATTAATTACAAGTGAATGATTCTAGGTTATTTGTATGAAATTTCAATCTATGCATCCCATTATTATACTTTGTCACTCTTATTTCTAAATAACTTATGTTTGATAAGAGAGCTAAATTTACTTTTACGTAATCAAAGATATAATGTATTTCAGTTTCACATTTGAGCTTCTACATTAACAGTCCATTAGTCCTTTTATTCTTCCTTTCTAACGTTGTTTAAAGACTACATGGCCATGAAATACATGGAGACAAAAACATTATATTTTTATTTCTTCAGTCACAGCTTTAAAATTTCCATGTTGAATTTCCTTCTAGTCCATTTTGGCAAGATACTGTAACCTCTGGTCATTCCTGCTTATATTATACTCCAGTGTCAGGTCAGATTTGAAGTTCTCTTCTTTTCTCCCAGTAGTAGACTATGGCCTTGGCTGCTTGGACTTTGGTGACAGTAGGACAATATGGTCTCTAGATCCTCACTTCCTCTTCTTTTTCAAGGCCTAATCCCTTAGAGAGACTAGGCCTAAGCTCTAGGGAGAGACAGAAGTCGTGGAAGAAGAGCCTGCTAGATAACTGGGCTGCTCGTTTCCTTCTGGTTCCACCTCATGCTCTGCTGAGAGAATGGCTTTCTGAGTAGCTGCTTTATATTTGGGGAAAGAGGGTGATAGCTTTGTTCATCCTCCATTTGGTGACTTCTGTGGCTGCCGACTCCTGCAGAGTGGGTCAGCTAGTTTCCCTGTAGTGCTTCCAGAAGACCATGTTTTCAGTTCATTCTCATGATGGAATACTCCTCACTTGGCTGTGTCCTTCCTCTGTCTTGCTTGATTCTTCATAGAGGACCACAGGAATCACAGGAATCCTCTTCTGTGTCCGCTGACATGCTATGGGAACCTGGAAGGGACTGCCTCACTGATTTTCATCAAGAGTGTATTGAACTTTTGTCCTTCTAAGACCTGCTGACATAGGCTGCTCTGAAGGCCTTTCTGCTGTCAGACAACTCTATCTTCGAATGGGTGGAGACTACCAGGTTCTATAGTTTGTCCCACATTCCTGGGGATAGACATTAACCTCACCTACAAACTGTTTTACCATGCTCAACTCTGGCTTAGGAATCAACCAGCCAGGCTTTCTCACCAATGGCTGTAAATGAGTATCCTCTGAAATGCTTGTCTTCAGAAATAATTTATGCCTCTCTCTCATGATTAGGGTAATGATGAGTGACCTTTCAACACAAATAGCGCACACTCAGGAAATCTGAGCTACCCTTTAGGTTCCTCATTCTACAGATTGAGGGAAAAGAGGGCAGGGAGAAAGACTGGTGCGTGGAAAACTGGTTCTGCCACCTCTTGATAGACCCCTTGAGAAGAGGAACACTCCTGGTGGCACGTTGTTATACCATTTTGGACCTTAGTTGTAATATAAAAGGTCCCACTCAACATGCTGTTAGAAGTGTGTGTGTGCATGTGTGAAATGTCCTATCTTCTATGGATGTTAAGCTACTTTGAGGCAGAAACCATGTCTCGCTGCTTTTTTCATCCCCACTTATTACCCTGTAACAACAAAACCCATAACAAAACAGCAGTAATAATAAGCAAACACTTCAGTGATGCTTACTATCTATAGACCAGGCACTGTTCTAAATGCTGTATATATATTTATGCTTTTAATTCTCACAAACCCTATGAGGTTGATATTATTGTTGTAATTTCAGCTTGTGAAAATAGGTATAGGCAGTTAAGTAACTTGCCCACGGGTTTACACAGCTGATAAGAGGTGAAGCTGAGATTTGGACCCAGTCAGCCTGGCTCCGGGGCTGGTCTATACTGATTGTCCTTATCATAAACATATGCACACTGTGACCAGGTGTAAAGACAATAAGACACAAGGATTATTTGATCAATCAGACTTAGTATGTGAAGAAACACATCAAACTTTAAGTAATTATTTAAATGAAAACACATTTTCCATGCATGAAACTTTATATTGTTGGACCCAATGAGTATAAAATCTTATGGATTAAATGGAATCAAAAAGATTACTTATGAATGAATTGAGCACATTAAAGCAATTCCTGCCAAAGGTAAGAGTCAGAGCAGTTCTCTAGTGAATAACCATCTCTGAATATATCAGTAGTGCTTACAAAGGTAAGGTTTTAAAATTCCAAAACATAATGGTTATGTAATCTCAAATACTATCTGGCACCTCTGTTTTTGTTGACAGGAAAATAAAATTTAGTCGAAGTTCCAATCGGAACAATGAAATTCATTGTTCTCACTCTCCTTCTCCTTAAAATCACTGACAATTGTCTCCTGTCTTTATATAGATACTTTTCAGGCCATATCCCTCTCTCCCTCACACTCTTCTCTTACCCTCTGCCTCTGCCCCTCATTCTCTACACAACCATTTTTTCCTTCAGTCTCTACTCTCTGGGAGCAACAGCGCAAGCAGGCTGTGGGGTGTACAGACTTCCCCGTTTGCCTCTCCTCCAGCCATAGAGTTCCCGTCGGCTCTAACAGTGACTATCTGGGGTAAACTCAACTCTTGTGACACTGCCATTGTAGAGAAAAAAGAGAAAACTGGTCAATTCAAACACAGCAGGAGTTTTCCCAAGCTGTTAAACCTTGTCCATCTAAAACAAATTTCCGTGAACCATTTCAAATTGTTAAAACAAACAAGTAAATTCATTGAATTGGTTGGTAAATTAGCTTTCAGCAAACTGGCTTTAAATGAAGTGGTTGTCCAGCCAACTGGTGACATGATGAATTATCTTTTGGGATATTCACCTTGAGGCTGCCTTGGCTCCTGCCTTCTTAATTGTACAGCTCCCCTTGGATGCCAGGAGGTGCCCCTGCATCCTTTGTGCATACGCTCATTAGCATCTGTTGCTTGATAGAAAGAGTCCCAGCTAATACTTCTGAACCTGCTGGATTTTGGATTATCTGCTGAAATTTTCTGGCCACAATGACCACTGACTTCCATGTGGCCAAATCCAGTGGCTACACTTCTATCTTTATAGTTCTTGATAATTCTGATACTTTTTTCTTTATTGACCATTCTCTGCTACTAAAAATCTCTTTCTTTGGTTTCTAGAATCCCTCTTTCCAGGATCTGTGGCCTTTCTGCTATTTCTGTCACCTTTACAAATCCCTCTTCAGCTACCCACTCCTTTAATAGTAGGGTCTTTCTCCAGGACTCAGTCTTTGATCTTCTGGTTATCTTACTTTATATCTTAGATGTGCTTATCCTCGCCCATGGCTTCCACTAATGTACCCACACTGATGATTCTCAAGGTATATCTCTTGTTTTGGCCTTTCTGCTGATCTCTAGACACATGTCCAACTCTCTGTTTGTTACCTCAATTTGATTATCTCACAAGCACTTCAAACTCTCATCATTCTTTTCCAAATTTTCCTCTTTGACATTGCCTACCCTAATAAATAACACCACTGTTAACCACTCAGTATACCAAAGCATGACTCTATCTCAGTCACTTCTGCTATATCCCTTCAGTCACTAAATCCTGCCATTTCCATCTCCCTAATCAACATCAGTCTCATCAATCTACCTACCTACCTACCTACCTACCTATATCTTGTTTCCCCTCTTTATCACTATTGATCCTGCCCTAGTGCAGATATACATCTATTCTCGTCCAAATCACCACATCTGCTCCTGAGTGATTATGTTCTTTGCAATCTCACCACTTCCCAATCTATTCTTCACACTGTGACCTTGGAAAAAGCTTCCAAGGTGAATTTTTAATCATGTCACCTCTTTGGGTTAAAGTTGTCCTTAGATGTCCGCTCCCTTCAACACAAGGACCATTTCATTAGCATGAACATAAGACCTTTATAAATCGGCCTTGGCTTAGCTCCCTAACATTTATTCTTTCACTTTCTGAGATCTATTCATCACTCCAGCAACATTTCCCACATGCACTATGTAAATTAGTGACCCTCAGCCATTGCTCCTGTTCTGTAACACCCATGTGAACCATCACCTCCCATAAGAAACCTCTTCTCACCCAACCTAAGTGCTCCTCTTTTGTGTTCCTATAGCATCTTGTACAGGCACATCTCTACCTTAATGCTTACCATACTTTTCTGGAATAATCTGTTTACTTTCCTGTCTCTTACATGGAAGTCCAAATTCTATTCACTTTATCTCTCCAGAACCCAGTACATAGTAGGTAACTAATGAAAGTTTATTAAATAAATGATTAATATATAAATGAATGAAATATCATAAATAAAATTAAGATACTAGCAGAGATTTTCTAAATTAAAAAAATTCAAATAAGTTCTCTGAACAATTCCACTTGTGTAATTTAATTTTGATTCTCAAATCCTCTTAGTTTTGAGGACCGTTGTTTTCTTGCTAACTACATATTTCTAGTAATATTGCATGAAGCTATATATGTAAAATAAAGTATACCCATTTTCTTAAATAAGAGTACAATAAAATGCATGATACAGAAAAACTAGTGATCTAAATGATTGAAACTACAGTGTTTTTCTTATCTTTGTCTGTTGTCATATCCTGTCTGTCATGATGACTGTTAATTATTATTGTATGGTAGGTATGAGACCTACAGGTTACCAGAAAGCCAGAAAAGCCGGAAGCATTGTATTTTATTATGAACTCATCCTTCTCTAATCCACAATGCAGCTATTTCCTTTTTTCTTTTTCTTTTTCTTCTTTTTTTTTTTTTTTTTTTTTGAGACAGAGTCATGCTCTGTCACCCAGCTTGGAGTGCAGTGGCACGATCTTACCTCACTGCAACCTCCACCTCCTGGGTTCAAGTGATTCTCCTGTCTCAGCCTCCTCAGTAGTTGGAATTACAGAAACACACCACCACACCTGGCTAATTTTTTATTTTAGTAGAGACGGGGTTTCACCATGTTGGCCAGGCTGGTCTCGAACTCATGACCTCAGGTGATCAGCCTGCCTTGGCCTCCCAAAGTTTTGGAATTACAGGCACGAGCTCCCATACCCGGCTGCTATTTACTTTTAATTAAACTGTTCTAAATGATTATCTGGCATCTGCAGTAACTCAGTAATATGAATATAGTAAACTTTTAGGTATTTCACTTATCTCTATACAGTATATTAAATTATTAAGACTCTCCTTTTGACATAGGTTTACTAGAATGTAGCATCTTTCTTAAAGTCTAAACCTAACCTCTTTTTAAAAATAATCCCATTTTTCTCTAGAGTTTGAGTAATCAGAGGTACTCCTATTCACTGTTTCCTTAGCATGGTATGCTAAGACAGTACACAGTAATTATATCTTGAATCTGCATTTCTGAAACTGTTTTTCTTTCAGTTACCCCACACTTAGAAGAGTTTTAACCCAGCAAAGCCCTTATATTATTTTCAAGGCTTAGGGTTTATTCAAGGACGTAACAACAGATATCAGGAAGTAAGGTGCATGTTTCTTAATCTTCTTGGAGTTCTGGACCCCTTAATAATCTGATATGGGTCCTTTCTCAAGGAAAATACACATACTCATACCCTCACAAATGTTGACTGCAAGTTCAGGGCGTCATAGATCTCTAAAAGAATTTCATTGACCTTCTAGGGTCCATGGGGCTCAGATGAGCTCTGGAGTCAGGTTTGGTTATCACTGCAGTGAAGAATGTTGTGTTGGTATGTGACAGAAGGTGAGGCCAAACCAGAGGTAACCAAGAGATAGAGAAGGGCTTGGAGTTCGTGAAAGTAGTTGGAGTTTCCTCCTAAAGAAACAATTAGACCTGTGAGAAGTAAATTGAAGGATATTTACAAAACCAAGACTAATACATCAGAAAGTAAAATTTTCATTTATTTGATGGAGAAGCTTGGTATAATTTTCCCTGAGCTTTAAGGGGAATTTTGGGTTTCCATAGTCACCTCTGTGCTCAGTGAAACGACAGCAAGGAGGAAACTTCCCATTTAATTAGGCTGAATTGATTTACATTGAATTGGGAGGAGTTAAGTATTATTATCTACAAAATATAAGGCTTGCTTAGGTCTAATATTTTGTCTACCAGCAATACAAAACCATAAAATTATGTCCAGTCCAGTCTCATAAATATAATTGGGAACCTTAGAAGTGTCAGGCACTGTGCTAGTTTCTAAAAAGAAAATAAACAAGTGTTTAAAAGACTGTAGCTTCTTGGATAGCTCGAGAAAGAGACACAGAAAGAACTTTGTTAAATGGTACAACTCAGGTCCAGTTATGAAGGGAATGAAGAAGATTTGATCCTACCCAGTGGAATCTAGGAAGGCCTCACAGAGGAGATGGAACTTGAGCAGGCCTTAAAGACAGATTGTATTTTGTGGAAGTAAAGTGTTGAGACAATTTTAGATACAAATATGTTCTGAGCAAAAACATTGAGATTAGAAAGAGTGAGAAGGATAAGTAGTGTTCTGGAGTTGGGGCAGAGGTGTTATGACGTGGGTTAAGGAAATACTCTATATGGCATAACTTACTTTGCATTTAACACTCAACAAATATTGAGCACTTACTATGTGTAAGTAGAGAGAGATAAATGATAAACAATGATCATAGTTGAAAAATCATAAATGATTTTAGAAGATGATGATGTGCTATGAAATTTTTTTAAAGAGCAGATGAAGGGATTGGGAGTCCCTTGTAAGATGAAGGATAACACTTTAATTTGAATGGGTCAAGAATAATTCATTGAGAATTGAAGTGATATTTGAGCAAAGATTTGAAAGGGATGACAGAACCATTAAGATATTTTAGGGGAGAATGCTCCAGGAAAAGAGTTACAAGGCCAAAGTGTGCCTGGTGTATTCAAAGAATAACATGGAGGCCAGTATAACTAGAGCTGAATAGGTAGAAGAGGAGTCAGAAATACAGTCAGAGAAGTAAACTGATGTGTAGTGGGGTTGTAGGGAGGTGAGTCCATAGGGAGGTGAGTCCTATAGGGTCTGATAGAAGGTTTAAGGACTTTCTTGCTTCCTCTGCCAACAATTTCTCCAAACACTCAATAGTTCCCTAGTTTTGGAATGTCATAGAAAATATGGAGTAAATGTTTTCCTTAGAAGGGCTGTGGTGATTCATCTACTCACATCTCAGCAGACAGAGTCAACATAATCTCCACATGATTTAAAATTTTTTATTCAACCTCATAAATCTCTGAAATATAGATGATCTTAGCAGACTTCAAATAGTAAGGAAGCAATATTTCAAGTCGTTAAGTGTTCTCTGTATTGACATATACCCACGTTGCATTAGATACAACAGGTATAAGCTATTTTTCACTGAAAAAGGGCTCGTACCCTTTTACTCCAAGGCTAGTCAAAGGAAGGCAGTTATATAATAACTTTCTTAAGAACAAAAGATGGGGAGATAAAATGATATATTCGTAGGCTTTATGTTCGTTAGGATTTTTTTAAACATATGTGTGTTTTCTTTGGCCAAATATTGAAGTATGTATTCTTGATATATTTGATTCAATATATTGACATATGAGTTTCCTCTTCTAATTAACACAGATGGAGTAGCCGAGCCTTATTTTTCCACATGATTCTATCTATAGCAGGGATACACAGAAGCATATGTTTGTTAGTGCCTGAGTGTGTTAATGGGCTTCTATAGATCATTGCGTTCAATACTGTTTATACTACACTGTCTCTCTTATAAGCTTTCAGAGCTTATCAAATAGCTCTGTAGTAGTCACCATTCTCCAAAGAACCGATTAGAACCAATTGGACACATACATACCCACACACACACCGTAAAACCAATTGGATACATGGATGAATGGACATCTTTCTCTCTCTCTCTCTCTCTCTCTCTCTCTCTAAATATATATATATAATATAGGCTCACACCATTATGGAGGCTTAGAGATCCCACCGTCTGCTTCCTGCAAGCAGGAGACCCAAGAAAGCCAGTGGTATAGTTTGAGGGCCTGAGGCGCAGAGCACTGATGGTGTAGATTCCAGCTGGGTTCTAAAAGCCTGAGAATCAAGAGGGCTGAGGGTAGGAGAAGGTCAGTGTTTCAGAGCTCAAGCAGTCAGGCAGAAAGGGAAATTCAACCTTCCTCCTCTTTTTAGTTCTATTCATGCTTTCAGTGGATTGATGATGCCAGCCCACATCGAGGAGGGTAATCTGCTTTGCTCAGTCCACAAATTCAAATGCCAATCTCTTTTGGAATCATATTCATAGACAGGACCAGAAATAATTTTTGAACAGCTATCTGGGCACCCCATGGCTTAGTCAAGTTGACACATGAAGTTAACCATCACAGGCTCTATAAGAGAGACATTATTATTCTAATTTCAAAGAAGCATTACCTGAAGCTTACCAAGGTTAAATAATTTTTCCCAAGTGCACTGCTTATTCGATATTAGTTCATGTTGCTCAGATTCAAAATCCTTTGTAATTTCCACTTTATTCAATTGTTTTCTTCTTCTTAACTCTCTTTGAACATTATGTAACTAGAATCTGGTAGAAGAAATAAATTGTTAACAGGTCTACAGCTAGTGGGTGTTCATCCTTACTGGATATGACAGTAAATTAGATATGACTAAATTAGGTAGTATGGGTTTAGAAGTGTTGTACTCAAATCACAGCTTTGTCTATCATGAATGGTGTAGCTTTGGTCAAGTTATTTTCAGTTTTGAGCTTTTACTTCCTGATCTATAAAATGAGGATAATCACATTAACCTTCCAGAGTTGTTGGGGGAATCAACTAGGGGCATATTTTGGACTAAGTAAAGCTTCAGTTTCTGTTACTTGAATATAATAGGATCTTTTCTTTTTGTGCTTGGCAAAATATATTTCTGTATCAAAGATTAATAGTCTAAGCTATGTCACAACTTTAAGATTGCATGTAATATGTCTTACTGTACAATATTATAATTAGGTTTTCGATAAGAAAAGTTCATTACCAGTCTTGCATGACAAGTTATATTAACCTCATTTAACCCAGTCAACTGTTCTGTAGTGCCAAATGCAGACATTTTTTGACAATCTGTCCTCTTAATCTTTGCATAATTTAATTATTTCAGTTTCAACAATCTGTCTGTGTGCTCTTGAGCTTATATCTTCTCTTCCTAAGCTACTTGATTCCTCCTACCTAGAAAAGAATGACTAAAAATACCATATCTTTAACTCAATTTCTTTTATGACTTACCATCCATCTGTAGTCAAATATTGTCAGTTAAATGTTGGACCATTAAAACTCTATAGTTTTTGTTTCCCTGTAATGCTTAAAAACATTATTGAACTACCAAAGGATTTGCAGCTAATAACTGAATTTTGGTCAGAGTTTTTAGTTTCTAAAACATACTAATAGAAACTCAGAACGGCTTTGCTTTGATTTGTGGATTTAATTGATATATTACCTTTGTGGGTGTAGTAGAATCCCTTAGAGTGCCATTGGCTTAATCTCGTCCTGCTCTTAACTGTCGAAGAGGCACGCACTGGACAAATGATACTACCTGTATGTTCAGGTGACTTTAGGATTAATAAAATATATAGAAACTAACATATTTTGAAAATGATAGCTATAGCCTTTGGAATTTTTTGGAATAAAAAGTAATACTTTTAAATGTGTTGTAATAGCATTATAGACATCTTCATGGTAATCTGCTTCTGACTTTTTTAAAGTTGTGAGACTTTGGTATTTTAGTAAAAATATTCTTTGCCTTCAGAACTGTAACATTTGTTAGATCAGCAAACCAAAATATTCCTTCAACATTGTGTAGGTGTTATGCTTTTTGTTGATAATGTACTGTTATTCATTTTCTATTAATGTTTGGAAAATAAACCTAGACTCTAAGAAAGTCAGTGTGTATCCAATGTGGATCATTACAGTCAGGGAAGCCGTTACTCATCCATGTGTGTGGGAAGGAGGCAGAAGTGGAGCATTTATATCTTTGATAAAGTATGCTTTATGGAAATTATACTGGAACATTGATATCCCAAGACACAATTCCTGTGGAAGTCCCATTGTGACAAGGGTTATGACTTAAATCACTTCAAGTTATTTGGTCTTGGAGGATAGTTGTCAGGAGGATGCCCACTGCCACATCAAGCTATCTTCATTTTCCTTTGCAAACCAATTTGGAATGCATTCTTAGTGACATTGAATATTCTTCCATTAGACTTTGCAAATTTTCAAGAGGGTAATATTTTTCCTGTTATGTATTAAAAATAAGTCTACATATCTCTTAAGAACCTTAAAGAATGTTTATAGCAAGCTTTCCTAAGTATGGTGGTGAATAAGGAAATATAAGTAGATTTTGTCTTATTAATAACTTGAAAAACAATAAAATAATTATATGGGATTGTATTGGTAGCAACCTAATCACAATCAGTCGTTCTCATTTAAAGCATTAAAAGTTAATCCTGAGAGCAAGAAATTAGATTTGTTTGTTTATAAAAAGTAGATGAAAAGACCAGGCTGTTCACTTAATAATTAATAACCATAGCTGGAATTTGCTGATCAGTTATTATTTACCAGGTACGGTGATAAGCCTTGTGTGTGTGTGTGTGTGTGTGTGTGTGTGTGTGTGTGTGTGTGTCTGTAGTATATATATAATACCTAATGAACAATAAGATAGGTGCTCGTGGTATCCTAATTTTTTATATAAAGAAGCAAAGGCTTAAAGAATTTAATGACGTGCCCAAGTCTACACAGCTGATGAGAGTTAGTATTCAAACCAGGAAAATAATCTGACCAGAACTCACACCCTCAAACACCCACTCAATGGCCTTTCTTAAACTCCATTGTACCTGAACTAAGTCTACCTATTAGGTCAAAGAACCCCAACAGAGTGTGACTGCTAGAATATGGCAATTTATAGATTAATTTAGAGTGATGGCTTTCAACTTTCATTGTGCATCAGGATTATAAGGGGAGTTTAAAAAACAATTATAATAAAAATACATTTGGATGTATTAGGTACAAAAGCTTAATACCAGATGAGCCAAGCTCACTTCAGTCTCAAGAACTTTGTAACTGGCCTATACTTGACACTTTCCCTGGGTGATTTCTTCTCTGTATTCAGGTTTCCATTCCTAAGTTTTTTCAGAGTGACAGTCTATGAGTGTCTCCCAGCATAACTCCCCTGAAAATTTTTGATTACATTCCTTTTACAATCTTTCTGTAAAACACTTCTAATTTTATGGAATTGTGTTATTTTACTTGTGTATTGTTGGCATCTTTGCTAAGATGTAAATAATGTGAAAAGAGATCTTGTCTATCTTGTAGATGTATGTATCTCTAGTATAAATAGGAACTTTGTGCCAGGCACAGTGGCTCAGGCCTGTAATCCTAGCACTTTGGGAGGCTGAGGCAGGTGGATCACCTAAAGTCAGGAGTTCAAGACCAGCCTGGCCAACGTGGTGAAAACCCATCTCTACTAATTATGCAAAAATAAAATAAAATAAAATAAAATAAAATAAAATAAAATAAAAATAAGCATGGTGGTGCATGCCTGTAATCTCAGCTACTTGGGAGGCTGAGGCAGGAGAATTCACCTGAACCCAGGAGGCAGAGGTTGCAGAGAGCTGAGATCATACCATTGCACTCCAGCCTGGGTGACAAGAGTGAAACTCTGTCTCAAAAAAAGAAAAAAAAGATAGGAACTTTGGCATATAGTAAGTATTCAATAAATGTCTGTTGAATGAATGTGTTAATGATAAAGTTAGGATAGACTTTTGTTCAGTTTATTTGTTTAAGTTCATCTGCTAAGCCAGCTCTCCCAACGGTAGACACAAAGTCTACATGTATCATTGTTTTCTAGGTGATTGGGAAGAGAATACAGATGTTGTACAAATAGGGGTGTGCTGGATTCAGTTTACAATTAATACTATTTGATAAAGCCTTCATTTGTAGATTTGAGGATAAAACGGTTTCTGAAGAATACTATGTTTTCCATTAATATGACAATACAAATACATCTTTGATATGTAGCCAGGCTAATTTTTAGACTGTCAAAAAAAGTTTAAGATAATGCTTTTTGTGTGAGTTTGTTTCATTAGTAATACCAGATGTATTTCTGTAGTTTATACCATTTTAATGGGAATCTTGAGTTTCAAATTTTAAACTGTATCGTTCTTTGGTGCCACTGCTTTCCAATCTTGGCATTCCATTCTTTGAATAAGATCAAATTGGTTGGGAAAAATTCCTTTTGTAGAGATGGGAAGTTGAGTAGTAGGGGATGATTAAATTATTTCATAAGAAAGGTTTTTGGCTTATTTCACATGGCAGTTTCTAGGACTGCCAAGGTGATGTACAAATTCCTAGTATAACACAAAGGACAGTCTAAACCTGGAGTGAAATCAGATTAGTGTTTATTGTGGGATGGAGAAGGCTTCTTCAGATAGATTATTTTGAAGGAGGGAGGGGGCAGTTGTGTTTTAGTCTACCCAAATATATTTTGACCTGCTGCCAGTTGGAGTTTGCTGGTGTGTTAAATAACAATAGGTTCAGGGAACCCTTAAGTGTGAAGGGGGCTTACAGATAACTTAGTTCAGTTATCTCATTTTATATCTGAGGAAACTGAAGCCCAGAAAAAAGACTTGCCTCCTAGCTACATGCTCTGTCTTCCTAGCTAGTATTAATGAATGGTTGAGTGATGTTTTGGTGTTTATTCTAGAATTGTTTTTGCTTTGTACTTATAGAGCTTACAACTACATGCTTTAAATATAATAAGTGCTTATGGATATTATATTTTAAAAAGTTATTGGGTAAGAGATCTAAAACATAAGTGTTTATTTGAAGTAACAATTTGAAACTAAGGTTGCTTTTTGTATATAGCTAAAATAAAATTATTTTTATTTCAAGAACTCCAAAATCATAAACTCCAAAGGTTTTGTTGTTGTTGTTGTTATTTGTTTATTTAAGGTTTGGGCTATACCACTGCAGTTCTGTACAGGTTCACTCTCACAGTGCCAAAACAAATTTACTCTTGGTATTTATATAAAGATGGCTACATACACCTCAAGTTGCAAAACAGTAAAGGCACTTGGAAAGAATTACCCTAAATTAGACTATGTGCAATAAGGTTGCTAAGTTAAAGGAAAAAAAGGAAGATGCTCACTGTACTTGTTGGGTCCCATCTTAGAGCTATAGAATTTCATTTCCCTGTTGGGGGATGTTGTCTTGAAAAAGCATGGCCTTCTGGGTCAAGTCAATGAGGGTGCAAATCACTCTGCTATTTATGAGCAAAGGGTTTAGGATAAGTGACAGAACGATCCTGACCCTCTTTGACTCAGCTGCAAAATTATCCTGAGATAAAAGTAGAGTCAGCAGGGATGTGTCCGAAATCATCAACATTAAGGGAGTATAGACATTTAGAAAAACAAAATTTTGGCCGGGCGTGGTGGCTCGTGCATGTAATCCCAGCACTTTGGGAGGCTGAGGTATGCAAATCACTTGAGTTTGAGACCAGCCTGGCCAACATGGCAAAACCCCATCTCTACTAAAAATACAAAAATTAGCTGGGTGTGGTGGTAGATGCCTGTAATCCCAGCTACTCAGGAGGCTGAGGCAGAAGAACTGCTTGAACCCAGGAGGCTAGGTTGCAGTGGGCTGAGATTGCACCACTGCCCTCCAGCCTGGATGACAGAGCAAGACTCTGTCTCAGAAAAAAAAAAAAAAAATTAATGGCGCCATTTAAAATAGTGTGAAATGTACATGTTGACAACATATACACTGAGCTTAGCACCTAATTAGCAAAAAGGTAATTAAAATAGAAAATTGTCATGTGACAAGTACTGTTACTGATATTACCCTATATGGTACATTACCAAGATGATCTGATGGTACTGCTTTCCCTGGGCTCAGTATTACTATGACTGCTCTGATTTTGATGATGCCAACCTCACAGGGGTGTTACGGAGATTGAAATAGCATATGAAATGCTGTAATGGCATGACAGCCATTGGCCACTATGACAGGGGCTGCTTCTCAGTTCTCTCAGTTTAACATTATGCTGACTTTACTAATCAACTTGCAGTCTTTCCTACTAGACTTTCAGCAGGGTAAGGCCACTGTTGTTTTATCCTTTATGTCTACCAAACACAGTGCCTGAAATGGAATAGATCTTCTTTAAAGAGTTCAAATGAATGTACACAGTCATCCACAAGTTGCTTAACTGGGAATCATGTTTTCATTTTGAAAGCTAAATCTTTGTCCTAATAGAAAAGGGGAACTAATAAAGGAGGGTTAAGTACGTATCCAACTCCTATGATGGCCTCAACCTTGGACAACCTTGGCCTCAAACTGATGTCCTTATCTTAGGCAGCAGTAAGGCTAGGAAGCACCAGTGGTGATTATCTCCGTACGAGGACAGACTATCTCTGTCAGTTCATTTGAAATATAAAAAGTTGAAATTCATAAATTAAAATAAAATTATCCCTTATTTGTGTTATTTTCATTGGGTATAAATGATCTAGTTAAATGGAAAATAGAACCCTTTTTTAAATAAAATCCAAACTGTATTTGTAGTCCAATTTAAAGATTTCTTTGAGGTTGAAGCCTTTTAATCATGGTGATTTAGTCATATAGGTATATTAATAATTATAAGGACATTTGTCAAGTCCTTAAGTCCTCAGAAGCAAGGTACAAGGCAAACAACATTCAGCACCTTTCTTGAGAATACATAACATACACCCTCTCAAGTGACTTGGTTTTTAACAGTGGCCTTGACTTGAAAAATAAATCTCTAAGTTACTATGCAGTAAATCTCAGAATCATTTATCTTACAGTTTATTACAGAGCAAGTTGAAGGTGATAAAATTCTTATCAACAAGGAGTTCACAGTTTTATATGTGATTAAGGACGTGCACTTCTGGTTATTTATAACATATGTCCAGATTTTAAAAACTCTCATTATCATAAAATCGGCCATGACATATAAATCGATTGAAAAACAAGCCAGGGTTCTTACACCTTTTCTGAAAAGGAAAAGTAGATATATCTTTCCCTGGTTTTTATAACATACATTTTTCATTTGTTGATGGCAGATAGTTGAAGTAAAAAACTCAGAACCTTCACATGAGAGCTCAGCGAATGTTTTTGGCAAAATAAAAACACAAAATATTCACTGTTATCCACCTTGCCTTTTTCACTTGGAGCTCATTCCATATTAGCACATATAGAATTGACTATTCTTTTTTAGTGGCTACTTAAGAGCCCTTTATTTGGATTTATGTAATGTAGTTAACCATTCTTCTATGGCTGGAAATTTATGTTGTTTCTAAATTTTTACTGATATAAACAATGATGCAAAGAATATCTGTGTGCACGTGTCATCGAACTAATGGGTGAGTACTCTATAGAATAAATTCCTAGCAGTAAAATTGCTAGGTCCTTGGGTCAACATGTTTTTTTTAATAAAGATGGCCAAATTGCCCTTCATAGAAGTTCTATCAATTTGTATTCCCACCAGGAGTGCAAGAAGATACACAATTCTTCACATATGTATGTCTTTTAGATTTTTACCAATCTGATAGATGAACAATGGTATCTGTACTTTTAGAATTTATAAAGCTCTTGTAACAAATAGGAGCCTTTGAAGTTATTTACATTTCATTTTCTATGAACTCTCATTGTGTTTTGTGCCCATTTTTCTCTTGGATTGTTGGTATTCTTTTGATTCACTGAAACTCTTTCCATATTGGAAAATGTATCCCTTTGTGATAGAATTTGCCAATATTATTTTTCTCATTTGCCATTTATCTTAGGGCGTTTTAGTGACATGTTTTGCCAAGAAGAAAATTTAGATTTTTACCTATTCAACTTATGAATATTTCATTTTATGGATTCTCATAGTGCGCATGCACGCGCACACACACACTCCTATTCATTTCTAGTGTTTTTAACTGGTATTTATTTGGTTAGAGAATAGATAGAGATCAAATCTGAATTTTTGCCAGACAGTTTCCCAGTCATCTCAACACCATTTAATCTCTTCTGCTGATTCAGCATGCCACTTATATCATAAACCAAACTCCTATATATATCTGGATTTTTGTCTAGACTGTATGCTGTTCCATTGATCTTTTAGTGCAACAGAGCAACAATATTTTAATTGCAGTAGACTTATAATAAAACCATTCTTCACTCCCTCTTCATTAAATTCTTTCCTAAGAATTTTCTATTTGTGCACATTTATTTTTCCATGTGATTTAGATAAACATATTTGTATAGGTCTAAGAAATATGTTGTGATAGTATTGAAGGTTGTGCACCAGTATCAGTTTTCTCAAGTACTAGCCCTTTGTGGTTGTAGGAGAAGGCTATTTCATTGAATTTGGGCATCCATATTATACTGACTTCATATAAATAATTTGAAAGGTTGTATTCTTTCTCTATGCTTTTGATCTGTTTCGATAGTATTGGAGGTATCTGTAATTTCAAATTTTCAAATTTGACATAGTATTGAAACTATTTACTCTTTACAATTTAATTTCACCAGGGAATTACCTAAGATTGGTGCTTGTTCAAAGGTATAAGAGAGTGTGAGGAGGAATCACTTAATTTAATTTTTACCCGTTAAGATATTTATATACTCTGCTCATCTGGGTCAGTTTTTATAAATTGCATTTTTCTAGTAACCAATAAATTTCTTACAGATTTTCAAATGTATTTGCAAGTTAATGTGAATGATAGCAATCTTTTATGTATTTTCATTTTCTGTTTTGAGGTTATTTCCCCCTTCTCATTGTGTATATGTGCATGTGTGTATATGGACCTCCCATTCTTTATTAGTTGTGTTTGTTATTTATCCTATTTTTAAAAATAACAATCTCTTGTATTTTTAAATTCTACAACATTTCTGCCCTCTAATTTTTTTTAACTTTTTCAGTTATTTCTTATTTTATATTGCTTAGTTTCATTTTGTTCTTCTTTCTTGTGTAAATTTGTATACTTATTCAGTATTTTGTTTTGTTTTTATTTATATGTTTATATATATTTGAGACAGGATCTTACTCTGTTACCCAGGCTGAAGTGGAGCCTGGATGACAGAATGAGATCTCAGCTCACTACAGTTTTGACCTCCCAGGCACAAGCCATCCTCCCACCTCAGCCTCCCAAGTAGCTGGACCACAGGTGCGTGCCACCACACTCAGCTAATGGTTGTATTTTTCGTAGAGATGGGGTTGCTCAGGCTGGTCTCAACTTCCTGGGCTCCAGTGATCCATCCGCCTCAGCCTCCCAAAGTTCTGGGATTACAGGTATGAGACATTATGCCCAGGCTTTTTTGTTTATTAATATAAATATTTTAACTGTATATTTTCTCTTAAACTTGGTATTAGCTGCTTTTCACCATTTCCAAGTGGATTTTCATTATTTATCTTTATTACCTGTTTAACTCACATGTACCTGTGCATAGTTTGGTAGGGTGGGAGGCTATTGAGATTCGCTATGTAGCCTAACACTTGGTTAATTTTTTTTGCAGACATTCCATAATTACTTCAAAGAAGTTACTGTCTTCGTTTTCAGGTTATAGCTGTTTTTTGTTGTTTTGTTTCGTTTTGTGTTTTTTGAGACAGGGTCTCACTCTGTCACCCAGGCTGGAGTGTAGTAGCATGATCATGGCTCACTGCAGCCTCCACCTCCTGGGCCCAAGTGATCCTCCCACCTCAGTTTCCCAAGTAGCTGGGAGCACAGGTGCACACCACCATATCCAGCAAGTTTTTAAATTATTTTTTGTAGAGACTGGATCTCCCTATGTTGCTTAGGCTGGTGTTGAACTCCTGGGCTACGGTGATCTTCCCACCTTGGCCTGCCAGAGTGCTGGGATTACAGGTGTGAGCTACCACTCCGGCCTATATTTTCACTTCTTCTCACTTGCCTTCCCGCCATCCTTCTCTTTACAATTGGTTGATTACATTTTATTAGATCTAATCTTTTTATTTCTATCTTTGCATATATCTCTATGTATGCTATTTGACCAGCTATATGATTCTTTCTGAATCCCCAGCTCTAAAAAGAAAGGCTATCAGCCTACAGTCACTACCATCACTTTCTTCCTCATTTAAGTTTTGATACTTATATTATTTTTCCTTTTTATAGTTCTATTACTATAATGACCACAGATTTGATTTTTGTTTTCTTAGCCTAGAGCTAGATGGCTTCAATGGCCACTGCCATTTGCTGTTCTTACTCTCTCTTCCTTAGTTGAAATTCACCCTATGACTTTCAAGAAATTTTAAACTCCTTCAAGAAAGTTTTCTTGGAACATTATTCTCTGAGTCTTGTATGTTGAAAAATGCCTTTTTTGTGGCCTTTATACTTTAGTGATCACTTGGCTGGGTATAAAATTCTTGGTTCATGTTTTCTTGGTTCATGTTTTTCCTAAGATTTTCCAGGTGTCAGTCTTTCATGCACTGGCTGTATATTCTGCTCCAAAGAATTCTGTGAACAGTAGGCAGAAGACAAGACAGGAGATTAAAAACACATAAGCATCTAAAATAAGACCTCAGAAAACAAAGCATTTCAAAACAACATCCAACACACCTTAGACATTGCAAGTATTGTTGTAGCAAATCACATAGTAATGATAGATCCCAGGGTGTTAAGAAAAATGTAAATTATTTCCAATGTTATTTATAAAAATTCAAGCAAATGTATGATTTGTTTTAAAAATATTCTTCTAGTAATTAGAGAACTATTTACATGTTCTAATATTTTAAATATTATTTGATAACTTTAGCTGATTTTAAAAGTTTGTTATGTGAATATTTTTTAAATTTCTTGAGGACTCAAAACTAAGGTACATAGTTTTGCTCAGGTAGGAGAACAAGTAAACTGTAATAAATTGAGATTTTTTTTTTTAACTTCAGAAAATTCTTTTACACTACTCTCTGTCATCCCCACTTGAGAATCAGAATCAGTAATTAAGTGCCAAACTAGATAGAGTACCATGAGAGGAAGGAAGGAGACTTGCTGGCTAGATTTTTCAAGGTGAGCTTCTTGGTGAGGTGGCTCTTGAGCTGAATATATTTTTGTGAAGGTAGAGAGGAAAAGAGAATATTTCTAGATTCTGGAAAAAGAAATGTTGGTCAGAAAGTGCCACATAATTAGAACCCCTTGTAAGGCCCCTGTTTATTGCATTGTCGCTTCCCCCAGGAGGTCTGAGATATGAGTTGTGCACATACCTTTGTCCAGAGGCAGCATTTTCTATTTCTGAGAACTTGAATCAGCAGGCTTGGCAGCAAATAAAGTTACTTCTTCAGTCTGTTATGTGATTAGAACACTTGAAATGGGATAAATTCCAAAATGTTATCTTAACCTGATTTCCATTCAGACTAGAGATTCGTTTAAAAGAATCAGTCAGTACTCAACGCAGATCTCTTGAGGGTTTTTGTCAAGTGTATGTATAGGACTTCAGGAGGCTCTGGGTCAGAGTTCCCTTATAAGGAAGAGCAGTTGAGTTTAGTTTCCATTAACCTTTTCTTAGCCAGTAGAAATTCTATTGCCTAGCTGGCTGTGTGTGTGTGTGTGTGTGTGTGTGTGTGTGTCTGTGTGTTGCAGGCAAGAGGGCAGATGTTCAGTGGTAGTGTGTCTCAGTAAATAAATGGTGAACTCCTTAAAGGCAAGAAGCAAGTCCATTAAATTTTTCTATCTGGGTTTAGGGATAATGCTCTACATAAGACAGTATTTTAGCAAATGTTTGTTCAATGAAGGAATATTAAGCCACAGTTAATACTAACTAAGAAATCCATGAAGCTATCTCCTCGATGAAAATACTCTATTTTTTCACTGTAGGTTGCAAGTGACTAAAACCCTACTCAAACTAGCTTAAGCAAAAAAGGGAACACTTGGCTCCTAGGCTGGGACAACCACGTTGGTGTTACTGCTTTTGGACAAGTTAGATCCAGGGGCTCAAGCAATGTTGTCAGGTCTTTCAGTTCGGCTAGCCCCTACTTGGTTTCCCTCGCAGACGGGTTTCTTTTTGAGGCAAGAAGATGACATCCAATAGCCACAAACACATCTTAGTTCTTTAGGTAGCAAATGGCTGTTGCCTTTTCCTATAGATTTAGAAAGGAAATTAAAGGGGAATTCTGGTTGGCCCAGTTTGGGTTGCATGATTATTGCTGAACCAATCACTATGGTCAAAGTTTGGAGAAATCAGGTAAGTGGTATTAATAAATTATGAAAAGCTACCAGCTGCTGAGATCTTCAAGAAGCAGCATGTTTGTTCAATGTGCTGTGGTCATGGGTGTTGCCTCATTTCCTGTAACCAGTAATGGCGTCTAGGGCACATATAAGTCAGGTGCTGAGTGTTACCAACCTGACAGAATGGTTGTATTTCCAGAAGAATGGAGAAGAAGGATGTATGTTAGGACAAAAAACCAGTCTCCACTACTGTTATTAAGGTGCTCCCTGGGGCATAATTGAGCTCTAAGAGGAGGCTGCTATGTCTCCAAAGACTGATGTGACAGAAAAGAAATGTATTCTTTTAGGACAATTGTAGCAGAAAAATTCTAGTGTTAGGAAACAGAATCTCAAGTTAATGGCTCATAGATTGGAACAAGTTGCTTCTTGAGGTTTCAAAATTTCGTCTTTGACATGTGGTGGATTGTTTACTATGCAGGGTAGAGGGGGAGCTTCTGGAATGTATAGTATGAGCCTGGCAAGCTAGGGGCTTTGGCTGAAACTGCAAACGGCACCACGGTGATTCGAAAGCTCCATCATTCTTACCTATGGCTTGCAAAAGCTGACTTTATATCACTGTGTCATTGTGTACCCACATTAAAAACGAAGGAACGTCTAAGGAGTATCTACAAGATAAAACATAGTTTGGGAAAATTTTCTCCCATTCTTCCAAATACACAAAGATAATATGTGTTTGTTATTCATTTTGTCTGTAAATGGAAAATTGATCTAAACAGTAGAAATATGCCTAAAAGAACAAATATGTACCTAACAGAATCACAGAGTACCTCTGTCTTCAGATGACTTCTTCATAAAGAACGATGCTATTAGGCAGATTATTTTTCTTAGTTCTTTAGAATTTTTTTTTTTTAACCAAACTTGATGAGCTGAAAAATGTAATTTAGTAATGAGGGGGGAATTTTAATGTTTAATTTTGTACTTTGGAATTTCCTTCTTGATTTTAATCTTTTATTCTAATTAGTTTATAAGAGTTTCCTTTGTTAAAAGACAATTTTAGTTACACTTGGAAAACTTTAGTCTGGAATTTACTCCCATGTTTTCAGACATGTTTCCTTCAATTTTTTTTTCTCAATCATTACTCAGAATAGTATACTAACAGTAAGTAGTATACTTTCCTTTTTTATTGCACAGAAGAAAAATGGATTTTACATGAGAAAATAGAAAACGGAAATGCCTGTTTTGTCCATTCCTCATATTATCTGCATTTCCTTTTCCTAGAAATTCAATCTATGTCTGCAGGACAACTCCAGGTTTTGTAACAGCTTAATAGGACTTTCAGAGCACTCTTGAGTAAATGCAGTCCAATGGTGTGGTATTTTCTGCATTCTCTCAGAGTTTTTCAGAATCCATTCTCAAAGTCTCTTATCTAAAGGAACATACATTTGGTACCGGAAAAGGAAAGGGCAGCAGAAGCCCTTGGCTGAATGCCCACATTCACTCTCTTCTGTTGTTGCTTAACCTCTGGTGTGTATTAGCTCCAGGGAAGTTACCCTATTAGACTTCCAAATGGAGTTCCATCTGGTATTTAAGGTAGCATGTATATTTTTTTAATATCCTTTTTGACTTCACAATAGACTAAAGGGCATGTGACCGTTGACTCTTTGCTCTTCATTATAATTATGATGATAAACAGCTGTTCTAGTTTCTCTAAGAATAATATTCAAAACATTTCATAATTTGTTATTTACTGTCAAGTTTTTGTTGGACTATTAGTCAACAGATATTTATGGAAACAAATAATGTTATCTCATTATAACTTTTAAGATAATTTGCATATTTCTGGTGACACGGTTATTTGGAACTCAAAAATATAAATCTGGGTTGTCATGGATACATGCATGCCAAGGCTTATTTTATCAAATTATTACAAAGCTTACCATTTATTTTTAGGATATAATAGAGTTTAATAAAAACACCAATGCTGTTCATTTTTTTCCATTAAAATTATTATATTAAGCATATTGCTGCTTAATTTCTTTGTTGTTAATATTTTCTCTTAATGACATTTTATCGCCAAAGGGCACAGTTTAAACTGCCTGTCAAAATGACTGATCAGCAATCTGGCTTGACTTTTGCAAGTCTTCCTTTCTTCTGCTGATATGTCAAGTAAGGATTATATATAACACAGAGTAATGTTCATTATAATGAGTTAGACCAACCTACCAGGGAACTCATGTAATTGACCCAGATGAGGGAAATGTAATTGACCCATATGAGGGAAAAAATAAAACCTTAGCTTCCCCTAAGCCAAGTCCCAAATCTCACGATATTCTTCTTATCTTAAGGGTACAATAACAATTCTTAAGAACAGTCTAGAAGCAAAGAAAGACTTGACTGATATTTAAGAAGGAAAGAGAAAAGAATGAAAGGGATGAGTGGTGGAACCAGAGATAGATCAGGTTGTCCATGAGCAAAAAGTAGGATTAAAAAGGCTTGGAAAGGTTTTTTGAGTATGCCAATATTGGGTAAATTACGGTGATCAGATGGGCCCTTTAAAAGTAACTTGCTTGGATAGAGCATACTACTTCTAGGGGCACAAGGTCAAACCAGAGTAATAAGTTTCAAAATCATGTACCTTATGAAATTTGGAACTCTCACTTATTTTTTCTTATCCATAGTTTTGGCCACAATGTAAGGAATATTATGGTTTAAGGAAGTCGTTGTGTTAAGACATAGAGAAAAACTAGATTTGAGAACTAACCAATTCAAAAAGAAATGATGTTGCTTGGAATATATCTTTTTAAAAGGCAGCTCAATTAACTAAATTTATAGTGAATGGGAAGACATATATGTGGCCAACAATCATATGGAAAGCTCAACATCACTGATCATTAGAGAACTGCAAATCAAAAGCACAATGAGATACCATCAGAGATACCAGTCAGAATGGCTCTTATTAAAAAGTCAAAAAATAACAGATGCTGGTGAGGTTAGGGAGAAAAAAGAATGCTTATACACTGTTGGTGAGAGTGTAAATTAGTTCAGCCATTGTGGAAGACAGTGTGGCAATTCCTCAAAGACCTAAAGACAGAAATACCATTTGACCCAGCAATCCCATTACTGGGTATATACCCAAAGGGATATAAATCATTCTATTAGAAAGACACATGTATGTGTATGTTCATTGCAGCACTATTCACAATAGCAAACACATAGAATCAACCCAAATGCCTGTCAATGATAGACTGGATAAAGAAAATGTGGCACATATACCCCATGGAATCCTATGCAGCCATAAAAAAGAATGAGTTCATGTCCCTTGCAGGGACATGAATAGAGCTAGAGGCCATTATCTTTAGTAAACTAACACAAGAACAGAAAACCAAATACCACATATTCCCACTTGTAAGTGGGAGCTAAATGATGAAAACACATGGACACGTAGAGAGGAACAACACCCACTGGGGCCTTTCAGAGAGTGGGGAGTGGGAGGAGGGAGAGGATCAGGAAAAATAATGAATGGGTACTAGGTTTAATACCTGCATTATGAAATAATCTGTACAATAAACCCCCATGACACAAGTTTACCTGTGTAACAAACTTGTACTCTTGAACTTAAAAGTTAAAAGAAAAAATATTTAATGGGACAAAGTTCTACCAATGGAAACAAAAAACTTCTTTTTTTTTTTTTTTCTTTTTTTTGGGATAGGGTCTCATTCTGTCCTCCATGCTAGAGTGCAGTGATGTGATCATGGCCCAAGTGATCTTCCCGCCTCAGCCTCCCAAGTAGCCGGAACTACAGGCATGTGCCACCAGGCCTGTTTTTTTCTTTCTTTTTTTTTTTTTAACATTTTCTTTTTAATAATTTTATATTTTCCATTATTTTTTATTTCCCTATGGTTCCCAGGATGGTCTCAAACTCCTGGGCTCAAGTGATTCTCCTGCCTCGCTGCCTTGGCCTCCCAGTGTGCTGGGATTACAGACATGAGCCACCATGCCTGACCAAAACTTCTTTGAATACTGTGTACTATTTACAGTACAGTAACAGAATCTGATAGTGCATGAAAATACATCTGCACATAAGCAGAAAAGACAACTTCAATATAATTTGTCATGCAAATTTTTTAAATATAAATTGTCAGTATAAAGTAAATCTGAGTATGTCACCTTTGGTGAAGTTAATGTGTTCAAATTAGCATGGTTCTTTTAATAACCTGGTTTCAATATTAAAATTTAAACATTAGATTTGATCTCACTTTAAAATGAAAAGTATATATGTGTGTGTATGTGTGTATAAGTGTATATATGTATGTGTGTATATACGTGTGTATATATATGTATATATGAAAATGTAAAAAATAATGGCTCTTATTAAAAAGTCAAAACCTCTCTATTGTCTGTTTCTCCTTTCCAGTCTCAATTCCCTACTTTCCTTCTGTGTTTTCTGAGATAACTACTAAATGAGCTATTTGCACTCAAACTCTTGCTTTAGGGTTTGTTTTGAAGGTAACTCAACCTAAGACAAGTGGAAACCATTGCAAAGAGAGTGGCCACCACATGCAAAACGGTTTTGGAGATGCTCTGCCAAGAGACTGACCAGCTCAAGCCACTCTCTTGAGAAATAGGAAACCAGAGATCTTGATAGTTTGAAGTTTAGTCTAGTGTTACAAACAAGGGATGAGATAAATTCTACCCTCTTGACTATGCATTTGTTATTCTTGACCCTATTCAACATTTCAAAGTTTTTATACAACAAAGGCAAAGATTAAGATAGAAACACTCCAGTTTTGACAAAACTCTTTCTACTTACTTATGGAAACATTCGGGCATTATATACCGGTGTTTTGGACAAAGTCCACTATAGAGAAGAAACTTGGATATATTATGGCCCCAGTGAATGGAATTTCAGAAGCAATCAAAACAAGTACAGCAACAAAAATATTAAAGATGCTCTTGTGGAAGAAGAAATTCCATTTCATAGGAAATCAAAAGGTCATTGCCAAAGTAATTGAGATTTTGCAAGACAACAACCAGCAGAACGACAGACATGAGTGAAAGTGGTATGAGAAAAAATATAGTCAACTTATAAAATGTAATAAAAATTTATTTTAAGTGGTAGTGATAATATTAATCCCGTCATTCAAGCCTCAGAGATCTGCTTCAAACACTGACATGTATTGTTGCAGATTCTGACAACCTGACGTTGTACAGATAATCACATTAGCTCAAAATATTTCAGGTGTGTGTTTGAAAAGCCCCTTTAACTTAATAAATAATACATAGACAAAGGAATATTTTGGAACTAAAAGATGTAGCTAAGAAAAGTCTATATTACTTTGAAATAATCAGTAAAAGAATGAAATCAAAGCTAATAGATTATAGGGCGAGTTACATCCATGGCTTGTTACAATCATTTTGAACTGTAGGGGTGGTTTTTGAACACTAAAATCCAGCTTACATGTGAATTTTATTTTTTTTTATTTTTCTGAAAAGCTCAAAATGTGTGTAAATCACGTAGGAATATTAGCACCACATCCAGCTAGAGATATTAATAAAGATCTCTGAAGGTGAGTACATTGATTATTGTTCAAATTAAGTTACGCAGTCTTAGTACAACTAATTAATTTATCTGAATAAGAATCAAAAACTTTAAAACATGTGAAGAGTCAAGCTTTCTTATTTCTTTGTGGAAATTTTTATTTTACATGCCAAAGATACATCCTGTTTAATGTTCTTGATTTGAATTCTTGTAAGCATAAAAATATAAAAATGTGATATGCATAATCTTTTTTATAGTTCAACATGAATGAACACATAACAAGCTGAATACCAAGTGTCTTATCTGACTACTTTTGAAAATAGAAACTAATTACATTTGAATATAATAGAGTCCGGCTCAGGAATGCTCCTTTAAAACCCCCGGGTCTCCCCAGGCAGAGCCAGTTTCCTTATTCCTCTCTGCTAACATCGTACCTTGCTTATGTTTATATTATTGTGCTTTTCACTATACTGCATTTATAAAGTATATTACTATATGGTATTTGCCTGAATAAGTACATGTATGACTTAACAGTGAAGTATTAGCCTTGTTTATCTTTACCCTTGCTACTTATCTCAGTACCTGACATATAGCAAAAGCTCAATAAATGTTTGAATGCATGAATGAATGAATGAATGAATAAATGAAGAAACATGTTGATTTAGGGCATTCATTGAGGAAAGTTATATGCCTATTTGCCTTAAAGATACTGTAACGTAAAAATATTTTCAAACATTATTCTAGGATAGGATAAATGACCAAACTTGGGGAGGTGTCAGGATGTCATATTGAAGATGGGGAAGAGAGAAGAAGAGGTAGAATTGGAACAGATTCAGAGAATGAACAAAGGAAGGGAAATAGCTGTACTTTCAAACCCCACACTATGTCTTTTGGAAATGAAAGACAATGTTGAGTAGGAATTTAAAACACCGGAGATATGGTGACTGGGCTGATCACATCTCTGCCACTTCCTAGGTTTGTGACTTTGAGGAGGTGAACTTTTTTTGTCTTTCAGTCTCTTCTTTCAGAATTTGCTTCCTATATCTGCTTAAATTGAAGCATTCAGCTGCAAGTAACAGAAAACATATTAGTTTCTTAAATAATAAAGGCATTTGATTATCTTGCATAATTATTAATAGAAGTCTGAGGCTGTTGATTCTAGGTTAGTGCAACATTTCAGGATGCCAGCCTGCTATCTGTCTTTCTCTAGGCCTCTCCCTCATGGTTTCAAGATGATTGCTATAGCTCTAGGTATCACCTCCTCAAATAACAGCATTCCAGAGTTAGGGAACAAGTAGAGTGACAGTAAATAGCATAGCGAGGGCTGCAAGAGAGCTTGGATGCTTTTTTCATTTTTCAGGAAGGGAAGCTCTTTTCTCGAATCTCCATGTCATTTATTTCCCTGATTGACCAGACTGTATATAAAGGATACTTGGAAACAGGCATCTTATTTTTTAGCTTCTCTAGCAGAAGCACAAGTAAGAAAGAGGTTGAGAATGTCAGTTAGGTAGCCAACTAAGAGTACGTGTCCCTGTTGGAATAAGGATTATTATTATTTCTTAGCACTGTGGCTGGCTACAGGGTAAGTATTCATTAGGTATTACTACTTTTATTATTAACCATTCTGTACTGCAGTGAACAAAATAATTCTAATGTAAGTTAAAGTTTCTATGGCAAAATCGGCTAGTTCCTACCAACAAAATTTTTAAAATAAATTATTTACGAGCTCAGACATTACTTTTATTACCCTTTTAGTATTATCTCCACCCCAACCTTTTCTTATCCAACCCCGACTCTGTTTTTGTGAAAATTACCAAACATGAGAAGTAATTTGTTCCTATTTTTAAGTCTGAAATGTAAACAGTGGTTTTTCTGAAATACCAATTAAGATGAGTGGAAATTTTTGTTTTAATTATTTTGAACACATCTCTAGGAATTAAGATTGAATTTTACCTCATAGCTTCACAACTGATAAAATTTTCATAGGAGAAAACCTCTTGAGATAGTACCTTGCCATACGGCCATTGCTGTGTGTACTCTTTAGCTAGTGGGAAAACGTATCTAATATGCTGTTCCCATCAATTTAATCTTTGAGAACACTGCTTATTTCAGTTACAACATGAATTGTGGTGAGTGAGGACAGCAATTTGGAAAGATAAAATAGCATGTATTTAGTGATTCTAGTAAGAATACCAAAGAGGTAAACAAAATTAACAAAATGAAAAGTAACCTCTAGAGGAGAGAAGGATGAAGGTCATAAAATCTACAGACAAGTAAGTTATGCTACCAAATTAAGAGACCCCTTTAAATATACTAATCATGAGGCATTCTTTATACAAGCTATATGTTAGAATTTGCAAAGTCAGTGGCCCTGAGCAGTAGTGTTCATGTTTGTAAGTGGAAAAATAGTCACCTTAAAAAAATCAATTTATATATTGAAGAAAGGAGACATATGTAACTATGTGAAATGTAAGTTGTAAGTACACCGAGGGGATCAAAGAGCCAGTTACAGAAAAAGTTCTCCCCAAGGAAGCCTGATATGATTTCTGTTTAATAAATAGTTGACTATTGGGAAAAAATGGGATTGTAATCCAGACATATTATTGAATGATGTTATAATCTGTTCTATTTTTTAAAACAACCATATTGAAATATAATTTACATGCCATAAAGTTCACCCATTTAAAGAGTACAGTTCAACAATTGGACCTATTATTTTTAAGTAAACCAAACTGAAAAAAAAAGAAAAAGGAGAGAATGCTTAGAAAAGATTGATTTCCTATTAGAAACTCATATATATACTGAAAAATCTCCTGGAGGACAAATTTTTCATTTAAAACCCAAAAGCAAATTAAAAGTAATTTTATATACTGCATTTTTCTCTGTGTCCTGAGTTCAGGCAACCATAGCGTATGCACGGGATCATCTCTACCTGGGGATGGAAAAGCTCCAGCGTTTCTCCTGAAATGCATGGGAGCATTTCAGGCATAGACAGAGGCATAGAGGGAAAGTTGAGTGTAGAAAGTTGCCATAGAGACCTTTGATATGGACCCCAGTGTGTGAGTTTGAGAAAGCAAGTATTATTGTTATGTTTCATTTCCATGTTTTCTTGATTTCTAATACTTCCTCTCCCCCAAGGCAGCATCGTCTTTTTTTTTTCTTTTTTTCTTTTTTGAGACAGAGTCTTGCTCTGTTGCCCAGGCTGGGGTGCAGTGGCAAGATCTCGGCTCACTCCAACCTCTAGCTCACAAGTTCAAGTGATTCTCCTGCCTCAGCCTCCTGAGTAGCTGGGATTACAGGCGCCTGCCACCACACCTGGCTAATTTTTGCATTTTTAGAGACAGGATTTCACCATGTTGGCCAGGATGATCTTGAACTCCTGACCTCAGGCAGTCTGCCCACCTCGGCCTCCAGAAGTGCTGGGATTGTAGGTGTGAGCCACCTCGCCCAACCTATTTTTAATTGCAAAACTTACCTTAACATATATTTTCAACTGTTAAAATAATGTAAAAATGTCACTTTCTAAAAATACTTAAAATGTATCCTCCAAGCCTGAAGCTTCCTTTTGGACATTTTACAGAACTCTCTTGCATGTTACTCCTTTGGTGACATATCAAAATAAGAAACTGATGAGGGTTAAAGTTCAAAGTCATGTGCTTTTCCATTTAGAAAATTAAAGAGAAATAAAAGAAGAGCTATATTTTTCCAGGAAAAAGATTAAGATAATTAGAATTGCTCAGCCAACTTACCAGAGTTTATGTTGACACAATTACCAAATAGATGATCTATAACCCCACTAATGGATCTTCAAAACTCTGTTTGCAGAACTCATTTTTTCTTGTTACTGTGTTATGCTTAGATGAGCTGGTCTTATGTATTGACTTACGTACTTAAGTTAATTTGTTTACTTGATACTTATTAAGCTATTAGATTTGTATTTGATGTTAGTTCTTTCTACAAAGGGAGAAGCGATATACAAAAAATAATGCATTTTTGCCTTAGGTTGAGGTCATGAAAATGATGGTACTTAATCTTTATTTTTTTGAAGAAGTACCTTTTTCTTTGTCGGTTTTGTGTGAATTTTAATACCTTTTTATTAGTTTTAAAGGAAAACCACAAAATAAAAACTAACTTTTGCATTATTAAGCACACCCTTGGAGTGTCTAGAGGTTGAGGAAAAACTTAGTTTCAACAACTAAAAAATGAAACATAAATATTGACAGGTTTGCTTTCCTTGTACTAGTCTTGGTTCAGTCCATTTTCTACACAGATGCTAGAGTCATTTTAAAATGCAATTCCGATTACATTTACTGCACACTTAAAAACCTCAATGACTCCCCCACCCTCACTCCATCCGCTTTAATGATACGGTTTAAACATCTTAGCAACTGTCGTCATCCACACCAGCTTCTTTTGCTGTACAAAACTACTTCCTGTCTTCAAAGTGCGCCATGGGCCTTCTTCCTTCCTTGCCTTTTCCAGGGCTGTTCTCACTGTCTAAAGTGACTTTCTCTTACTTCTGTGGCTGAACTTGCTAAATGTGCTTCCAGAAGGAGCTCAGAAATCTCACGTCTCCCTGAGGCTACTGTTCCTGTGCCCTCTTCGCATTCTTTGCATCTCTCTGTCTGGACCGGGATTAAGAAACACACCTGGGAGCAGCTCCCTGGTCCCTGTTCTGTAGTAAGCATATGAATTTCCTTAGACACACCAAAATACCACTGGAAATGTGTTCAGGAGGAGGATATTAAATGTGTTATGTATGATTGCGAAGAAGTAGGATGGATAAGTAAAAATCCCTAAGAAGTAGGTTCCAGTCACAATATGGTCCTATCCCTGGACTGCCTTCTCAGGCGGATGAGCCTGGGTACATGTCAACCTCTGGCTTCACTAGATGGAGTGTCCATGTTTGATGTCAGAGCTGAATAACTGGAAGCTACAGAGAACAGGCTGAGCCTAGCAATCTTCCATCATTTCCCATGTGTCACTCAGTCCTTCCTCCAAAGTCAACTTTAAAGGATTAAACCTTCTTGAGCCACTAGCTACATAATTGATGTTTTCAGCTTATCTAAGAGGTTGAATACCCAGTTGGATCTTACCTTTAGTTTAGCACTTAACATGCTATGTGAACTTCCTGTCTTCTATAGTAGTTTGTCTGTGTGTTAAATCCTTACGTGGACGATGTATTAATCTCTTTGTATCCTCAGTACCTGGCGTAGTGCTACACACATAGCAGACATGTAGAGGAATTGATTGAATTAAATTCATCCAGCTAATTGATGTTAATTAAATCACACTTAAATGGTGTCTTTATACATTTACTAAACTCTTAAATTCATGGTTATGCTGCAAGTGTGGCATCAAATCCTATACCTAGAGAAATATACATAACTTCTCAGCAAACAATAAATAATGTTTGTATTTTGTATTAGTAACACTAGAAGTATGACTCTGTTTCATTCTACTGAGAAAATGAAGCAGATCTGTAATTTGCTGGGGGTTTTTTTTGCCTGAAGATAAGCATATGCTCAAATATATCTGAGCCAGATGTTCCACAGCATAAACTTGAGTAGCATGCAAAACTCTCTACTTATATCCATAATCCCACAATGTTCTAGGTAAGTTTAGCCTCCTAGGTTTTCTTGTTGCATGAGCTCTGTAGTATTAAGTAATATTTGCTTTCTATTCAAAATAGGTAGTGCTGAAAATGCCTTATTTTGTGGATTACTGGAGATTGATGGAAAGAATCTGAGACTCAGTGGAACTAATCTTAAAATCTAAACAGCCCTGGGAAGAACTCAACAGAGAATCAGCATCATTCTTATTATATACATTATTCTGAGACCCAAACTAGCAAGGTGCTCTGACAGAGTTCACATTGCTACTTTTGGGTACAGCCTGGAAAAGAATAGAGTTGCCTTGACTTCCATACTATTCCCATTCTGTTATATGTAATTGAATCTCCATGGCTTCTGCTTCTCACTCTTCTCTCTGTCCCCCCAACAGAACTGGAAGTGACAGATGGAAGGATTTGTATAAAGAGAAAGCTAAATAAAGAGGAATAGGGAGCTGAAGAGTGACTGAGAATTTGCAGTCCAGTATATGGATAAGATACCAATGGAAGATGACATTATGAGCATTCCTGCCTAAGACCCAAATAAGTTTTGGCTCTAGGTGAATGCTTGAGGAGTCACTAACATAATTTGAGCATGCTGAAAATTGTCATAAGGAGTATTTTGGTGATTGGGGATTTAGGTAGGTATGTTCCTATGAGGCTGTGTTTACAGTAAGAGTTCCTGTCATTGACTTTCTCTTTGTTTACCTCTTGCCCAGTCTTTTCTATTTCAAGGGGTTAGTGAGTTTTCACACTGAATTTTTCCCCAACTGATTTAGTACCAGGTGGACAGCTCTAGAAAGAGATATTCCCTATTTTCTGGCTGTAAGTCCACAGAGCTTAATTCAAGGTATTGACTCTGAGCTTCAAAGTCTCTAGTGGCTTAGATTCTAGAAAACTAAGAAATCTATGTTACATTTCTTCAGTAACAGACCAATAAGATAGCATTCAATTCACTCACTGCTTTTGCCAGTCAACTTTGTGGCAGAGATCACTGCCACATTGAATTATGCAGGATTGAATTTGTAAGACTAAGGTGACAGGGATTTGAAGGCATTTGGATTCTTTAATTTATGGAGATAATGTTTGTGAGAAAGAAATTTTTTTTCCTTTTTTTTTTTTTTTTGAGATGGAGCATTGCTCTGTCACCAGGCTATAGTGCACTGTCACGATCTTGGCTCACTGCAACCTCTGCCTCGTGGGTTCAAGCCATTCTCCTGCCTCAGCCTCCCAAGTAGCTGGGACTACAGGTGCACACCATCACACCCAGCTAATTTTTGTATTTTTAGTAGAGATGGGGTTTCACCATGTTGGCCAGGATGGTGACTTCATGATCCTCCCCCCTTGGCCTCCCAAAGTGCTGGGATTACAGGCGTGAGCCACTGTGCCTGGCTGAAAAATCTTTTAAGAATATTTGGAAATATGAAGCCACAGGCCTCATTTAGAACAAATTGTGGATTATATTATGGAACCGAAGATCCCTGTATTCACAATTGCTACTTAAGAAATGTTATCACACCATTTGGATGGGCCTATAATAAAAAAGAATAATAAAGGATTGTGGTTTGGTCAAATATCAGCAAGGAAATTTTATTCAGTCTTTAAAATGTAATGAGAGAGAGATTGAGATGCAAACACAGACACGCGCGCGCGCGCACGCGCACACACACACACACACACACACACACACACACACACACACAAACACACACAGTTTAGATAGTAGGCAAAATAATGAGACCAGTAAGGAAGAAGAATGCAGCAGAGGTGGTTTTCAAAGCAGCTTACTAACCATAGAACACTTATAAGAATATGTAAGTAAGTGTTTGTCTGTGCTTAGATTGGAAATGACCTTTCTTCAGCATAACATCTGCTGTGTGTGCTATAAAGAAAATGGCTGCTAGAGTGAATATATAAATGTTAAAAATTTCTTGTAAATAACAACATCATCAAAATTAAAAGCTATGTGGAAAACTACAAAAATACTAGCAATTCACATGACAATGGATTAATGTCCTTAATATAAAAAGAACTCTTATGAGTTAATAAGAAAATTAAAACTCTAATAAAAGAAGAAGCAGCCGGGCGCAGTGGCTCACGCCTGTAAACCCAGCACCTTGGGAGGCCGAGGCAGGCGGATCACCTAAGTTGGGAGTTCTAGACCAGCCTGACCAACATGGAGAAATGCCATCTCTACTAAAAATACAAAATTAGCTGGGTGTGGTGGCACATGCCTGTAATTCCAGCTACTCGGGAGGGGAGGCTGAGGTAGGAGAATTGATTGAATCTGGGAGGCAGAGGTTGCGGTGAGCAGAGATGGTGCCACTGCACTCCAGCCTGGGCAACAAGAGCAAAACTCTGTCTCAAAAAAAAAAAAAAAAAAAGCAATTTGCTAGAAGAATTACAAATGGCCACAGGAAAAATGGAGCTTTATAAGTTACCAGATAAATGTATAACACATTTCTTTTTCTGTGATTATCTTGGCCAAAAATTAATTTAAATTAATGATATGCCCAGTTTTGTCAATGATTCACTAATAAGGACGTTCTTATACTTTTCTGAGGGGCACGTAAAATGGTTCAACACTACTGGATAGCAATTTGGAAATAACTATCAAGAGCCTGAAAATATATTCATGATTTATGAACTAATCATCCTTCATCCTAAATTGTATCTTAAGGAAATAATCAGAGATGTGCACAAAAACATATGATTGAGTACTGTACTATATATCCATAATAGCATTATTTATAACATTAAAATTGCAAGTGAGCTGATTATCTTCCATTGACTAACATAATAAAATCCTATAAAACCATTAAGTATTGTATTTTCTAAGAATATTTGATAATATGGACATCAATTCATGTAAAATAAGTGTATTAAACTGTATATGAAGTATAATTTTTAAAATACTTGGTAATATTTCTAAAAATTACATCAACAGTTATTGATGGATAATAGAAGAATAGATACATTTTAATTCTTTATATTTTTATGAATTTTAAAATTTTTTGACATAATTCTTTTATTGTCAAGGAAGACAATACATTTTCCTAATGTACAAAACAATCATGAATTTTGAGTTTATAGTTTGGTGAATTCCAGCAATTCTATACAGTTGTGTAACTGCCACTTTATTCAAGACATAGAGCATTTTTATCACCCTGAAAATGTTCCTTATGTCCCTTTGTAGTTGATTTAATCTCCCGAATGATCCCTGACAACCATTGCTCTGCTTTCTGTCACTTTTGTCTTTTCTAAAATTTCATACATAATTTTGAGATTCATTCACATTGCTGTGTCAATATTTTCTTCTAAAAATATATATTTTGAAATAATGCTCAGTGTGTGGTTCCCTCCAAGAATTAACTGTAGAGGGAAGGGGCCATGGAGCATAAGGCAAAGAACAAGAGATCGAGACTCAGATCTTGGGGAAGTCACCTATATTCTCGGATTCTCAGTTTGCTCAGATGTAAAATTAGGATGATAATATCTTTCTTACCCTTATCTCAGCATCATTATGGGTAATGGATCAGAATATGTTTGTTGAACCACTTTGTGAGGCATCAACATCGGTTTCTATTTTTACTTTTATTGTGAACCTGATTAAAATGGCTGATAGGTAATTCAGTGTTCCTGTCTCCTTCAAAATGAGATATGCCTTTACGTAAAATAGAGAGTTGCCTTCATAAAGGTATATTATGACATCAAGTTAAGCCTTTGATGAATTGCCATCATGGGAAATGTTTATGAATTGTCCAGATTTTTAATGAGTGGCAATTGAATTCTCTAGCTTGAGTTATTTTCAGATTGAATTTTTGATACCTGTACTTACTCCTTTTCCTCTTTTGCTTTTCTTTTCCAAAACCAGTTCTTCTGTATGTAGATGTTGTTCTCTACCTGCAGTTTAGAGTCTGAGAACTTTTCCTTTTATTAATTTTTTGAGAGTTGAATAAACAATTCTTAGACTTTTTAAGGCTTTGGAGTTGAGATTTGGGGAAGCAAAAGGGCACTGTAGAGTCAGTATGTGTTCAAATCAGTTTATAGACAAGCAATAGTCACCATAAGGAATGCTAAATGACTTGCAAGAAATGATTATAACAAACATGGCTAGTTCACTCATTCTTCATTTGTTCATTCTATAGTCAACAAATTTTGATTGAGTTTCCATTATGTTCCAGACAGTCTGCAAGGATCTGGGATACAGTCGACAATTGCCCTATAGAAATTACATTCCATTCGTAGATTAAGGCCAAAAGTAAATAAACCAATCAATTAAATAGCTACCAATTCTGAAAAGTACAGGAAGAATTCAAACAAAGAGCTGCAATAAATGTTGAAGGAGGGCTCAAGAGATCAAGGAAGGACTCTCTAGGGAGATCACATATAATCTGAGTTTCCCAGCATGAGAAGGAGCTAATCTCATGAAGAGCTGGAGGAGAAAGCTTTAGAAGAGGGAACAGCATATGTAAATGTCCCGTGACAGGAAACAAAACTAGAAGAAATAAAAGTGGTTAGGCATGATGAATTGGAAATGTCAAGAGTTGAGGTTGGAGAGAGAGGCAGGATCAAATTTGTCACATTATCAAAAACGAGGAGTTCGGAGTTTTTCTTAACTCCATGGAGAGAACTAGATGATTTTACTCATAGGAGTGGCTTGATCTATTTTAATTGTGGTGTTTTCATAAAAGTAAATACATCATGCTCTCATCTGATCTGTAGCCAACAGGTTTACTTGCAAAGAATTTAATTAAAGTACAAAGAAAAACATACGCATTACAGCTATATCTACCTATTCTTTACTAAAACAATAATTATGAGTTTTTCCTTGGGATAGTATCAGGCACTACAGAACATTATAATTCTTTCTCTATTATCATCTCTCTCCTTCCTTATTGAGGAAGGCTTCCCAGAGACAGCTGGTTGTCCCATGCAGTCAACCAGATACCCTGTGCCAACGCATGTACCATTTAGGCGCCTGCGGATGGCTTTGGCTGGATGCTGAATAAAAGCAGTCAGAATCTGATTTATTAACCAATTTAGAAGCTGCTATAAATCAAATTCATCTTTGGTACCTTCATTTTCTAACTTAATAGCTTCAAGTTAGTAGTAGAGTCTTGATAATATTGTTTTATTTTCTCCCTAAATACTCTGAACATTTTATATGAAGTCCAAGTAAATGTGAATAATCCCTGTAACCATATAATTTTACTTATATGGTTACAGAGATACCTTTGGTCTGTACTTACTATAACAGGCATAAAGTTTCTGGCCACGTGCATCTTTTGTGTCATTGAAACAAACGTCATAAGTTTCTAGAATATTATCTTTCACTCATGAATAATGATAGATCATGGTATTTTTTTGAGATACCAAACTTGAGTATCTGAAACTAAATCAGTTACCTTAAAAACACATTTTACTTTTTATGTATACGTTTTTGAACCTTATATAATATATCAAGAGTTTATCTTTGAATTCAAAACATAGCTCTGAAACTTACAGTGTAAACTTGGTTGAGTATTTAATCTTTCTGTGCTTTAGTTTCCTCAACTAGAAAATGCAGGTAGGAATCAAAGTTGGATAATACTGATAATTACATGAGTTTGTATATGTTTAAAAACTTACCTCATATTTGCAAAAAATCATATAAGTTATTTAGAAACATCCCTTTTTCCATTTAATAAATACTGTGTTTCAGGCATTGTGTTATATATTGAGCATACCAAATGAGTACAGACAATCCTTATCTCAACAGAGAGGCCAGCCAGATGTAACTAGAAGGTAGGGAAAGGGATATGGAAGTCAGCCGTGCAAATAAAAGAAACCCAGAGCTTCTGGAAGAACCACTGCTTCTTCTGTGCTTTGCAGGATTCTGGTGTTAGGTTAGATAAGTTAGGGTCATTGGGTTGTTTTTCCTTTTTTCAGATTTGTCAGAGCAAATACCAGCTTCTTTTTGGGAAGCCGCAGGAACCCTATATAAATATTTTTATTTAATTGGCAGCAGCATATTGTAATGGGTAAAAGCATGGGTTATAGAATAAGATAGACCTGAATTCAAGTCCGTTTACCACCCACGTGACCTTCTGCAGGTTTCTTAACCAGTCTGAGGCTATTTCCTCATCTGTAATACTGGGATAACAATACTGTAGACTTTACAGGTTTGTTATGATAACTAAATGAGCTACGTGCTTAACACTGTTTAGCACGTAGTAAGTGCTTGAAAAAAGTTATTAATCATCATTTTAATATTATCACATAGCCACTATCTATTTTAAAAATAAGGACTCATAAAAGTTAAATGAATTGCCCAGTGACTTAATGTGGATTCAAATCTGTTTCTCCCTGATTTCAAAATCCATGTAGTTTGCATTTATTTTATGCCTCATCAGGAGAAAAACAAAACAAAAACTGGACCATTGTCTCTCATAAAGTAAAATCATTTAATCCCTCCCATTACTATTAATGTTAATAAAAATAAAATGAAAGGCTCCTGGTTGTCAAAAATATGATACCAGAATAAATATCAACAATGTTGCATTTTTTGGAAGGCTGTCAAAAATAGATAGCAAGTACGGTTTTCATTAGCTTTCTTTATTAAAATTCTCTACCAAGCAGAGTTACTGCTTTGAGGATCTTCCAGATCACAGTATGTCTCTGTTTCCCAGGTGAGCGGACCTTATGGTCCAACCCAGGGCTGGCCACTAGTGTGAGAAGCCCAGATGCACAAGGCAGGGTGTGTAGCTTGGGCAGGCCCTCAGCTTTCATTGGTGTGAGTCAGAAGGTGCTTGAGAAGGTATATGTGAGGTTTGAGCTTGAACTTGTGTTTGATTTGGGTATCCATTGGCCAAGAAATCTGACTTCAGCTGCACTGTTAATAGTGAATGCTGAGCTCCCTCCAATTCATGCAAGTTATTCAAGCAGTAATTGGAGATTCACTGCTTAAATGTCTCCTCCTAAAATATATTAATTCGTAAGTTATTTATCAAGTTGGTCAAATTTATGGCTTTCATAATGAAAATGTATCTAAAATACCTACATTCTGTGTGTGGGTGTGTATTTGTGCTTACATGTGTGTATGTGTTGCGGATATTTAAACTTAGTTTAGAAAGAGAACATTTACAATAATGAATAGCATTGCAAATATTAGAAGAGTGAATATTAAGTGATCAGAAATGCACATCTCAAATTCTTATATTTTTAACAAGCCTCCGGGAACTCATTAGAATTTTTGAATTATACTAAAACCCCATCCCCTTTGTGAATGGAAATTTTAGGGTTTCAAGGCTGAATAAAGTTGTATTTTAGCTCTAGGCCTTTGAATATCTGTTATACATTTTTTGGTAGGTGTATATGTAGGATTTCTATTTTTGGTAAGGTGGAAGCTGCTTATATACCTTTGTCTTTTCCAAAGTGAGACCTTTTATATATTAAAGTTTTACACCCCATTATTGGAATATATGATTCCCTCTCATAACCACTATCTATTTTAAAAGTAAGGACTCATGGGACTGCAGAGGAAAGCAGTAAGGAGAGTCAGAGGTGGGTCTCTTCTCATGTGTTCTCTGTAGCTTCTTCTCTTACTGGAAGAAACAAAGGAGGAGATGAAGGTGTTTTGTTTTGCTTTGCTTTTCCTAGATCACTAGCTGTGGGAAGGGTGGCACATATGACTCCAATATTGGTAGTAATAAGTTGCTAATATTTTTCTAGCTCTTAGCATGTGTGGGAACTTCTTCTAAGGTTTCTGCCCATATTGGCTTATTAATTTCACATTATCCCTTTGACAAAGGTAATATTATTATCCCCAGTTTGCAGATGAAGGCACTAAAGCATGATAAGATTAAATAACTTCCCCAAAGTGACATGTAAATGGTAAAGCTTGGGTTTACCTTCAGGCCATTCGGTCTATGGCCTGTGCGCTTATGGACTATGCTACATACACTGCCAGTGGTATCCGTGAACAAGATAACAACACTATTACTAACAACAATAAAAGTAATTGAATTTAAATATGTTTTTCTCTATGTTAGCACTGTGCTAATTGCTTTAACCTTCACAAAAACCTGGAGGTGGAAACTATTGTAGACCCCATTCTTACAATGTGGAAACTAAGCCTCTGAGAAGTTGTATCACTGCCCCCAGGCCACATAGTGGGTAAGAGGAGGCACTTAGGTTTGGATAGAGTCTGCCTGACTTCCAAAGTTACAGATAAAGATAGGGAAGATGAAACACAGACAGTCCAGTCCCTCCTCATTTCTTGAAACAAGCATGAGCTTTCCATTAGCCCGTCACTACCCGCCACCACCTCTGTTAGAAGTCAGGGTGAAAAAGAGTAAATTACTCACATCAGTTCAGGGGTGTGTGTGTGTGTGTGTGTGTGTTTTGGTCAGCTATTACTTAAAATCTATGTTGAGTATTCTAATTAATTTAGGAAACAATGTTTAAAAAGAAGCTAAATTATTAGTGAGTTTCCCCTCAAAGCTTCCTAAAGGACCTTTATGAGAAGTAATTCAAGAGATTCCAGAGGATTAAGAGACTACTATATTTAAAGTACCCCTATAACATAATATTGAATATAATCCTAAAGAGAGTTTTTGTTTTTGTTTTTTCCTAAAAACTCTATGCCATCACGTGAAGAATGATTAATGGCCCAAGATCCCCCATGTAAAGAAGAGGAAGTGTGAGTGGAGCTTGTTAAGTATCCTTATACATTTGGAAAACTATGCTCTGGGAGAAAAACTTGACTTGGAAGTTAGAGGGAAGGACATTTCACCTCAGTCTTAGGTAGAATTTTCTGTCAACCAGAACTGTACAATCATGGAATGGGCTGTCTGAAAAACTCACCCACTCTCTGTCACCACAGGCATTTGTGCAGAGGGTGGACAGCAGTCAGAGATGCTGTCCCAATAATGGAGGGAAAATGAATAGATAACAATTGTAGTTATGAGATATTTTTATTTTATATGGAATAAATGCTGCTTAACCTACTTAACAAAGTGAGTCATGTATTTTAATAAATTTTAGTGTATTTTAGAATCTATTATCTACAAAAGATGGCAAAAGGGGAAATATACCTTAAGAAAGGAAAAAAGTTAATCTGTTTGAAAACATATATTTGGAAATACATTAAGGATTGTCCTGTAGGTAAATGGAATCTATAAAGAGATCTAATATTTTGGAAAATACAGTATAAGCATCAAAAAATGCCTAAAAATGTTATAGCTCTATTGGAGTAAAGTTAAAAGGAAGAACCAGGAAAGTATGTTTTTTGACAAAAATGATAAATTGCCATAAAGTTCATGAGACAAATGATTTTTTGAAAAAAATAGTGGTTCTCGGTCTTTGAGGAAGCGCCACATTGTCTTCCACAATGATTGAACTAATTTACATTCCCACCAACAGTGTAAAAGCGTTCCTGTTTCTCCACAGCCTCGCCAGCATCTGTTGTTTCTTGACTTTTTGATAATTGTCATTCTGACTGTTGTGAGATGGTATCTCATTGTGGTTTTGATCTGCATTTTTCTATTTATCACTATTCAGTGATGTTGAGCTTTTTTCCATATGTTTGTTGGCTGCATAAATGTCTTCCTTTGAGAAGTGTCCGTTCATGTCCTTTGCCCCCTTTCTAATGGGGTTGTTTGCTTTTTTCTTATAAATTTGCTTAAGTTCCTTGTAGATTCTGGATATTAGACCTCTGTCAGATGGATAGATTGCAAAAATTTTCTCCCATTCTGTAGGTTGTCTGTTCACTCTGATGATAGTTTCTTTTGCTGTGCAAAAGCTCTTTAGTTTAATTAGATCCCGTTTGTCAATTTTTGCTTTTGTTGCAATTGCTTTTGACATGTTCGTCATGAAATCTTAGCCTGTGCCTATGTCCTAAATGGTATTGTCTAGATTATCTTCTAGGGTTGTTATAGTTTTGGGTTTTACATTTAAGTATTTAATCTACCACAATCCCATTAGTGGTATGTATCCCCCAAAATATAAATCATTCTATTTTAAAGATAATGTACACCTATGTTCATTGCAGCACTACTCACAATAGCAAAGACATGGAATCAACCCAAATGCACATCAATGATGGACTAGATAAAGAAAATGTGCTACATATACACCATGGAATACTATGCAGCCATAAAAAGAATGAGATTATGTCCTTTGCAGTGACATGGATGGAGCTGGAAACCATTATCCTCAGCGAACTGACACAGGAACAGAGAACCAAACACCGTTATGTTCCCATTTATAAGTGGGAGCTAAACAATGAGAACACATGGACACAGGGAGGGTAACAACACATACGGGGGCCTGTTGCAGGAGGAGAGCATTAGGATAAATAGCTAATGCATGTGGGGCTTAATACCTAGGTGATGGGCTGACAGTGCAGAAAACCACCATGGCACACATTTACCTGTGTAACAAACCTGCACATCCTGCACGTGTATACTGGAACTTAAAGTAAAATAAAATATTTAAAAAAGAAAATTCAAAGCACAACAAAATTAATAAAAGAGGCCAATCATTAAGCAAGCAAGACGTTAATATTAAGACTACAAAACACTGAAGCAAACGAAAGTGTCTACAAAGGCTCACCACTGGGCTTGTTCCTGGTTTTTCCCCTGGTTGCTTAAATATCATCCTTCTGCACTAGGTGCACTACATCCATATATTAGAGCCTGAAAATATATGTACAATTGATGTCCAGATACCTATGAATTTTAATGTTGTAATAATAAACTCTGAAAAATTACATTGCAACACTGTTATTTTAGTGTTGTTTGCAGAAAACACATTTCAGAGGGAGGCTTTTGAGTTCTCTGTACTACCTGGTCACTGTGTCATTTCCTTTTTGTTTTCTTAGGTTTTCATGGGTCAGCTCCTTTTACATCCAAAAGATATAAAGAAGACAGGGTGCAAAGTGGTACAATACTATATTGAGGGTGCTATGACTTTTGAAGAGAAGGAACGTGGTCTTCAAAAGAAAGAATTCAGAAGGGCTATACAATGGCCGCCTTGTCAGTATTGAGAATGAGCTCAAATTTCATCATGATTCTTTGGTTTCGTATCATTTACACAGAAAATAAAAAGGGAAGATAATCAGTGGAAAGTGGGCTTTTCTGTAGCACGGGAGAGAATTAGAGTTGGCTCAAAGGCAGGCTTTGGAATACAGAAATCTGATATGCCCTGCTTGCTATTTTTTAGGATACTGAAAGCTAGTATGATTATTTCAGAGTTTTAAGCCTGCTAGAATTTGTTCTGCAGATATGTAGACATCTACATTCATAAGATTTATAAGTAAGCACTTTGAATTTGTGAGATGCTAATATCTGGGGCTGGGCTTGCTCCTCTCTGCTTTTTTTTTTTTTTCTCATTAGACCTCTCTCTAAAACTGGGGAAGGCATCTTCTATGTGAAAATATAATTTCTTGAAAGTAGAGAGAAGGGTCTTGAAAACCCTTCTTTAGATGTTTTGATAGCAAACAATTCTGGCACAAAGCGTCCCCAGTGATGGAAGAAAAACTGCCTCTCATGCACTGTCATCCTTCTTTGATCTTTTACCTCTTTTGCAGTGTAATCTCCAAATCAATTCCCTGAAGGTTTTGTGCTTTTCTCCTCTAATTGCCATTAGAGAGGGCTGTGAATCCTCCTACTTCCTCACTCTGCATAGTTTCTAACAGTTCTCTTTGACCAAAGTTATTCAGTAAAATTAAAGGGGATAGGATCAAAGGCCATGTGTTTTCAGAATGATGCTGTCATTTTTGTGGGGTCCTTAGCATTTTGAAATACTGCAGGGCAGGGGGTAGGCAATTGCAGTTTTTCAGCATTTTCATGGAGCAGAGATCTCACCACCTCAACAGAACCACTTAAGGGCGTTCATTTAAAAGCTTAGAAAGGCTGGAGCCTTCCCCACTAAAGGCAGCATCTCGCAACTGGATGAATACCACACTGCATGAGGAAAACCACGCTGCCCTTGCAGTCTCCCACCTTCCTCTTTACCCCATTTATTAAACTCATAGTAACTCACAAGAAGCATTCAGTTTTAATTTGTCTTGCTTGACTTCATTACCTACTACCATATGTATGCATGCTTAATGAAAATTGTCAGTGGGCTTCCAGCTCAGAATCAGCACATGCTACCCAGAAGATGGATCATGGTACAGGTATTTAGTATATGCCAGGCACTGTTCTAAGTGCTTTGCCAATATTAGCTTATTTAGTCCTCACAACAACCATAGGCATAAGGGTTTATTTTAATCTCCATTGTACGGATAAGGACTCCAAGACACAAAGAAGGTACGTAAATCTCCCAAGACTAGCTTCAAAATTGGAATTTGAACCATGCAGCTTGATTCCAGAATTCATGCTGTTAACTAATACATCAACATCAGACCAAAGTAATAATCTGAAAGAAATGCTGAGCGTTTCTTCTTTAAAGTCTTTAACTCTTATGTAAGATTAAATTACCAAAAAACAGAGGCAGTGGTTTTATTCCTGAAGTCCCTTTTGAAAGAAATAGGAGACAAGAGAAAGCTTGTCTTTACAGCCTAGTAGACTGGTTTCAATCCAGATTCCAGTTATACTAGTATGTTAGACTTGTTACTAATTTCTCTGGACCTCACTTGCTTAATCTGTGAGATAAGAAAATGACCATAACACCTACTCCATAAGGTTGACATGGGCATAAACCTATGCAATGCATTGTGCTAGGTGATACATGTGAGCCGTTATTATTTTAATACTGCCTTCAATCCTTTGTGGAAATAGAATAGTAACAGAAAATGAATCAGCTGTGTATGAGATCTATTAAAGTGATATTGTTTGGTAGATAATCAGAGACATAAATTTTACTATACGAGGTAGGTCAATGGTCTGCCTTCCACCCGTGGACTAGTTTTCTGCAATATCTTTCTTAAATTTTTGACACAAGACCATTGTGAGTGAAATGGTGTTGTAGCGCAGTGTGTCAGGTATTGATTTCATGCTGGGGTGGGCCTGTGTTGTCCCGGTTCTGAATTACAGCAGTGTATCACATCTGCTTGCACCACTCCCAGTTCAGCTCTGACTGCATAATAGTCATGGAGCTGGGATTTACCAATCTCTTCAAGTTAATTAGAAATGGAAAATCAGCATGGTCACAGAGGAAAAAATAAATAAGATGGCGATGCTCCAAGGATGTGGGGATTCTCCCCATAGGAGTTGTCAGGTCAACTGCTCCCACTGAGGTCCGATGCCTGGGGGTACATGGGAGCCGAAGGGGGGTTGTGTCAGGAACTCCCTTCTCATCTCACCGTCCCAACTTACTATGTGAAATTATCCAATTTCTACCTTCAAATTGAAAAACTGTCCTTTAATTCTCTCTCTCACCACAGGAGTCCTAAAGACTATACATTCCAACTCAGCAACTATTTCATACAGCCTCCTTAGAAAATGATGGGGGTGGACACCCCACTTGAGGAAAATCCATTCTTTATAGACAGCATCCCATGTGGCACTTTATGGGTTAAACTTGTGTTGCAGAGAAGCGGTATCAAGTGGCTTTCCAGGAGATAACCCCCATTTAAAAACTGCCATCTCTAAAAGGTGAGCCAAATGCCCATGAGTTTAAACTGCTTTGTATGAAAGGAACAACCCAGTGTGTTTGAGTTTGCTTCTGTCTCAGTGTCTGTCATCTATGCAACCGATTATCAGGATGAAGACTGTCAATCACGGTTAATAAAAACCTCAGAACACGACACAGATCTCTTTTACTATAGATGTATTTGATGATAGCCTCACTTTATTATGTCACATAAATCAAAAGGGAAGCATTTATCTCATCATTCGGAGGCACCCCTTCTCTCCCTGTGTCCTCACCCCTCCCCCCGTACCAGTTCTCAGTCCCTCAAAGATGCTTTGTGCAAGAAAGTGCAAGTTTCCCGTTCTGGCTTCATTTTTGTTCCCTTTTGCGATCCTCCTGGCTCCCCCCCAAACCAAGCTAGCAAAGCAATGGCCCCGGTTCCCCCCCAACGCCTGACCTGCGTTTACTGGGAGGAGAGCGGGAGAGGGAGCGCGCATTCTGGAGCAGGCTGCTTTGACTCCGACCACAGGCTGTTTTGTGCAGGCTGTCCCTCTTCTTCAAAATCGTGCATCCCCTCCCCGAAGCAGCAGGCAGTGTGCCTCCATTCAGCCACATTTGGTATGCATGAGCACGGCTGCAGAGAGAGGGGAGGTGGCTGTTTTAAGAAGGTTCAGGGGCTCAGGCAAGGCTACTTGACTAGTCTTCCAAGTTCCAGGAAGCCTCTGCCCTAATGGAATTTGCAGGTGTGGAGATGACCATGGGATGCCAGAGCCGTGGGGGACCGTTTATTTTCTAGGCATTGCTCAGGTTTTCAGTTTCTTGTTTTCCTGGTGGAATTTGGAAGGGGTCATGAATCAGGCTGATGCTCCTCGACCCCTAAACTGGACCATCCGGAAGCTGTGCCACGCAGCCTTTCTTCCATCTGTCAGACTTCTGAAGGTACTGTAACTTGCAGCTTTGAATGGCGCTAATTGTGCTTTTTAGATTTAAATACCCAACTTGGGGACTTGGGCTGGGACGCACCTTTGGGGGAGCCTAAATGCATGCAGTACTGGCTCTGTGGTCCGTGGCTGGAGAGAGGTTCTCAGTACTCCTGCCCTCCCCCCACGCCCCCCACCCACACCCCGTGGTGTCAGAGACAAGAGGCTGGTGCGAACCACACTCGAGAAGGAGATTTTGGTCTCAGAGAATGGGCTACCTGGTGCTCCCCCACCCCTTTTAACCATTCCTAAAACAGAATTAATTAACTTCTTTGGGAGGGTGGGAATAGTAGTGGGAGTGAAATCTCTTACTCCCTTGTGTTTGGCTCCTGGGCTTTTCTTTCTCTCTCCCTGGGGAAGCCCTTCGACCCACTTTCCCTTTAAATGGAACCAGAGAGAACAAAGGATTCTCCTCATTAGTTTAAAAGCTTTGTGTAGTTAGGTGGCCAGTCAGGTGAAGATGAACAAAGAATGAGCCTCCTCAGACAGTGACTTTTTTTGTGTCCTTGTTTTTAGAAAAGGCATAAAAATGTGAGTCTCCTGAGTGGAATCAGTAGTGGGAAAGTATTGTTAAACATATATTGAATGTCAGCTCTCTCTCTAGCTGTGAGTCACACAAAAGAATGGCACTACACCTGAGCAGGAATTGCCACCGTGTGTCTGCAGCGCTTCTCTTTCCAGAAGCAAATGCATTAAAGATACTGAAAAAGTCCATACAACTCTGTACTAATCCACCTTCATGATCTTTCTTGTAGGGGGGAAAACACAAATTAGATTTAAAGGTGCAGGAAACAAGCATTTTTGCCCAGTAAATAGAAGGTGGTAATACTTAATAGGGAAAAATAAATATCTCTGATGTTCTATATCCATTCGAAGTTAAAAAAGGCAAAGTTCTTAATTCTCTTTTCCTGAGTATGTATGCTCTTTTGATTTAGTGACCACAGAGCATTGAGTCCAGTGGGCTACAATGGAGAATTAATGAATTAGCCCTGAATACGTTACACTTGGAGAATTTTGTTCTGAGGATGTGTTCTGGTTAGGTAAGATTTGATGGGGACAGTTAGTTCCATACAGCTAAGTGGTGCCTCACAACAGAGTATTACCCCTTGCCTGAGTTTTCCTTTTCTTGTTAAACACCAACTGGTATTAACTTTCAACAAAGGCTGCCCCAAGTGCTGTTCAAACTCCCATCATATGGTTGTCATGGCGATGGCTTGCTTCCCTAGGGACTATTTAGGAGGAAAGGCAGGTTTGGGTATGGGTAGTAGAAGAGACTTTTCCTTGGATATGTGTGTTTTTGCTGTGTTGTAACAACATGTGTGATAGGGCAAGAAAAAGAATGAGGCCAGAGAATTAACAAATTGGTGTACATTTTCTCCAGAATCACTAGTGAATCAAGAGTCAGGGGCAAAGAATGGGCATATCTAAGTCTCCCTGAAAGAATTCAACTCCAGTAATTCGAAGTGCAATGAGAAACATTTTTTCAGTTAAAGTCATGTATCAGCTTTAACCCAAAATAATGCTTTTTAACTCTTCTTGACAGATAGGTGACTATCACTCTCCATATATGATTAATTAATATGCTAGTTTTTTTTTAAATGGAGAATGTTATTCATTTACTAGTCACAAAACCAGCAGAGAAGTACCTACCTGAGGTACTTCTTTTAGAAGAAGCTCTGTCTTTTTAGGAGAGTGAGTTCTGTCATCTTTTTTAACTGAAAGTGCTGTCCATACTTTCAGGAGACATTGTTAATGCTACAGCCATACTTTCATTGGCATACAGCTCAATCTTACCATCCTTTATTAAAGTGATGCTTTGTAATAATTTATTGAATAAAGTGCATTACTGTGTGTCCTTCCCATTTTTTCAATATCTAAAAGACAGGATGGAACCTTACTGGAGAACTTTTTTCCCAAATGACATCTGTATTTTTGAAAGATCATAGCTATCTTCTGAGACTTCAGATATTGAGCACATTTCAAACTCTTAAAAAAATAAAGTCATACCAAGTTCTTTCAGCAATACTTAGAAAGAAAGCAAAGCTGCTTTGGTATATGAGCAATTGTATTGTCCACTCTCTGGCTGTGAATGCTATGTATTTTTTTCCTATGGATTGTTGTATGTTTCTCCTATGGATTCCTGTGTTTGCTTTGCTAGTTCCTATGTATTCTTGCCATTTTATCTTTTGAGTAAAATGTAAGTTCATGAATAATAATTTGCATGTTTTGGTAAATGCTCTTCCTGGCTTAATCTAGAAATGAAATATTTAATAACAGTATTTCTTATGTCCTTTCCTTTCTTTCTCCTCCCTCCCTTCCTCCCCCTTCTCTCTCTTGTTCCACCTCCCTCCATACTACCACCACTATGTTAATTTGATGAATGGATTCTCTAGGAATCCAGTAGATTATTGAAATCTTAAGGTAACAAAGCCAATTCTCCTATTCAACAGGTAGTGCTTATTCCTCTTCCAAGCATTGTTCTAATATGACCTGCCCTCTCTCAGTGCCCCTACCTGTCAGTAAATGCAGTGTAGGTCCTGATGGCTTGATTAGATTTAGCTAAACTCTGATCAGTCACCATTTCTGACAGACTGGACTCAAGCCAATTTCCCTTTCTATCCTTTTCCTTGAAAATGTGTGTATCTTTGCTAACTTCCTTTGGTATCACGTTAATATTTAGAAATGGCTTCATAATCCTATTTCCTTATTTTCCATTTCCTAATAGAAACAGGATACAAAAGAATTAGAAGGGGAAGGCCGATATCTGAAGTATGAATTAAACCCAATGAGTGTTGGAATGTACTTATTATTCCTCCTGAAAGCATCTCATTTGTTGTTTTGTCCATCTCAGAGCAATTTTTGAACATGCCAACACACTCACATTTTGAATTTGGGGTTGCATTTGGAAATAAAACTTGGAAATGAATTTCTGGACAGGCACACAATGATGATAGCCAAAAGACAGAGCCTGTTTTCAAATGGGTAAATTTCAAATGGGACCCTTTCTACATCATTTCTCTTCTGTTGTCGTTTGCTTTATTCTTATGTGTTTCAAGATTGCATCTTACTATTAATCACAAAAAAAGTCAAGTTTATTTCAGTGACAGAATGTTCTTAGCATATTTCATATTCATTATCAGGTCTATCTTTGCCATTGTTTTATTTGGAAGATTTTATTTTGGTAACATGTTGAATTCGAAGATTATTTTTAGGGCAGAGAGCTTTCTGTGTATTGAAGTCTTGGCGAACTTACTGAAGGGAAGGCTTCTGAAAAATGGGTTGCATTGGGAGAAGGGGACACTGTATTTGTGACAGATTTTGGAAAGATATTTAAGTCAGTGTGTTAATGAAGACCAAATGATTAGTATCATTTTTAAGACTTTCAAATTTTTATATTGAGAAATCATATGAGTTTGCTCACTTTAAGCAATGTCAGAAATAGAATAAAGAAATTATATTCTGGAAAAGTCAGCCTGGACACTGGGTCCTAATTCCACTGTGTTCCTAACCAGCTGTGTGACCTTGGGCAAATTACTTAATCTTTCTGTAACTTGATGTCTTCTTTAAAATGAAGGGTTTGGGTCTTGACTGGATTTAGATCTAGTGTCCGAAGCCTGCTATGCAACTTGGGCATTGAAGAACGTTGTCTATTTGGACTGAAAGAATTGAATATTAAAATGGAAGAAGGAAACGGGTAAACAACAGTGTTTAAATCATATTAGGTTGGTGCAAAAGGTTTTTAATGGCAAAAACCACGATTACATTTTCACCCACCTAATAGAAGGCCTTGTCTGCTAAGCTACAGCATTTGACCATTATCTTGAAACTAGGGGGGAGGGAGAGGCAATTAAAAGAATTTTTGCAGCGAGGTGATCACCAGATTTAGGTATTGTATAGTTGCTTTGGCTGTAGTGTCTAAAATGGGTGAGATGATGCAACTGGAAGCTGAAAGATTAGATTAGAGGCCTGGGGAATTGATGAGAACCTGGCTAAGGCAAAAGTAATGAAGGTAAAATAAACAGGGCCTTGCTAAATGGACTAGTTGTGGTGGAGAGAGGAATCTAGGATAACTTCTGAGTTTCTATCTTTGCTGTAGGGTTGGCTGGTGGTCCCAGCATCTAAGAATTAAGATCCTGAGAAGGAAGTTCCTCTTTCCCGGGCTAGAAAGGGTATTTCAGTTATTGTCTCTAGTAGGACTGACAAAAGTAAAGAATATTATTCCTTATCTCACTCATCTCATTAATGAGGATGAGCCCCATGGAGTGTCCGATAGCAGAATTCTTTGAAGCAAATACTATTCAGTCAGTAATGTCACTGTATTTTTGTTATATACCCTGCCTTCTGATAAAACTATGTAGAGTTTTACATAGTAAATTCCCTTTTTAATTTTTTTTTTGGGGGGAATCTAGTCAAAAGCCCAAACTCTTATTTTTTATCCTTTCTCTTTGTGATACAGAAGTATTACCTAAAGTAGGTAACACAAGGGAATTAACTGAAGGAGCAATGATCAGGTTGGGTTATCAGATCAGCACAAATTCTGCCCAAGTGCTAATGTTTTACACTTCTATAATTCCATATAATGATAACCAATGTTCTTTCTATTGTCTCTGAAGCAAAGTAAGATCCAAATAACCAAATGTATTTGGTCTGTCTTCTATAGTTGATTTCAGGCATTCCAGGAACTGATTTCCCTCTGGTGTTCTCAAACTCTTCAAGGAATAATTATGTTGAAATTTGTTTCAATTGTGTTTTAAATTTATGATGTTCAAGTTGTCCCATTCACATCTAAAATTCTGAATCTTTACAAAGGAGGTAGAATGATGTCAGTAAACCAGAAACTTTGCTTAGCCTGGACAGGGTACTCAGCCACATCCTAGGGAGCAACAGTTAAATTTCCACCACAAGAGAGGAAATGCACACCTATTATGTCTAGGTGAATATATCAGTGAATCCTGGCAAGCAAGGCCAGGATATTTGTAATGGACTAATTCCATGAAGTGACTTGAAGATGGGAAACTTGAAGAATAAACTGCTTTTAGGAAAACATGATGTATTGTTAGGCAGAATTTTAATGGCTACAAATAAAAGAAACTTCCATCTTTCCATCTCAGCCTGCCAGCCTCAGATTTCCTTAAGAAAAAAAGAAAAGAATAAAAGAAAATGGGACCAAACTAAAACCCAGCAGAGAGGGAAAATGGTCTGGTGTGTATCAAATGGTGGCTTCGACTCAGGCTGCTGAACAGTGAACCATGTGACTTGCCTTTTTGTGAAATGTTCTTCAGGCAGCCTAAGGAAAATTCCTGAGGCAACAAGAAACCCTCCTGTCTCTCTGGAGAGTTCTGTCTCCTGATGACCTTTTTTGTGGAGGCAAGAATGAAAATGTGTGGTCACTGGGGAGTGAGGAGGAAATGGCTGGGACATCCAAGTCCAGGGGCCACTGCACTCTGGGATGCTTGGAGGCACAGTAACGTCCCTGGCAAGGTCTGTCTCAAGGGGAAAGGGCCCTGCTGTCCTGCCAGATGACTTCCTGCAGGGAGCCAGGACTCTGCCTACCCAGCAGCGGTTCCACACCCTCCCCTCTGCTCTTCTGTTGGTGTATCCTCAACTGGCTCCAAATTAATTTTCAGATCATATTTTTTCTCCCTTTCCATTATCTAGCATGAAAAAGAGTTTTACAGGCTGTGACCAACAAAACGTATTCAACAAATGTTTAATGAATGAACAAACACATGAAAGATATATGAAATCCCAAGAATGCTTAGAACCACTTGGGGAGCTTGTCAGAAAAGCAAATAGTCAGGGCCCACTCTCGGAGGTGTTGACTGAGTAGGTAGGTGGTGGGTTCAGGAATTTGCATTTTCACTGTTCTGCCAGTGATTCTGAAGTCCAGAGCTCTTGGAAGGACCCCACGTTGAAAAAAGCTGCCATAGATTCAGCTGAGCTGGATGGAAACTTAATTCAGCGGCCCCTCTGATGCTGGTATCTGGGAAGAACAGATTTTGTGTTAGTCGACAGTGGGAGCAAAAGGTTTTAAGTAAACAGTTCTCAGATTTTCAGAATGTAATCATGAAAGATCATTGACAGAAAGAGAAGTAAATTGAGTTCAGCTGCCCTGCTCTGAGTTCTAGATGATAGAATCTGAAGAAGTGTTTTTCCCTATTTCTTTTTATTTTCTGTTTGTATGATCATTTCTCTGTATTTTTTTCATGAAAATTTTTAGTCACGTGATGTGAAATTTCAGAATTTTCTATGCTATTGAACTTAGATGGAGATATGGTTGTGAACGAGAGCTCCTAAAAATAGTCTTCATGGTCAAGATTCTGGAACATCCTACATATGCCCCCTTTCTTTATTCCGCTATAATGAATGGCCCTTGGGCTTGCAGTGGTCACTCAAGGGCATGTCCCTTAGATTCCAAGGTATGTGATAGGACCAAGTGAGAAGTGGCCAGTTCACTTTGGGGCAAAGGCTGAAGCAGCCATAACTGATGCCCATAATTCTAGACTCCCCAACCCAACCACCTCCACCGCACAACCTTCAAAAACTAACCAACGATTCTGGACAGAAAGGAGGAGGAAGAGAACATTTAGGGCTTTCATTTGGAAAAGCATAATTATATTTACAATTAATTTTATACTTGGAAAATTTTTTAAATGCTGCTTAATATTAAATATTTAATATGAAAAAAATAGAATGAACACAATTTTCCTGGCTCTTGAGCATGTGGCAAAAATACAGTGCTGTGACTGCTGGGGTGGGGTGGTTCAGGTATAACAAAATCTCTAGGAAGGGCACACTTAATTTTTATGTTTATCACACAGAAGATTTGTGTTTAATAGCCTTTCGGAATTCAGATCTAACTATTGGTTCTTCTGTACTTCATTTTCAGAGGGACATGCATAGGAGTTGTAGTGTAGGGATATCATTGATGAGTTTTATTTCTTTTCTCCCAAATAAGTAAAGATTCTTCAAGGTTTAATGCATAGGTAGGTAGGTAGGTAGGTAGATAGATAGATAAAATAGATAACTGATAAGGAAGGTAGGAAGAATTCCTACATTTTACATATTGAATTGTCTTACATGAAGAAAGTTTTATCCAACACAATGAGTACTTGAAGCAGTATTTCTCAAAGTGTGATCCAAGACTATCTATGATAGAATCAGATGACAGTAACTTCACATAGACCTACTAAGTTAAACCCCTGGGTGGACCTTGCAAACTTGGATTTCACAAACAACCCAGATGAATGTTACACACTTAACATTTGAGAATATCTGCTTCTAAAGTGTAATGCTTTAGTAAAGAGATGTTGGCTCATTAAAATTAGGCTCTGGCATGACCAGGCCTCAGTATCTCATTTTTATTGTTAAAAATTGAGCACTCAGTATCTCTCTATACATTTATATAGATTCAAAATGTATCCACATCTTTAAAGTTCTCATGCTCACAGAGCATTGAATGACTTTTATAATTATTTTTTAAGGGATCATGCAGGAAACCTAATTTAGATACCAAAAATGTGTAGTCGATAGGTAGTATTCCGGATTCAAAGAAAATATGGCATGTCAGACTCACTCTTTGTTTACTTTAGGAGACTGTACACTTTCATGATTAGAGGCAGAAAAACTTTGCAGCAGAGAAAGCACATTAAGTCTAACTGCTGCCCTAATCAAGTGGCCATTGCTGAATCAAGCAAGCTCCCTCTCATCTGCTCCTTTTCCTCTATACTATCTCCCAACTGCTAGGATCACCCATTCACCACATTGCCCAAACTGGAAAACCTGGGTTTGTGCCTTTTGCCTTGTTTTCTCCCATCCTTATGTAATTAGCCAATCAGTTCTGCCAGATTTCCTCATAAATATATCTCTGTTCCACCCCCTTCTGTCTATTCCTAGTTCCCAAAATCAGTCTCTCTTTTACTTGGGCCCAAAATACTACAGCTGCCTCCAGTGTTGTCTACTTCAAATCCATCCTTCCCACAGCCACCAGAATGGTCCATTTAAAATGCAAGTAAGACCAAGAGGCTGCTGTGTTTGACATTCTTCAGTGATTCCTCATCTCTTGCAGAATAAAACCTAAGCTCTTTGGCATGGAATACAAGACCCAAGGTGATCTGGCCTCTGCCTACTTTGCTGCCTTCTTACCTTGTTTTTCCCCTCCTCAAATCATGGAATTCCGTGTAGCTGAGTTTTTTGCATGACTTATTTCTACTGCCTGGAAAACCTGCACCAGACCTTCTCCTAGCTAACCCTGCCCATATTTTAATGCTCAACGCAGGTAAGTAGGATGAGTTCAGAAAAATTTCTCTGAATCCTCTAAGCTAGATAAAGCTCGCCTCTCCTGCATGTCCATAAACATCAGTGGGTATTTCTAGCTTTACTTTTAGCATGTTGTGGTATTATTAGCTCTTCCAACTCATTTTGAAAATCTTCTTGAAGTTGAGAATCATATCTTGTTCAATTTGGTGTGTGTAGCATTTAGCAGAGAGCCTAGAATGTCTCGGGTGTTAGATGAATTATATCTGAATAGGTAAATATTGGAGAAAATGAGTAACTATGTTTTTGATTAGTGTTCTGAAGTTGCTACTCAGAGGAACCAAATGGTATTATAGGGTCTTGGTAATTTTTTTGTGATTAAAGAATACCTTGACCTTGAGATGATTTAGTTCATCGATTCCCCAAGTTGGAAGATTAGTTAGGGAGTTAAACCAATATTTCGTGCTCAGTGAAAGTGACCCAGAATAAAATATGTACTCAAGGAAGAATCTTTGTAGGTAGCACCAGATATCTGCTTTGATAATATACACTGAAAGAGAAAGTGAGAGATAAAAATTATCTCATCTATTCATCATGTTGGAGAAAAGGTATTTCTTAATATGGTGATCTAACATATGTTAATATATTTCCTTTAATATTATTGACTGGGTTACATTGTAAAATAGATAAAATACTGTTAGAAGAAAAACTGTACTGTTAAACTTGCTGGGGCCACCCTTGCTTTATCCTCTAAATATGTCTTTGGAAAATGTCTAGAGATAACTGTGTAGGCTCTACCCAACTGAAATATTTTGGTGTTTCCGTTTGAAGGTAAATATGACTTAGGATTTATTTTTCTGTTAGTCATAGGTTATTTTACTATATCATGTATCATGGATCAAGGTCAAATAGAAATCTTAGCTTATCAGATTCCTACAGGGAAAAAATAAATCAGAGTCAAAATAACTTGCTTATGGAAGAGATCAGAATTATTAGAAAATTATGCTACTGTTTGTTGGTTAAGATCAATAATACATGTGGCTGGAAAGAAGGCAAATAACTATTTGCTGGCATAATCTCTGTGATAATCTCGCTAGAAGAAAATATTGGAAAGAATGAGCTATCATATAGGCTTCCATAAGAAATATTTGCTCTATTGTGCTAGTCCACAAATAAAGGATCACTTGAACATTTAGGACCTGGCAGATAAGTTTGCAGGGTCGTTGAAAGCTTTGGGCTAGCCTAATGATGTTTCGTTAAAACAGGATTTCTCAGCCTCAACACTACTGACATTTGGGGCTTAATAAGTCTTTGTTGTGGGGGACATCTGTCCTGTGCTTTGTAAGACATTTATTGGTATCTCAGGTTTCTATTGAAACAAACCAGGAGCACCCCCCAACCCCCGCGATGCCATCCCCATTGGGAAAAACAAAATTTCTCCAGATATTGCCAAATATCCTTTGGGGGCGAGGGGAAAAATCACCCCCAGTTGGCAACACTGTTTAAACATTTCCCCTTGAAAATAGATATTAACGGGTGGGTACGTAATTGATTTTGCTGGAATCCCAAGAGATACTTCCTAGTGATAGGAAGGGAATGCTTTAACTTTAGACACACTTTCTTTTTCATTTTACAAGAAATTGAAATTTAGCTTACATTTGGGAAATTAACTGGTCCAGTTTTATTCACTAAACACAGACTAAGAAATCATTTTCTCATCTTATTGTCAATCATCTCTTGTAAGAAAATCGAATGTAACCAATTTGTCTGAAAATGTTTGAATGTTCCATATATGTTGTTTTTTAAATCAAAAGCAGAGCATATTTTTCAGTTTGATTGATGGTTATCCAGTGAAATGTTTAATTTTTACCATTATTTTGTTCTGTAATAACTTCTACTTAGAACTGCTTAAGAACAATGCAATATACATTTCATTTCAATGAATAAGTGAAGAAAATATTTCACTTTCTCAAGACAAATTTTTATGTGACATTAGCTCATGTGAGCATTCAAAGATTTTGAGATAAAATCTAGTCATTTATACAAGCAAGCTATATAATTTAAAGATGAGTATAACTATAGCTAATTTTAGTCATTAATTTCAGCATGATCAAACGGACAAAAAATGGAATTTCAGCTCTTAATTGATTCTGCATTAATTAATATCCTAGCTGAGTTACCTAGAATAAGTAGTTTTATCTTTCAATGCTTCAGCTTTCTCATCTATAAAATGAGAGAATAAGGTTAGATCAGGGTAGGCAAGGTTTGTATAAAAGGCCAGAATGTAACTGGTTTAGGCTTTGTGGCTCATACACCCTCTGTTGCAACTGCTCATGTAGTCTATTGTAACTACTCTATGCGTCATGCAGCCTCTACTGCCATACTCAATTCATATTACATCGAAGCATGAAAGCAGCCGCAGACAATACACAACAAAGGAGCATAGCTGTTTTCTAATAAAACTTATTTATGAACAACGAAATTTGAATTACATATAATTGTCGAATGTCATAGAATATTCTAATTTTCATTGCTTTCAACCATTCTAAAATGTAAGAACTATTTTTAGCTTAACAGCTGTACACAAGAGAGGCAGGTGGTACTTGGCCTGTGCTCCACAGTTTGCCAACTATGAGATGATCCTTAAGGTTCTTTCCACCTTTAACATTCTTGAATTTACTTAGGAATGACGGAAAAGCCATTTGGATGTTCCTATTTGTCTTGAAACTGCTCAGTGTCTGAGGGAAATTGAGACTAAATCGTTCGTGCTTATTGGGGAGCAGTGTGTGGTGGGCTATCTTATGAGGGGTAGGAGAATACTTGTTCTCCCTCTAAAAAAATTGATGCAGTCTCAGTTCTTCAAAATATGTCATTATTCACAAAAATATATATATTGAAATGTACAGGGACTGAAAATGAAATGATAATAAAAGCTTAACATTTGAAAGGTGCTTTTCAATTTACAGGGTACTTTCCTTTACATCAAATGAAATGAGCTTCATAGCAACGCTGTGAACAAATGTGGTGGGTTCAGTTACTCCTCTTTATAGGTAAAAAGATTCTGGCCCAAATAGGTTAAGCCACATATTAAGGACTTTTCTAATTCCAAACTCCTTCCCTGCAGTCCTCTGCATCTTGTATTTGCCCCTGTTACCGTCTCTCTTCATCTGAGGCCCAACTAGATTATAGAGTTATATCATGCATTAATAATAAACATTGGTAGATTGTCTAGGTACTTGACTACAAAAAGAATGAAACGGCCAATTCTCAAAATGATTATTGACAAGATAGAAAACTTTTCTGAGTCTTAGTGTCTTTCATTATAAATTGAAATAATAAAAATACTGTTTTGTATTATTCATAAATTAATATGTTTGTGTTTGCGTATAGTTGGTATGCAGTTTATATGAATTCCGTTCCTTTCAACTTAATAAAGCAAAAGTGATGCAATGCAAATTAACAGAATTCAAGGAGTCTTTTGTAATAAACTAGACTCAGGGGATGCATGTTATCTATGTGCAACTGCTTTCACTTTGGAGTTATTGTAGATTGTATTAGTCAGGAATCTCCAGAAAAAAAAAAACAAACCAGAAGCAGTAGGATGTATATATATATTGAAAGAGATTATTTTAAGGAATTGGCTTATGCAGTGGTGGAGACTTGACAAGTCCAAAAGCTGATGAGGGAGGCCAGCAGGCTGAAGACTCAGGAGAGAATTGCAGCTTAAGTTGGCTGGAGAGCCAGAAAATTTTAGCTCGAGTCTGCTGTAGAACCAGGAACAGCTGATGTTGCAGATAAAATCTGAAGACAGTCTGCTGGCATTCCTTCTTGCTCGGAGGAGGTGAGCCTTTTGTTCTATTCAGGCCTTCAGCTTATTAGATGAGGCCCACCCACATAATGGAGAGTAATCTGCTTTACTCAATGTCTGCCAATTTAAATGTAAACCTCATCCAAAAATACCCTCATAGAAACACTCAGAATAATGTTTGACCAAATCTCTGGGCACCACAGCCCAGAGAAGTTGACATATAACATTAACTATCACATAGATAATTGTTAATCAACTCATGATAACTTAAATAAAAATTTTCCTCTAAAGTTAACCTCTAAAATACCAATGACTGAAATGAAGTACAGCCACAGGGACCCAGACTTCTCTGTTACGGGGCCCTGGAGTCTCTCATTTCTGCCTCTCTTGGCCCATCTACTTTATACTTTTCTTTGTAAGTTAGCTTCGTCTATTATTCTGTATTCTGCTAACACTTGGTATAGTGCCTAGTTCCTTGTAATCTCGAAGTTGCCTTCCTTCTGTCTCCTTAGTTTATCCTCTCCCATTTTCCTATGGAAAATCTCATTAACCAAGGTTTGGTGATATGTCGACCCTTGTTTATTTAGCTCTGGTCAGAGAAATAGAGTCACAAGATTTAAAAATGGCCACCTAGACCCATTCATCTAGCAGGTGATATGGCAGGGGAGCAGCCTCTCTTAGCAAGGATGCAGGCACAGTGCTTCACTAACTCAATTAGCATGAACTTCCTACACACATAATAGCTTAATGGTTCTGGAATCTACCCAGACCTAGAAGGCATGGCAAGCGATCTAAAACTATGATTTCACTCTGCAAGTAATGATAAACAATTTTTCTATACCTTTTGCTAATATATAACAAGAGGAAATGGAGTTCAACTACAGAATCTGATTTTAGGTATACTATAAAGACAGTATTTCTGATTAAGAGGCTTAGAGAGTCTGGAATAAGTAGTAGACTCTCCTTCACTGGAGGAACATATTGAAATCATGAAGAAATGCTTTTAGAGTTCCACCCTAAGATGGCAGGATGTGTTCAGATGTCCCCGTAAATGCCTTCTTGAGTTGCTCCCATTGTTCATGGTTTCACCACTGACAAAAGGTTCCACAAGCTTTGTCAATTCTTCTGGTTGACTGAAATTGCAACATCCCAAATTTATGTCCTTGAAAAAAGAAAGAAAATAGCACATTGTTTGGAAGTAATGTCACAGTAAACTAAATATGGGGTAAAAAATTTTTATGATTTTTGAAAAATTAACCATGTTTAAAGGAGTTCAGAATAAAAGATTATTAATATTTCAACAGAATGTTCCTGCTTTCATTGAAGTTTTTCTGAAGGATAATAGTTCATACAAATGTAAAACAGTCAAATGAGCACTGTTTTGTTTTTAAGTGTATAGCAATTCATACATCAAAACAGCAGTATAAAATTAACATTTCACCCCCAACTGATTTACTCTTCACATACTTATTCATTCTACAATCATCTATTGCTAAGTGTCAGAAACTCTGCTAGGTATTAGAAATTCAAAGACGAAAAGAACAGGCCTTTGATCAAAAGGAGCTAATATTGGAATTGAGGAGACAAAGAAATTGGAAATAACAATATAACTTGATACATGTTTTCACATTGGTGAGCAGGGATAGAAACACCAAATACAGGCTGGGAAGATGGGCAAGGTTTCCTTGAAAAGATAACCCTTGAGCTGAGTACTGAAGGAGATACCAACCAGAAGAAGGGGCAGAAAAAACTATTCAGGATTAAGTACAGTGGTGCAGTACAGGCAAAGGCAAGGACGCATGCTAGAGATTATTGCTCACAGTGGGAACTCCCTTGAAGGGAATGAAGTATGAAGTAGAGGGGCACGTCGTGGGTGGAGTGGGCTGAAGAGAGTGGCGTGAGGGACTGCCTCTGTGCAGGGTTGGGGGTATATTTATAATGTATACTGCTTTGATGTACAGCTCATTCTTGTTTAACAGTCTGCCTAGTTTACATTGCTCAAGTTGAAGTGCAATGTGGCCACCTCCTCACCCTCTGCCTCAAAGAAGCTCCATAGACAGCACCATTGTCCCCAGCTGCGCAAATGCAGAGGCGAACCCAAATTCATTAGTCATTAAATGTGGGAATTGCTCAGCCACTGCAGGATGCTCTATTAAGAGGGTTACACTGTAGGAGGGATCTTCACTTTTCTTTCCCTTTTTTGTACCCCCTGGCAAACTCATTTTCCATATCCAAACAACTTTGCAAACTGTCTCATTGTGGAGAAACATTTTATCCTGTTTTATACGTTTTAAAATGTTTTCATCCAGAATGATAACAGCCTTAAGAGAATTATAGTAAACAAGAGCTATGGCAAGAACATCTTTCTTTTGCTCTGGACAGCTATAAAATGTTAGGCAAAGGGAATAGTGAGCAGTGTTAGTCCATTTTCATTGCTATAAAGGAATACCTGAGGCTGGGTAATTTATGAAGAGAAGAGGTTTATTTTGGCTCATGGTTCTGCAGGCTATATAGGAAGCTTGGGGCCAGCATGTGCTTCTGGTGGAGGCCTCAGGAAGCTTACAATCATGGCAGAAGGTGAAGGGGAAGCAGGCCTGTCAAAGGAAAGAGAGGGAGCAAGAAAGTGAGGGAGGAGGTGCCAGGATATTTAAACAACCAGATCTGTGGATGCAGAGCAAGAACTCCCTCATTACCATGGGGAGGGCACCAAGCCATTCACGAGGGATCTGCCCTCATGACCAAAATACCTCCCCCCGGCCCCATTTCCAACACTGGGGATTATATTTCAACATGAGATTTGGAAGGAACAAATATCCAAATCATATCATGAGCATTACTTTGCAGTTGTCAATAGTGGCGTATCACTGAGCAAAAGGAAAACATGTGTTTTCAGATGTGTCCTGAATAAATACCAAGATGAATTCCGGATAGCTGCTCTTTACATCTAAACTGACTTTTCTAGTATAGTCATCCTCCACCATCCTGTAAAAGCTGCTAACAGGTATCCTACTTAAGTGAACAGTAGAACATCATCAAGAAAACCTTCTTGAATTGAGTATAACTTACAGTAGAATTTGTGAATTTTTTCTGTAAGCTCAATAATATTTAAAAAAAATCAGCCATGTGACCACAACCCATATCAAGACGTATTAATTGGCATCACCCTAGAAAGTTCTTTAATGACCTTCTCCAGTTAATATCACAACAATCACTACCACCCAAGGTAACCACTGTCAGATTTCCATCACTGTATTGTATGTGTGTGTGTATACACGTACTACGTTCTGCATATTTTACTGATTTGACATCTTTAAAAGACTTTTCTGGCTGAGAAGAGAACGCCTCTCCTAGGGCTAGCCAGTTCTTAGAGATAGCAAGGTTTAGCCAGGAGCATGGCTTTGATATACAAACTAACAATCCAGAGCCATGCCTCTTCTATCTGGCCCTTACACCCCAGGACACAATATTCCTCTGCCTTAATCATCCCAAGGCCAGGTACCAGGCAACTAGGGACCACCCCATAGCTTACAGTCCACTGAAATTATTCAGAATAGCCAATCCTAACATGATTACCCTGCCTGCCTTGCCATTCCCTAGGAAACCCCAGCAAAGGCTGGGGTCTAAGCTGTCCTGTAGCTCCCGTCTTCTGCCTCCTAACCACCCTGGTGTTTTTCCCATGTGACCCTGCATGGCATACAGTGCCTCCTGTCTCTAGGACTTGGGAAGATAATAACCTTTGTTTTCCTGAGTCTCTCCTGTGCCTCCTCTCATGGCCACATCTGATTGGCCATCACATTAAAGTATACAAAACACACTCTATATTAGTTTTGCCTGTCTAGAACTTTGTGTAAGTCAAGTCATACAATATGCACTCCTGTGTCTGCCTTCTTCCACTCAACAAGCTCCTAAAATTTGTTCATTTTCTTCAGTCTGTCATTCTGTGCATATGTTGTATGAATACAGCATAGCTGATTTATCTTTTTTCCTGTTAGTAGACATTTGGGTTATTTCCCATTTGGGACTCCTGTGAATAAAGCTGCTATGAACATTCTTGTTGGACAAAGCACTCATTTGTCTTGTTATATACCTAGGAATAGAATTGCTGGATTATAGAGTAGGTATATGTTTGACCTTAGTAGGAACTGCCAAAGAGTTTGTCAAAATGATCATACCATTTCCTACTCCCTTTAACATACAATATAAGCGTTTCAGTTGTCACACATTCTCACCAGTTGGCATTGTCTTTTTCTTTTTTTAGTTTTAGCCATTCTGTATAGCTTTTTCTCATTGTGATTATAATTCACATTTCCCTAATGAGTAATGTGATGTTAAATTTCTCATACAGAAATACCTTTAAAAGCAATAACAACAGCAAAAAAAACTTAACGGGTAAAGTTGAGCAAAGAGAGGAAGAAAATTAACTTTTATTGAGTTACTATTGTGGTTGGAGACTAAGATGCATGATTTATACGTTGTTTAATCTTCAGTAATGAAGCCTTCTTATCTCTGGTTTTCAGATGAGGAATTTGTGATTGAGACAGGTTGAATAAAGCAGGAACAGTTTAATAATATTAATTACTTTTCACTGTGGTGAAATAAGTTAATGCACCTATAGTTCTGAGAATATGCCCTTACACATGAGAAGCATTCGATATGTTTTTGCTGTTTTGAAACATAATGCTACAAGTTGTAAATAAAAGCAAATTAGCTCATGGGTTTTAAGGAAAATCAGTCTAAAGTAGGCTATACATTTAACTATCTGAAGTTAACATCAGGAAGTTTTACAAAATGTTGGCTGTGCCACTAGGAATGTGTCCATATTAGTAGTAGTGGTCACTCATAAAGAGTTGCTAAATGGGGTGGGCATGGTGATTCACACCTGTAATCCCAGCACTTTTGGAGCCCAAGGTGGGTGGATCACTTGAGGTCAGGAGTTCAAGGCCAGCCTGGCCAACATGGTGAAGCCCCATCTCTACTAAAAAAATGCAAAATTAGATGGGCATGGTGGCACGCTCCTGTAGTCCCAGCTACTCAGGAGGCTGAGGCAGGAGAATCGCTTGAACCAGGGAGGTGGACGTTGCAGTTAGCCGAGATTGCACCATTGCATTCCATTCTGGGCAACAAAACGAGACTCTGTCTCAAAAAAAAAAAAAGGATTGCTGCATGGGTCAGATCATCTGCTCCATTATTTCACAGAGCTTGGTTTTGATGAAAAGTGTCCACATTTCAGAAAGAGGGCATAGTCTGTCATAAGTTGATTCATGAATTCATGCCTTCAAAAAAATGTTCCAGGTACGTGCTATGCGTGAGATGCCATACTGCATGCTGGAGATAAAAACTTGTATGTAATTGTGGTTATCCTCTGTGGAGTTATAGGAAGAAAAGATAGTCTTTGGGAACATGCTTTATCTCCCTATCCATCCACATTTACTTCTTTAATCAGTTATATTTAGACCACCTTGAGTGATTTTGAAGACTTACTGGGTCATTGTTCTGCCCTCTTTGTTCCAGGACTCTGTAGTCAGTGAGATATTTTTTGTCTCCTCTAAATAAATTTTAAATATCACAATGACACAGTTTACCAATATTTAATATTAATTTTTCCTTCAACTTTGACTTCTAAAATCTCAGACCTTACTTGGTAGAGTTTTCAAATGATCATATTTTGACCTCAGCAGGTTGAGAGACTAGCTTTCACAGGATACTCAGGTAATAAGAGAGCAGGCACTCAATACTTTGTTCTAAGGTTCCTCTTTCAATTTTTCCATTCTATTTTTAATAACTTTCTTTCCTTTTATCAATAAGAAAGCATAATAGGGGTATTTACTTTGGTTGTAATCAGAATTCAAGGGAGAAAAATAATACAAGTGTTTGATACAGTTTCAAACACTGCAATTCAGCATGTAATTTATTGAGGATGGGCCTTTTAAAATGACCACAGTGACTATCCATTTTATTTATTTACATGAATCTTATGCCAAAAAGGATTTGAGATAGTGGTTTTTACTTAAACTAAAAAGCAACTTCTTTGATTAACTAAAAAAAATTTTTATCCCTCCAAATTCTGTTCAAAAACAAATATTGAAAGAAGGTAAATATGTCTGGTTTATCAGGAAATGGCAAAGCATATATGTGTAATGGACTCAGAACTAGAAATCAATTCAATCCAATAAATATTTTTGACCATGTCCCATGTTTCAAGCTCCATGTGTTACGTTAGCAATGCAAAGATGAAAATAGCATAATCTTTACAGTCTAGGATCTGACCAACTAATGGGAGGAAATTGACATGAATAATTAATCATATTGCTTTCTAATAAAAATGTAGTAGAAGAACATACCAGATATTCAAGAAAGCAGTGTGTGAAACAACTAATTTTGCTTGAGGAAAAAGTTAACTATAAAAGGGATTGTATTTGAGTTGGGCAAATCTAAAAGGTGATTAAGATTTCAATAAGGAAAGAAAGAAATAAAAGACATTCCAAGGAGAGGAAAGAGTATGTGCAGAAGCAGTGTGGTGTGAAGAAGCATGGCATGTTGAGTGATTTTAAGTTGATCAGGGTACCTGAGTAAAGTAGGCATGAGGGAAAAGTAGGCAGTGTAGCATAAGCTAGGACCAGAAACAGGAAGGACTTCATGTGCAATGCTCAGTAGTTCGAACTTTTACATTTTAACATTTTGAAATGTTCTTAGGGGAAAACGTGTTCAACAAATATCTGCAGAAATCAGCTGTGTGACAAAGTCTGGACTAGGAACTAGAAACTCAATGACAAGTAAAAATTCATTCTCAGCCCTTAGAAATCCCAAGTGGAGCTAGACTAACATAGAAACAATGGTGATTCCAGGACGGGTGGTTTCAAAATCATGGGAGTAAGAAGCATGGAGGAAAGCTGTGTTTGCTCTGCATCTGAAAGAACACATTTTATTTTCTACCAAGGTAATAGTGATTATGTGATTAGCCAAAAATTAATGTATCTATGATGTCATTTCTGATTTTGCTTTGGTATGGAGAAGATGATTAAAATATATTTGAAAAGAAAAAAGCATGCTGGAACTCCACCTTCACAGATTTGGTGTTCAGAGCACAGAGGTATTCCTCTAAAAGGAAAGCTGGAATAGTTTTGATTTAATTGCTTCTTCTGAATGGCCCAGAGACAAAGCTGTTGGACTTCATGGCCTTTACCAGTTTGTTATCAATAATACAAGAGATGGATGCTTAAATGTAGCTTTCTCACAGGGGAAATGCTGTCACAGGAGCCAATGACCTAAATTGTCTTCAAACATCAAACTTTCTAAAGTGAAGAGGACATATCTACTCTTTGAATATTAAACTAGTCACTAAACTGGGTCAGAAGGCCTACAAAGAGTGCATTTACAGCATAGAAAGTGATGTCTTTGGTTTTCATTACCTTGAAGAAATTAAGTTTATTTCCTGTGCAGATTGCTTCCAATGAAAGACTTTTTGTGTGATATTCACCTTTGACAACACAGCTATGTGCCAATTTTTAGAGTTCTTTAACTGAGTTTGAACTAAATCCTTGGGAATTAATCATCCCATCCTACCTGTACTCCCTGTACTCTCCTAGCCCTGTCTTCACTTACACATACACACAAAATTCAGCCTTCCCTTCGGTCATTAGAAACAGTCTTAATAATCATTTCAGATTGCTTTGGCACATTTTCCTACATTAGTTTCCATGGAAGAAGGAAATCAGTGAGGACTAAGAGAAGACTTGGGTTGAGTGATTTGTTTGATCAAGAGCGACTGACTGTGGAGGTATTGTGGGTGTTTAAGAGGAAAAAAAATCCACAACCATCTCAAGAGCAGAGATCATGTCTCAAGAGCAGAGATACTTATGGTTTATTCCACAATATCAATCCTGAAATCACTGATGCTCATTTGTTTCCTGAATGAATGAGTAAATGAGTTAGTCAGAAGTAGAGGCAGTAAGTGTATTATTTCGAGAGAATAAGCAGTGGAGGAGAGATAACCTAGCAGGTGGGCATCTGGTGTGGCATGGCCCAGAAGAAAGGTTTATTTAGGTTTTAGATACATGAGAAAAAGCAAGTAGAGAAAGAGAGATTAAAAATGCTACCATGATTTGGGAAGAAGAAAGAATAAGTCATGTCACTTGCCAGGATAGAAAATGTAACTTACACTCAACCTGAGATCCACGGTGCATTTGTGTTACGACTCTAAGCTTCCTTTCATTCATTCAAATTTAATAACAGCTACTATTTATTAAGCATTTACTTTGTGTAAGGCAAAGGGGTTTTCTTGCAAAGGAGAAGTCTAATGGGAAGTACAATATAAATATTCGTTGAATAAGTCAGTGGGCAAGGAGTGAACTTCATCTTCAAAGACGAAAGGCAGAGCAGTTAGAGGCACAAGGATTCTGATGGGCAAGGAAGGGAAGTGGAGACTCTTATGCTTTAATCATCTTAAGATAATCATAGTTAAGATTTAGGAAATGATTACTGTATGCCAGGTAGTATGTTATACATTTTACTTATATTACTTTGTATATACCTCCCAGGTGAGTGTGGGTTAGTATCCTCATAATTCATAGTTAAGGGAACTAGAATTATTCCTAGGGTTAATTAGACTGAAGGAACTGTTGTGATGAGCTGGGATTTAAAATTAGAGTTTCTGCCTCCAGAGGCTGTCACTTCCTGAGAGTGAAGGAATGAGGCTGGATGTTTGAGCATCCTTTACTTCTAATTTTTCAATGGTTTCTTATCTTCTCATGCTTGTATCTTTATTGCTAGATGGATTGTCTACTCATTTAGGGTAAAGACATTGACTTGGCATCTTCAAATCTCCCTCAGAGACTAACAAAATTTTCCTGAGTTATTGTAGTTGATTAAATATTTATTTATTAAATTACTTGTTAATCAATGGAGTTAAAATTTGAGATCTAAAAATCAGAATCAAAAATCAGAAAAGAATTTATTTTTGTAAAACATGATGAAACAGAAATATATCTATCCCTTGAGATGTGACCAATAAGATCTGAAGTCAGACTGTGTCAGGAAAAACTTCTAAAATGAAGGCATGTACAACTTCTTTCATTGTAAAAATAAGAGACTACAGCACACTGTCAAACACATAAAACAATCAGTATACGTCAATAGGGAGGTAGGATATCATAGTCATTGGGGTTACACTGCATATTCTGGTCTCATCTCAATAACTGCTGACTTTGGGTAAAGGATTTACTCTCTTTAAACCTCAGTTTCCTCATCTGTAAAGGGAGTAATAATGACACCTCCTTTCTAGGGTTGTTAAGATCAAATAAAGTAACATAAAGAGCTTAACTTTGAATGAATAAAAGAAAGCTTAGCATTATAACACAAGTATAGAATGGATCTCAGGTTGAGCATAAGTTGTATTTTCTTATTTTCTATCCTGGCATGTGGATGGTTGGCATAATGGGCTTGCCCCAGGTTTTTTGAGGGGGGGAACCCATCTAAAGGTAAAATCACAAACAAGCTATTGAATCATTAAAAAAGTCTCACAACAGAGAGGAGGGGTGAGCTGGCATATAACATTGTACCTACCCTGTACACTTAAAGGAGGCGAGGATTATGAGTTAAATATAATGGTGAGACGTGAGAGAGCTCTTTTTCTATAAAGTGTCTAAGATATTGCAAGTACTGACTGATATGGTCTGAATGTGTATACCCCCCCAAAATTTATGTGTTGAAATTCTAATTCCTAAGGTGTTGATATTAGAAGGTGGAATCTTTGGGGAGGTAACTAGGTCATAAAGAAAGAGCCCTCCTGAATGATATTAGTGCCCTTACAAAAGAGGCTCCAGAAAGCTGCCTTGCATCTTCCACTATGTGAAGACAGAGTGAGAAGGCACTATCTATGGACCAGAAAGTGGACCATCACCAGATTCCAAATCTGCCAGTGCCTTCATCTTGAACTTCCCAGGCTTCAGAAACGTGAGAAATAAATTTTTATAAGCCACCTAGTTTACAGTATTTTGTTGTAGCAGCCCAGATGGACTAAGACATCAGCTAATATTGCTTTGGCTTCAGTGTCATGGTGTGAAGCCAAAGTATTAGGGAATAAGCACTTCCTCCTCGTGTGAGTAGCCCAGTCTGGCAATGACACCATACTGATGGCTCTGGGAGAGAAGGAAGTGTAGCAATGCCTAGGGAGGCATGAGTATCAGTCCCTCAATGGTGGGTCTGGATGTAGTGACATTTGCAAAATGCTGTCATAGGTTTCACTGGCCACTGAAATTTCCAGGGGGCTCCAAGAAACCTTTGGAGAACACTTGAGGGGGAGGAGTAATCTTCCAGTTTTTGAGGTTATAAATAGAGAATTATGCTACAATTATATCCATACATTTACCACTTCCAGGCCAGTGTGGTCAGGGAATGGGAGTTATCTAGAATTTTAGAGCTGAAAAGAATGTAACTGGTCATCTGGTCCAATTTTATTCATTATCCTTAGGTCTAGCGAGGCTAAGTGATTTTGCAAGACCACATATAACATGATCTGTTTAACAAAGCTTGGATGATAGGGGAGCATTCACCACTGCATATACTCACTACTTACTAGCATTGTATAAATTGCGACTCAGCTGAATAGTGTGTGAAAGTAGTTATGTTAAACCGGAAAACACCAGTAGGAACTTCCCAGCAGCCTGGCTTGCTCTGTTTCCACACACATATCTGCTCCTTTACCTCTCTTCAAGTTTGGTCTCCAGCTAACAGATGATGTAAAAATAGGCTTCATTAATTCCTACACACTAAATAAATTAATGTTGAGGTGCCACTAGGTTCACACTGAGAATTGTTGGATTTTACTGCTTATTTCTCAGTGGTTGCTTTCATTTTCTTTTTGTTACTTTTCTGTTTGGGGTTGTGTCAGTAGTAGATATCAGAGTAACCCATGGTCCTAATAAAGGGGCTAATAAGAGATAAGTAAATAGATTGCACATGGCCCAGTGTTGACTGCACAGCTATTGTCACACAGTGAAATTCCCATGGCCTGAGCATGTATCAAATACATGCTGGTATTGGGTGAATTTTTGCATCCTTTTCTTTTCCTCTTCATGGCAGGATGTACTTGAGAGTCCTGGATGGTTTTAGGAACCTTCTTATCTACATCTTTCCCTTGCTGGACAGATTTAATCATAGATCCTGTCCTTTCCACATGTCTCTAACTTTGTGCCATCTGTGATATTTGGCAGCTGCTAGTTACATCCCAAGTTCCTCTTGGCCCCAACATCTATTGGTTTGGATGAAACTGGAAGTATTTCATCTGTTGGCAAAGTATTTTAAAACCACTGATTGGTGATTTTGTCACCTAGGATGTTGAGATAATCATCTCTCTTCTGTATGGCACTGTTGAGCACTTGGAATTCAATTTATAGCTATTTTTAAGCCATAAATTGCAGAGATCACATAAGCTGGAATAGTGGGACTTTTTTTTTTTGGTCCTATATGGAATATATTTGGTTTTAGAGGAAATTCACTGGTGCCAATGAGAGAGGAATACAGGATTGGAAGTATCAGAAAGTTCTCTGTGATAAGTAAGTTTTAAGCTAAGAGAAGTTTGGAAGAACCTTTAAACTAAAAAATGTACGTATATTTTCACATATAAATATGTTAAATGCACATAATATTAAGTGTAAATACTATGCAAACATAAATTAAACATACCCTTAATATATACTACATATATATGTGTATGTACATGTGTATATATACATAAAATGTTCACCAGTTGTATATACAGTATATATCCTAAAGTTAGGATATCCATGTACTGTATATCCTAATATATATACCATATATCCTAAGTGTTCTGAATATCACTACAAGACAGAGTTACAAACCATTTCTATTGTTTTATATATTTTCTGAGTTTTCTCTTTTTTTAATAAGCATAGAGCATTTTTATAAAAAGGAACAAACAAACATTATAAAGCAACCCATCCTAGAGTCTTTCTGACAGCAAACCATGAAAGCTGCCAGAGTCGGGAAGGACATAGGAAACCGCTAGTGTTGCCTGGGCGCTGGCCAAATAGGTCACAGGAATTGGTTTCTTCCCCCACCTTCTTCTCTGAAGCACCAGCAATTTTGAGCCAGGGTGATACATGTGATCAATGAAATGACTGCCATGGGATGATCAGATAGACTCCAGCAGCTGTTCTAGAGGTAAATTCTGATTATTTTTGAATTCTGAATTTTTATGTTCTTGCAAATAGTGCCAAATAGTCTGTTCCCATTCACTCACAGAAGCTTCAGAAACATAAATTTACTTGACCACCACTGTTAAGTGGATGTGGAAGTTAATGTTTAATTATGAAGGACTGTTTGTTTACAGATAATGATTGCAACACCCCAGGTAAATAAAATCTGCCAGTGCCATGCTAGGTTCTTGTACCTTGTACCTCCTTCAACATTTTATTTGAGGGAGAGGGGGAGAGAGAGAGAGAGAGAGAGAGAGAGAGAGAGAGTGTGTGTGTGTGTGTGTGTGTGTGTGTGTGCATGCGCTCACAGGATGGGGGTTCCAACAGTCATTTGGGAAGTCCTCTAAGCTTGTCACCGACTGGGTCTCATTTTCTCTCTAAGCCTCTGGAAGAGCTCCATAGCACCCAGAGGCAACATAGTATGTGGTCTTTGTTTTGTCTCTGATTTTCAGAATCACATTATTCTAATGACTTTCAATTAAAAATTTAACCATGGACATGATTACCTTGTTCCTTCAGGTCCTAGAAGGGTAGTTTCAGCAATTTTTAGTAGTTTTTTTTTTTAAAGGCAACTAGATATCAAAATTGATTGAAATAAGAGGGACTCACAGTCTATGCTGTTTCAATTCTGGGTGGAAGTATAGCATTTGCAACATTGTTCTGAATTTACATTTTTTTTCTGATCACTGGTCTATTTTAAGATGGGAGCAAATGAACTTAGTTTTGAAACATTAACTTCACTTAAAATCATACTTCGTCCTCCAGAAACAAGAAAAACTAATTTTGGAAAATATCTTATTTGAATAAACACCTTTGTTTAACCCTTAAATGGATAAAGCCAAGGTGGTCTCCACAAAACCACAGACTCACTTTGATTTTTACAATTGACCTATGTGATCATAGATGAAGAGAATTGTGATTTTATAAGTTTTTCTGATGAAAACTCCATGTCCACTCTGTCTCTGGTAGCTATCTGGGTGAAGAAGGGATAAATCTTTACAGCTATTAGAAGATAATACAGGTAAATGGAAATTTTGTCAGTCTCTCTCTCTTTCTCTCTTTTTTCTTTTCTTTCTTTCTTTTTTTTTTTTTTTTTTTTGACACAGAGTCTCATTCTGCTGCCCAGGCTGGAGTGCAGTCACGCAATGTCAGCTCACTGTAACCTCTGCCTCCTGGGTTCAAGCAATTCTCCTGCCTCAGCCTCCCTAGTAGCTGGGATTACAGACGCATGCCACCATGCCCGGCTAATTTTTGTATTTTTAGTAGGGACGAGGTTTTGCTATGTTGGCCAGGCTGGTCTCGAACTCCTGACCTCAGCTGATCCACCCTCCTTGGCCTTCCAAAGTGCTGGGATTACAGGCGTAAGCCACCGCACCTGGCCTCAAATTCTTTAAGAGGTAATTTAGTCTTCTACCTGTTTAAGATTTGTGGTAAGAGCTCATAAGAAACTGCAAGATCTTAAATAGAGGATCTCCCGTCGTGCCCCACCTCACCTCTCAATCTCATGTTCTTTCATGAGAGAAGAAAAAGAAGGGAATCTAAAAAATGGTTTCATCTTTTATACATGACGACGGAGTCAGTTTTACCCCTTCTGCGTTCATTTAATAAGCAAATATTTTGTTAGTAAAAACAGGAGAGTTTTTGTTCACTTAAATTTTAACAGCCAAATGTAATCAGACACTCAGAAGTCCAAGAAACAAAAAGGGAAATAGTAATATGCCTTGTGATCCCTATTCCAGTTAAAAACGAAGGCATTTCCCAGGGCTTGGATTACAGTCCATTTTGTAGATAGTCATCTGTGGGGATGATATGGCTGCTCTTCTGAATACAAAGTGGTTGTTTTGGATGGAGTATGCTAAGAGGACTTAGACCTTTCTAGAGCTATGCGTGCTTTCAAAACTGGAGAGCCTTATGACTGTCTTTTTTCTCACCCTTGCTGTAAACCCTAACTGTATCCCATAAGATCAACATTATATTGCCGAGTCGAGTGTGTGTATTCTGTGATCATAGAGGATGGATTTTTTTTCTTTAATGATGTAAATGATTAAACCAGAGGCACAGTTTGATTTTTAGTACCTACCCTTATAATAATATCTGATGTACCACAGAGTAGTCACTGTGCCAGGCACTGTGTGTGATACTTTTATGCACCGAATGCATTCAATTCTCCCAACAGACTTATATATAAGATTGCTCTCTTTCCCTATAAGAAAATTAAGTTTATAGAGCTAGATTTTACACTGCTAGTAAATGGTAGAGCTGAGGTTTGAACCTAATCTGTGCCCTTACCCAATAATTTTCTCCTCCTATATTCCTCTTCTATTTCTCATGGAATTACAGGGATTCTCTAAAACAGAACACAACATATAGAAATAGAAAAGAAGTAGAGAAGCAGTCGAGAGAATAAAATGAGGATATGCAGGACTAGAAGACGATTCAAATTTTCAATTCTAAATTCTGTCAGAAATAATTTCTACAAGAGGAAGGACTTTGTCTTTTCTTTTCATTCTTACATCCCTGGCACCTAGTACAATGGTTGGCAAATGGAGGCAACCAAATATTTTTTTAAGTTTTTTTTAAAATTTATTTTATTTTAAAAATTTTACTTTAAGCTCTGGGATGCCTGCACACAACGTGCAGGTTTGTTATACAGGTATACAGGTGTCATGGTGGTTTGCTGCACTTATCAACTGATCATCTAGGTTTTAAGCCCTGAATGCATTAGGTATTTGTCCTAATGCTCTCCCTCCCCTTGCCCCCCACCCCCACCCCTGACAGGCCCCAGTGTGTGATGTTCCCCTCCCTGTGTCCATGTGTTCTCGTTATTCAGCTCCCACTTATGAGTGAGAACATGTGGTGTTTGGTTTTCTGTTCCTGTGTTAGTTTGCTGAGATTGATGGCTTCCAGCTTCATCCATGTCCCTGCAAAGGACATAAACTCATTCTTTTTTATGGCTGCATAGGATCCCATGGTGTATATGTGCCATATTTTCTTTATCCAGTCTATCTTGATGGGCATTTGGGTTGGTTCCAAGTCTTTGCTATTGTAAATAGTGCTGCAACAAACATATGTGTGTATGTGTCTTCATAGTAGAATGATTTATAATGCTTTGGGTATATACCCAGTAATGGGATTGCTGGGTCAAATGGTATTTCTGGTTCTAGATCCTCGAGGAATCGCCACACTGTCTTCCACAATGGTCAAACTAATTTACATTCTCACCAACAGTTTAAAAGCGTTCCTATTTCTCCACATCCTTTCCAGCATCTATTGTTGCCTGACTTTTTAAAGATCACCATTCTAACTGGTGTGAGATGATATGTCATTGCGGTTTTGATTTGTATTTCACTAATGACCAGTGCTGATAAGATTTTTTTTTATATGTCTGTTGGCTGCATAAATATCTTCTTTTGAGAAGTGTCTGTTCATATCCTTCACCCACTTTTTGATGGGTTGTTTGTTTTTTTTTCTTGTAAATTTGTTTAAGTTCTTTGTAGATTCTGGATATTAGTCCTTTGTCTAATGGGTAGATTGTAAAAATTTTCTCCCATTCTGTAGGTTGCCTATTCACTGTGATGATAGTTTCTTTCGTTGTGCAGAAGCTCTTTAGTTTGATTAGATCCCATTTGTAATTTTGGCTTCTGTTGCAATTGCTTTTGGTGCTTTAGTCATGAAGTCTTTCCCCATGCCTATGTCCGGAATGGTATTGCCTAGGTTTTCTTCTATGATTTTTATGGTTTTGGGTTTTACATTTAAGTCTTTAATCCACCCTAAGTTAATTTTTGTATAAAGTGTAAGAAAGGGGTCCAGTTTCTGTTTTCTGCATATGACTAGCCAGTTTTCCCAACACCATTTATTAAATAGAGAATCCTTTCCTCATGTCAGGTTTGTTGAATATCAGATGATTGTAGATGCGTGGTGGTATTTCTGAGTGCTCTGTTCTATTCCATTGGTCTATATATCTGTTTTGGTACCAGTACCATGCTGTTTGGTTACTGTAGCTTTTTAGTGTAATTTGAAGTTAGGTAGCATGATGGGAGGCAACCAAATATTTTTAAACAAATGAATGTCTATGTTGTGACATTCATAAATTTATCACAACATTTAATGTAAGAGCTACATTATAACAATGACCAAAAAGTAGAAGATATTAATTTTGTCAATTTAAATGAATGTTGCCATGTTGGGCTTAAGGAATCAGAAATTTAGAATCACAGCAGGAAGAAATTGAATACCTAATGTATTCTGTCTTTGTTATTCTTAACAATTCCAAAGAAATCTAATTGTTATTGTTGGTAAATACCTTCCTAACCAGATCCCAAAATTTCGAATTGAGTTAATTTTACAATTTATTAAGTATTAAGAAAGAAAAGCTAAAAAAAAATCTATGCTTAGTAAATTGAAGAAGTTAGTGTTACTGCTATTAGAAAAACAAATTTACAAGAAATCACAATTAAATTTCAATAAATTCATGTCTCCTCATACTTATGAAAATTGGTAATCAGTGAGTTTTCTTTTGTATAGTTTTAAAAACTTTATTCAGGTTGCTCCACTGCAGAGTTCCAGAGGGCACCATTCATAGTGTTGTGAATCTATTTGAATAGAGCTCTGGGATTAGGGGTGCTCCCATTTTACAGCCATCAACACCTCTGCCTTTTCTTTTCTCTATAAAGGCAATTTAGGCCAAAGCAACAGATTCCTATTTGTTTCATTTTAGTACTTATTAAGTATCTCTGTCAGAGGCTGGGCTAGAAGCTTGCAAATGAATAAGACATGACCCCTAAAAGAGACTCACTATCCATTAGAATGAAAACTACTAAACCGATGTGGCTGTTTCTTTATGTATAGACAGATGTGACTGATGATGTAGTGATACAGATACAAAGATAATATAAATAATACATGCTTGTGCTTGGATAGCTAGAAACCAAGACTATTATGATATTTTAAATTTGGGGCACCCAAACAAAATTCTCCTATATACCTTAATCATTCACAATAGTCAAAGCTGCCTTTCTCTATGGGCTTTCAAATACTAGATGATGCTCGAAAACCGATCTTTTCTAGGGTTTATATCATTGATTTTCTTTATCAATACATGTAACTGGTGATTTCATTTATATTAGACATGACTGGTTGCAAGCTGAAAATGACAGTAAATTCAATCTCAACCAGTTTAAAATCACAGAAGAAATTTATTGGAGTAACTGGAAACCCCAGGAGTTGTTTGGCTTCAGGTGCACAATGTTGCTAAATATTGGGTTTCTCTCCCTGGATCTGCGTTGTATTCATTCTCGGCAAGATCCCCTCTTGTGGCTCAAGGTAACGGCAACAACTCCAAATTCATATCATTGTATTTCAAAGGTTCTGATCAGAAGTCCCATGGCAAATCCAAACAGCCACTGTTGTAAGGGGTAGGCAGTGCCCTGACCCCTTACATCTATATTACCTTCTCCAACCCTGAACTGGGATGGATTCCCCAGCTAATGACTAAGACTGAGAGAAGGGTGGTTCTTTAAAAGTTTGGGTTTCGTTTACCAGCAGTGGGTGAAAGGAATTTTGGGTAGCAGAAAAATAGATAACCACCACAAAGACCATAAAGAGAAATTTGATCTTCTTTATCCTTTAACATAATCAATACAACTTCTGTTAATAAAAGCTGTCAGCATACCAAAGAATAAAATGTCTTGTCTGTAAGAGAATGGTAAGCATGGTGTGTTTAAGCTTTGAGATCTCAAGTTGTTCCTTATCAAGCCAAAGTCCAAAGGTAGTAATGCTCCTGACCCCAGCAACATTAAGTACAATTTAATTTAGAACAGAAAAAAAGGCAGTAAATTTTATGAAGCCTGTTAAAAATAAATGGTGGGGGAGGAGTTGAAAAATGTCCTACTGTGGATATAAATCAAGGGTCTGAAAATTTTATTGGAGCCTTAAAAATCACTACATATGACTGATTGTATTACTAATAGTACCTAACATTTTTTAAGTACTTCCTATATGCCCGGCACAGTACTAAATAGTTTTAAATATTCATTTAATCTTGAAAGTAATCCCATGAAGTAGGTAGTCATTATTCTTATTTTACAAATGAAAATTTTGAGGCTTGGAGAAGTTAAATAACTTGTCTAAGATGATAGAATGGATGACTGCTAGAGCCAGCTTTGAACTTAAGTGCAGTTTGAGAGACAGTGACTTAGTCTGTGCTGCCGGACTCCTCCATTAACAGAAATAACCCAAAGCAAGAAAAGCTGTTGTCCCACTGCTTTTGTACTGGCCAAGGCAAGAGGAAAGAGCACTGCAACAGTCTGGGAAGCGTCTCTTAGGGGACACCTTGATACAGATGAGGGCATGATGTGGAGGGTGACCAGGTTGGTGGTGGATCTGGAAATTGTTGGATGAGAAGATTTATATCAAGGAAAAGGGACATAACAACTTCATCTGCTTGTGAGAACTAGCTTAAAGATACGGAATTATGTTTTCTTGCATAGTAGAATAGTTGCTGCATGTTTCAGAGAGACAGTTTGCAGCTAAGGAAAGTCTTCTTAGCAACTGTCCCTTGGCACATGCCATTCCTTCTGTCCATAATGCTTCTCCACTACTTTACATGTCTACATTCAATCTGTCCTTGAAAGCTTGAAATGCCTCTTACTCCACAAGACCTTGTTCAATCCCCTCACCATCAAGGTAGGTTTATCTCTTCCCAGTAACTCCCAGAGTGCTAAGACTCTACTGTGCCACAGACACCGCCCCTGCCCTATGCTGTCCTGTATTAATGTAGGGCAAGCTTGTCTAATCCACAGCTTGCAGGCTGCACGCAGTCCAGGATGGCTTTGAATGTGGCCGAATGCAAATTCGTAAACTTTCTTAAAACATTATTACTTTTTTTGCCATTCTTTTTTAGCTCATCAGCTATCTTAAGTGTTAGTGTATTTTATGCATGGCCCAAGACAATTCTTCTTTTCCAGTATGGTCCAGGGAGGCTGAAAGATTGGACACCCTGATGTAGAGCTCCTCTCTCTGATGGCAGCCTATAAGCTTTCAGGATATGACCTCAAAGATGCAAACACTAGGATGCTCAGGACATCCGCTGAGTGGCCTTCCTCACGAGACACTGAGCTTCTTCTATCTCTGGGTGTCTTCATCAGAGAACTGAAGACCATGGTTATGGTTGCTAACTCTTGGACTGAATGGAAAGTATATTATATGATTTCCAAGACCCAATTTTATTCTAAATGTCTGTGATATTTATCACATAATTTTATGATTCTTTGGTGTTTTTTTTTTCACATCATTGTCCAAATATTATTTTATACATCTGACAAAAAATTCTAAATCAATTTCTGGCTCTGTAGTACCTAGATGCCTCTAGCTACAGAGAAACACCTTCAAGAGATATAAAGGAAGATACAGATAATATAGACACAGTCTGTTATTGTCTTTTTTCTCTCCTTAACTAGACTACTTATATGGAGGTAGAAACGCTATCTAAGAAAAATATGTATTGTATATATTGCCATGTATGCTCTATCTTTGTATAGCATGTTTGGAGCTTATAAAACACTTTTGCAAAAGTTGTTTTATTTTATAGTGATATAGAGACTATATAGCAAACTATATAACACTATAAGCAAATATAATGTTATATATGAATATATAAAATATATATTCACGTATCATAAAAATATATATTCATATATGATATAAAATATATATTCATATATAATATATATGATATATACAATATATATCATATATATAATATATATATGGTGCATATATGTGATTTACAAGCTTGGCTTGGTATTTGAGGTTGCCTTCTGCCCTGGAGAGCAGCTAATATAGCACCATGATTATTTTTCAGAGATATGTACTAGAGAAAGAAGAAAACAGAGAGCTTCTATCAGAAGCTATCTCCTCTTTCCTCACCACCCCAAGTTTCCATTATACCCTTTTCTCCCTCTCTTTCCACCTCTCTGCCTAAGTAGATTATCATCTCAACTCAATGTGCAAGTGTGAATAAAAAGTTTGGATGAAGTGACATCCAAAACCAATGGATCATGGAGAGTCTTTCAAAAAAAGGAAAGTTTAATGAAGCAGATTTACAGAATTTTACAGCTGGAAATGACCTCATGTATATCCACATACTAATTATGTTACCTTGAACTAGATAAAAATGAGGAAACCTCATTACGCTTTTGAAATTCTGTTTCTTATACCTAGTAATGTCAATTGGCTTCTTGGTAGGCACAGACAGTTTTGGACTTTCTACAATTAAGTAATGTTATTTAGCTTGAGTCTAGAGCCAGAGAGAAGCAGCATATGTATATTTGGAAATATTTGTTAACCAAGTAGTTTAGTTTGTATGGTTAAGTGTCATTAGATTATGTCTAAAGATTATGTTGGTTCCCAAGTGTATTTTGTGTCAGTCTTTTAAAATATGATATACTAGATTTGAGGGTACAACAAGCTAATTCAGGCTTCCAGGTATTTCTCTACACTGTTCCCATTTCATAAAATGCAGTTCCTTCCTTGCCATCTGCAAATGCCCCAGTCAACTTTCAAAATCTATTTGAGCAGCTTCCATCCCAAAATCCATTTTCTCGTTTCGGGTATAATCAAGTGTTCTGTACTCTGCGTAATATTAGTTCATAAATACTTCTGTCTCTCAGTGCTTGTCTCAAGTGTCTCGTCTTCCATAGTAGGCTGAGGAATCACTGTAACCCGACATGTTTTTTACTGTAGCTGATTGTTGACAAGAGCTCATTAAAGAACAGAGTTTTTCATCCTCTTTGTATTTCTAGCACCTAGCCCAATATCAAGCACAATGGGGACTCATAATAAACACTTCATTAAAGCATAAATAACAATGTAAGGGTTAAGGTGGATGAATAGATGCAATTTCTTCCTATCAACATTTGAATTCAAGGGACATCATGTCCACATATTTTGAGCTTTCCAAATATTTGAACTTCTAATACTTAATTGCTTTGTATTCATGCAGATTATAATTTTCAAAGTACAATTATACCATGTATTCTTGCTGAAGTCCGTTATTAGTTAGAAGTGTTTTTTTAGTCTTTCTACCCAGTAGAGTTGGTCTAAACATGCAACAGCCTATGTTTAAAAATCTACTGTGCTGATTAAAATAAGGAAATAAACTTGTACTGCTTCTTCCTTTCTCTTGCCAAAAGCTTATTAAGCCAAGTACACTTTACATTAATAAAGAATGTACCCAGTCATGCAGTGAGGTACAAATATATTGAGGGCCCACCAAATGCAGTTTCACTGCTGGGTTCTACAAGGGTATCAAGACAAACAAAATAGAATCTTCCCTCCATGAGTTCAAAGGGTGGTCATAGAACAGACATAAATGGAAATAATTTTTTAAAAATAAAAGGCACAGTAAGATTTATGCTTGCTCAATGTCATAAACAAAAGGCAGTGATAGAACAAGAGGAAAAAAATGAATTTGTATTGGTGGGATATGAAAAGATCTTTCCCAGGAAATGGGATTTGAATTCAGCTTTGAACTTTCCTGTATAAGCACAGTATAAGCATAAAGAGAGTAAAACTTCCAAGAGGAAATCACAACTTGGACACAAGGCTAGAAGTAGCAAGGCGAAAAGCTATTCTATGGGCATAGATGGGATCGAGGAATAGTAATAGGATATGAGATAAGGCTGAAAAGTAAGATTGGGTTAAAAAGTTCTTGCTGAGGGATGAGGGTCTGGCTTTAATTTCCCAGTCACCAGAGATATATAAAAGTTTTTGAGGCCACGAAGAGACAAGCAATGGTGTCCAAAAATTTTCAAGAATCAGAGACTTTGGAGTCAATGGCTATTGAGATCATAAGCAGCAGGAAATTCGGTAGTTTCATAAGGAAATAAAATGCTCAGGCATAATTCTCATCTTCTCAAATCAGGGCCAGGACTAGAGAAAGGCATGTGAAGTGCCGAGAGTGTAAATTTCAAGAGGCACTAATTCTCAGTGCAAAGTACATGAAATGGTGCCTCACTCATCCTAACCTACTCCTAGCTCTGCCTAGAATATTAAGTTAGCATCACCCTGAAAAATATTCATCACATTTCCCATCTCTTCCTATGAGTAGTGAAGTGGCAGATTAGATTCTTTCCTTAGGCAGAGGCACAGTTTTCAGCTTCTGCAAGGGAAGAGGAACAGCTGAATTGCATAGAAAGTTTGCACTGCAATGAAATAACAACAGAGAACCAGGCCAATTAGAAAAAGAAGACTTTACTCTCCATCAACCTGAAGTTCCCTCTTATCCTGACAGGATATGCAGGTCTTTGATACTTTGACCTCTTTTGGTTAGATTTTCAGCATGAATGGAGAAAAAGACATCTTCAGCTGGTTGGTGATGGGCATCTAAATCTAAGCAATGAATTTATGTCAGTGGTCCATTATGATAATCTAGACTTATACCTCATTTTTTAAGGTTGCTGAGAAGAGGAGAAAAAATGAGAATGAATCTTTTAAAAAAATTCTTTCTTTTTTTTCAACTCTTATTTTAGGTTTAGTTTTTCCTATGAGTATATTACATGATACTGAGGTTTGTGATACTAATAATCCCATCACCTAGCTACTAAGCATAGGACCCAATAGTTAGTTTTTCAAACCTTGCCCTCCTCCCTCCCTCCCACACCTAGTAGTCCCCACTGTTTATTATTGCCATCTTTATGTCCTTGAGTATGTAATGTTTAGCTTCCACTTACGAGTGAGAACATGCAGTATTTGGTTTTCTGTTCCTGCATTCATTTGCTTAGGATAATGGCCTGTAGCTGTGTCCATGTTGCTGCAAAGGAGATGATTTTGTTCTTTTTATGTGGCTGTGTGGCATTCTATGGTGTATATGTACCACATTTACTTTATCCAGTCCACTGTTGATGGGCACCTAGGTCAATTTCATGTCTTTGCTATTGTGATTAGTGCTGCAATGAACATGCAAGTGCATGTGTTTTTTTGGTTGAACAATTTGTTTTCTTTTGGATATATAACCAGCAATGGAATTGCTGAGCTGAATGGTAGTCCTATTTTAAGTTCTTTGAGAAATCTTCAAACTACTTTCCACAGGGGTTCAATTAATTTACATTTGCATCAACAGTGTATAAGTGTTCCCTTTTCTCTGCAGCCTTGCCAGCATCTGTTGTTGGTTGACTTTTTAGTAATAGCCATTCTGACGGGTGTGAGATGGTATCTCATTGTGGTTTTCATTTACATTTCTCTGGTGATTAGTGATGTGGAGCACTGTTCATGTTTGTTGGCTGCTTTTCATGGTTTGTTGGCTCTTTGTTGAGAAGTATCTGTTCATGTCTTTTGCCTAGTTTCATGGTCACTTGTGTATCTTCTTTTGAGAAGTACCTGTTCATGTCTTTTGCCCAGGTTTTTATGGGGTTATTTGTTTTTTGCTTGTTTAATAGTTTCATTTGCTTATAGATTTTGGATATTGGAACTTTGCTGAATGCACTGTTTGCGAATATTTTCTTCTATTCTGTAGGTTGCCTGTTTACTCTGTTGATAGTTTCTTTTGCTGTGCAAAAGCTCTATAGTTTAGTTAGGTCCCACTTGCCAGTTTTTGGTTTTATTGCAATTGCTTTCAAGGACTTAGTCATAAATTAGTTCCCAAGTCCTATGTCCAGAATGATGTTTCCTAGGCTTTCTTCTAGTATTCTTGTAGTTTGAGGTCTTACATTTAAATCGGTAATCCATCTTGAGTTAATTTTTGTATATGGTGAAAAGTAGGGGTTCAGTTTCATTCTACTGCGTATGGCTGGCCAGTTATCTCAGCACCATTTTGTTGACTAGGGAGTCCCTTCCCTATTGCTTATTTTTGTTGATTTTGTCAATGATCAGATGGCTAAAGGTGTGTGGCTTTACTTCTGGGTCCTCTATTCTGCTACATGGGTCTACATATCTGTTTTTGTACCAGTACCATGCTGTTTTGGTTACTATAGACTTGCAGCATAGTTTGAAGTTGGGTAACGTGATGTCACTGTCTTTGTTCTTATTGCCTAGGACTGCTTTCACTGTTCAGGCTCTTTTCTGGTTCTATATGAATTGTAGAATAGTTTTTTTTTTCCTAGTTCTGCAAAAAATGACATCGACAGTTTGATAGGAATAGTGTTTAATCTGTAGATCGCTTTAAGCAGCATGGCCATTTTAATGATACTGATTCTTCCAATCTGTGAGCATGGAATATTTTTCTATTTGTTTGTATCATCTAGAATTTCTTTTATTAGTGTTTTGTAGTTCTTCTTGTAGAGATCTTTCACCTCCTTGGTTAGATGTAGTTCTAGGTATTTTTGTGTGTGTGTGGCTATTGTACATGAGATTGCATTCTTGATTTGGCTCTCAGCTTGAACATTATTGTTGTATAGAAATGCTACTGATTTTTGTACGTTGATTTTGTATCCTGAAACTTTACCAAAGTCAGAATAAATCTTTTTAAAACCAAGAAGTAGGTGTCACAGAACATTTACTCATTCATGCCCAAGATCACTTCATGCTATTACTAATTCATTCCCTATTGGCTATGTGAAGCCATGTGCAATTACAGATTCTTAGAGCAGTTTTTATTTTATAAATATACTACGTGGCTCATTGTTAAAATTAGTATATACTGGACCAAGCATATCTATTCAACTACCATCAGCCAGCCGATTTCTCAAGGATGCCACGAGAATCACAGGAAATATTCAGGAAGTACCTATCACAACATTAGCACATTGTAGGTCCTTGGAGCCAAAGACTGGCTTGCCTTCTTCCCTTCTTTCAAAAATCTCCTTCTTCTGTAGAATCCCTGTCTCCCACATAGACTGAGTACACATCACTTCACTTCAAGATTTCAATGCTAAGATAAATCTTCTAAAGTATGTTCGGATGCCCTATGCCAGGAAATTTACTGACTTTAATATATTTCACTACTACTTGGAAGAAAAAGTTGGTTAAAAACTATATATATGTATCTATATATACATATATAGATATATATACACACTGCATATATATACAGGCTGCCAGTTTCTTAAGGTTGCCATGAGAATCATAGGAGATATTCAGAAAGTACCTGGCACAACATTAGCATACATATGTGCAGTGTGTGTGTGTGTGTGTGTGTGTGTGTGTGTGTACATAATAATACATTTTGGGGACTTTTATGCAACACTGGTTACAATAAATGCCCTTTAATGTACAGGCCTACTGATTACAGCAAAAAAATAATTAATGCATAAAGTAATAGTCATTAAAAATAAGGAATATATTCACCCCTTTTTTCATACTTTCCCATCCATCAAAACATTTTAGTGTATAGTCAGAGCATTGTGAAATTTGCAATTTCAGAATAAGTGGCTCTTAAGACTGGCTCATCCAATAAAATGCAGACAGAGGCAGGATGAAGGATCGGGAAGAGGACTGGCTTCAAATCAGTCAGACTTGGGTTTTAATTCCCCATTTACCAGCCTTGTAACCTTGGGCAAGTTGCTTGCCTTTCTGAACATTTGTTTCCGATATTAAATTTTCCCACTGTGATGTTGTAAGCATTTCACGAGATGATGTCTGTAAATCATCCAGGGTAGTTCCTGATCCATGATAAGCACTCAATAAATGGTAGTTATCATTATGAGACTGAAAATAATTACATCTTATGAAATTATTTTCATCTCACACAGTCACTCAGCCATTTCAATCTCTGTATGTTCCAAGAGATTCACTTGGAATTCAGGCTCATACGTCTTTAAGCTCTCAGTGGGTTCTGTGAAATGCATTACCTATCACATTATATCATTTAAATGAAGGCTATTCCCTGGAACACACACACATAGAAATATTTAAAATATTTCTCTATTTGGGACATGCTAGAAATCTCCATATCAATCTCTATGTAAAGACTTTTTCAAATTGTCTTCTAAGATGTTATCTGTTCTGTTCCTGCCTGTACAATTCCTTTTTGCTATTCTAAAGTCTCTTACAGTTTAAGTAAAACTTAATATCTATTGTGTTTTTACATGATTCTCCTTGTGGTGTGTCTCTATCACCACAGAAGCACTGTTCCTGGTAAAACCACCCCCTTGGTTACATCATTAACCATTTGATTTGTTTTTCCTGATGTAGATCACTTTAACTTCAGTAACAACCTTGATTTGACAGGATATAAGGCTGTGTGAGATAATTTAGTCCACTAACGATAGGATCATAGAGAATTAGAATAGAATGCATCTTATGGAGTGTGTAGTTCACATCTTTCTTTGCACAAAAAGTTCTGAGAAGTTAAGGTACCTTGTGAACTATCATTTAACAGTGTTTGTGACTTATGTCTTAACATCAAACATAGATTCCCTTTATTTACCTAGAATGAAGTTAGAACACAGCTCTAACTTACCTTAGGGGGATCCTCCCTTTATTCCTTATGCTAGTAGGTATTACATGAGAAGACATTACAGAACAGTAAAATGATACAGTCTTGCTAAAAAGACAACATGTCATGAGTGTGAGGAAAATTGGCATCATGAGAAGTGTTTCCTAACTTTTATTTTCAACATCAGCTATTTGGCCATCTGTGCATTTACTCCTAGCAATGACCACTACATAATCAAATCTAAAGCAAACAAATTGCCTTCAGTAACTACCAAGGAAAATGCACTTCATACATCTGATATATTCCTACAAGATTTGAGATTGGCGCTGGGGTCAGTTGAGAGTATTCGACTGATAACTGAACACACACTTAACTAAATTGATATTTTAAAAAGTCTATTTGCTACATGTAAACATTTGTAGTCAGATTCACTTTTTCTACTTTCTTTTCAATATGGATTTGTTTAAAAACATTGAGGTTGTTACATCTGTGCGAGGACATACAGTTCTGCTAGTAAAAAAATAAAATAAAAGATTGGTGGGTAGGTAAATGTGGCTTTTATCTTACTTATAATTATCATAAATTGTAAGTCCAATGAATCCAAGTGGCAATGTTGCTAAGAAAAAGCCAGAATGTAAGACAGATGTTTGTACACTTTCATTAGAATTGCTTAATGCCAAAACAAGACTCGGTGAGATTTGAAAAGCAGAGGGTAATGATTTCAGAAATAGGATACAAAGCATGTAGTTAAACCAAGTTTCTTATTTCTAAGGGCTCATATTGTGTGTCTGTTTGTGTGTGTGTATGTGTGTGTGTAATTTCAAACAATGGCATAAAGCATTTTTATTTAGATATTCTGCCAAAATTAAAGTCACATTTTCTTAGTAACGCCATAAAAATCTTCCATAAAGGATTCTTGTCTTGGCATCTTGCAAATCTTTTCCTGACTGTTCTATGTCTCTCAAAAAACTTCCCTTGTTTGAGCCTTTATATCTAACATTGAATAAGCACTTTTACGTGCTGGGCACCAATGTAAGAATTTAATCCTCTCAGCAATTACTAAGGGAGCCACTCTTATTATCCCATTTTTTAAAGATGAGCACACTAAGAAACTGAGGTCAGCTTGCACAAGTTCACACAATTTGTGAGAGATAAGCCAGGAGTGGAATCCAGGCAGTCTTCCTTGAGAGCCCACCTTCCTAATTAGGTCCACAGATTGCCTTGCATGTTCACTATTCATTACCATTCTCTGTGACTATATCCTGTCTTTCCAGGTAGTCTGTTGACATATTATAGCCATTGCTCCTCTTTATACTTGTAAAGGCAGAGTACATTTCAATTTGATAAATGTCAATTTAGCGTCACATCCAGGAAGCTGAGGTGGGAGCGAGGAGAGGGGGGTCTTGGACTTGCCAAGATGAGAGCTGAGAGGGACAGTCCTACCTCCAACAAGCCAGGTATTTTTATTCTCTCCCCTCACCTTCTCCTGCTTTTTGGTACTGTCCTTATGAGGTACACAGTTGATTCCAGAATGTGTATATAGAAGGAGTTTAGCATTAGCCATCCCAGTGGAAGGAGGGACTTAAGGACGTTCATGCTTACTGTGTACACACAAGACCTACTACATAATTTACCGGGCCTGATGCAAAACAAAAATTCAGGCCCCTTATTCAGAAAGCGGGAAAAAAAGTTTCTTTCTTCTGTAGTATCTCCCTCAACCTGTCATGGTGTTTTTATTTGCTATTTAATGTTGCACTTCCTCAAGCATGGGAATACTTACTAGCTGAGTGCACCTAGGACCCTGAAGGAGAGACTTGGGGAGAGGGCTGTTGCTGGGTAGAGTTGGAGTTGGGGATGACCAGGAATTCATCCCAAGGAGGCAGTGGGAGATAAGACTGCCACTGAACCTAGGCTCCAAGGACCTGGCATTTACCTCATTGTCCTATCATCCCTCAAACACAGAATCCACATCACAAAATAAACTTACTAAGAATGTCAATATGGCTACTACAGTGTTTTAAAGCCCAAGAACAAGGCTTCCCTTCTTAGTTTGGGGATCTTTGCAATGCATGGTTGGCACACCCTTGAAACTGGCCCTTTGTAATATTTATTTGGTTTGGTTGGGGGTTGGGGAGCTTACGGAAGCTATAGCTAAAACTTTTCCGAGTTATCTATGGGTCCTGCCACCATTAGGGTGCTAGCATCCTTTAGTGTTACTGTTGTCTCGTTCCAATTACTAGACTGGGAATCGTAGAGAACAAAGTCTCCCTTTTTATTTTATTTATTTATTTATTTATTTATTTATTTATTTATTTTGAGATGGAGTTTGACTCTTGTTGTCCAGGTTGGAGTGCATTGGTGCGATCTTGGCTTACTGCAACCTCTGCCTCCCGGGTTCAAGCGATTCTCCTGCCTCAGCCTCTCAAGTCGCTGGAATTACAGGCATCCGCCAACATGCCCAGCTAATTTTGTATTTTTAGTAGAGATGGGGTTTCTCCATGTTGGTCAGGCTGGTCTCGAACTCCCAACCTCAGGTGATCTGCCCGCCTTGGCCTCCCAAAGTCCTGGGATTACAGGCGTGTGCCACCATGCCTGGCTCAAAGATTCTCCTTTAAGTCCTTCTGAGCTCTCCTAAGGTGACCAGAAGACCACTGGGGGTAATGTGGGCAGTGCGGAAAGTCCATTTCAGGATATAGGAGCCTTTCTAATCCAACCCCAGAAAGAGGACTTGCACCACTTGGTGAGCACATCCCCTGGACTCTCCGACAAACCCTGTTGACTACTAAGCCAGCTGGAGGGAAGCAGATGGATGCAATTTGCACAACCAAGCACTACATTCCATTGGGAAGACTCATATGCATTATTAATAAAGAACTATTTACTTTCCAGCTTATCTCCAACCAGAGGGTACAGTTCTGAATATGCAAGATGAAAGGGACTTTAGATATCACTGCTTCACACCCAGGTACTTTACCAAATAAATAAACAAATCTCCTGGAAGTCACTGGTAATTTGACTTAACTGAGATCACACACCTCCAGAGATACAGTTTTGATTTGGCCTGGTCTTTATTACAGCACACCTTTCCTTTAAAGATTGGCACAAGTTCCTTATGACAGAAGCCATCCTGAGGGAACAGCACAGAATGCTACCCTCACAATCATTCCTTCACTCTAAACTGCAACTTGCCACTGTCCATAGATCAAACTGAGGTACTTTGTTCCCATAGAGAGCACTTTTGTTTTCTCATCTTGTGCATTACTCTAGTGGTTTACCCAAGTTCCAGCCACCAACTCTGATAGATATAGTCAAACATTCTCTCTCCTTTGAGATGTTTGGATTGTGCAAACAGAACAATCTTCAACGCAACAGCTAGCCTCAACACAGCAGCTTGTCACCCCTGCCTCCCCAAGAATTCAAGGCAGGTATGAAGGTAGAGAGTTTAGGTCTGATATGGAAAAAAAAAATAGTGCTCATTCTATTCAACTGGTGGTGAGTTCCTTGAGAAGGATTCTGAGGTTGCATCCAGGATCAGTGGGGAAAGCAGGCTGTGACCACTGGCACTAGCTTCCTAGGATGCCAGGGCAGAAAAGGTGACAGTCATGGCACTTATTACCTTTGTATCTGCTTAGCTTCTTGTTTTGATTTGATTTCTTTCTGCATTTATTATGCTCTAAATTGAAATGAAATTGGAAAATATTTAGCTAAAATTCTAGGCACATAGTCTAAATTTTATACTCATTAGGCCTTGCCAGCAGAGAGACTCTTATACTATTTAAAAAGCAAGATTATTAGGGGAAGATGCTTTTTGTGATCCCTTTAACATTGAAAATGCTTATTTAACAAAATGTTATACCTACATCTATGCATACAAGACTCACTACTTTAAAACTCTGTTTTTAATTATGGTGAGTTCTAAAATTTTTGTAACATAATTAATTGAAGAAGTAATACAGGCCATGACAAAAATTTTAGAGGATAAGAAAGCATTCCATGAAAAATATTGTTAACATCTCATCACCAATAATTAATTCCAAATGCTTTCTCCCAAGAAGCAATTACTATTAAAAATTCCTTTCATGTCTTTCTAGAAACTTTACTATGTATAAACAAAAGTGTGTATTTATACACATGGGAAGATACTTTACATATTGTTCTGCATCTTCCTTTATTTCCACATAAAATTATACCTAGGAGAAAATTTCATATCAGCACAAAGATACCCTTCTCTGTCTCATTTTTTAGCATATCTGTATATTTCGTTTCAAAGATGTTTCTTAATTATGTAACAAATCATCTAAAGAGGATGGTTTCTAGATGTTTGCAGTTTATCTGTACTATTTTGCAAACAATATTGTTTTAAAAATTCCCCAATACAAAAATTCCTCCCAAGTATGTTTTTGCCCACAAGCGCACATATATGTGTATGATGATTTTCTAGAGACGGAGTTGCTAGCTCAAAAGATATCTGCATTTAAAATTTTTGACCAGTATACTCCAGCCAGCTGTACACCAAGAAGCTTGTGTGGTTGGCTACCATTTGAAAAACTGTGCTGAGATAGGAAAAAAAAAAAAAAAAAGACAAAAACAAATGATTATGAGTTGAATTAATATGTTATAACATATTGAAAGTATAAAGGAAACTGATTTACATAGAATCTAGCAACAATAAGTAGTTCAGTTTATCAAGCACATATGGAGTGCCTATAGTGCCTGTTGTGTATACCTGCCTCAGGTGAGTGTGGCTGCATGCCTCTCTCTCTGTCTTCACGGTCTCTACCGTCCACTAGTGCGGGCAGAGTGTGGGTAAAAACGGGTGTTACAGGAGCACAGGTGAGAAGCTTTCAGTTAGGTGTGGTGTTGCTAAAGAGGAACTCATGTTTATAGTACTTTTTGGTACCTCAAACTTCAAACATCTTGCAGTTCTAGCCTATAGCATTTATGTACAATTCAGAACAAAGTGATACACCCACTGTTTCCTGGAAGAAAGAGTGGAAAGAAAAATGAATTCACATAGGATATGTATATCTATGTGAGAAAGAGATGACCTGAAATGGGATTGAGGAGTGTGTGATGATGAGTCAAATGATGAAGCTTAGAGAAAGAGTTTTGCGAACTGGCCAACAGGTAATAACGTTTGTCCCTAACCCCTTCAGTAATCTTTGGAGGGAGGATGGGCTTTGGTAGTGTCTGGTGTTTTAAACCAGTGATTTCCAAACCTAGAAGTACTTCTGAGTTATTTGGAAACTTCGAAACGTAGATTCCTGGATTCCTGGGCACTAATACGGGATTTTGATTCAGGAAGTTAGAGAAGGAGCCCAGGAATCTGTATTTTCCTGTTTAGGTGTATGAATTTATTTGGTTGATCCTAGTGCATGGCCAGGATTTAGAACCTCTACAGGAGAGGGCTCTACAGCCTGGAGTTGAAAGGGAAGAAAGACTATAACCTGTTAATGGCGTAAGAAACCCTTGTTTAGGCCAAGTGTTTGTAGTGTAGAAAATGTGTGTTTGAATCTCAGGGAAATTGATTCTCCTGTTTTTGAAAAAGTGTATGCCCTGGAAACTGTTATTAGAGAAAGGATGGTAAACAAGGCAGGTCCCTGATGCCTTTGAGTTTGTAGTCTAGTTTTTGCTCTATTCAGTGATCCTTGTGAGTGATTCTCAATCACACTGTACCTAATGCCTGGGATCCAGCCACAGATACAATTCACATTTCCAAGATGGGCCGTGAGCATTGCTGTCTTTTTAAAGCTCAAGAGCTGTGATATTGAGAACCCTATATAGATTTGTATGAGGTTGAGGAAAGGACATTAGCTTTTCCCCAGCTTTTCTCCTCTCCCAACTCAGCTGCCTTTCTCCCCTGATTTCTGGTGCAGGGAAAGGTACAATCTTGTCAAACGCTTTTGAGATGGAAGAGGGAGGGTGTTGTTCATCGTGCTAAGTGGCGAATGCTAACAGCAGCAGAACACTGATCTTCAGTGACTGGCAGAGGTATATTCCTGGGTGCGTGGCAGCCCTCCCTTTCCCAGCTGATGGCTGCTGCCAAGAACTGTCCACCCAATCCAGGAACCCAAGAGCAGAGGAAAGCTTTTCTCTTCCTAGGGATGGCAGTTTCATTCTGTGGCACATTAGTTCATGGTTTTTATTACAAAATTCAGTAATATGCTAGTAAATGTTTGACAGCCAGCTCTGAAAAATACAAAATCCCTGATTCATAGCGTTTTTCTGGTTTCATGGTGTAAATACTCTCCTGTGTCTGATTTCGAGCTGACCGCAGTTTAACAAACAGCCGTCTTGCAAAATTTCCGAAAACTGAACAATTAGCTCTCCTGAGCCTGTGTGAGCAGACTCCAGCCCACCACTAGTTATGTCTTTTTGTTCCCCCTCCCCCGCACATTCTAATCATTCTTCATTTTCATTGGTTTGTTTTACGTAAACGTACAGTTGGTACTTAACTGTATCTTAAATATATCTCAATGAAACCATAAAACTACAACAACAAAAAAATCAAGGATTGGGACTAAAGTTTGGTCCTTTTGCTATGACCAGTGATTTCCATCTCTGTCCTGTTTGTGTTTCATGTAGAGGAACAAGTTACCATGTTTCTAGCTAATATTTACTCTTAATGCACTCCGTTGACATGAACATTACAATTAAGAATAGTGTACAGTATTTCTGTTCATCAAGATCCTATTATAAACCTTATGCCAATAGAGTTACAGTTTTCCCTAAATTGGAATAAGAAAACATTTTGCTTTAATATTTACTTTTGCGCAAATATTATTTAGATAAATGGCCCAGGTATCTATTGTTTGTGATTTACTTATGACTCACAAGCTGCTCATTAGATGGCTTTTTCAAGTAAAGCTTGACTTATGATGTGCAAATGTTTATAGGTTTTTAAAGATACAACAGACGTATATTTAAATTCAGTCTACCAAATAGCACAGGAGAGGGGATAGTTGTTTTCAGAGGATTTATTATCGAAATCCACATGGGAACAAGTTTGCATAGAGAAGTAAAGATATGTACAAATATTCAAAAATGAGCTGACCACTTCTAACATTAGCCCCTACTCAACCCCCTCCACTTGACATCTTATCTACTTAAACACAGAACAAAATGCAATGCAAACAAATTTCAGAGTTAAATTGGAAATGCTTCAATATGTGAAATTTCACTGATGGCAGTCTTGTTGGTGAAAGGCTCGAATCTTGTGCAAAGCCATAAACAAATGATAATCTGTTTGAGTTAGCTGAGTCAAGAATTGAAGGAGAAAAGAAATCTAAGGATAGACTCTTCAAAATTGAATTACTTGAATATCAATAATCTTGATGCAACCAACCAGAAACAAAAACCTAAAACAAATCAGAAAACAAAACAAGTGCAATGTAGTCATTGTGGAATGACTAGAAGTCAATGACTTCTAGAATGACAGTGACTTCTAGAATTGTTGAATTCTAGAAGTCAGCATATAGATGTAATTATAATTTAAATTTCTGACATATAGCATAAAATAAATTATTTCCATAATTTGAATTTCTTTATTATTGGTTAAAGTCTCATTCAAACTTTTCACCCTCACTTTTTATGATAAAATGTTTTTTTCTCCTTAAAAAGGGTTATTTCAAGTTAGCCTTTCCCAGGAAGAGTTATCCTTAAATGAACACAGTGACCTACTGATGAATTCTGTTTGCATCCAGAATTGCCAGGTCTCTATGTTTTTAGTAATAAGTACAACAAGAATAATTACTGAGAATGTACTATGTAATATTTCACTATGACTATGCACTCCTCTGAGTACTTTACAGGTGTCATCTCTTTTAATGCTTACAACCACCCTGTGAGGAAGAAACTTCTATCATCATTATTTTAGATAGAAAAGTACCTGAAGCAGGAGGGTGTTAAGTACTTTTGCCATTAAAAGTAATGGCAAAAACCGCAATTACTTTTGTACCAGCCTAATACCTCGCTAAAGAGAGAGCAGGATGTGGACACTGGGAATCTGATGCTGAAGTCTGCTGCCCATGTTCCCATTAACATAATAGGGCCCAAGAAAACCAAAACTCTCAACTCTTCAAAGTCAGAGAGTAAAATGACCCCAAGTCATATTCTTTTCTCCTTTAAAACATAAAATAAATATTAGATGAACAGGAATAAGCAAAGATCTTTAACAGGAAATTCTCTCCTTAGTAACTGGTTTATTCAGATACCTATCAGGGTAAAAGACTATGAGAAACAGCTGCACAGACTGCTTGCCTTATGCACGGAAAATAGTAAAATATTTGGACAATAATTTAAATAAGAGATAACCATATATGCCTTACCTGTTCTGGTAGTTACTAAAATAGAATTAATTGCGGGCTGGTGAATTATATTGTTAACAATAATCATGGTTCCGCTAGCCTCTTTTAGTCAGAGAAAAATGCGTGTTGTAACTCTTGAAGTTACTTATTATGACTGAAAAGCTCCAATTTAATAGAATCAAAAGATGTATTCTTTATACAGAAAAAAATCCAGCAATGAAAGTTGAAATTTGAATAATTTTATATGATAGAAGTATATCCTTTTCCTTAGATTAGTGCTTTTCCAGCTTTTTAAATAACTACCCAGGGAAATAAAAGTAAGATAATCATAAATGCCTTTGTACCACTGTAAAATTCAGCATTCTTTTCTTGACATTATCTCAGCAATATTTTTCTGTTTTTTTTAATTAAATAATTAATTTGTGCATCATGGCGTTCCTGTCATATATAAGCTGCCAGCTTGAAAAGCAAAGCTCTGTGCTTTAATATTACGCAATGCAAGAAATAACATTTTCTAAATAAATTGGGTTTTTTTTTTATTGATAATCTATGGAATGGAACAGGGAGGAATATTGTAGCTTGCTTTTCTTACTCAAGAAAATATCAATGGGCATTTTGGAACATCAGCAGTAGCTGAAGCTCCATCTCTGGCCAGCAAAATTAAAGTAATTAGATAGTTGTCAGGAACTAATCACTGATGAGACTTCTACACTTTCTCAAGCTCAGAACTGGAAAATTAAATAAAGGGCTAAGAAGGATACAATATGTTTTTCTTTGAGACTACTGGTCTTCCTTTTACTATGTAGTTTGAACCGTCACATGTCCTACTTTCCTTTTGGCCTTGATAGCCAAGAAGTTCAAAAGTAAGACTTTGGCTCAAATTTAGGGTCTTGCATTAAGCCTGTTTTTCCAAGTCTCACCTCTCCTCCTCCCGTTCATTCTCATCTTTATGACTTGATTTCTGCTTTTATAGTCTTCTGTTCGAAGTTTTAGTATTATTTTTGTTTTCATGCACTATGTCTGACTGCCACAATTACTACTTGAGACCATCACTACGACAGTTACTACTGTTACTACTTGAGACTGTCGTTATGAGACTGAACAAAGGGGAATGAACACAGAAATGAAAACTTAAGACAAAGGAAACTGTTTTAAAGGAAGGGGCCGGGGAAGATGGCTCCCTGCTTCTAGTGAGCAAAGGCAGCCACCTCGAGCTTCTTCAGCCCTTCTTTTTTACTGGGTAGAAAGAGTAGGGAGGAGGAGGTAATGACTGGTCAGCTGCTTAATTGATCACAAGTTCACATTATTGCTAACAGGCTTCAGATGTGTCTAATCACAAGAAACACTTGTGCCTTGGTTGTGACTGCCCTCAGCATTCCTTGTGGGCAGCAGATGCAGTTTGTCAGTTTTCCAACATCCTGCTTTCGTGAGAGCAGTTTGCTGTTTACTCACATAGCCTCCAGTGGTATACTGAGTTGATTACGACCCTCACTCTTTCGGCCTTCAACAATGCATGATATTGTGCCTTATTTTAGGCACTATTACTGCACAAGCTCTGGAGTCAGACGGGTTGGGTCCAGCTCTTGATTCTGCAACCCAAGAACTGTGTGATATTGGACCCACAACTGAATCCATCTATCCTGCATTTTCCTGTCTATGGAATGGGGCAGTAATGGTACCTGCCTCTTGGGTTATTGGGAGGATTAAGTGAGTTAATATTGTATTTACTAGGTGATTTAAATGGGAGATCTGGCACATGGTAAGTGCTTAATAAGTGTTAACTATCGAAGAGATGAATGGAAAGACATGCTCACAGGGAAATATAAATAGGCAAATCTAAGACAAAATGCTTTGTAGAAATAATGATAGGTTTAACTATCTTAACTTAAAAAAATTAATTCATGACCACCCTAAAAGCAAACTGTGGCCTTGATGCTGACCAACTGTAATGACAAATAGAGAAATCTCAAAAATGTAGAATTTGCCATCAATGAAGGTGTTCCATAAACTCCTGGAAACTAGATCTGAAATGTTTGGGCTTTCCTATATAAAGAAATCAGATGGACATATGTTTTATGACTTTGGTTTCAATTAGCTCCTCTCTGAAAATATCTCTTACAGGTCTGGGCCTATGAGTTCTACCACCCAATACCTAATCAAGAGACCCAGTACCAAAAACATCTGAATCCCATTTCCTACTTGTTCCTCTTACCCATTTCTTTTTTACTTTCCTGGCACTAAGAGGACTTCTGTGATGTCTCCTTGAAGGAGTAAAGGAGAGAGAGAAAGACCTGAAGTGTATTGATTCCCTCTATGTGAACCACATCCTGTTCTAGAGGCTCCACCTGCATCCTCATGTCACAGGCGGTTATTAGTATCTCCACTTACATTGCAGGTTCAGGAGTGTTAAATGAATCTCTCAGCACCCTATATTTACTAAGTGGCAGAGTTGGATTCAAACCCAGCTCTGTTTGGCACTAAAGTCAATTCTCTTTCTGTTCCATATCTCTAATCACTCTACTACCAAGTCAGTGGACAAAGATTGCTAGAATGCACTAATTTGGTCTTGCATAATTAGGAATCTTTAGCAAAGGATGTGGGATGTGGATTACAATTCCCTGTTGTAAATTTCTTGATTTTCTGGGCAGTTTAATATTATTCATTTCATTGTCAAGATTGTAGTCTCATGTAGATAGCCTTCTAACAATCTCTCATCATTTGCTATTTATGGCCCCAGGCATTCTTAATTACCCACAGCTAAGCTCATTTCCTAAACACTATCTTATATGAAGCCATTTTTATTAGTTAAGGTGCAGGCTATACTTTTGTAATCAAAAGATTCCCAAATACAGTGCCTCAAATAAAAGAATGTTTTATTTCTTTCTTGAGGAACAGTCCAGGGCTTGCAGGAGGTTCCGTTACCCTCAAAACACGGCTTCTAAGGTGGCCTCTTTCCCAAGGAAGGGAGAAACAGGGAGACCAAGGCAAGGAGATGGCCCAGAAATGTACATGTGACTGCCACTCACATCTCATTGGCTCAAACTAACTCATACCTACATACTGGGGGACAATCAGTGCTCTTTGACTCATCACCCCTGAAGACTAAAAACTAAAGCCTTGTAAGGCTCCTTGCTGTCCACTAGATTGAAGGTCACCAGGCTCCCATGCCCTCTATGATGAGGTCCCATTGGACTCATTCCATTTTTTCTCTAGAGACTCACTAATACAGGGTTGTAACAACCTTAGAGCTGATAAGAAATCTTTTAAAGCAGCAGTTATGGTTTTGACATATACTGAATAATAGTCTGTATATTTTAAGCCCATCAGTTGTGTTGAAAAAAGCTCCAGCCCCACTCTAGGATAGAGAGTGCTGCAGATACGATGAGAAAAATTAGATTTCTGTTCAGACTAGCTACAGAGACAAAGATTTATGTTTATATTATACAAACATAATCACCACACTAAAAAGATAATTTCAGAAATTAAACATCTCTTTTTATCCTGTCATCCTCTCCAAACCTCATCATTTTTAAAAAAAGTGAATACGTTTTTATTTGCATGGGTATCAGTTGACAGTGAATATTCAGCAACTCAGAATTTTGCAAATGTTGTTCTTCTAAAATATCTTGTTATGATTTTGTGTTGTTTAGATTTTTTTTTAAAAAAGGAAAATACATCTGATAAGAAATCTGGCCCAAGAGAATTTAGAGAACAAAGCTTACAGAAATTGCAGTGGATTTGTTCCACAACCTGGTGCAGAGCTAAAAGCAAAGTAAAGATATGTTTCTCTGCTCTTGAACAGTCCTCTCTGTTTCAATCAGCAGCAGAGAGCTGTATAGCTGAATTTCTTGTTGCAGCATGCATCATTCATGACCTGATGGAGTAGACAAAGTACATAACAATCGATGCAGAAACCCTGCCGCATGAAAAAGTTCACCAGTAGGTTATAGACTTCTCCGATTTTGTTTTCTGCTGATCAAGGATATTTCCTCCTCCCATTTCAGAAACAAATTACTGATACATTTTGATAATGACACTTTGACCAGATATTTCTCCTTTGATTTATATGCTGATTGGGGTGATGAGAGTTTTGGCAACTGTTCTAGTGAAATAGAATTTCATGGTCAATACTCATTAAAATAAAAACTAAGCAGAATGATAACTTGGCATATTAAAGTATTAGACTGGTGGCTTTAAACCTACTTTTTCTTGCTCAGAACAGATTGGTGTTGAGGGAAGTCACTAAAGTACCTTTTTTAAAAAAATTAATTTTCGCTGGGCACTGTGGCTCACGCCTGTAGTCCCAGCACTTTGGGAGGCCGAGGCGGGTGGAGCACCTGAGGTCAGGAGTTCAAGACCAGCCTGATTAACATGGCAAAAACCCATCTCTATTAAAAATACAAAATTAGCTAGGTGTGGTGGTGTGTACCTGTAATCCTAGCTACTTGGGAGGCTGAGGCAGGAGAATCGCTTGAACCTGGGAGGCAGAGGTTGTGGTGAGCCAAGATTGTGCCACTGCACTCCAGCCTGGGCAACAGAGTGAGACTCCGTCTCAAAAAAAAAAAAAAAAAAGAAAAAAGGAATTTTGGCATACAGGCCCTCCTATTCCTACCTGTCCTATCTATCCCCGTCATGCCACCCCCATAGTAACCGTTTGTATTCATTTCTTTTTGCACTTTCATATAAACACAATTACACATTCTTGGCCAGGCACGGTGGCTCACGCCTGTAATCCCAGCACTTTGGGAGGCCAAGGCAGGCGGATCATGAGGTCCAGAGATTGAGACCACCCTGGCCAACATGGTGAAACCCTGACTCTACTAAAAATGCAAAAAATTTAGCCAGGCGCAGTGGTGCATGCCTGTAGTCCCAGCTACTCGGGAGGCTGAGGCAGGAGAATCACTTGAACCTGTGAGGCAGAGGTGGGCCGAGATGGCGCCACTGCACTCCAGCCTGTCGACACAGTGAGACTCCATCTTACCTGGTGCTACATATACTGCTGCCCACTTTGTTTTTCTCACATAATATATCTTAGCTTTCAATATGAGTACATAGGCAGCTTCCTCATTCTTTCATAGAACTATATGTTTTTCTGCAGTATGGATGTGGCAAAGTTTATTTAACCAGTCTAAGGGGCATTGTTTAATTAAATCTTCAACTACCCTGAAAGATAGGCATATTATTCTCAATTTGCAGAGAAAACCAAAGCTCTGAGACTTTCTATAGTGCTTCCATGATCATCTCTATCTTTCAAGATCTGATAGATTGGATCATATTATACCACCATGATGGAAGCAATACTGTAAGTTCTAAAATATTGGGTGTTCTTAGTGACATATCCCTTCCCCATATGTTCACAAGCAAGGTTTTGGATAACAAAGGTTCTAAACTTGAGAACACATGAGAATCATTTGATGCCTTTGAAAATGCAGATTCCTAGGCTCCACATTCATAAATTCTCACTAGTATGCTTGGAGTCAGTCACCAGAACACTGTTATCCCAGGTTGCCCAACTTCAGCATGGCCACTCACATAGCATGTAACACAGAGGTCCTGTTTGGCAATCATTATTTTGAGCATACACCCAGATGATCTGGGGGCAGTAATTCCCGGGCCACACTCTAAGACACACAGCTGTAAGTAGTTTCTAGAAGCACATACTAGTTGTGTAGGACATCATGTTTGGTAGTTAGCACCATCCTGGTCCCACTGCCACCTGGTTCATTGTGGTGCTCTGGGCCAGGCTTTGTTTTCCAGGGCATTTGGCACCCTGGCTGTGTTCAGGCCACCTTAGACTCCAGTGGATGCCAGAAAGCAGGAAGCAGAGTATCTCTTGTTCCTTTGGAATTGAGAAAGTACAGTCCTCTGTAGCAAATTAGCATATAAATAAGTTCTGTTGAATTCCCAATTCCTGAGTGTACCAAGAATTGAAAGTATGTGCAAGACATTTAATTAGGAAACTCAGTCTCCAGTAAGATGGAAAACAGAGAAATCTTCCATGAAGAAGAGTTGCTTCCTGAACTTATCTTTCCCCTTTTTGATAGGTCAGGAATCATAAGAATGGGGCCATTTCCATGAAACTAAACACCATAGACAATCAGAGCCAGAAGAACCATCAGAGAGCATGTAAGTTGGAGATTCTTAACCTAACACCCCAGAATGGCTTCCAGGTGTCAGTGGAAGCCCTGAAATCATGAACAAAGTGTTGCATCAAGAGAGTTTCTGAGCTCCTCAAAACAATTAAGAATCACCAACATTGCCTAGCACCCTGATTTCACCAGTGATGAAACAACAATCTAATGACTTGCCAAAGTTACATTATAATTAGTGGCAGAGACAGGGCCAAAACATGGAGATCTTAGTATGTGGTCATTGATATCTCCGAGGACTTTAAAAATAGTACATGAAGGTGACCAAGTAAGAGCCCTTGGCAAGAAACATGCAGTTACCAGGAACTGCAATCTTCATATTAGGAAATATTAACTGAGCATTTAATTTATGCTAACCACTGTCCTAAGTACTTTATATATTAACTCATTTGATTTTCCTAATTTCCCCAGAAAGTAAGTGATATTATTGTTAAATTTTGTTATTGTCATTGTTATCTTCATCCTTTTTTTATGTGAAGAAAATAAAGTATAAACAGATGATTTATTCGCCAGGATTTAAACTCCAGCATTCTGGCTGCATAGCCCATATTCTTCATCATTGTGCCATGCTGTTTCTTTCTATGGAGTCTTTTCCTGCTAACTTCTGCACTTCAACATGAGTTCTCAAATGAAGAAACACCACTCATATGTTTTTCAATGACAAAAGACTAGATGGTTATATACTAAAAGATCAACAGCAGTTATCTCTGGATCATGCAATAGTGGAATTTAATTTTTGCTTGGTACTTTCCACTTTCCAAATTTTCTACAAAGTATATCTGCTGCCTTGCTAGTTAAAAAAAAAAATTCTTTGAAAATACTATACACAGTGTAAGGAACCTAGAAGTTAATTGCCTCCTTGTTTTGTCTGAAGCCATCTTGACTTCTGTACATGTTCACTGTCAGGTTTTAGGCCTGTGGGGGTATATTCTTGCCTATCGTTGGAGTGCTTTTATGCATGTGGGAGTTTCAAGAGCTGACAGAACTGTATTAATGCCTTCATGGGTTGAAATGTGGTACCGTGGCACTAACCCTAAAATCAATAGAAGGAAACAGTTTTTTTCCCAAACCTCTATCTGTAGAACAAAAAGAATGATAACTGATATGGGTTATGAATGTGTAGCTTATAAGGTGTTAACTTTTGATTTCAGAGAGATGAACAAAGAGTGGACACTAGTGAGACTAGATAAAAAGAGGGAACAGGGGCCAAGAGAGACTGACAGGGGGAAAACCTGTGGATAGACCACATAGGAAAAGGTGGTCTGAAGAATAAACTGCATTCAGTCATGATTCTACATCTCATAAAAAAGAGAATAATTTAATATTCAACAGCCTTCAGTGCTAGTCAGCAGTAATTAACAGTGTACATCTTGATATGCCAAAACTCAGAGTTGTTAATTATACAGCAACATGAAATGTGACCCCACTCTGTATATAAGACCATCAGAGGCCCTCTCTGTTCTAAGCTGTTGCAAAACAGTATTAAAACAACTTAACGACTGCATCCTATCTGCCACGACCCCATTCACAAACATTTATAGAATCCATTATTTATGACCGGGAAGACCTGTGTCATGGAATTTTTTACAATTTCAAATATCAAGTTAATGGGCAATTTCTTGGAAAGTCTGCACAGAATCCATTTCTTATGATTTTATCTCTTGGTATGAAAATCAGACCACATCTCAGTTTCTCAGGAAACTTAGCATTTCTCAGGTGTCAAACTATGCCATAGCCAAGTTTGCCGATATTTGAATAATAAAGGTCACTAAGTCAAATCTTGTTTAGGTATTATTGTCATCAAGATATGAAGTATTTCACTTTAGTGAATGTTTCAGAAGATAGAATTTATAACTGTAAAGTTTTGAAGCTTATTTTTTCTAACTTTAAACATATAGGTAGGAACATTTCTCAAATATGTGATACGTTTCTGTCCTTTCTGAAGCAAAGCAATCTGGGTGACTAGGGGCCATCATTACATAAACAATGCCTCATTCTTGAGAAGTACTGATGCATAGACAGCAGTTTTCCCCTACACTTAAGTCCCAGATGGCTGTGCTGGTTCAGTTTTATGTCTGCATTTGTTGGATTTTTGATCTCTTCTCTTAGTATCCCACTGCCATATGTCATCGCTTGTTTTTCTAGCATATCAGTCTCTAGAAATGCCCAGGCTCACACGTATTGTGTTGCTGCTCTCCTACTGTGGACTTAGAAAGCTGATAAGAAAGTGTGTGCAAATTAGACTCTGTGTGAAGAGTGGAGTGTGTTCTTGTGTATAAAATGCATGAGTTTCAGTGCACAGACATGTGATACAAATTTTGTTTGCTTTCCTTAATCTCCTGGTTACCAGGATTGCTTTGGACAATTGAAGTGATTTGATGAGTGATATTTTAGGTAAGTTATGTTTTGCTGTAATCATCAATAGATGCTTTTAATGAATTCACTTAATAATATGCCCTAAAAATACTTAGAATACATTTTGGCCCCATTGTTTAGAAATGTAAGATGAGCAACTGAGTCACAGAATTCTGTGATTGTGATTTGACTGTATTAGCTGGTCAGTAGCAGCACAGATGGTCCCTTAACTCTCCCGTGTTCAGAGGGCTAATTCATTGATTCACTCATTAAAGTGGTATTTAAGAAGGAATAATTTTGTTCTTGTATGCTTAATGATTTCAGTATTAAGAAAGAACAGAGCTTCATAGAAATATAACGCTAAAGGAACTTTAAACCAATTAGTGGCATTTTTAATAACTTAGCGTGAAAATTCATCTTTACTTGACAGTCCCACTTGATTGAACATGTTTTCTTCATCCATTAGCTTTGAGGTTCTTAAGTGTCTATTACCTTCTACAATAAAACTCAACTTTGTGGCATTGTTCATTGTACAGAGATTTGGACAAGTTTCACTCATAAAATATTATGGAAGCTCTGATAAACTAATTGCTTACAAGCCCAATCCCATAGCTACAATAAAGTGTGTTATAAATAATCAACTCCTGCTAGACATTCACCTCTAATTTACCTTGTTCAAAACTAATTCCTTCCAATGTGCCTCCTCCTAATGTGCCTATATATTAATTCAACTTTTTGAATAACTGGAATGTGCCACAACCTACCCCAGACACTTGAACATAATCTCAGCCTGCAAGAGTTTCTGGGCTAATAAGAAGATAGCAATAAACCAATAATGTCTGTAAAAATTACTTTATTACAATTGAACTAATGGAATTTTGGCTCAAATATTTAGTCACTACAACAGAAACATTAAAGCAAGGAACATGAAGTCATTGTAGGGTTTTAAAATGGCTACTGACTGACGTGAATTCAAAGTTTCAAACAGTCTAAATTCTAAAAACTTACCTTTACATGCTTTTCCTCCTAAATAACCACTCTTATAATTCATGCATTCATGTCTTTAGGTAAAGAAAACTGAATTTTAAACACTTGAGGCTGGGTGTAGTGGCTCATGCCTATAATCAAATATAAGAACTTGAGTATAAAATTTGAAAACTACAGGGGGAAATGTCTTTATCATGCATCTCTTGATAGTCTACTGGTCTACTGAAAACTCTCTATTAAGTAAAACTGTGGCTAAAAAAAAAAAAACCATGGTGATACTTACCTTGTGTAATGTAAACAATTTTTTAAGCTCTTTAAAGTACGTCTAGATTTACTGGTAATGTATAGAAGTCAATTTTATCTCCAAGCATTTCTACTTCCTAAACCATTAGCAAGAGACTCAAAACAACTTCACCAAACTATTGGACCTCCAGTGTTAACTTGCCAACATAAAAATCTGAAAAACTTTGTAATCACTATCAGAAATACAAAAGAGAGAATAAATTCCCAGGTAAAAGGATTTACCGAAAAGAATTACTTTATGACAATTAGGATGAAGGTTATGAGCTAGAAGTTCAGCATAATATGAGAGGGTAGTATTAAAATCATATTTTAGAAACTTCTTTAATGGGAACTCCATATCATGAGTTTCAAATTCTTATTGGCTGTTTACTCATGTTGCCTATCATATACATTTCTTGTTTTTCCCCTTCCTATGTTTCCAACCTAATTTGACTCATTCCAATAGGCATGCCATGGTGCCCTTTAGTTCTGGGTCCTTTCTAGATCTCTATTCAATGACTTTCAGTCTCTTCCACATCTCTCTTCTTACACCTTAACTCTGGAAATGTCACCTGGAAAAAAAGGTCCACTTCTCCACAGACACCTTTGGCGGTGTTTCTTTATCAGCAAGAGGAATGCCAGTCTTTTTATACTGCATTCTCAGGTGTTCTCAGTCTACATTTCCAGCTTTATCTTGCAATAGTCCCTACAGCCACCCTCCCCTCAGCCCCCTCAGCCATCTTTGTCTACTGAATGTCTCCTGAATGTGCATTTATGCTCATTATTAACTCCATTAGCTATGCTCTCCTGCCTCTGACTATTGAATCCCTCCAATCCTCATCTTTCAGTATAGATTCCTCCCATGAAGATTTTTACAGTCCACAGGGCATTCTCCCTTCACTGACCTTATAACATTAATTTACATTTGTTACTTAACAACACAGTCCTGCCATTTCATTATATTGTAACATGCGATTACACATCCAGGCCTGACAGTTTCTAAACATCAAGGACCATGTCACTTTCAACACACAGCACGTGCCGTGTGTGAATTAGGTACCCAATAAATATTTACTGATTTCATAAAAGAATTCTAACTGTACTCAGCTAAGCTATTGATCACCATCAAGGAGCACCTGCATAGGAGCAGCATTCCAGGCTCCTCAGGGATGTCAGGTTTAAGAGCTTTGTGACTTTCCCAAATGGCTCATGGGAGGAAGGTGAGTGCTGTGATAGACATGAATCAAGACCTGCTTTGATGATTGCTTTGATGATGTGACCAGTATGGCTGGATTCTAGAGATAGGAGATACAGTATTATTTAGTTGTTACTTCAGAAAGCAAGGTTTGTCTTCCATGTCAGTTCTTGTCTCATCAATATTTTATTGCCATTTTTCTCTCCTGAGAATGCAAGAGTGTCTTAGTCCCTTTTGTGTTGTTATAACACAATATCACAAACTGGGTAACTTATAAAGAAAAGAAATGTATTTCTTTATAGTTCTGGAAGTTTTAAGTCAAAGGTGGAGGGGCCCACATTTGGTGAGAGTCTTCTTGCTGTATTATCTGTGGTAGAAGGCGGAAGGCCAAGAGAGGGTGTGAGTGAGAGGGGAGGGGAGCTGAACTCATCCTTTTATCAGGAACCAACTCCTGAGATAACTAATCCACTCCCATGATAACGGCATTAATTCATTCATGGAAGTAGAGCCCTTATGACCTAATAACCTCTTAAAGGTCCCTCTTCTCAACACTGTTGGGTTGAGGATAAAATTTCCTACACATGAATTTTGTGGGATACATTAAATTCATAGCAGTAAGTATATTGAATTTGCATTTGCTCAAAGAAACAAAAGTATTTAGAAAGCAAATCAGCAGTTTTAAGCATCACTCCACTGGCTGTAGTGAAGTTGGCATATGTTTTGAAAAATCTGTTTTTGTATGGTTTTATGCTGTGTTTGTATTGATGTTCTTGCAATGAGCAGAATATAAAATTTTTCTTGCTCTTGAATAACAAATTGAAGGCATAGAAAGGAGGGTATTTAGACCATCACATTGGCTGGCTTAATATGAAGACATAAAACTGAAATGCCCTAAAGACTCATTGGCATATCTTGCATTTTAATAAAGGGAAGGTGGATTAAAACCACAGAGCATTAAACAATTGGCTTTCTGAACTCCTGAAGGTAAGATGACATATTCCTGGAAAATCTAGGGAAGTAGCATTGGGGGTTGCAGGTGGTTATTTAATACTTATTATGAGTCTTCATTGAAAGTTGCTATATATCTTTAAATTTTTATTACCCAGCTGTGGACCACGGAAGATATTTCTAGGTTCTAGGGTAGTATAGCAACTGCAGAGGCTAGAGTTACCTGGGAGCAGTGGGGCCATTCCAATCCACATTTCTGAGGTCTTCTGTGGTCAAAGGGGAAGATTTGATTCCATGGTCACTATGGGCTTTTAGGTCATTGGGGTCACAGGATCTATGTCAGGGGTCCCCATTACCCCTCTCCCCTTGGGTCCAGAGATGCACTAGGAAGACTCCCAAGATTCCTACAGTCATATTCATGGCTGAGGTTTATTACACAGTAAGGATACAATGTAAAATCAGCAAAGCAAAATGATGCAAGGGGTGAAGTTCAAGGATACTAAGCACAAGCTTCCAAGAGATCTCCCTTCTGAGTCCCACAGGATGTGCTTAATTGCTCCAGCAATGAGGTATGGCAGCACATATGAAATGCTGTCTGCCAGGGATGCTCACTAGAGACTGAGTACCTCAATTTTTATTGGGACTGGTTACAGTAAAAATTGGCCACTCTCCACCTAGTACATACCAAAATTCCAGACTCCCAGGAGGAATGCATGTGTTTATCACAAACCATATTGTTTTCAAACATTTTAGGCACAGTAAGTCACTCTTATCTGTCCTGGGAATGGTGGGAAACTTCCCAATATCCAACTTTCCTGACACCAGCCAGGGGTGAATTTTGCAGACAGAACTTTCTAGGAATAACAGTCTCTGGCCACCTCTGTTGATTCCACACCACACAAACCCCATGTGCAACTGCATTTGAGGACTATATGATTGGGATGTCCCAAGCCAGTAAGTTATCTCTATCTTTTATCCATTCATTTAAAAAGATTACATATTCCCCATGGTAGTGCAGGAAGTGGCCTCTGTCCACCTCTTCAGCCACACAGTAAGCTACTGACCTCTTTGCTCGTAACAAGTCAGCCACATTGACCTCCTGTCAATTCTTCCAGTGCTCCAGGTGGCTTTCTATTTCAGAGTCTTATTGTACACGGCACCTGGCTGAGTACCATGCATTCTTCAGCTCTCACCCTGGCCGACACTTGTTAAGAAATATCTTCCCTGACCCTCTTTTTAGAGGGATAAAGACCCAGATGATATAAAGACCCACTTTTTTCTTAATTTCAGAGTACTCTGCTTTTCTCCTCCTCAGCATTGATGACAATTGCAATTAATGAAGGCACACAATTAATGTTTTAAATATATTTTAATATTTGCCCTCACAGGTAAGTATAAGTAGCTTGACTAGGCAGGGACCAAGCTTATGTTGTTTGCAGCCATATCCCTAGATGACTAGTACCTGTGGTCAACCAGTGTTAGTTTAATGAAAGAATACATTCAATGCTTTCAAAGAGTACTGTCAATGCTTTGACAAATAAGGGCTTGCCCTGTCCCATATGGATTTGTCACATTGGATAGAAAGGAGTCAAGCAAACAGATGATTAGGACACATGCTAAAGATTAAAGAGACCACAACTCATGGCCCATGCTTGTGATTTTGAATCTTACAATTGCACAGTAAATAAAAGGTTTCCACATAGGGTTACCCCTTAATAGCTGTAGGGGAGCACTGAGAGTCTGACAGGCCTGGGTTTGAAACATAGTGCTTCTACTTGTTGAATGATGTCGGACATGTTACTGAACTTCCAAGAATCATATTTTTCCTTAGCATGTTATACATTTGATCTTACAGCATCATCTGTCCAACCTCAGTAGTTGAACATAAGGTGCTGAGCACAGTGCCTGGTGCAAAGGAAATGCTGAGAAATGTTAGCTGTGGTCTTGAAACTGTCCAGCTGGATAGGAGCTTTGAGGCTACACTGTCTTTCCTCTCACCCAGTCAAGGAGTCCCTTTTCTAACTTTCTTCCACAGAACACAGTTATGGTAGAAAGCTGGTCCCTGGGAGGTCACTGCTTCAAAAGGAATCCTATTCAGCTGTGATGATTAGCAAGCTCTTGCTTGCATTGATCCCAGATATGCCTGCTATAACTTCTAACCTTGGACTACAATTCTGTTTTCTTGGGCAATACAGAGCAAGTCTGATTCTCTTCTACATTTCAGACCTTCAAATGTATGTATACAGCTCTCAGGTCAAACCCAGACTTCTTTCCTTCAGAGTAAATATCTGCAACATCTTCAACCACTCCTCATACCATAGTTTTCACACCCTCCTGGTTTCCAGACCCCTTGTAGTCTTGGCTGCTCCAGTTATTAGGTTTCTTCAGAAATACAGAATCAATAGGGTGTATGTGTGTGTGTAAAGGTTTATTTTAAGGGATTGGCTCGTATAATTTGTTAAAGTATTGGCTTATATGTTGTTGGCAAGTCCAAAATATGTAGGGCAGGTTGACAGGCTGGAGACTGAGACAGGAATTGATGCTTCAGTCCTGGGGCAGAATTTCTTCTTCCAGGGAAACAGTTTTTGCTTTGAAGGCCTTCACTTGATTGGATAAGTCCCACATACATTATCAAGGATAAACTTCTTTATTTAAAGTCAACTGATTATAGATGTTGATCGCATTTACAAAACATCTTCCCAGCAACAGCAAAATTAATATGATTAAATAACTGGGTACGATAGCCCAGCCAAGTTGATATAACATTAGCTGTCACAGGCTGTATCCTTAAAGTATGGTACTCAGAACTAAACAGGAAACATTTGCTCTGATCGGGGTCCAACCCAGGGAGACTGTTAGGTCCTTTGGTCTAGAAACTAGTTTGAATATGTTTTAAGGTTTTATTAACTTTTTAATAAATAGCCAGACTATACTGACTTGTTTGCATTGGGCATATATACTACTCTTGCGAGCAGGAGGCCTGAAATCTCCTAGAGAAGTTCAGGCAGAGGGAGCCTGGCAACAAGGGAAATCCCGAGATTGTAGGCAAGAGGGTGAGGAAGAGATGCTTTCAAGAAGCCTGGAGGGAGTGGAGATGATTATGTTTAACGCATTCCTTCTTTGGTTTTGGTAACCTTTAACAAGTCTTTCTCCTCCAGCCCTTCTCTTCAATGGTCCCTGCCACCTAGAGCTGCTAGCATAGTATGGATTAATAGTGACTGGTAAAAAAAAAAAAAAAAAAAAAAAAAAAAAATGAACAAACAAAAACTTCAGAGAAATTATAGAGTTTATTTGAGCAAAGAACAATTCATGAATGGAGCAACATCTTAAACCAGTGGAGGTTTAGAAAGCACCACCCAGCAGTGTTAGCAGTGAGCTTTTATAGTCTGGATACAGAAGCAAAGTAAACAAATCATCTGAGTGACTACCATGGTGTGATAAATTGGCTGCCTGTGATTGGCTGAAACTCAACTGTTTATTATAGTCCAAGTTAGGTTTTGGCTTATTTACATAGCATGTTAGGTTACAGTTTGCTATATAGGGACTTGAGGTACAGAGGCAGCCTCAGGCCAAATTTAAGTTAATTTAACGTGACTTATGGCGTTATGTCTATTACAGGTTATTTACAGCCTAAAAGATGACTCTAGAAATTTGAAAAGCATGTCATAGAAATGCATTCATTGCAGCAGAACTTCTGTCTCCAAAGATAGGCAGGGAAGGCAATATTTTTGGAAACTGGTACAAGATACATCAGGTAGACCAGCTGTGTCCTACTCTCCATTTCTGAAATCTGTCCACTGTCTCCGTCAAGAGACTGACTTCACCAAGCACTGTATCCATTTGATTAACCTTCAGAGCCAACCCTCCTGCAGCTGTGCAGCTGTGCAGTCTCCGTCCCTGGTTTGGCTTCCTAATTCCCATATTAATATCAAGAGGGCCTGGGCAGCTGAAGAATCAGCAGGAGAAAACAAGAGAATGGAGCTTCAAAAATGGTATAAGCCATGCAGGCTTATAGTATGCAACCTTATATCCATCAGCCAAAGCTATAGATTTTATTATATTTACAAAGCTACTTCCATGTGGCTGCACAACTTGCTTAAAACATGTATCTAATATTATTCGGGAAATATCAAGGCTTGTGTTGGACTATGCCCTGGGTTCTTTCTGTTGCTGAAGTGGTAGCAATTTCTAGTGCATTCTTTTACAGGGATACTATCTGTACCATTGATAACACACAAGATAATGTTAGGTACTCCATGGATGACCTTTTTAACTCTAGACTTGTATGTTTATGTATTTTAATGCATATTCTTATAAAATGAGGTGTAAGATTTTATTCATTTGAATGCATATTTTAAAAGCATAATTATTGCATCAGACATGTAACTGCCTATTGCTTAAAACATGTAAAGGTAAAAATTTGAGTCTATTTTAAATCAAATGTTAAAAAGTAACAGTACAGACAATATTACAGGTATGGAAAAGTTGAAAAATTGCCATGAGAAGGACTAAAATTGGAAAATACATGACCAATGGGAAAATGATGTACTTTATCATCAGAACTTGGTTCAGATTTTGGCTTCATTATGATCTCCTTAAGGTCTTACATTTCTCACCTATAAAAGGCAAATGATAACACTTAACTTTTAGGATAGGTCTGAGGATTAGAGCTAATAATATGAAATGCCAGACACATCATAGGCACTCTTTAAATAGCAATCATTGCTTTTAGTACTTTAGATCTCTTAGAACACAATGGCACACCTATAGAAAAGATGAGAATGAAAGGTAGAGACCTAGCGTCAAGGAATAAAAACAGAAAACGATTTAAATCCATGATGCTGCATCAGTCTAACTAAACAGCAGTCTAGCTAATGCTGTTAAGAGCACTCTGTTATCTGACACTAGCTTCAAATACAAAAGCAGAATGAGAAGACAACAACCAATCCAAGCCCAAGCTAGGGCTACAAAAAAATAGACTCAATGGTAGAGAAAGTGTCCCAAGAGTTTCAGTTAAATGTGCCCAGAAGAGCAATGGACTGCCCCTCTGGCCCTTCAGAGGAAAGGGAAAAAATGACCATAGGATCCCCTGGGCAAGTGGAAAAGCAGTAAGAAAGGCATAGAAATCCAACTCTGTGTCGAGGGGGTCATGAGCAGATGGCATGGGTGTCTGGAGACTTAACAAAATGAAAGTAACACTACAGACCAAATCTTTTATCCTCTTTCCCTATTTTGTTGAAATCTAAAACACAGCACCCATGCTTGTCATCAAATTTCAGGAGCCCCCAAAACATTTCCTCTCATTGTTTTGTCCATCTTAGTCAATACATTGATACGATTTTCCTCTCAAGACCAAACAAGTTCCAGAGTGTGGATGAATCCAAGCATGCTACAATGCTTTGCTAGGGCTGCCATAACAAAGTAACATACACTGGGTGGTCTAAACAACAGAAATTTATTTTCTCACAGTTCTGGAGACTAGAATTTCAAGATCAAGATGTCAGAGCACTGGTTTCTTCTGAGGCCTCTCTCATTGGTTTGTAGATGACCATCTTCTCTCTATGTCTTATAGTCTTCCCTCTATGCCTGTCTGTGTCCTAATTTTTTCTTCTTGTAGGGATACCAGTCATATTGGTTTAGGGCTCACACTGAAGACTTAATTTTAACTTAATAATTTTTATAAGACCCTATCTCCAAATACAGTCACATTCTGCAGTACTAGGGTTAAGACTTCAACATGAATTTTGGCAGACAAAACTCAGCCCACAACACATGCCTATTGACCCCTCCTGGAAAGGTAGAATTCACAGTGTGACACTCTAACAGGACATAAGAAGCCTAATCTTTATATTTATGAAGAGTGTCTCATTATCCATATCTCTGCAGTGTATTCTAAGGATCAGAGTTAAATCATCTTTCTCTGAAGTTTTAAAGTTAATAAAACCAGATTTCCTTTGAACATAATATGAAAAGATTAGAACAAGAGGCAGCATACTGTGATTGGTGTGTTAATTTCCATTCACAGACAATGAGTGCTTTGTAAACACTAGAATATAATATTAATATATTCTTCCTCAATTTTTCTAGTCCCAATTATGCCCTCAAGGATGTTGTTTTGATACTGCTTTAAACTTGTTGTGAATCATGCTCTGCCGTCAGATACTTGAATGTCCTTGGAAAAATTTGCTCTAGGTCTAGTCCATTCATGTGTAAAATTGGGATGATAATTACCTGATAGGGGTGTCTTAGAGGAGATAATGGCTCTAAAATACTTTATACACGGCCTGATATATAGCAGGTGCCCAATACATGGTAGGTAAAGCTATTAGGTTATTTGTATACAGACTATATGGGAAAGAGGCTGGATTTCTAGATGTTGGGCTGGGAAAGCAACAGAGAGAAAGGGGTGGTCCCCTTAAAACTATATTGTCTGTCAAAGGCAGAAATTCTTCTGGTTTACTCCCAAATCATTCATTCAAAACAACATTTATTTATGAACTCAGAAAGATACACTAACATTGAACTGTAGCAACCCTGGCACATATAATATTGTCTTTAAGGAACTGGCATAAAGATCTGAACTCTTAGGACTTCTGTCTACATCACCAATTCCTTTAAGACAGCAAGCAGCAAGGCTGGAGATTCTATAATAGGTATGTATTTGAATTCTGAGAGCTGAGGCTACTCTTCTTAAAAAATGTTCCAATTGAATATAAGACATGATGTGTGTTGAATACTTTCCTGCCACTCACAAGCTCTGGCTATAAAGATATATGCTGAGAACTAGGAAGCTGGACACCTTGTTTTTGCCCTCTTGATTCTATTACTCATCATTCTTTACTTTTCCAAACTCTGTGTGAAATCTTGAAGACACCTATAATTTCCTCCATCTTATTATCTATCTCCAGTGATGTCTAATTATCTTCAGACAGCCTCTTCATTATTTCTATTATCTACTGCACTATCTTTAAGTTTCTACTAACTCTTACCCACATTATTATTTTTATAACCAGTCTCCCTGACTTGATTTGCTCTCCTCTTTGATCCATCTCACTTGCCTGATTAAATTTCTTAAAATGTACCCTGTCCGAACCACCTCTTGAAATCACAAATATTCAGTCACTAAGCTGCCTCCCAAATGGTCGAAATACAACCTAAGCTCTAACCTTAACATGACTTAATAATACCTCACTTCCTCACTTGTTTCCAATGAACCAGAATCTCCAAATCTACTCTGAACCCACTGCTTAAACTACAAACATAGTTAACATTTGTTGAGTGCTGCCTAGCAGCCAGGCATTGTGGAGAAGGCTTTATATGCATCATTTTAAAAAATGATCACCATAACCCTGTAAGTTATTATAAGCTACTGTTATTGTCTTCATTTTATAGAATGGAAATGGGGACTGAAGAGGTTAAGGGGCTTTCCCGAGGTCATCAAAGCCCTAGTGACCAGGTGAGGTTTACCTGATTCCAGACAACCCTTCTGCCCCAATCCTGCCCCTTCAGATTTGCCAGTCAGTCCTTCAGGTTTATCCAAAGCATCTTCTCTAGTGAAATTGCAAGCTCCTTTGTTATTAGAACCATGGGGATGCCAACTATATATTTTTATTCCTTAAAAGATATGGCGTGGTTTTAGCCTTCAGTCAATATTCAATAAATGTTTGATGAATTAATAGATGAAACAGGTCATTTCAGATAAACCAGACAATGAAAGTAAAAACAAAAGTGGCACCTAGTGCTACTGGACTACTGGATGGACTGACTTACATAAACAAAAGCTGAGCTGCATTAAATTTTATTTCACTTCGTAACTACCTCAATAACCTATCTCAAGGGCAGCATCAACAGATTCTATGAACTTTATGAGTTCATACCTATGAAGGAAAATTGCTGATGTGTGGCCTTCTAAAGGGGGGAATAGAGTTTCATAGCAAGCATCCTGAATGATAACCAAAGATGCACACCCCTGCACATGGGAAGCATCTCAAGCCAGTCCACAAAATCAGCCTTCTTGGAACTGTGATGTTTGCTTAGAATCAGTACAACCACTGGGTGGTCTTGGGTAAGCTGCTTCCTCTTTGGACCAAGTTCCTTATCTTTAATCTGAGGAAGCTGAAAAGTCATCTTTCTGCCCCAATGCCAGCTACAGTTTTCCATGTACCACACATCATGCTAAAGGCATACATATATCAATGGTGGATAGCACAGTTAGTATAAGGCAAAGCCAGGATCTAAACCTGCAAAGTCGTGCTGAATTTAAAGCCTTCACCATACCATGTAAGGCCTCTTCCAGCTCTGTGCTCCAGTGATTCTCCTACAAGTTACCTTTTACATTGAAGCTCTTGAGTTGCCTGGAGGCTTTTGTACTCCAGTGTCTGAAGGATCCCGACCCTGTTTTGTGATAGTTGGCCAGTAATATGTATTAATGATGCTCATGCTGCTAGCCTTTAGAGTAACTTCGAGAAAAATCTCAGTCATTGCATCCGCTGGTCTGGCTCATACCTTTTGGAAATGTGCTGGCAAAGGAGTGTGAGGAGGCAGACCAGGAACCGGAAAGAAGCATCTGCTGCCAAGTCCATGTCACCAGGAGACAGTTAGACCCTTAGACATTTTACAGTATTTTTACATTTTATGAAAACCTCTCTAATCTCCAACAGAGCTGAAAAATAACACAATTGTCAAAATTGGGCAGTGGAATTTTAGGTGGCATCTGTACCTCTTTCATTATCTTGTGTTTCATACACATTGAGCGGGTTGACACTCATTCTCTGCCACTGCTTTTCTGGATGACATTGGGAGAAGACCTTAACTTCTCAGGGCCACAAACTCTGTGTGTGTTTAATAATATACCTTTTCATTTCTGGGACACTTTCCCTTCAAAATCTGCATGGAGCTGAAATAACACAAGAGGCACTTTTAAGAAGGTGCTGGGAAACTAGATGACTAGCGCTGCACAGGTGAGGATACTGAGGCAGGGTGAGTTAGCTTAGTAGCCTAGCATGGCGTCATCGTCTACACCAGTCAGGCTGGTTCTGGCTTCAACCACATTCTTGTTTAGCAGGAAACTGAAATTTATAATCCTGAGGTCCATTCCAGGTTGTGAATGGCAAGACTTGTTTAAGAGACAATTTCTCTCCCTGCTGCTTTTTTTTTTTTTTTTTTTTTTTTTCCTTAGGATGGTTCTAAAGAAGAAGTATACTTATTCGCTGGTTAGGAAACTCCATATGCACTATTGGTGACAAAAGAGTTACTGAGATCCACTTTCGGTGGTTGTAAAAGTGTTTTTGTTATTATATTTTCTTGATAGTAGTATAATATTTTATTTGCCATAAAAATATAGCTTCCAGTGGCCATTTCAGTCAAAAAGAGGAATAATTAATTATCTCACATGGACTCCTGTTCTTTGACTTTCAGGAAGTTAATTTTACTTGGTGAAAGTGAGATACGCTTTGCTTGTGCACTGAAGATAGTAGATGATGGTACTTTGGCCATTTTCAGCAAACTCCTAGATACCTAGGGATGTAGGGTTTTTTGAATGGTTATCTGGTTTGTTTGTTTTGGAATGATACCTAGAGATGTAGGGTTTTTTGAATGGTTATCTGGTTTGTTTGAATGGACGTGGCAGCAAGTCTCAAAATGCCTTTCATTGTTAAAAATGATTATAAGGTGTTTGCAAGAAGCGTAAGTGATTTTCTGATTTCAGTAGATAGAGCAAACGTCATGAAACATGCAGCACTCATGCCACCACTTCTGTGGTTCCACACCCCTTGCACACATAGCTAATTGAATATGGAATTCTTTCCTGCTGACTTGGGTCAAGGCCTCAGAATACTTTCTCAAAACAGCCATTCAGGAAGCTACAGCCAGCTAATGAGAACTGGTACTCAAAACCCAACTGCCATCCCACATTTCTTCCTTCGTGGGTTTTCAAGATACAGCTGTCTTCCAGACTCTTTTCACCAAGCTCTAGAATTCAATAAAAGTCCAGCCCTTTTATAATAGCCTTCGACAAACATTTACTTTGGAAAATATATGGTGTCTAAATATAATACATTTATTTTGCTTTATTTGGTTTAATGAGATCATATCTCTTTACTGTGGTTTAATTTTAACTGCATCTCTTAAAACTATTTTTGGGGACACTAGGCTGTGAATCTTTGATCTACCATTAACTACCTGTGTGAACTTTACCAGTTTCATTAACTCACCTGAACTTCAGATTTCTCTAATATGAAGTGCAGATAATAATATGTACAAAGGTCCCCTTAACATGAAGCCAAATTCTGTGCCAAATTTTCTTTTCTTCGAGATACGGAAACAACCCCCCTAGAGATAACATAGTGCTGCTTTTGTATGTTCTTCACCCTTCACCCCACCCAGTTTCCTTTCCCTCTGACTGGGCTATTCTGATTTCAGATATATATTTGATCAGAAGATGTTGTATAGAACTAGATAAGGCATGCCAGACTTCAACACTAATTGGCGTAAAATTAAATAATATTTTGTCCTCATATTCCCCTAGATGATGAAACTGAAATGAACACCAAAACTACGTTCTGCAGTACTCTATGGTGATATAAAAAGAAACGGCTAAATAATATTTTGGCCTGAATATTCAGAGCACATTTGGAATGTACAATAAGACTATATAACCCCCCCACCCCGCCGCCATTTTCACTTTCTGTCCATATTTTGCACAGCCTAGCCTGGAGCCCCTAACATGAGTGAAGTGGCATGCTATGGGTGGAGGATGATTGGACTTGAGACACATGCTCATGTGTCAGCTCCATAACTGACTACTTGTGCACCTTGGGTACGTGGCTACCTCTATGAGACTCAGCATCTTTCTCTTTGAAATGAAGGAGAATGGTAATCTTGAACTCACAGTAATGTTGAAATGAGATAATGAATGTGATTTAGTATGTTTAGTAATGGATTTAGTAAACTGCAGTAAACTGTTTAGCACTTAAACATGTTTTTGAGTCCTAAAAGAGATGTTTAAAAACATTTTGAATGAATGCCAACCAGTTACGAAGTAGAGGCTGAGGCCACAAATCTAGTAGATTCTTTATAGAGTAATACTTTGTTCAAAGAAAGCTCTGCAATGGAAAGTTTAAAATGCATGAAGAAAACAAGCTGCTCAAGTTGAAGAAGAAACCCAGTGTTTAGCCCAGTCATCTCCCTCTTTTCCCCTAGAACTCCTCAGGAACTGGGAGACACAGTTTTCAAAACAGTGACAAGTTTTACAGATGAGTAAACTAAAGTTTAGGGATGAAGGAGAGTTATTTCTTGTGAGCCAAAGTCAACGTCTTCCTTGGCAATTGCTAGTCAATCTATAAGTCAGTCCTTCTCCCCTCCCATTAATCAGGTGCCCTCACTGTATTATAAATGCATCTGGACTAAGGGGAGCCCTCTTCTTTGAAGTGAGGTCCAGAGATATTTGAAGAGAGGCCAAGATGAGGGCTGTGATTACTGTTAGTTCATTCAGTGTAGATGACCTGCATTCCGTGGGCTTGGGCCCATTTGCAGATGAGTAAAAATTCTCTGAAAAATGGGTGTGCACCAGAGTTTCGAATGTACAGGTATGTTATTGATATATAAACAGAAGTGTGTTTAAGGAAAGTAACACTTCTAAAAGTGACACTTCTAGCCAACAAGTAGTATATAAAGATTTTATTTTTTTGTGGAAAAATATACATAACATCAAATAAGATATAATTTTTCTTATTAGATAATTATGAAATATAGTTCAGTAATCTGAGAGATGCCCACTCATTACTTTGGTTTTCTTGTGATTTCTGTCTGACATGGCAGGGACTTTAAAACTAGTCTAGGAAACACTTTAATTTCTGTGAGCAAAACTGTATCTTATCTCTGCCTTAGTTAAAGATACAAATTGTACTTTTTAATATTTATTTGTTAAATTCTCTATTACCAAGGTGTATCGGAGATCTACATGAATCTCTCAATAAATAATTGGTACATTTTATTTATATGCATAAAAATTAGGAGTCTCCTCCATCCCCAGCATCATATTCCATACCCACAAAACAATGGTGAATAAGTCATAATCCCCATTTAACAATTTTCTCTATGTATTGATTCCTGCTATGTGCATGATACTGAGGGGAGCACTTCATAGAAGACAATAAGGCTTTTGAGCACCTTCTGTCTTCTGGGTCCAGTTGTTATTTCATTTCACATTATTCCATAATAACCTGCAAGAAGGTTGTTATTATTATATTATGTGTGTGTGAATGGTAAGACACTGAACATAGGACTTACCCTCTCAACAAGTTTTTAAGTGTACAATACATTATTGTTGACTATCAGAACAGTGTTGTATGGCAGATTTGGAAGCAGGTTATTATTAGCTTGTGGGTCACAGGTGAGGGAACTGAGCCTCCGAAAGTAAGGGAACTTTCCCAAACTTACAGAACTAGAAAACAGAGGAAATGGGATTTTAATCTAGTCTCCCAAGACTCTGGAGCCCATCCTCCATTACACCTCAGTACCTCCTCTGCCCTCAAAGAGTTGCAGCCCAGCAGAAACAACACAAACTACCCACAATGACCAGGCAAGGTAGAAATGGCCAAGTGTCAATTGCTTCCAGGGACCTTCTCATCTGGCCATGTCTTCTCTTCCCCTGCAAACCCAGGCAACATACAGACCTCCTTACTGGCTTGGGCTCCTTAGGCCACCCTTTTCCCCCTTTCCTCTCATGAACTTGGTTAATTTGGTTTAAGTACAATTATAAAATGTTGCTTTCAGATCTAAAACTCACTTCAGATATGGATAATGTGAGAGTAGTGTTAATACAATATATTTTGGAGAGTATTGATATTATATACTATATTTCAGTATATATGTTCTAGGATTTGGAGTATATATGCATACCATATATTTTGGAGAGTTTTCCTCATACTCTGAAAGATGAGTACTTACAAGTCTGACCCTGAGAATTTGGGCTGATGTGGAGCCGTGTGTGTGGAGGGGATCATATTGCTAAGGCATGTTAGAGCAGCCTTGGGGTGAGGGAGTCGGGTTGTGCCTCATAATAATAAAGGTAAGTCAATGGAGTCATGTATAATGCCTGCTGACTCTCGAGCAATGACTGTACCTAAGATGATAGAGTAGCAAAGAAGTGCTGAAGTATGTGAGGGTCCTCAGCCTTCTCTGGGGGAGGAGTCATTTGTCATATTTCCCTGGAAGCAGAAGATTAGGATAAAGCTATTTTATAAGATAACATTTAAGAATGTGAGTTTGAAGGGAATGAATAATTTCCACCTGCTTTCATCTCATAATAGCTAATGTGGGCAAGAATGGAGCCATAGCTCAGGCTCCTCATGAGAAATCATGTCCCTTTTCCATTAAGTGATTTCTAGTACCTTGAGTTGTTTAATATCTCACAGAAATACATCCAGATATTCCTCTCACATCAGCATCCAGGTGAGGTTTTGCTTTCTGAGGTAGTCTCAGAAATTGGACACTGCTTTTCACTCACCTGATGTTGCTAGGCTTGATTGTGATTTCCTGCAATTTTTCATGTCCTTTCTCAAGCAAGACTCCAGCTCTAACCAGCACATCAAACAGAGTAGATTCAAATCATAGAATCAAATGGGGTGAGTGGAACATGGTTCTACCTTCTGGCCGGAGCAATAAACAAAGTGCCTAGAGAGGGAACAGAACCAGTCAAGAGTTCTCCTGATTTAGATGGTAAGTGAGAATGACAGTATTGTTGCTGAAAGCGCATACCACCCAGCACGCTTGCTTGGGGAAGACGGATTGGACTATTCATGCATGTCCAGTGAGTCAAGTGTTTCCAAGGACATAAAGATTTGTGGCCATTCAGCCTGTAGCTTAGTGAAAGGCTACCTGCTGGGCAGTGTAGATTAGAGGGGTTACTGAATTCTTTGACATAAAATGAGGTAGGTGATCAAATACCTAAGTACTCTAAAAAATTAAGAGACAGTTTTTTAACCAGTCTTCTGTTTAACAGATATATTGAGTACTTGTTCCCAACAGGACACCAGTCTTGGCTGTGTAGGGGATGGAATGATGAAAATGTATACTCTTCTTCCTTTAATAAAAGTGTTAATATTTGGTTGGTGCAAAAGTAATTGTGGTTTTGCCATTAAGAGTAATTAAAAGTCATGGCAAAAACTGTGATAACTTTTGTACCAACCTAGTAATATGCTAGAGTATATATCTAAAGTTGAATCATGATATGACCAGAGTAGAAAATAAAATCATACATTCCTACATTCATTCGTTTATTGAACAAATAATTATGAAGTACCTAATACGTCAGACACTCTACAAAGCATTGGTGAGTCACTGGTAAATGAGAGAATCAAAGACTCTGCTCTTACCATACCGTTTTTCATTTGTTTGTTGTGTGAGTGTGTGTGTGTGTGTGTGTGTGTGTGTGTGTGTGTGTGTGTGTGTGTGATGCAGCCAGTAGTCTTGTATCTTGAAAGCAATGATTTTCTGTGGCAATTGCATATGTACCTACTTACAGTTTTGTAGTTTCTACTATGGAACATATTTAGCCATTCTAGCTTTTGCTGATGACAAAGGAATGAGTTCTTGCTTATGGTAAAGGAGTAGATCCAATCATGTCAAGGGAAATAATAGAATGAGCAACATGTTCATCTTATCCAGAGGATAGCCTGAGTTACAGGGGCTGTCCACAGGCTTGCTTCAGCCATATTTCAAACCCTGTGTCAAATCAACCTATCGGTGGAATTCCTTTAAACATTCTATGTGACATGCGTACATTCTTAATGATGTATTCCAATTCTGGGACATTCAAGTAAAATACTTCATAAGAATTTCAGAAAAAAAATTATTAAAATTTTCTTACCTGATGATAAATTCAGGCTAGAGGATATGAGTGCTTAGAAGAAAATCTAGAAAAAGTAGGATCATATTAAAAAATTGAAGAGCCATATTAATGACTATACTCTATTTATTATACATCTACAAACTTAGAATATGGTAATTCCTAATAATCTCTAGTGGTAATAATTCCAAATTGGGCAAGAAGATATTCACATGTGAACTCCTTTCTCTGATTAATTTGGGACCTTTTCCATCTACTGGAAAAACATTTCATTAAGTTCATTTTCTACACACTTACATGTACACACACACACTCTTTTATTTCCCTTATGATCTGGAGGAATTCATCTTTATAAAATACTATAAGAAAACCTTGTGTTTTTCCCTCAAGATATTTCAATGGTCAAGTTCTTAGGGATTACAAAGGTAAGACTATTTTGGCATATGTGTAACTCTGGAACAGGTATATGGTATTTGGTGCTTATTACGTTGAACATTCCTTAAGTGAACTTTATGGCATTTAGAAAAAAACAATGGAACACAACTGTGAAAGGCCAAAGACCAGGTAGACTCCATTTCCTCCTGATCAGCTTTTCATTCTGTTCTCCTATACAAATACCTATTCAATATGTATGTTGCTTTTACAACACTTTCAAGTCATAGTAAATCCATTTTAAATTATAAGGGCCTCAAGGGTTTGTGTGTATAATTAATTTCTTTTTTCCTACCTTCCTTTAATTGTTAAGAAGATTCCTCCAGGAAAAAAATATCTCAATAAGTGACAATAGGGAAGGAGGGTGGGTGATAGGTCGGGGAGGATAGATCCGGAGACAGGCAACAAATAGCTGATAACCTGGAAATCCTTTTGGAGGGCTATCTGAAGCAGATAACAATATTTAGATACTTAAAATAGAAGTGCCCTTTCCCTTGATACTTTATGGGCCTGCTAATTTATTTCTTCCATTTACAAGATACTGAATATTAAAATTGCCTTTACTTATTTAAAAGTTCACAAAATATTGAGTTGTGAAGAGTTATTCATGCGATGTTTCCCAGCATGAATTCCTTAGAAATGTTATTCTCACAGAATGCTCTGAGATAAAAGAGTTTAGTGGTCATAAAAGTGTAGAAAAGGCCAGGCGCGGTGGTTCACACCTATAATCCCAGCACTTTGGGAGGCCGAGTCTGGTGGATCACGAGGTTAGGAGTTCAAGACCAGCCTGACCAGGATAGTGAAACCCCATCTCTACTAAAAATACAAAAAATTAGCCGGGCGTGGGGCGCTTGTAATTGCAGCTACTCGGGAGGCTGAGGCAGAGAATTGCTTGAATCTGGGAGGTGGATTCAAGCCAAGATCGTGAGCCAAGATTGCGCCACTGCACTCCAGCCTGGGTGACAGAGTGAGGCTCCATCTCAAAAAAAAAAAAAGTGTAGGCAATACCACTGGCTGTAGACACTCCTGGAAAGTCAAACATTAGCAAATGGAAAGGTCTAGGAGGTGTTACAATAAATAATCCTATTTATTTTTGTTTGCCTAATTTTCCAAAATTATTTGGCTATTGAATCCCCAATTTTATGGGTTAGAACCTGAACATTTTCATCAGAACTAATGTTACATAGTACGCTAAACTCTGTGGGAAGCACCGGATTGAGTAGTCTTCTGAGTCTCTTAGCCTGTGTTTAGAACTCTTCACAATTTGAAAACAAATCTGCATTACTTTCCCAAGTCTCTCCTTTAGGAAAACTCTATTCTTTCTTTCTCCCAGTCAAAAATTTCTTGTCTGCATTTTTTATGCCTCATCTGTCCCCCTGCCTCATCCTCATTGCTGCTTCTTTAATGAGACCCATCAACCATCTCATAAGCAATCTGCAGGAAGAATTTATTCAGTACACAAATATTTATTAAGTATCTGTGATATAACGAATTGTACACCGGGTACTCATGTGAGAAAGAAAACTTAGAGGCCAGCACAGTATCTGTCTTCAGGAGTTTACAGTGTGGCCGAGAAATCATTTTAGTGTAATAACTTGTGATGTGTTGCCTGCCATAAGAAAAATACTAAGGAGGTGAAAATAAGGGAAAGATAATATTCAGATGGGGACAACCTAAGAAGGTGACATGGAAGGAGGATTGAGATGGTATTCCAGATTGGGTGAAAGCATTTAAAAAATAAAACCCTGTAGTCCCAGCTACTCGGGAGGCTGAGGCAGGAGAATCACCTGGACCCAGGAGGTGGAGGTTGCAGTAAGCTGAGATCGCACCACTGCACTCAAGCCTGGGTGACAGAGCGAGACTCCATCTCCAAAATAATAATAATAATAATAAATAGTAAAAATAAAACTACAGGAGTATTAAAAGTGATAATAAATCCTAGAGACTCTTCGATGGAGTGTCTCCTGGATTGACCAAAATACAACAGAGAGCAATAACAGTTAAGTCTGGAAATGGCCGGGCGCTGTGGTTCATGGTTGTAATCCCAGCACTTTGGGAGGCCGAGGCGGGTGGATCACGAGGTCAGGAGATCGAGATCATCCTGGCTAACATGGTGAAACCCCGTCTCTACTAAAAATATAAAAAATTAGCCGGGCGTGGTGGCTGGCGCCTGTAGTCCCAGCTACTTGGGAGGCTGAGGCAGGAGAATGGCGTGAACCCGGGAGGCGGAGGTTGCAGTGAGCCGAGGCCGCGCCACTGCACTCCAGCCTGGGTGACAGAGTGAGACTCCGTCTCAAAAAACGAAAAAAAATGCTGGAAAGGAAGTTTGGAGTCACATCATAGATAATAGATCATCTTAAATGTCAAGCTAATGAAGTAGGACTTTTTGTAGGAGATGGTGGCAGATATTGAATAATTGAATGTCTTCATAATGATACAATAAAAACATCGTATTAATACTCAGAATATTAACTTAGTAGAAATAACTAGAAAGAACTAAAGTGAAAGACGACTGGAAGCTGAACATACAAGAAAATTGGTGGAAAAGCAAAGAATATAAACAGACTCAATGAGACTTGGCAAGTAATTGATCATGGAGTGAATGAAAACCAAAGATGAGCCTGAGTCTTTGGGTTTTCTTCTCTGCGAGTCTGGTGACAGAAATGGGAGCAGCTGCTTAGGGGTGGTGAGGACCGGGTGTTTGGGTTTTGATGTTTTTCTTTTAAGAGTCCATGGAACATAGAGATGCCATTTCTGTACAAGCAATTGGAAACACAAACTTGGAGATTAATAGAGGGGCTTGGATGAAAAATAAAATTTTAAAAGTCTTGTGACTAAACTTAATAATTAAGATCATAGAGATGAATCAGATGCTCATGAGAGAAAGTACACAGTGGAAAAAGGTGAGATTTAATTATGGAAAAGCCTAGAAAATGGGAGGGGAGTTCATGAAAAAGATAATGGAATATTGTGAGATAAAAAGAGAATCAGTTGGGGTAGTACAAAATTATAGAAAATAAGCAGGGGAAGTCTCAAGGAGTGATGCGACATGATGCAGAGATGAAAAAGGATCAGGTCTAAGGAAAGACTACTAGACTTTGTGAATCAGAGGTAATGACTGAACCTTGAGAGAGTAGTTCCAAGAGGGCAGAGGTGTTCAGATGGTATACTGCACTGAAATTCCTAGAAGGGCTTGTTAAACATAGATTCGCTTGTCAGTCCCCATTCTCTCACCCCAAGATTCTGATTTCACAGATTTGCAGTGAAGCCAGAAAATTTCTCCTTCTAAAAAATTCCCAGCTGATGCTGATGTTGCTAGTCCAGGCGCAAATTTTGGAAATCATTTCAATAGAATGATGGGTGGTTGTAATAGATGTGGGAGGATATAGGAATACATGATAATCAAGAGGTCTATGCAGCAAATGGAGGAAAGTCCAAAATACTTGCCTATGAAGAGAAGATGAGAAAAAGCTGTAGTTCTGGGTCCTAGTTTTCCTTCCTATTGTACCCAGAACTGTAGCTTTTATATTTTATGTACTCAGGGATTTTCTATACATTAAAGATAATCACTAGTCATTTCTTGCTACTTGCTCTGGTAGCTGAGACTTCTTAAATATAGCTTTAAATGTGGTAAACTCTTCCAGGCTCCTCCATCTTTTCTTCCCAGAAACTGCCCCCAATTTCAACCTCATATCCAAAATACAGCAGCTGTTTATCAATCACCCACTAACTACCAGAGTTGGAATATAGCAAGGTTTGAAGCTCTCTGGAAAGTAGATGGCTACTAAGGAATTGAGAGAGAATATGTCAGACAGCCTTTTAGCCTCAAAAATGCAAAAATGTGTACGTTCTTACATTTAGGCGCTTAAAAGCTCACGATCAGTTTTGCAAAGATACAGAAATTTCCAATTTTCACATAAATCTGCAAGGACTTGGCAGAAATAGTGTGACTGCTTTCCTCCAAATGCAGTCATGCTCATGTGTAATCGCAAGAAACAGGAATTAATGCAACTCTTGCAGTTTAGCAAAGTCATTTCAAAGTCTCTATAGTGCTTTCTTAAATGATACTGTGATTTTATTACCTATACTTTAACACACCATGGTGCTTTCTGATGAACTGTTTATGGCCCTTTCATTCTTCCCAACTGCCAGGTATAGAATGCTTATTTAAATTACGTTTTTCCTTTCTTATTCAAAACCTTTTAAGGACTCTGCTGTTTGAAAAATTGACTCTTACCTGGGTAAAAAGAGAATGAAGAGTTACCCAAATGTAATCAAATGCTGTCAGAGGGCAGAAACTTCTACTGCTGATTAGAAGTCAACTTCAGAACATCCAAAGGTCACTTCTTTTACATGTAAATATTAGCTTGGACATAGGAAATTGGAGGCATGGAAATTCAAGGAGAACTACTAAAGAATGTTGTAAGAAGAAAAGAGATGGTGTAGGGAGCTTAGCGTGTTCCTGCCACTTATGGGACATTTATCGAACACCCACTATGTGCTTAACATAGGAAGGAAACAAATACAAGATACATTCCGTTCTTCATGTAAATGCCATCTATTTTGGTGACAAGACAAAATGATGTAAAACAGCAACAAATAATTTTTTAAAGCAGTTGTTGAATGGCATGATATACATGAAGTGGGAAATGCTGTGTAATATGTAAACATTGAAGAAAAGCAACACAAATTAGCACAGCAGAGGCTCAGTTGATAAATTAATTCAATGCAGCATTTCCCAAATATATTTGACCATTGCCCTTTCCCTCACCTTTTTTTTTTCAAATAACAACTTCAATATTCTAAGGTACATACTTTAGGAAATGGTTATGGAACAGACAAAGCCAGCTGCTAAAAATAAAGTTGTCTAAGCTTTTAATCCTCAGATTTCTGAGCTCCAAAACTGGGAATAATAATGTCTCTCGCATGGAAGATGGATGGATTAAATTAGGTTCTGTGTGTGTGTATGTATTGATTAGCATCTAGGACAGTACCTCACATGAAATTGGTATTCAATAATTAGTAGCTGCTATTATTATTATTTTTAATTATCTTTATACAGAGGGGACAATATAAGAGAAAATATTGAGGCAGGATTGAGTATCATTTGAGGGCAACGAGGAGACTGGCCTGTCCAGGGTAAAGTGTTCTGTTTTGAATATAGAGGGGATTAGATTGGCTAAATCCTACCTGAACAGGTTTGGGACTTAATTCAGAGGAGAGAGGAGAATTAAGGACAAAGGAGAAGAAACTGGGAAAATAAAGGCTGCCTGGAAGTATAGATATCAAAGACAGTAGCAGTTGGCCCTCATCCAACCTAAGGTCGCCAACTAAACCTTTTTGTGAATGGCTCGTACCTGAGTCTGGTCTTTTCTCTGAGCTGGGTCGAGTGGGAAATAACAGCCTTTTTCTATGCATCGATTTGGACATTGCCAAGAAACCATCAAATGGAGTTAGTCAGAAAAACATACTTATGCATATATATTTACTCTTCTTTTCCACCATCACTGATATGTTGTACCTCTCCACCAAGCTGATCATAATCAAACCCAATACCAGAAAGAAACCATGTCATGACAGAGAGGGTTATTATGGTTTGAAGGAAAAATACTTGTTTTAAGTTTTTACGTTTTGACATCATTTCAGAATTCCCAAATACTTGCAAAATATTATAAAGAATCACCATATACTTTACTTGGATTCACCAAATTTTTTCATGTTTCCATTTTTACTTCCCCCTTTTCTCTCCTTCTCTCTCTCTACACATACATCATACATGCACACCCAATTTCCTTCTGTACTGCTTAAGAACAGTTTCAGACATAGTATACCTCTACCCTAAAATACTTTGACTTTCCCCAAAGCAAGGATATTCTCTTTCCTAACACTAGTACAGTGATCAAATTCAGGAAATTAACATGAATACAATATTATGTAATCTATTCAGATTTTGCCATCATCCCAAAATGTCTTTCTGGCAAAAGAAATTCCTAGGTCCCATGTTGCCTCCAGTCGTCACGTCCCCTCCGTTTCCTTCAGTCTAGGAAAGTGCTTAGTCTTCCCTTATCTTTCATGACCTTGACACTTTTAAAGAGTACTGGACAGTTTTTTGGTCAACTCTGTCAATATTTGAGTTTGTCTGATGCCTCCTCATGATTATATTCAGGTGATGCATTTTTGCCCCAGAAGTGCCATGGTGTGTGTCCCAGTGGCTTGTATCGGAAGACACCTGATGTCTGTTTCTCATTCCTGCTGATGTCAGTTTTCATCCCTAAGTTGAGGTGATGCTTGCTAGATTTGTCTTCTGTTCTTCTCTGCTTTATTTTGCAATGATGTAAATATCCTATTCCTCTTGTTTTGGCATCCATTGATGTTTATTTCTGAATCAATTATAACCATGATGGTTGCCAAATGCTGATGTTTTTAATTCTAATCAAAGGCAATTTTTTAAAAGTGTTTATTCAAAGAGATGCTACTCTATGTGAATTAGTCTAGTTTACCAAATGCCACTCTGAAAGTAAAATGTTTTATATACAGCATGAGAAAATATCTCTGACATCCCACTGTAACTGTTAATGTCCTGGGGGCTGGCACTGCTGAGAAAGTATGGAAAGCAATACCACGTTGATGAACAGCTATGAATTTCAAAACTTCTGTTATAGAGAGAGCTTCATTCACTAATATTTACCTTTAAAAATATTGAGAAATAGTATGTGCTTTGCAATAAACTATTTTTATAAAGAATTCCAGCTCTAGCTGCTAGGAGCTCTTTCTGCTTAAAGACATAAGAGATTTTGGTTTTTGCTTTCACTCAAGCAATAAACTTGTTTGTGTAAGATTGAAAACAGATTTGGAACCAGTAAAGCCTTGTTTGAAAGAGCCGCAGGCTTTCTTTTCCCTGCATAGGGACTCTAACTCTCATTCCCATTATGTAAAAATTATGACAAAAAATTGATTTTTCATAACATCTATGAAATTTATTGAACAAGGAAACAGTTTAGTTTTTAAAAACTATTTCCCTTATAATGAAATTATCAAATATTATAATTTTGAACCCATATTATAAAATGTGACCATCATATTCCATGAATACAAAAGGTGAGCATGTATTATGGCCCAGATACAGGATGTAATACTAATAACTATAGCATACAATGATACATAATGATAATGATACAGGGTATAATGATAATTATAGTCCAAAGTCACCCTGTGAGGTATTACCTCCATTTACAGAAGACACAACTGAGACAGAGAAAAGTTAAATGCCCTTCATTTTATTTCCAATGTTTGTGAGTCCTGTTCTATCCATTAATGCTGAGAATTGGGACCTGTTTATGTCTATCTGCATTAGTAAGAATAATCTTGAGACTGAGTTGACCATGTTGATGGCCCAAGGGCTTATTAGCCTTCTCTACTTTTGTGAGAAGGTTACATATGGCATTTCCATACCCAATATGTTCTCTTGAAAATGTACATTTTCCATCTCTGGCAGTATCTAGGTACAGAGTATAGATTTTATATTTCTGAAAAATCCATTGCTCCTATTAAAAAGCATCTACTGATACTATGACTTAAAACTTAAATGTCATAGACCTTTTAACCTGCTTATTGGATATTTAAGTACTTAATGTGCTTGGCATCCTATTGGGTTCTTTACATGTGTTCTGTGTAGCCTTCTGTATAGTAGTTTTGAATTCTTGATTCTGCACATGAGAAAGCTGAAGCTTAGAGACAGAAAGCTTTGCTCAAGACTGAAGCACCAGAAAGTTCAGAGGGAAGGTTCAGTTCCGTGATTTGTCTGATTTCAGAGTCCATTGTCCATACACCACGCTGACCACACTGGCTTCCATGAGAGTGCCAGAATCGGTGGGTAAAAAGGTGATTAATATGCAAGGTCATGGGTCATGGTAACATTGTCTTAGCAAGATACATGATACATTTCCCTCTATTTGTTTTTTGTTTTTTTAAGTTTACTTTAGAATGTTTCTTCCTGATTTATTAATGCACTGAGGACAGGGTCAAATAGTGATACTGTTTTACCACTGCCTCGTGGGTCAGTTCTGCCTCTTCTAGCCTTAGAACTGACTGAGCATCTTTCTGCTGTGGGACATCAGCAGGTACTGTTTCCTCTGCTTGGAATGTGATCCCCACTCCTCATTCTGTAACTAGCTATCTCCTACCCATCCTTCAGATCTCAGTTATAAATATGACTTCTGCAGAAAGCTTTCCCTGACCTGCTCAGTGTCCATGTGCCCTATTGGACTGTAAGTTCCATAAGGCCAGGTTCCATCTGTATCCCTGGCTTCTAACACTGTGCCTGACACATAATAGGTACTCAGTAAATAATTGTTAAATATATGAATGAATGAGTGAATGAAAGCAAAAGAGGAAAATGAAAGAAGAAAGGGAAGATGATAAGGAGAGAGGGAAGAAGAGGAAGAGAAATAGGGAAAGATATTGTTAGGGAGAAAGAGAAAAGTGGACAGGAAAGAAGAGAGGGAGAAAGGAAGAGAGGGAAGAAACAAAACATTCTCAGCCAAGTTATATAATAAGCACATCATAATGAAAACGATTACTGGATCTAACTAAGGCCAGTAAAAATGATTTTAGCCCTTGCATTTACATTTTCTATGGCCTTGAATAAGTTATTTTTCCTGTCTGGACTTCTATTTCGTTACTAGTAAAATTAAGGTTTGAACTTAAAGACAAGAGGCATCTCAGATCTCTTCAAATTCTATCATGCTCCTGATCTACATTCATTAGTGGAGAAGTGTTCTCAAATGCCTAATATGCGCTTCTTCACTTATTCTCCAACTCTCTAAAGTGCAAAGCAGTCCATGGCCTGAACAAAACAAATTTGTTTGAAAACACTTTAGACTCTGTCACTCCATCTTTTACCTTACTAAGCTAAGACTGTTGAAAATTCAGTAGGTTCATTAAAATCAATACTTAGACCTCTGCTTCCTTGTAATCAGTAAGCACTACTGTGTTTTGACTGAAGAAGAAAATAAAAGTATATAAAAACCTTAGCAGCAAGAACTGCACAGCAACAATGGCTGTGCCACTTATTTGAATGCATAAATGTCATTTTCTAAGACTGATGTTATCCAGGTTTTTCTTGATTAGGACTCTTATCTGTGGCATCCATACTTGATAGAACTGTGAGTGGACAGGCAGGAAGAATGGCAGATGGACAGGTATTATATAGCTCATAGGCTCTTGCATATTACTGATTACATCTGCTGTGATACATTTCATTGAGTGGTTTCTGTGCATGTCTTCTTCATCATGCCGATGTTCTGCAGGCTGTTAGCCAAGAAGTGAAGTGAACCACACAGTCACACAGTCAGCTACAATGGGTAAGACTGCAGTAAGCAAGAAGTGCAGTCGTGTAACTCAATTTTGGAGGAGCTGTGCTGAATGGATGGGCAAAGGATGCGCACACGCATGTGTGCACACACACACGTATAAGTGTCTTCCTTTTGAAGCCATATATTATATGCACACATATCACATATTTACATAAAAATGTTCATGGAGCACTTGTAACCCTACTGAGTTTTAGGAAACTCTTGGATGTAACCCAGTAAAATTAAATCCAGTCAAACTGTTGGATTTGTGTTACATATTCAAACTTTAAATTTAGTATTTCCTGAGATACCAAGACTTAACTCTGAGGTGTATGGACTAATTACTAATTGGTTAAAGTAGACTGGTCTTATATACCTAAGCACCCATATGTTGAAACTTTCCTCGCTGCTATAAGTTGAAAATAATCATAATAAGAATAGATCAAGACTGGATGATCAAGATACAGTTAATTCTCAATTAATAACCCTAAAAGGAAATAAATGAATTTTTATATAACATAGTACACACACTTCATATGAGATGCTTTTTGTAGTTTTGCTACTGTTACTTTTACTGTTGCCACTGTTCTTGGTCATAAGCTGTTTTAGTGTGGCAACTATCTCTTGTATATTTTATTATCTCAATAATAGCTTTGTATCATCATAGATGCTTGAAAAATGCCTACAATCATGTTGTAGTGGGTTGTCCAAAATATCACATAATTTAAAAATCTCTGATTTGTGTCTTTGAAATGTGTTTTTACTCATATTTGAGTACATGTGTCTCTTGATCTGCACCTTCCATTGAACCACCTAGTTGACATCCCAAAGGTGCAAAGCAGTTGTCCGGTTTTCCATGCTGTCGTTTTGCACAACTCTGTGTTGCACATTGCTTCATGATGGTAGGCAGCTACTTCAGACTAATGCAAACTTGGCCGTCTTTCAAATCTTCCCTTAATCTGGGCAAAAGGCCAAAAGCTTTTGTTTCAAAGAGTTCTCCTCATGCAAAACAAATACAATGGGTTCCCCTATTCCTTCAAAAATATTGTGCCAACAAATGGGTAATGAAGCTTTTTCACTGTTAACTTTTCAGTGAATGCCCAGAAAGCGAAAATGGGTAATGAAATGAACCGGGGTCTGTGGCAAAACCAGAAGGCAGTGTAGATAATATATCCATAAATAAGTGAAATTTGGTTGTGCTGAGTTTATATGTGCTTGCTAAAAACCATGTCAAGGTGCTGGAGTGCTTTCTCAAGAAAATTGAAGAGGCAGAATTTACAGACATAGGTGACCTGGAGGTTCATGCTGCATGCATCCTAATTAAGTAAAGCAGTCACTGAAATTGCTTTCTGTCATCTGGATAAGAAGCAATTACAGTCACACTTCAGGTTGCTGTTTCCATGAGGGAATAAGGTATTGTATTTAGCTGACTCTTCCAATCAATTGAGGGTTAATAAATTAATGCCCATACTTGTCAAAATGTAGCATGACAAAGGAGAAATCTCTTAAATGCTTAGAAGATAGAGACTTTAAAACTCCAATCTGTAATCTTCCATTTCCAGATCATAAAGTTAGGGCTGATGATAATGTTTCTTTTCTTACTACAACTGAAAAAAAAATCCCAAAATTAAAAAAAAAAAAAAAAAAAAGCCTATGTTTGCATCACCAAGTTGAGTTTCATATGGTGTACAGTAAATTCAGTTACACTAGATTTCTTTATATAACATCCTCTACTTGTCTCTATTTAATAATTTGTACCATATATTTTATGGCCTTCACTAGAATGATAAGTTCTTCAAGGGTAGTAACTGTGAAATTTTTCTGAGAGGTCCTTACTACAGCAAGTCCCAGTAAAAGTTTGATAAAGGAGTACATTTTTTGTTTTATTTTTTATTTTATTTATTTATTTATTTTTGTGAGACAGTCCTGCTCTATCACCCAGGCTGGAGTGCATTGGCACAATATCGGCTCACTGCAACCTCTGCCTCCCGGGTTCAAGAGATTCTCATGCCTCAGCCTCCTGAGTAGCTGGGATTACAGGCATGTGCTATCAAGCCTGGCTAATTTTTGTATTTTTAGCAGAGACAGGGTTTTGCCATGTTGGCCAGGTAGGTCTCAAACTCCTGGCCTCAAGTGATCTGCCTGCCTTGGCCTCCCAGAAGTGCTGGGATTACAGGCATGAGCTGCCGCACATTGCCAAAGAGTACATTAATTGTGTTTTTATACAATATATGAATGACTAAATTTATGCCTTCTAGTGCCTCTTCTTAACATATGTTAAGTCTCTAAAAGTAGCTTCTAGATTGTGGGAGTTGTTGTTATTAGGAGAATTTCTGGGAAGATTGTAAAGTTTGCATCCATTGGTCTTCCTGGTAGTTTCATCTTTCTCTTTTTTAACAATCTAAACTCTATAAATTGCTGGTTACTTGATGAGTGCAGTTGGCTGAATGGTTGTCAATCATGTTTTTACTAATTACGAAAAAGCAATGAATTTAGGGAAGAAAGCTTTTGGAATAATTCTGATTAACTACAACAAAAGAGTTGGCCTGCTAAAGGAAAGAATTGGGCTGGAATTTCCAACAGGATGGGATTAGTTACAAATTGCCGCTGTAAACAAGGAATAAGCTCGAGGAAACAGTGTTAAGATATTTTGTAGCAAAAAAAAATTATATATTTTGACCATTTTTTAAATGCACGTGTGAGGTAGAACAAAATTTAAAGTTATTTTGAATTTTTCAGAAATAAAATTTCTAGAATGTATACATATATACATATATATGGACATACATATATACATCACACTGAATGATGTGTTGATAAGCATTCAACAACCCAACAGCATTCAACAACCCAACATCTCTCTCTAAAAAAAAAAAAATAGTAAAGACCCCAATTGGTAGCATTGTTGATTTCCATGATGTAAATACTCCCACCATGACTGATTTCAAGCTACCGAGATGATGTTACTGAGCACAGAATTGGGAAGAAATGCACAGAGTCAGCTGTCAAACTGAATCGAGCCAGCTCAAGGAAACCACTGCCCACCTCCACCCCCAAGTATATCATTTAACTGCTGCACACCCCACCCTTACACCCTAGATATTAGAGGTATGGGATGCCTCTAACATCTCAGATATTGAATCCTATATATCACACATAGAAGTGACCCCAAACCCAGTATAGGATCACCTAAAATTGTATGAATGAAATATTCACCTCTCTTTTTTCCCATGTTTCAGTCAACTCAATAGAACAGTAAGATTTACCTCTTCTTGGGAATAAGCTCAATTTAAAGAAACATATTCAGTTAATAAATATTATCAATAAATGTGAACTCCCCACCAATCCTTCTGTCATTTAGCCAATGACCCAGACTTCCTGACCAAGTTCAGTACTGCCTGGATCTCTACTATGCCAAGCAGAGCTGAGATGAGGCTATCATGGCAGTCAGAGATTGCGGCTTCGAAGTACAGTAGGTCTTCAAATAACATTGTTTTGTTCCATGTCGATTTGTTGTAACATTGACAAGAAAAGGAAACTGATTCCCAGCTGGGGCCACTGTCTATGTGGAGTTTGCACATTCTCTCCATGTCTGCATGGGTTTTCTCTGAGTACTCCAGTTTCTTCCCACATCCCTAAGATGTGCGTGTTAGTTTCATTAGCATGTCTACACAGTCCCAGTGTGAGTGAGTGTCGGTGTATGTGAATGTGCCCTGTGATGGGATGGCAGCCTGACTACTGTGGGTTTCTGACTTGTGCCCTGAGCTGCTGGGACAGGTTCTGGCCACCCGTGACCCTGAGCTGGAATAAGTGAGTTAGAAACTGAACAAATGAATGCACGCAAATTATTATCAAATAAAAATTCATCAAGTATATGATAATCATAGAAATGTACAACAAACCATGCAACCCCAAAGCTCTCAGCAAGCCTGCCATATTGGTTCTTGTTTTTGAACTGCATGGTAGGAGAAGGTGCAATTCTGACTTTGCAAACATTTATTCTTTTATTTAATCCATCGCCACTGTGATCATCATCACTCACTTTTTCACCAAAACTTGGGTAAATAATACTCTTACTTGTTTTTATTAATCTTAAATGTATGTATAGTTCAAATTTATTTCAGTGTCTATTATTAGAAGTGTTTTGAGTCTTTATTTAGAAGTTTGGTGATGTTTTTGTGACCAGAAATATACCATAGGAACTTAACTCTTATTTCTATCTCTTCGCCTGTGGTAAAATTGATTTTTATGTATGTCATCTTGCTTAAACTAAGTTTACAAGAACTTATCTATGACATTAAGTGAAGAAGTACTGTGCTGGCTTGTGTATATTAAAAGCAGCCGTGTCCCAGGGACCTTGCTCTCAGTACAACTTGTATCTTACTTAGGACGCTTTAGTCTGGCTGTTTGACTTTCTGATAGTCTAGGACCACTTCTCTCTAAGTACCACATTTCCTTTTGCTTTAAGGGCTACAAGCCCCAACCATCTAGGACCCTTTCTTTTTAAATACCACATTTCCTCTTGCTTCAAGGGCTACAAGCCCCAGCCCACTTAAGATGGAGAGATGACTTCTCAGTGAACTATCAGATAGGTGCCAAAAGAGTCAGATGGAAATAGAATCTGATTACTTAACTCTGCTTATAATCAATAATTGGCACTAAGTAAAGCAGGGAGTTTTAATCAAGGTAAATGGAGCTATGATGAATAGGTAGGTAGCTAAATGGAGTCCAGGAAATAATAGAGTGTAATTCAAAAAGAAAGGTGACATTTAATCCAAATATATAAAATACATCTGGCAGAAAGGTTACTTCCTTGCAGATTCTAGAAATTCAGTTAATGAATATTTGTTGAGAACCCATGGTGGTATGCATAGCCATGTACTACACAAAATAACATACCAAAGGACAATATTCTGACACACTAGAAATTGTCTACCTCTAATCAACAAATATATCTCCAAACCTCCCCAATTAAGTTCTTATTGAAACAATTTAAAACTTAGATGTGTGTTTATTCCCAGTGGAATTTTATAATGCAAACTCAATGATTAATCCAGCATGTCTTTGCTTATTAAGAAATGAAATACCTCACTACCTCAAAATACATTGGTAAAATGCTAAAACTAATAGTAAGGATCCTCACTGAAAAACTGTTATAAAACAGATTTGAAACACACATAGACACATACAGCTCAGTGTAGTGGTAGAAAAAATAAATGTATACATTTTCAGGTGGGTTAATTGGACTCAGGAAATCACTTTTTTAACCTGTGGGTCCAGATCTTTCATCATGCTCTCTTTTATGTGATCTCTAGTTAATAAAGTGTTATTAAATGTATGTAGATTTAGAATGACTAGCCTCTTATTCTGCTCTTCACTTCTGCAGTGTTTCTGCTTCTTTCTTTTGTCCTATTAGCTTGCTATATATTATATATTATATTATATAATATATAGTATATATAATATATTATATAATATATAGTATATATAATCCACCATTAAGGTTAATATATATAATATAATATATATAATATTATATAATTATATATATATAATATAATATAATATATATAATATATATAATATATATATATATATTTATATTATATATATATATTATATATTATATAATTATATATATATAATATATATATATATAATATATATATATAATTATATATATATTAACCTTAATGGTGGATTTATAGCCTGATATTTGCAAATATAACCAGATATTAGTAAATACATGTTGGATGGGTCCCAATATTGTATTATTCCCTCTAGGACAATAAGTATGAAGTGTCAAATTTTAATGGCTTTCAAATTATGATTCATGAAATATATTCTGTGAAAATATTAGTGGCCAAACACATTTAGGGTAGGATTACCCCAATGGCTCCAGCCTTGACCCTGAAGTTGAGATTTTTACATATAAAAAGGGAATGTATAAATCTCCCATGATCTCAGAAGTGGGAAATTCTGTGGTCTTAGTGGAATATAAATTGGCATGATATTTTTTAATATTACTAAAAATATTACCAACAGAAAACACAAACATAGCAATAGTGGGCATGCTTTCTTAAATATCTACTTTATGTCAGGTATCTGGCTTTCTTAGGTATCACTGCATGCTGATTACTATGCTATATATCTCATCTGTAATGCCTCCATTCTCGATAGCAACCTGACCAAGGAGTTGTCACTATCTTATTATAAATGAAGAAGTTGATGCTTAGAAAAGTTTAGTGAGAATTATGAGGTAGAACCGATATTCAAACTCAAATGAGGCTAACCATAATTCTGCTGTCTTACTACTATAGCAATCTAATTTTAAGCACTGCAAGGGCAGAGACCATGTTGGTCTTGCTCATCAGACTATATCTAGCACCTAATAATTTGTTTGGCATTCAATGTATATGTGTGAGTTGAAAGAATGAATGAACATCTTTCCTAAACTCTCATTAAGTATCTTGTTTTTTTCATCTTTAAAGTGAGAATTATAATATTAAAAATGTTAATTTTTCAGACATTTAGTGAGACCATGTGACTTAATGTGGTTGCAGCATTTTAATTCTGCAGTGAGGAGCAGTAGCAGCCCAAGATATTATCTAGAAAAGGCTAAAATATACAGAAATGCTGAAATAAACCCCCAAATCCCATAAGTTCAACATTTCAACATTTGACTCAAATAATTTTATTGATAACCAATGAATACCCTGAGTAATTTTGATTCATATGTCTCATGTCAATATCAGCATAATAAATGCAAGAATTAAAATGAAAAGCTCTGGGAGAAATAGCTTTAAATTTAGTTAGTCTTTGTAGCCCAGGTAAAACTGCCAAATATCATTGACTAAATCCTAAGTGTGGATTCATAAATTTGCTTTTACAGATTAATACATTTATTTGTTGTGACAAAGCTAGCATAATTGCTGCACTAAATTCCCAAATTAATAACCTTATCTATATAAAATAATATTTTATATTCTTAAAATGTCATTTAGCATCTGATTAGTCAAAGGATACCTGGGTGTTATTTTTGCAATCTTTTTTTTTTTTTGGAACGGGGTCTCACTTCTCACTCTGTTGCCCAGGCTGGAGTGCAATGGCATGATCTTGGCTCACTGCAACCTCTGCCTCCCGGGTTCAAGCGATTCTCCTGCCTCAGCCTCCCAAGTAGCTAGAATTACAGGCATCAGCCACCATGCTTAGCTAATTTTTGTATTTTCAGTAGAGATGGGGTTTCACCTTGCTGGCCAGGCTGGTCTTGAACTCCTGACCTCAAGTGATCTGCCCACCTCGGCCTACGAAAGTGCTGGGATTTCAGGTGTGAGCCACAGTGCCTGGTCTGCAATCTTTAAACTTCATTAAAATTTAGGATTGAAATAATTTGCAATGGCAAAATATTTTTAAATAATTTAAACAACTTTCTCTAACTATAAAAGTAGCATATGTTTATTAAACAAACTTTACAAAATATAAGCAAAAGTAAGAAATGAAATATATTTCCTGAGCCTAAGATAACCACGATGAATATATATTAATATTTGTCTGTGTATACTTAGAGATCTTATACTTTATTTAAAGGTATATGAGTCAGTTGAAAGAGAATGTGAATCTGACATTTTGTCTTTATAGAAATCCTCAATATGTGATTTCACGTACTTGGACCCCTTGAGTAGCTCCTTTTGGCTCAGGGGTCAGTCTGTGTACTGGTACCTGACTCAAATATGAGCAGTCCACCAAAGCAATGTCATTGCCCTAATTCTCCTATAATTTTCCTGTGAAATATTCTTTCCTAAATTCCAGTTATCTGTTTATTTGTTATTAATATCTATAATATTGGCATTTGAGCACATATCTATATAAGGACCCAAAAAACTTGATACAGTTTTTTGCTGAAGGTCTCTCATATTACATCATTATAAATGTTGATTCATAAAGATTTTATAATGCCTGAAGGACTACTCTCAAGAACATATGTACTGAAATATCTATTGATTTTCTTCTTTCTGTCATAAGCTTAGATTGTCTATACATTATCATGGTATTTCCTTTCCTGTATCATATTTCATGTAACATTTAAATTTGGAACAAATAAATCTCAGACTTCTTATTGAGAAAAATATTTATATCTTAATTTGGTGTTATTTTATTTTTTGTTCATCTTTCAAGATGTAGCCTTTACTCCACACTGAATTGGGTACATCTTTGGCACTAGAAATCCAAGCATACACAGAGCATATTAAATAATTCCTCCATTTAAGTTTATTTTTATTAGTATTTTATCTTTTATTCTCTCTTCATGTGAGTACTTTGGTCTTATTACAGGTTAAGAGTTCTTTATCTGGAATCCTCAGACACTCAAATATTTTAAGCATTAAGTTTAGGTCTGTGAATTTGGATAGTGATAAAAATACACTAATTTCTTAGCTATATCCCAGAGATTCTGGTATGATGTATCTTCGTTCTCATTAATTTCAAAGGACTTCTTGGTTACTGCCTTAATTTCATAATTAACCAAAAAGTTTTTTTTTTTGTTCTGTGGTCTGAGAGTGGTTGGTATAATTTCAATTTTTTACATTTGCTGAGCATTGTTTTGTGTCCAATTGTGTGGTCAATTTTAGAATACATGCCATGTGGCAATGAAAAGAATGTATATTCTGTTGTTTTGTAATAGAGAGTTCTGTAGGTGTCTATCAGGTCTATTTGGTTTAGTGTTGAGCTCAGGTCCTGAATACTTTTGTTAGTTTTCTCCCTTAATGATCTGTCTAACACTGTCAGTGGGGTGTTGAAGTCTCTCTTTCAAGGTCTCTAAGAACTTGCTTTATGAATCTGGGTGCTCATGTGGTGGGTGCATATATATTTAGAATAGTTAGTTCTTGCTGAATTGAACCCTTTACCCTTATGGAATGCCCTTTTTAATCATTTTTGATCTTTGCTGGTTTAAAGTCTGTTTTGTCTGAAGTAAGGATTGTAATTCCTGCTTTTTTTTTTTTTTCATTTGGTAGATTTTTCATGATCCCTTTATTTTGAGCCTATGTGTGTCATTGCATTTAAGATGGGTCTCTTGAAGATAGCATATCACTAGGTTTTGGTTATTTATGTAACTTGCTGCTCTGTGCCATTTAATTGGGGCATTTAGTCCATTTGCATTCAAGGTTAGTATTGATACATGTGGATTTGATAATGTCAGCATGCTGTTAGCTCTTTGTTATGCTAATTTGTTTGTGTGGTTGCTTTATAGTATCACTGATGTGTGTAGGTGCGTTTTTGTAGTGGCTGGTAACAATCTTTTCTTTCCATATTTATTGCTTCTTTCAGGGGCTCTTATACGGCAAGTCTGGTGGTATGGAATTCCCTCAGCATTTGCTTGTCTGAAAAGGACCTTATTTCTCTCCTTCACTTATAAAGCTTACTTTGGTAGAATATGAAATTCTTGGTTGGAATTTCTTTTCTTTAAGAACGTTTAATATAGGCCCCCAGTCTCTTCTGGCTTGTATGGTTTTTGCTAAGATGCCTGCTGCTAGTCTAATAGACTTCCCTTTGTAGGTGACCTGTTCTTTCTCTCTAGCTGCCTTTAACATTTTTTCTTTCTTTTCTACCTTGGAGAATCTGCTGATTATGTCTTGGGGATGATCCTCTTGTGACATATTTTGCAGAAGTTTTCTGCATTTCCTGAATTTGAATGTTGGCCTCTCTAGCTAGGTTGGGGAAGTTTTCATGGCTGAAATCCTGAAATATGTTTTCCAAGTTGCTTCCATTCTCTCCATCTCTTTCAGGGATTCCAGTGATTCATAGATTTGGTCTCTTTACATAATCCCATATTTCTCAGAGTTTTTGTTTATTTCTTTTCATTCTTTCTTCTTTCTTCTTGTCTGACTGTCTTATTTCCAAAAGCTAGTCTTCAAGGCTCTGAGATTTTTTCCTCAGCTTGGTCTATTCTGCTGCTAATACTTGCAATTGCATTATGAAATGCTTGTAGAGTGTCTTTCAGCTCTGTCAGGTTGATTATGTTGATTTTGATCCTGGCTACTTTGTCTGTCAGCTCCTGTAACATTTTATTGTGATTCTTAGCTTCCTTACATTGGATTTCAGTATTCTCCTGAATCTTAATTATCTTCATTCCTATCCATATTCTGAGTTCTATTTCTGTCATTTCATCCATCTCAGCCCAGTTAAGAACCCTTGCTGGGGAACTAGTGTGTTTGTTTGGAGAAAAGAAGACCCTCTGGCTTTTTAAGTTCTTGTGGTGGTTCTTTCTTATCTTTGTAGGCAGACGTTCCTTCATTCTTTGAAGTTGCTGTCCTTTGGATGGATTTTATTTTTCTTTTACCCTAGTCCATGACCTTGGGGGTTTGATGATGGTATAAGGTGGTCAGTGGACTAGCTTCACTACTGGAAGATTTGAGGGGGTCAAGGCTCAGCTCAGGGCTCCTAGACAGTATGCTCTTACTCTGGGGGACTGATATTGGGCCCTGGCTTTGTTATCTAGCTCCTTGAGGTTAGGAACCTTCTGCACTGGAGGGGCTGAGGTGCTCCCAGACTGCTGGTCACAACACTTTGATGGGTGGTGGCAGCCACAAAGTACTTCATAGGGTGGTGGCAGCAGGATTCATCCTTGTTTGCATGTGCCACAAGCAGTGGCAGCAGCAGTGCAGCAGGGTGCGTGCTCAGCAGCAGCAGCAGGGTGCTGTAGGTGCCAGAGCCCCAGCCACCATGCAGCATCTGTGGTGGCAGTACAACTTGGGGGGCCAGGGTCCCCCACCTGCGACTGTGTGTGTGTTGGTGCCAGTGGTGGTGTTAGAATGATGGCGGGACACTGATGGGCACAGGATTGTGTGCTCCCTCTGTGCACATTCACACTGGCAGTGGTGGCCGCTTAGGGTGCAGGGGAGTCCACTGTTTTCTTTGCACCGGTGTCAGCGTCAGCACAGGGGCAGAGCACTGGAGTGGGCAGGGCTGGTGGGCTTCGAGCCCACCAGTGCTCCCATGGCAATGGCTATGAGGTGATAGGAGGAATGGTGGGGTTCATTTACGCCCAGCAGTGGCATGGCAGAGTGCACACGCACACACATGATGGCAGGGAAGGGAAGGAAGAGTTCCTCTGCAAACATGGCTGCCAGGAAAACAATGTGGGTGGTGGCCATGGGCGAGTACATGAAGGCAAAGGCAGCAGAGGGAATGGGCAGGCTGGTGCGTGTTCATCGGGGCTGCTCTGCTGGAGCACTCTGCTGGTCAAGCATGGTCTGCCAGCACAGCAGCTATGATGTGGGCCCCCAGGAGGTACCAGGTGGCTGCACTGCATGCAGGTGCAGCCAGGCTGGGGCCCTGGGAGAGGCCAGCAGATGGAGGGGCGCTCAGGTCAGACCTGCCCCATCTGATGCGCAAGACTGCCCTGCAGAGTGCAGGACTGACAGATCCCCTAGGGCTAAAGTCTTCTGTGGGAGCAAGTTGTGCCTAAGGGAATGGGCACTCCTGGCCATGCTCCACTATAGATACTCCCACACCAAACCTTCTGGACTCTGCACTGGCTGCAGTTCTGCCCCGACTACTTCTCTAGGCAACTTTCCCTGCCAGTACAAGTGTCCATGGCAGATTAGAGGTCTCCTCCTGCTGGGATTCCAGAGGCCCATGGTAAGAGCAGGTTGCTCCTTGCCTGTTCAGCTCACCCCTTCTGCAGTAGTCACTGGGGACCAGCAGTGAGTTTCAGTTCCCGGCAGCCTCCCTCTTCAGCCCAGCATCTATGTCTTCCCTTCATCTGCTCTCAATGCCTTTCCTCTGAGTTCACCAGTCTTCCTGGTGTCCTGTTCCCTCAGTGGGAGATGTTCCTCCTGGCTGTGTTTAGTTGGACATCTTGGAGCAGGCTCTTAGGAACAGGGCCCAGGCTGAAGACTGCTCTCTACTATCTTAGAAGCAGGAAAAAAACCCAAACTCATTTTCTCTGTTGGATGCAAGCTGAAATTCCAGAACAGAGTTACCTGCCCTCCATCTGGCTTTTTGTTTCTGCGCGCTACATATTGTGTATATTGTACCAACAGTGATGGCTGCTAAATCAATGCTTGTCTTTATTAATAAGAAATGTACGGTATTACAGAAATGGTATTTTCCCTAGGAGAGATCATATTATAGTTCATTCTGAAGTATGAGTCTTACATATTTCATGCCCATACGTTTAAGAAAATTACTTCTTTCCGATGAATCATGTGTTCCTTGCCAGTGAAGCTCAGGCTGTCGCACAGTGGAGTTCTTCACAGCTGTTGTTATATAGACTTCAGGGCTACTTCAGTAGCTAGCTACTTCTGCACCACTCGGAGAAGCAGAACGAGTCTGTAGATGTTTTAGAGCTGACAACATCTGTCTAGATCATTACTATCTGTCAATCTTCATTAGTAAAGGGAATTGCAAAATAAGATGAAATTTAATCAAGGAGGCTGGAAAGTGATTATTATAGCTTCTATTTGGGGGAATGAGTATTGCATTACCTATGATACATTTTTACTTTGGTAAGAAATAAATACATTGCCAAGGGGGTGAAGAAACTACAGAATCATTACTAACTTGTGTTAGATTCACATTACAATGGTATGTTGTAAATCAAGGCTACAAAGAGACAGGGTTCAGTGAGAGGTATTGGTGAACCAGTTTCCCTCTCCAAGCAGCATTGTGTGTATCTGGATGGGTAAGCAGCCACCTACACACTACTGTGCTCCTTCCCTTTTTTTCAAACAGCTTTAGAAATTAGAGATACAGAGGATCAGGTCCTCCAGACACTGTGGGATGATTTCAGATAGTCAAAGCATCAGAACACAATAAATAACAAGGAAAAAGTAGGAAACTTACCGTTATGCTATCATCTCTGATAAATGAGCTGCTGGCAGATAATACAGTTGGCTAAGACTGACTGAATGCCAAGAACTTTTCTAAGCTTTTTATAGGCATTAACTTATTTAACCCTCCTAACAAAACCCTAGGTGATTCATGTATTAGGAAGACCTGAGGCATAGAGAAGTTTCGATAACTTGCCCAAAGTAATACTGCTAAGAGTAAACAGAGTCGATGTTGAATCTCAGCAAGTCAGTTTTAGAGCTCACACTCGTAAGAATTATACTCTACCACATATTTTGGGTAGTGATGTATTCTGCTCAAGAAGACATCATGATATACCTAGCCTGGATTTTTATCCCTGCTTAAGTAAAAGCTTGTTAACACCTCCTTCAAATCTCCCTTTGCCTCACCCAGTACTACTTCTCCTTCTCTGATCTACTTTATTCTTTGCATCTACTTTATTATTTCTTTTCCAGATCCTGATAGTGACTCAGTTCTTGATACTTGGCCCCTCTGTCCCAATGGGTATGCCTAGGTGTATATACATACACATGTATATATGCACACACATCTTTTCTCTCAAATTTATTGAGAAAGTATTTTGTGTTTTTATTTATATGTTTTTTAATATTTTTGAGCTAATTCTACATTTACATACAATTGTAAGAAATAATATGAAAAGATCTCGTGTATCCTTTCCCTGATTTCTCCCAATGATACATTTTGCATCTTGCAAAATCATAGTATAATTTCACAACCAGGACATTGACATTGTACAATCCACCACTCTCATTCATATTTCCCAAGTTTCACTTACATTCATTTGTGTGTGTATTTAGTTTTATACAATTTTATCATGTGTATGTTCATGTAACCACACCGCAGTCAAGAAGCAGAGGAGTTCCATCCCCACAAGGACCTTTTGGGTCACGCTTTTTATAACTACGCCTTCTCTCCCTCCTGCATCTTCCCTTCCCTACCCCTAAGGCCTAGTGGCCACTAATCTGTTCTCCATTTCTAAAGTTTTGTCTTTCCAAATGTTTAATATAAATGAACTCATACAGAATGTAATCTTTTGAGTTTGACTTTTTTTTTTTTTTTTACTCAGCATCATCCCCTGGAGACATTTCCAAGTTGTTGCATACATCAAAAATTTGTTTCTTTTTCACTGCTAAGTAGTATTCCACAGTTGGCTTAACATGCCACCTGTTGAAGGACATCTGGGTTGTTTCCACTTTGGGGCTCTTATGAATAAAGTTGCCGTGAATACTCATGCACAGGTTTTTTTGGGTGAACTTATTTTCATTTCTCTAGGATAAGGACCTAGTAATGCAATTGTTAGTCTATATAATAGCTGATGTTTAGTTCTATGAGACATTGACAAACTATTTTCCAGAGTAACTATGCACTTTTATATTCCCATCTGCAATGAATCCCGGTTTTTCTCCATCCTTACTAGCATTTAGTATTATTGCTATTATTTATTTTCACCATCCTGACAGATGTGTAGTGACAGCTCATTGTGGTTTTAATTTGCATTTCCCTGATGGCGAATTACGTTTGAACATCTTTTCATGTGCTTATCTGCCACCTCTATTTCTTCTTTAGTAAAATGTCTGTGTCTTTGCAGATTTTCTAATTGAATTGTTTATTTTTTTACTTGGGGGTTTTGAGAGTTCTTTATGTATTCTCAGTAACAGTTATTTGTCAGATATGAGGTGTGCAAATATTTTTACCAAGTCTGCTTTATAGCTTCTTCACAGGGTTTTTTTAAAGAAGAAAAATGTTTAATTTTGATAAGATTCAATTGATCAAATTTTTCTTTTATGGGTTCTGCTTTTGGTTTCAAGGCTAGAATTCATTGCCTAGCCCAAGACCTCAAAGATTTCTCTCATTTTTCCCTAAAACTTTTATAGTTTTAAATTTTACATATATATCTGTAATCCATTTTATTTTATTTATTTTTTTATTATACTTTAAGTTCTGGGATACATGTGCAGAACGTACAGGTATGTTACATAGGTGTACATGTGCCATGGTAGTTTGCTGCACCATTTTTATTTTATTTTATTATGCTGTACCATATTATTTTATTTTGTTTATTTTGAGACAGAGTCTTGCTCTGTCACACAGGCTGGCGTGCAATGGTGACATCATGACTCACTGTAGCCTTAAACTCCTACGCTCAAAATATCCTCCCACCTCTGTCTCCTGAGTAGCTGGGACTATAGGTAGTGGCCACCATACCTGGCTATTTTTTAAAATTGTTTTTATAGAGATAGAGTCTTGCTGTGTTTCCCAAGCTGGTCTCTAACTCCTAGCCTCAAGTTATCCTTCCACCTCAGCCTCCCAAAGTGCTAGGATTGCAGGTGTGAGCCACCATGACCAGCTGTGATCTATTTTAAATTATTTTTTTGTATGACACATGAGGTTTAGGTTGAAGTTCATGTATTTATTTTCTTATGGATGTCCTATTACTCTAGCATCATTTCATGAAAAAGCTATCCACTCCTCCAATGAATTGCTTTTGCACCTTTGTCAAAAATTGGTTAGACATATTTGTGTAGGTCTATTTGTGGGTTCTTTATTCTGTTCCATTAATCCATGTGTGTATCAATCTCTGCTGACATCATATTTTCCTGATTAATGTAGCTATATTGTAAGACTTGCTACCAGGTAGAATGAATCCTCCCACTTAAATCTTTTTCAAGTTTGCTTTAGCTGCTTTGAAACCTGTGCCTTTCTATCCTATAGATTTTTAATTTATAATAAAAAGCAACAGCCTTGGCCCCAGTCACCATCTTCATTCCAACCTCCTGTAAGCAACACCTTTTACTTGTTTGCATTTTAGCTTCTTTTGTTTTTTGCCTATTTATCTCTCAATGATATATTGCTACCTCTTGGTTTATCAACTTTGAATATTATGCATTTACCTTCTGCTGTGATATATAAGGTCTTACTGAAATCAGTTCATCTCTATTCCTTCTTCTTCCTTCCCCTCTGGTTAAACTGTGATTTCCAGTTTGTTCACTGATCACCTGTGCACCTTCAAGGAATCCTGGAAGCTTCATCTCTTGATCTCCCGACTTTGTATGACATTACTGCTTCCCCAAATCTGACCTCAAATATTTCGTCTTATACCTGGTGAAACTTTTCAACATTTACATTGTTTTGTAATGATAATTGTCTTGTTTATTTATAGTTTGATTTTAAAAGTTGAAGGTCAATAGACATTACTAGATTTTTAAAATTGAAAAAGATCTCATTACCCATTTCCCTAGCGTGCTAAGTAACAACCCCTTGTCTATTTCAATACAAAGGTTCCTAATACCAAGTTAAAATCGATTATCCCCATGAATTGCTCAAAATTATGTCACATTTCAGATTACTTCACACTTGAGTTAACACACTTTTTATTGAGTTATAAATTGTCAATATTTTCGGAATTTTTTTAGTGAAGCACATGCATACTTAAAAAGCACAAATTATATCTGCATAGCTTAATAAGTTTTCACCATAAATAAAACAATACCAGCACCTCCCAAAATCTCATATGTACTACCTCAGTCACCACTTGTTCTTTCCCAAAGGTCACCATTATTCTGACTTCAAACACTACATATTTGTTTTACCTGGCTATGAACTTTATATAAATTGAGAGATACAATATTAGTCTTTTGGTCTGGATTCTTTTACTTAACATTAGGTTAGTGAAAGACATTCATATAGTTGCATTCAGCAGTAATTCTTTCTTTTTTTTGTTGCAAAGTAGCCTCTTGTATTAAAATAGCACAATGTTTTATTCAAACTCTGATGGCCATTTGGGTGTATTTAACCAGTTAGTTAGCTTATTGTGAATATATTGCTATAAACATTCTTATACCTCTATTTGAGTACATAGATATAAACTTCCCATTGGGCATATGCTAGAAGTGCAATTACTGTGCAAATTACTGTAGACTATGAGAATTTTCAAGTTTAGTAGATATTGTTGAACAGTATTCCTAAGTTTTCCTGTTCTATAGTCTCACCAAAGTGTATGAGAATTCTACTTGATCAATTAACTCACCAAAACTTGGTCTAGGCAGTTGTTTTAATTTTAGCCAGTTTGAGAGTAGATGTTTTTATCTCATTGTGGGTTTAATTTGCATTTTCCTGATGACTAATGAGATTGAATACATTTTCATATGTTTTCCAGCTAGTTCTTTGTATATTCTGGATGTAAATCCATTTACTGCTTATGTGTTTTGCAAATAAATCATCCCATTTTTAGTGTTTCTATTTTCTTAAAACTGTCTAGGTGAGCAGAATTTTTTTTTTTTTTTTCAAGACGGGGTCTTGCTCTGTCACCTAGGCTGAGTGCAGTGGCACAGACATGGTTCAGCATAGCCTCAATCTCCTGGGCTCAAGTGATCTTCTGCCCAGCTTCTTGTATAGCTGGGACCACAGGTGTGCACCACCATGCATGGTTAATTTTATTTGATTTTATTTTTATTTTTTGTAGAGACAGGGTCTCATTTTCTTGCCCAGGCTAATCTTGAACTTCTGGGCTCAAGTGATCCTCCCACCTCAGCCTCCCAAAGTGCTGGGATTACAGGCAGACATTTTTAATGTTGTCCAGTGTATCAACTTTTCTGTTTTGGCTTGGTTTTTTTTTTCACCCCCATTTAAAACATATCTTACTCTCCCAAGATTATAGAAATATTGTCTAATTTTTCACCTAGAAGCTTAGTTGTTTTGCCTTTTATATTTAGATCAAAGACCAACTGAAATAAATTATGTATAGTGTGAAGTAGTAGTCAAAATATATTTTTCCCATGTGAGTATCCAACCAATTTGGTTCCATTTCTTTAAAAGACTATCCCTTCCCTACAGTTCTACAGTGAAACTTTAGTCATAAAGCAAATTTCCATATATGAGTGGGTCTATTTCTGAACCCTCTATTCTGTTGCCTTGTTCTATTTGCACTGACACACTCTAGCTTTATATGAATGCTTGAAATGTGGTTGTGTAAGCATTCTAGTTTATCATTGTTTTGGCTATTTGTGGGCCTTTAAATTTTCATTTAAATTCTAGAATCAGATTGCCAATTTGTAAAAATCCTCTTGGGAATGGGATTCTGATTGCATTGAATCTATAGGTCAATTTGCAGAGATTTGGCATCATTACAATATCAATATTCCAATCCATGAATCTAGTATATATTCCCCCCAATTATTTAAGTCTTTAAAAATCTCCTGTCAATATTTTTGTATTTTTCTGGGTACTTCCATGGCTTTTGTTAAAATTTTTATTAGGCATTTAAAGATTTTTGATGCAAACAGGAACTTTAAAAAATTTTACTCAGTAATTGATGATATACAGAAATAAAGTGATTTTTATATATTGACCTTTTAGATAATGACCTTAGCAGATTCATGTATTAATTTTTATAATTTATTTGGAGTCTTTTTGTACTGCTACAATTCTTTTCTATATTTAGTCATATAACAGATTTATTAGTTCCTTTCCAATATTCTTTTAATTTTATTATTTTATTGCACTGACCAGGACCTCCAATAAATATTGAACAAAAGTGGTGATAACAAGCATCTCTATCTTTTTCCAGGTCTCCAGAGGAAAGCTTTTAATATTTACTATTAAAGATCATATTTGCTGTAGGGTTTAGTTGTTTGTTTGTTTTGTAGATAAACTTTATCATTTGAAAGAAATTTTCTCTTATTCTTAGTTGTTTATATGCATTTTTGACATAAGCATATTAATATTATCATCCTCATCTTTTTATTTTAGTTAATGTGGTGAATTAATATAATTTTGAATATTAAACCATTCTTACACTCCTGAAATGAACCTGACTTGGTTATAATGTACTGTTCTTTTTATATATCACTGAGTTTTATTTACTTACATTTTGTTTAGGATATTTTACCTAAGATTTTAAGATATTGGCTTGTGATTTATCTTCTCATAAAGTTCTTGTCAGGATTTAGTATCAAGGTTTGTTGGCTTCATCGTGACTTGGGAAATATTCTCCCTTTTTCTGTCCTCTGAAGTATTTGGTTAAGTTTGGTATTATATTTTCCTTAAATATGTGGAAGAAATTCTATCTAGGCCTAGAGTTTTCTTTATCACATTTTAAATTATGGATGAAATTTCTTAAAAAGGTATAGGATTTTCATACTTTACTGTTTTTTATTTTGTTAGCTTCATTGAGTCTTATTTTTCTAAGGATTTTCCCTTTGCATCTGAGTTTTTAAGTTATTGGCATACAAATAATTATAAAATCTATTTTTAATGTCTGCTGGCTATATGACGATGACCATTTTTACATTTACAAGATTGGTTTTTTGCAACTTTTCTGTTTTTCTAATCAGTCCTGCTAGGATTTTATCAGTTTCATTTGTCTTTTCTAAAAACCACCTTTTGCTTCTTTCATTCTATTGTGTCTATTTGTTTATTTCATTAATCTTTACTTTTATCTTCATTATTTCCTTTTTTCTTTTTTATTTTGATTTAACTTTTTTTCCCCTAGCTTCTTGAGATAGACCTTGGAGTATTGATTTCCAGGCATTTTTTTTGCTTTTCTAATATATTCAACCAAAGCTATAAATTTTCTCTGGAAGTACAGCTTTAGAGATATTCTTCAAGTTATAACGTGTCATATTTTCATTACAATTCATTCTGAAACACTTTTTAACTTCCATTTTGATTTTATATTTGAACAATGGGTTATTTAGAAATGTATTTTTCAGATCTTAAACAGCGGGGGATCATTCAGTTATCTTTTTGTTATTTGAAGTCCTTGCTAGTTACTCTGTGATCATAACATTTACATGATTTTATGTTGAAAATTTTATTTAGGTTTGTTTCATGGCCCAGAATATGAAATATTTTGGCAAGTATTATTTTTTACTTGGAAAGAACATATATGCAACCATTGTTGGGTATAGAGTTCTATGTATGTCAGTTAGGTCAAATCTGTTGCTTATTTTTTATGTTTTTTGTGACATTTTTCCTGCGTATTCTATCAGTTTCGAGAAAGGTGTGTTATGTATTTTGATGATTATTATGGAATTTCTATCTTTTATTGGGTCTATCAATTTTTGCTTTATAAATTTTAAGATTATATAATTAAGTATATGCACATTAATTTTCTTATGTGAATTGGCCTTTTGTTGTCATTAAATAACCTTATTTGTAACAATGTTTCTTGCCTTAAATCCTATTTTGTCTGATATTAGCCTGTCTTTCTTTGTGTCATATTTGTATGGAATATATTTTCCATCTTTCTATTTTAAACATTTTACATCCTTATATTTACTGTGCATTTCTTGTAATCAGCATATAGTCATTTTTTAGTTTTGTGGGGAATTTTTAGTTGTTTTCTTATTTGTTTTTACCATCCATCATGCCAATATTGGTCTTTTAATTTTTGTCCATTTATATTTTATGTAATTATTTGTATATTTTGGTTCAAATAGGCCACCATACTATTTGTTTTCTGTTCATTCTATATCTTTTAAGTTCCTTTTTTCTCTCCTTTCTTGCCCTCTTTTATTTAAAAGGTTAATCTTTCTCCAAAGAGATAAGAAAACTGAGCAAAGCAGAAATATATCATGGTTGTCCTATACATGTCTTCTTGGGAACATTTTGGAAAGTCTCTCTGATGAATTTATGTGAGAAGTAGATTAGCTGAGCTTCTTATGTGCAGTAAATGTGAAAATATTTTTAACAGTATATAGACATATCTGGCACATAGCACAATGCTCAAGTGGTTAAATCTGAATCTTACATTTATAACTTTGTAGTATAAATACAAGCACAAAAAGTCATGTTCTGCAGTGAGATACCACTTTCTACATATTAGATGTCTATTTAAAAAATAAAAACAGAAAATAACAAGTGTTGGTGAATATGTAGATAAATTGGAACACTTGTACACTGTTGGTGGAAATATAAAATGATGTAACCACTGTAGAAAACAGAACGTGTTCCTCAAAAAATTAAAAATAGAATTACCAATTCCACGTCTGGGTATATACCAAAAAGAATTGAAAACAGGAAAAAAAAATTGTATCATAATCTTCATAGCAATATTATTCACAATAGCCAAAAGATGGAATCAACCCAAGTGTCCATGGGCAGATAAATGGATAAACAAAATGTGGAATATACACATAATGGCATATCATTCAGCTTTAAAAAGGAAGGAAATTCTGACATATGTTATAACATGGATGGATCTCGAAGATGTTATGTTAAGTAAATTAAGTCAGTCATAAAAGGACAAATTGTATATGGTTCCACTTATATGAGAATCATCAAATTTGACAGAAAGTAAGATGGTGGTTGCCAGGGTCTGGGAGTAGGGAGGGAGGAATGATGACTTACTGTTGGATACATGATTTTACTTAGGGAGATGAAAAAAGTTCTGGAGATGGATTTTTGTGATGGTTGCACAATGATGTCAATGTACTTAATGCCAGCAAACTGTACACTTAAAAATGGTTAAAATGGAAAACATTACATTATACACACACAGATACACACACACACACACACACACACCACACATGTATAATCACAACTTTTTAAAGGATTTCAATGAGATCTGTAGTACATTCACATTTGGTAATATCTTCAGAATTTTTTTTTTTTTTTTTTGAGAGGGAGTCTCCTCTCCTGGGTTCAAGAGATTCTCCTGCCTCAGCCTCACAAGTAGCTGGGACTACAGGCACGCACCACCACACCCAGCTAATTTTTGTATTTTTAGTAGAGATGGGGTTTCACCATGTTGAACAGGATGGCCTCAATCTCTTGACCTCGTGATCCGCCTCCCTCGGCCTCCCAAAGTGCTGGGATTACAGGTGTAAGCCACCGTGCCCGGCCTAGAATTTTTTTTACCTCTCTTGTGAATTATTATTATTAGGCTAAAGGAAACCCTGTCAAGGGAACTGCCCAATACCTGATCCTCAGTGTGACACATGAATATTCCATTCAAAACAAAAATCTATCCAAAATCTTTAATGAATAAAATTATTAAAGAACTCTGGTTCGTTGAGTTTATTTTCATTTACCCTATTATAAAAAAGAACGTTTTGGATTATCAATTCAGAACACAGAATGAATGTGAGAGAACCCAATTAATAAAATTCAAAGTGAAATGATAAGGGAAACCCTCTTTAAATGTCATCAAAACAGAATAAGTCTTCTAAGTATAGCAGTTTACAACCACTTGAATAAATGTGTTTATGCCATTACTTGCTTATAGCACATTCTTAGATCAATGTAGACTGATTTTTATCTTGTCCAAACCATTTATTCCATCAGAGTTCCATGACTTTAAATAAGTCTGGTTATCTGGAACATGGGAAATTATTCCAACCCCTGGCTGAAGTGTTAATTATAATTCACTGCTTAGCATTTCAGCCTCCACATTGGCATTACCTACAACTAATAGGAAGATAGAAAATTCTCTTTTGAGTAGCTACCAAGGTACAAGGTAGGTGCTCAGTGTCTCAACATTTATGAGAAGTTGTCAAAGCGACCGAACTGAGAGCATTCAACTGAAGGACCAATTTGCATGCAATTTGAGTCTTAAAGGTACAATAATTTTAAATAGAGGGAGTCAGTATTTTAAACAGTAGCCCATCTATGGTTCAGGTACCAAATGCAACAGGAGAGTGAGCCCATCTGACTCATGTTAGTCTGAGGAAATGTAACTGGAAAGAATAATACTTATAGCATTACTTTTTTAAAGAATTGGCCAGGTGCATAAGGCCATTATAAAAGGCATTAGTGCAAAGAAAAATACTGAAAAAAAGGAAACTTTCTTAAATAACAAAAGAAGTGAAAGAAAAGAGAAAGCTGATTATATGGAGAAAGAAATATAGTAAATCATCAAATTACCAATAAGTATAGCATAAAATAATATCACAAAGTTGAGACAAAACATATAAGCTATCCCCATAAATGTAAATGAATTAAACTCACAAATTATAGAGGAAAAAAAGATTTTCATATTAGCTCACAGTGCAAAACTCAACTCAATGTTGTATACAATATATGCCTAAAAGTGATTCCAAAGGCTAAAAATAAATAACTAGAAGTATACTAGGCAATTCCAAGCCATAGGGAATCAGCAATTGCCATCTTGATATTAGTCAGCATAGAATTCAGGGCCCAAATGAAACAAAGAAGGATGCTTTATAATGCTAAAGGCCACGATACACAATGAAGGCCCTTAGTAATTAATATCTATCAAAAAGTAAGCCACTTTGTAAAGCAGAAATTCAGAGAGATGCAAGAAGTAGAAATATGAATGACAGGAGATTTTCCACTCTCACACACAAACAAGTCAAACAGATAAAAAATAAGATATAAAAGTTCTATATAACAAGGTGGATTTTTTTGTATATCAAAGTTTGCACCACAATAATAGAGAATATACATAGGACATTCACAAAAATAATCATGTATTAGGTTATATGTTAGGTCATGACATTCTGAGAAATAAAGTGGAAAAATGCAAAAATATAATATTTTCTGCTTACAATTCATAGAACAAGAAATAACAAAAATGCCCCACTTGGAAATTTAAATATAAAACTCACTATTAAACTATTCTTGAAATAATAATTATAAACCAAAATTTCAGGATTTTTACAAAATAATGATGTTAAAAACACTATATATCTGAATCTGTTAATATAACTGAAGTAGTGATTAAGGAAGAGTTTAGAGCCTCCAATACTTATGCCAGTAAAAAAATTTATAAATAAATGAAAAAATTTCCAATCCAAAAACACTCCGTAAGGAAGTTGGGAATAAATCAAAAGAAAGCAGAAGGGAGAAAATAATAACTATAAGAGCAGGAATGAATGTGGCAGAAAATAGAACAGTAGAATTAAGAAATAAGTGAAAAGCCAGTTCTTAAAAATATAGGTCATCAATTAGACAAATGATTATCAAAACTAAGGGGAAAATGTATATATTTGTGGGGAAAGTTACAAATGTACAAAACAAGAGATGGCAATGGATAAACACCAAGGAATAATGAAAATTTAAAAATCATTAAGGCCACTTTATACTACTCTATGCAAATAAACTTTAAAATCTAACTGAAATGGGTAATTTCTTAGGATAATATGATTTATCAAAATTGGGCTTAAGAGATAAAAGACTTAAACTGGTTTCCACAGAGATAGTTATCAAAGAACCACCTCACCAAACAACACTTCTTCAGATAGTCTCATGCATAAATACTACCAAACCTTCAGAGACTTGATCATCCCAAATGTACAAAAATTGTTTCACAGCATAGAAATACAAAAAAAAACCCAAAAGCTTCCAAAGTATTCTCACGAAATAAGAATGGCATCGATTCCAAATATTATAAAGAGAACACAAAAAAGAAAGCATTAACCTGGTCTCATATATAGATGTAATTGTAAAAATAATAAATAAAATCTAACACCACATCATAAAACATCTTATGACTAAGAAAGATTTATTTCGGAAATGCAAGGATGTTTCAGTAACAGGAAATCCACCAGTATAATTTACTATAGTTGTAAATCTAAGGAAAAAAGTCATATTATCTCCAAAGAAAAAAATGCATTTAATGAAATTTACCACCCGTTCCTGATTTAAAACCAAAATCAACAAAATAGGAATTAATGAATCCTTGCTTAATATAACCATCTCTCTCTCTCATGTATAGACCTGTGTGTATATGTGTAGCATCTGTACAAATATGCGTGTATGTGTACATATCTATATCTGTGTATGTGTGTCTCCAAATACCAGTATCAGTGAAGAAACACAAAGTATTCACATTAAGATTGGGAACAAGGCAAGAATGGCCAGTATCTTACTATCATTTAATATTGTGTTGGATGTATCAGCCAATGAGATCAAACAAGAGCAAATGTACTAAAGAAATCTGGAAAGAAATAAAATTGTCTGTATTGACTGATAACATAATATCTAAAAAATCTTAGAGACTCAATAAAGAAGCCAACACAAACCATAAAAAATTTCAGTGGAATATTAAAATATAAAATAAATATATAAAAAGTATTAGCTTTCATGGGTACAAAACAAAAGGAATTAAAAGGAATAATATGATAAAATTTCACGTCATGAAATGTGCCAGCTCTGTATGAGGAAAACTTTAAAGCACTTTTCACAAAAGACACAAAAATAGAGGTGAGCAAATTAATATATAAATGTGATAATTTCCTAATAAATACATTAAATTTTATTCTTCCTGGACGTAAACAAGTTGGCTGTAAAGTTCACATGGAAAAATAAACATCTGATAATAGCTGGGAAAATACTAAAAGAGATAGCAGTAAGGGAAGGTTAACTCTGCCAGATGTTAAAAAAAAAAAACAACTATAAAGCTCCTATATTTGAAACAGTGCAGAACTGGCACACAGACAGGTGAACCAAAGAATGAAATAAAAAAATCAAAAAATAAACTCACATGTATATGGAAATGTAATATCTGAAAAAGTGGTATCTCTAATCATTGGAATATCTCTAATCTCTAAAAATGACCTTTTTAATAAGTTATGTTGGGAAAACACAATACCTATTTGCAAAATGATGAAGTTGAATCCATACCTCATACCATGTACCAGAATAAACTTGAAATGGGTCAAAGATCTAAGCATAAAACAAAAAGAGGAACATACAGGTACTAAAAGAAAACATAGGCCAGCAGCAGTGGCTCATGCCTGTAATCCCAGCACTTTGAGAGGCCAATGCGGGCAGATCGCTTGAGCCCAGGAATTCGAGACCAACCTGGGCAACATGGCAAAACCCTATCTCTACTAAAAATATAAAAAAATTAGCCAGGCATGGTGGTGTGCACCTGTAGTCCCAGTTGCTCGGGCGGCTGAGGTGGAAGGATCGCTTGAACCTGGAAAGCTAGGCTGCAGTGAGCCACTATCACATCACTGCACTCTAGTCTGCATAACAGGAACAAGATACTGTCTGAAAAAAAACAAAAAAACAAAAAAAAAAACCATGGATGAATTCCTGTATGACCCCTATATGGGTAAAGCCTTTTTATTATTATTTAAAATCAAGATGCAATTAAGTAAAGAAATTTATAAATTTTGCATAAAATAAAATTTCTTACATAAAAACATGATACACAATTCAAAATCAAATTAAAATTTGGAGAAAATACTTGCAGATATAACAAAGATGAATGACTAATCTTCCTAATAAAGAACTTCTTAAAAATTATAGGAAATGAAATAACAAAAGTTTGATAAAAATGGGGAAAAACACAGTTAACAGAAAATACTGTGCAAGTAGTCTCTTTTATTTATTTTATAATTTAAAAAATGATTTTTTGTTTATAATTGGCATAACTACATATTTGTGGGGTACAGTGTGCTTTTTCAATGCATGTATAATGTAATGTTTAAATCAGGGTAATTACCATATCCATCAGTTTAAACATTTATTTCTTTGTAGTAATAACACTCAAAAATCTTCTCTTCTAGCTATCTTGAAATATATAATACATTGTTATTTGCTATAGTTACCCTACTGTGTAATAGAACACCAGAAACTTGTAACCTTGTACCTGTTAACCAGTCTCTCCCATTCCCCATCTTCTATACTCTCCCCAGCCTCTGGTAAGCACTCTTCTACTCTGTACTTCTATGAAATCAAGTATTTTAGATTCCACATATGAGTGAGAACATGTAGTGTTTGTCTTTCTGTGCCTGGCTTATTTCACTTAAAATAATGTCCTACAGATTCATTCATGATGCCACAAATGACAGGATTTTATTATGTTTTATGGCTGAATACTATTTATGTGTGTGTGTGTGTGTGTGTGTGTGTGTATGTGTGTGTGTGTGTGTGTCATTTTCTTTATAAAGTCATCTGTTGTTGGGCACTTAGGTTGATTCCATATCTTGGCTATTGCAAATAGTGCTGCAATAAACATGGGAGTGCAGATATCTCTTTGACATAACCAATTTCATTTCTTTTGGATACATACTCAGTAATGGGATTGCTGGATCATATGGTAGTTCTATTTTTAATTTTTTGTGGAACGCTCATATTGTTTTCCATATGACTGTACTAATTTACATCCCCACCAACAGTTCATAAGAGTTCCTCTTTTTTCACATTCTCCCTAGCATTTGTTATTATATACGTTTTGTCTTTTTAAAAACAGCCTTTCTAATTGGGATGAGGTGCTATCTCATTATGGCTGTGATTTGCATTTCCCTGATGATGAGTGATGTTGAGCATTTGTTTTCATGTACCTGTTAGCTATTTGTTGTCGTCTTTTCAGATATGTCTAGTCAGGTATTTTGGGCATTTTTCAAATGGATTATTTGGAGTTTTTTGTTGTTGTTGTTTTGTTTTTTTGTTTGTTTGTTTGCTATTGAGCTGATTTGAGTTTCTTATATATTCTGGATATTAACCCCTTGTCCGATGCATGGTTTGCAACTTCTTTCTCCCATTCTGTAGGTTGTTTATTCACTCTGTTACTCATTTCCTTTGCTGTGCAGAAGTCTTTTAGTTTCATGTAACCGCATTTGTCTTTTTTGCATTTGTTGCCTATGTTTTTGAGGTCTTACTCCAAAAATCCTTGACCAGTCCAATTTCATGAAACATTTTTCCTATTTTTGCTTCTAGTACTTTCCTAGTTTCAGGTCTTTTATTTAAGCCTTCTCTACATGTAGAGTTGATTTTTGCATATTATGAGAAATAAGTGTCTAGTTTAATTCTTCTGCATGTGGATATCCAATTTTCCCAGCATCATTTATTGAAGAGACTGTCTTTTCCCCAATGTGTGTTCCTGGCACCTTTGTCAAAAATCAGTTGGCTTTAAATGCATGAATTTATTTCTCGGTTCTCTATTCTGTTCTATTGGTCTATGTGCATCTGTTTTTATGACAGTACTATGCTTTTTTGCTTACTATAGCTTTGTAATGTATTTGGAAGAAAGGTAATATGATGCCTCCCGCTTTGTTAATTATGTTCAAGATTGCTTTGGCTCTCTGGGTTCTTTTATATTTCCATATGAATTTATTTTTTTTCTATTTCTGTGAAGAATGTCTTTCATATTTTGATAGAGACTGCATTAAATCTGTACATCACTGTGAGTAATAGGAACATTTTAACAATATTAATTCATCCAGTCCATGAACATGGGGTATATTTCCATTTAATTGCCTCCTCTTTAATTTCTTCCATTAGTGTTTTATAGTTTTTATTGTAGAGGTCTTTCACCTCCTTGGTTGTTTATTCATAGGTATCTTTTGTAGCTATTGTAAATAAAATTGTTTTCTTAATTACTTTTTTCAGATAGTTCACTACTGGTGTATAGAAATTTTAATGATTTTTATGTTGATTTTGTAGCCTGCAACTTTACTGAATTTTTTTATGAGTTATACCAGTTTTTTGGTGAAGATTTTAGAGTTTCCTATATATATGATCATGTCATCTTCAAATTGGCATCATTCAACTTCTTCCTTTCTGATTTGGGTGCCCTTCTTCCTTTCTGTTTTGAGTGCCCTTTATTCCTTTCTCTTGACTAATTACTCTGGCTAGAGCTTTCAGTACTCTGTTGAATAAAAAGTGATGAAAGTGGATACCCTTGTCTTGTTCCAGATCATAGAGAAGAAGCTTTCAACTTTCTCCCATTTATAACTGTGGGTGTGTTATATATGGCCTTTATTGTGTTACAGTATGTTCCTTCTATACTCAGTTTGCTGAGAGTTTTTATCATGAAAGGATTTTGAATTTATGGAATGCTTTTCCAATAAAAACAATTCTATTGAAATAATCATTTTTTAATTAATTCTGTTAATGTGATGTACCACATTTATTGATTTGCATATTTTGAACCATCCTTGCATCTTTGGGATGAATCCCAATTGACATGGTAAAGGTTTTTGTTGTTGTTGTTGTTTTTTGAGATGGAGTCTCACTCTGTCGCCTAGGCGGGAGTTCAGTGGCGTGATCTTGGCTCACTGCAACCTCCGCCTCCTGGGTTTAAGTGATTCTCCTGCCTCAGCCTCCTGAGTAGCTTGGATTACAGGCACCACCCACCATGCCCAGCTAATTTTTTTGTATTTTTAGTAGAGACAGGGTTTCACCAGGTTGGCCAGGTTGGTCTTGAACTCCTGAGCTCAAGTGATCCACCTGCCTCAGCCTCTCAAAGTGCTGGAATTACAAGCATGAGCCACCACGCCTGGCCATGAATGATCTTTTTATGTGTTGTTGAATTCAGTTTGCTAGTATTTTGTTGAAGATTTTTGCATCTATGTTCATCTGGGATATTGGCCTAAAGTTTTATGGTTTTGTTGTGTCCTTGCCTGATTTTGGAATTAGGGTAATGCTGACCTCATAGAATGACTTAGAAAGTAAGCATTTTCCATTTTTTTTTTAACAGTTTGAGAAGTATTAATATAGTTCTTCTTTAAATGTTTGGTAGAATTCAGTGGTGTAGCCATCAGGTTCTGGGCTTTTCTTTAATGGGAGTATATTACTGCTTCATTCTTGTTACTCGTTATTGGTCTGTTCACGTTTTCTATTTTTTCATTATTTAATCTTGGTAGGTTGTATGTGTCCAAGAATTCATAAGTTTCTTTTGGATTTTCCATTTTATTGGTGTATAGCTCTTCATAATAGTCTCTTATGATCCTTTCTATTTTGTGGTATCAGTTGTAATGTCTCCTTCATCTCTAGTTTTATTTATTTGTGTCTTCTTTCTTATTTTCTTAGTATAACTAAATTTTTGTCCATATTATTTATCTTTTCAAAAAATGCACTCTTCGTTTTGGGGTTCTTTTGTATTACTTTTTAAATCTATTTTGTTTATTTCTGCTCTGATCTTTGTTATTTCTTTCCTTCTACTAATTTTGGGTTTATTTTATTCTTACATTTCTACTTCCTTGAGGCATAACATTAGGTTGTGTATTTATCTCCCTATTTTTTAGATATAGGCATTTATTGCTGTAAACTCTACAGCAAAAGTGTTTGATCGGTTGTATTCCATTTTCATTTGCTGTGTTCATTTGTATTCATTTTCATTTTGCTGTATTCCATACAGCAAAAGTATTTGATCTGTTGTATTCCATTGTCATTTGTCCCAAGGAATTTTTTAATTTACTATTAAATTTCTTCAGTAATCTCTTCATTGTTCAAGAGCATGTTGTTTTATATCCATAAATTTGAACACTTTCTAACATTCCTCCTGTTATTGATTTCTAGTTTTATTCCATGTGGTCAGCAAAGATTCTTGATATGAGTTTGATTTTTTTTTAAGTTTGTTAAGACTTATTTTCTGACCTTACATACAGTTTTTTTGGAGAATGTTCCGTGTGTTGTTGAGAAAAAATGGAAAAATGTATGTTCTTCAGCTGTTGAGTGGAATTTACTGTAAATGTCTGTTAGGTACATTTGGTCTAAAATGTAGTTTAACTGTGATGTTTGTCTGTCTCTTTTGTCTGGATAATCTGTTCATTGCTGAAAGTAGGGTGGTGAAGTACCCACACTGTTAGTGTTTTATAGTCAATCTCTCCTTTTAGGTCTGTTAATATTTGCTTTATATATTTGGGTGTCACAATATTGGGTTTATGTGTATTTATAATTGTATATTCTCTTGCTATATTAACCCCTTTGTCATTATATAATGGCCCTTTCTTTTTCTTTTTTTTTTTTTCTGTTCCTGACTTAGTCTTTTTTTTCTTTCTTTTTTTTTTTTTTTTTTTTTTTTGAGATGGAGTTTCGCTCTTGTTGCCTAGGCTGGAGTGCAATGGCACTATCTCGGCTCACTGCAACTTCTGCCTCCCAGGTTCAAGTGATTCTCTTGCCTCAGCCTCCTGAGTAGCATGGATTACAGGCATGCGCCACCACACCTAATTTTGTATTTTTTTTTTTTTTTTGAGACGGAGTCTCGCTCTGTCGCCCAGGCTGGAGTGCAGTGGCGCGATCTCGGCTCACTGCAAGCTCCGCCTCCCGGGTTCACGCCATTCTCCTGCCTCAGCCTCCCGAGTAGCTGGGACTACAGGTGCCCGCCACCACGCCCGGCTAATTTTTTGTATTTTTAGTAGAGACAGGGTTTCTCCATGTTGGTCAGGCTGGTTTCAAACTCCTGACCTCAGGTGATCCACCCACCTCGGCCTCCCAAAGTGCTGAGATTACAGGCGTGAGCCACCATACCCGGCTTAAAGTCCATTTTATCAGATATAAGTGTAGCTACTTCTCCTGTGGGGATTTTGCTTGTTTGTTTGTTTCCATTTGCATGTAGTGTGTTTTTTCATCCCTTCACTTTCAATATGTGTGTATCATTATAGGTGAAGTGAGTTTTTCTTAGATAACATATAGTTGGGTCTTGTTTTTTTTTTAATCCATTCAGCCACACTATGTCTTTTAATTAGAGAATTTAATTCATTTACATTCAAGGTTATTATTGATAAGTACGGGTTTTCTACTGCCATTTTGTTGCTTGCTTTATGGTGTTTTGTAGATTCATTCTTCTTTTTTTCCTATTTTACCATTTTCTGATGTAGTTAAGTGATTTTCTCTAGTAGAATTTTTGATCTCATGCTACTTATTTTAGTGTATCAATTGCAGATTTTTGCTTTGTGGCAACACGCGGGGCTAACTATAAACATCTTATGATTATAACAGGTTATTTTAAATAAGTTGCAACCATCTTAACTTTGGTCACAAAAGAAGTGTAACAAAGACAAATTTTATATTTTAATACCACGTCCCCTCCTCACATTTTGACTTTTTGATGTTTCAAGTTACATCATTTTATATTGCCTATCTTCTAACCAATTGGTGTACTTATTATTGTCTTAATAATTTTATCTGTTAGTCTTCATACTTAAAATTTAAGTGGCTTACATATTATAATTATAGTATTACAGTATTTTGAATTTGTCTGTATTCTTACTTTTACCAGTGAGTTGTATTCCTTCAGATGTTTTTGTGTTACCCATTTGTATCCTCTTCTTTTAGATTAAATAATTCCATTTAACATTTTTTGTAAGACAGGTCTGGTGTTGATTAAACCCCCAGCTTTTGTTTGTCTGGGAAACTTTTTATTTCTCCTTGTTTGAAGGATAGCTTTACTGGGTACAGTATTTTTGGTTGACAGTTTTTTTTTCCTCTCAGTACTTTGAATATAGCATTTCATTCTCAGCCTACAGGGTTTCTGCTGAAAAGTTTGCTGAATGCTATATTGAGACTCTATTGAATATGTTTCATTTCTCTTGCTGGTTTTTAAATATTCTTTCTTTGCTTCGATTTTTGCTAATTTGATGGTGATGTGCTTCGGAAAATTCCTATTTGGGTTGAATTTGGTTGCTAACCTATGAGCCTATGAGGTTTTTTTTTTTGACATGGAGTTTCACTCTAGTTGCCCAGGCTAGAGTACAATGGTGCGATCTCAGCTCACCACAACCTCCACCTCCCAGGTTCAAGTGATTCTCCTTCCTCAGCCTCCCAAGTAGCTGGGATTACAGGCATGCCCTACCATGCCCTGCTAATTTTGTATTTTTAGTAGAAATGAGGTTTGTTCATGTTGGTCAGGCTGGTCTCAAACTCCCAAACTCAGGTGATCTGCCCACCTGGCCTTCCTAAGTACTGGATTACAGGCATGAGCCACTGTGCCTGGCCACTTCCTTTATCTTAATGCTGTTGCCTTTCTGTAGATATGGTGAATTTTCAGCCATTATTTTCTCAAATTGGCTTCCTAAGCCTTGTTCTCTCTCATCTCCCTTGGGAACTCCTAGTATGTAGAAGTTGGTCTGATGGATGATGTTCTATAATTGTCATAAGCCTTCTTTACTCTTCTTTTTTATTCATTTTTATTTTTGTTCCTTTGAATAGGTAATTTCATATGTTTTATCTTCAAGATTGTTCATTCTTTCCTCTGTTTGATCAAGTCTGTTGTTAAAGCTTTCTAATGAGTTCATTTATTGTATCCTTTATTTCTAGAATTTCTTTTTATTATTATTGTTTCTATTTCTTTGTAAAATAGCTCACTAGTTTCTGGATATTTCAAAATTTCATTTAGTTATCTATCCACATTTTCTTGTGATTCCCTAAACTTCTTTAAGAGGACTATTCTGAATTTTGTCATATATTTCATAGATCTTTAAATTTTTCTAGCTCTATTACTAAAACTTTGTTTGTTTCTTTTGGTGATGTCATAGTTCTCTGGGTTTTCATAATCCTTACATCTTTACATTGATGCCTGCATATAGGAGGAGACCTCCCCCATTTGCCTGTTCCAGCTTTTGCTGGTGTTTTTGGTGGTGTTAGGCTTTTACTACTTAACACTGGAGCTTAACCGCCATTCTGCGGTTGCTTCCCGGATTGCGGAAGACTTACAGTGAGCATTGGAATGTAAACACTGCACAGGAACTGAATTGTTGTGCTGCCCTTGTTTCCCAGTCTGAGAAAGACTTAAGTTAGTGCCACTACTTAATCACCAGCCTTTGGGTTGTTTCCAGGTCAAGGGAAGGCTCCAAAGGAGCACCTGAGCTTTGTGGGAAATTCAGCCAGGGATTTGAGCCTTTCAGTGGATTGTGCCCCCTTGCAGCACTGTGGCTCTGGCCAGTCTTATCCATGTGACCTCTCCACTGATCAGAGCATAGGGCAGCTACCCTGCACATCAGTTACTGCAATCAGCACCCCTGCATTTTGTCCCCAATTCAACCCAGATGGTTCAGCCTTCCTGGTACTCCCAGTGGTTCTTGTGGGACATGACCAGAGTAGACTAGTGGAAAGATCAAATGTCAACCTCATATTTTCTCCTTCCACTTCAGAAACCATGGGTCTAAGGAAATTCTGTGTGAGTGATGTTATTCTATCTTGGAGGAGGGTGTGGCACAGTCTAAAATGACCACTCCTCTAACTGGCTTCAGCTTCTGTCAGTTTCGTGAGCCCAGGGCGTTCTCTACTTCTCCCTTGAGTTCTATTGAATTCAGTGTGGTATTCTTATTCCGGAATACTTTCTAGCTGTATTTTTACGGGGGGAGTGATTTCGGGGGGCTCTTCATTCCACCACCTTGCCGACTGCAAATGGTATTTAAAATAAAACGATACCGAACTTTATTCATAAGCATCGCATAAATCAACCTACACTGAGATACATTTCCCATGTATCAGATTGGTAAAAATTCAAAAGATCAACAACACATCCTATTAGCAAGGTTGTGGAGAAACAGCCACTCTCCTACATTGCTGATGGGAAAGCACAGTGGTTCCACCTTGTGGAGGGGGATTTACCAATATCTAATAAATATACATATTCATTTACTCTTTGTCCCAGCAGCCCCAATTTTAGTAATTTACCCCAAAAATATACCTTAACAAGTACAAAAAAAAAAAAACCATATGCACAAAATTATTTATTGCATCATTATTTGTAATAACAAAATACTGGAAACAACCCAAATGCCCATCCATAGAAGAATGACTGAATGAACTTTGCACAATAAAGTGCCATATACACAGAGGCACACAGAAAATGGGGAAAAGATCCTTGAACTGCTATGCAGTGATTTACAGGATATACTGTTAAGTGTTTTTTTTTTTTTTTTTTAAGGCAAGGGAAAAGGATTCAAAATGTTTAAACTGAATCTAGTCTTGGAGCAACAATCAGACAAGTAAGATTGTACAAAACTACCTGAAACGAAGACCCTTTTAAAATGTCAATGTAACAAATGACCAGAAAAAGAGAAATATAAAAGCCAGTAGATTAGTTTTATATTTAAAGAGCTTAAAGAGGCTTTCTAAACAAATACAGTAATTCTTGATAGAGTCCTGGACCCAACATCAATAACAATGACAATTATTACAAACCTTTTTGGAAAATATGAATATGGATTGAATATTGGATCATACTTATCAATATTATATTTCTTGGTTGCGATGTTAGCATTGTGGTTTTATGGGAGAATATTCTTATTCTTAAGAGGTACATATTTTAATATTTAGGAATGAAGTATCATCTTATCTACAACTTGCATTCAAATCATTCAGAAAAATAAAGATTATTTAAGTTAGAGCTATGCCTTTTACTTATTTATAATTCATTAGAATTTGGATTTCGATTTCAATAATGTTAAAAATAATAAATTATCCTAATCAAATGTTAATTGAATGCCTGTGATACTATAGGTATGATAGGGGAAAAGGAGTCTAGGGGTGTTACTAGAAAGTAGACGTATATAGTGGAAGGAGAAAAGAGTCAAAGGATAAAAATGATCAATATACTGGATGAAGTTTTAGGAACATCATCAATGTAAAATAATTGTGTTGTGCATATTAAACTCGGTCTTTCATTTCTTCTGAGAACTCTCAGTAAAAAGAAAGGTGGCCACTTGTATTAGACAGTTTCCTGAGACAGATACTTATTTTCAAGATTCAAAAGCTAAAACCGCTGGCTCCAATTTCGATTTAAAGAAGTGTTTCTAGCAACTGATCATTGCTTGCAGCGTAAACAACAGTGACCTAGTACATGAAGTCAGGTTATGCTTCCATGATGAAGTGATTTCAAAGGTGAACTCTGAAGGATGAGTAAGAGTTAACTAGGCGAACGGATGGATTGAGAGAGTATTCTAAGGACATAGGAGCAGAAACAAAAAGAGAATATGGCAAATTTGAGAACTAAAAGAAAACCATTATGGCTGGAGTACAGAAAGGGAAGCAATAGCAGAATAGCAAGAAACAAGGCTAGAAAGGTAGGCAGCAAATCTTTCATTTACCTGATTGCTAAGTGTAGTTCCTCTGTCTGTGTTGACATGTCAACCACAAGGGGGCACACAAGACCAAATACCTGGTCTCTGGCACACCTGCCATCCCAAATGCATTTCCTTTGTTCCTTGGGTTATATAAAACTATTTTGTGTAGCCTCTATATCTTTCACATTTGCATCTGCCAACTAAGCAACAAAGGCAAAAACAAAAGTGACAGAAGTTCCAAGTTGCTACCACCACACAATAGATGACATATGTGTCTCATGCTCCCTTTAGGTTTAGAAATTCAAACAGCTGTTTGGACACAGGTGTATCAACAGTACCATGTTTCTTCAGTTACAGTGATTTTCTCTTTGGATTCCACATCAGAAAGGCTCATTTTTCAAGGCTAGGGACTCAATGTTTTTACAGGAGGAAAACTAAGGAGTGGTTTTCTTTTTCACAATGTCTCTGTTGTTCCTGGCTTTTTTCCCTAATAGACATTGTGTGGTACCAAGGCCTGCATAGGTAATTCAGCAAGCTTGTGCAGAATGCATTTGGATCGGTAGGAAAAGTAACTTCTGGTGCTCGAACCATGAGATACCAGAACTATCAGGTTCACTGTTACATTAAGATGTTTAAAATGACCTTCATAGAAAGAACAAACATGCAAAAACCTGAGGGAAAATGGTACATGTGTATGTCTCTTTCTGTATCTTTATATTTGTTAGTTATCCCAGAGTTTATAAACTGGATCAGAAGGCATATGACTACTGAATTGGTTATAGACATGAGCCCCATGTGGGCTTACGGTTGGGCAGACCCAAGGGTTCCTGGGCCACACATCACCTGCCCCAGCCTAGACTCTGGTCCTCAGGACTGGAGCTACTTGGAACTGGCTTTGGGTTCAAAGAGCATTAAAAATCAGAATTAGCTTAATCACCCACCCATGAACTACCACTTGAACAAGTGCTACACCAATCTCTCCTGTATGAGAATGAAGACAATTCGTTAGTACTGAGGAATTTAGTAGGCCAAACTATCATTTTGTATCCTGCATGTAATCTTCTGAGACTTTTCTAATAGAAAAGGTGTTTTGGTTGTTATGTAGCTGGCATTATAATTTATGGGAACAAAACTTATCAGACTAATATCAGTTCCTTCTATGGGAATGGCAGGACTAATAGACTGGAAAATGGTGTAATTGTGATTTATCTTGATTCTGTGAAGATTTTTATTTTATGGATACTAATGAAAAAATTAGAAAATGACTCCACCTCACTTTTCAGTGTCAGCTCTATAGACTAAGTAGCATATGTACATTGTATTGCCAGCTTCTTGTTAACTATGTGAAGGGTCTTGGTTAATGAAGTAAGGGGTAAGATCCTTCTCCTTTATGTTGGCAGATGATTATGTTATTTAACCAGTGAACTGTGTTTCATTAGTTCTAAAGGTAATAAAACTAGATAAATTTAACTATTAACTTCCAGAGAAAAGTCAAATAAATTGAAAAGGGAAATCTAAATTTCTCCAGACCCCAACTTAAGAAAGATTGATTTTTGTTGTTTATATATACGTTAACACTTACTTTTCATTGAACACCATACCTTGGGGAATTATTTTTATACCACAGAGGCCTGGCCATGGATCTGAAAACCACTTTAGCACTTTATTTTATTTCCAAAACTTAGCAGTATTTTGGAAATGACTGAAGAAAAAATAATAACAAAAATGAGTTGGAATTCAACACTTCAACCTCAGTGTTCAGCCAAATAGAATCTTAAGGTTCTGAATTGTAAAGTCCTTCCATTTGACTTGATTTTAGAGTCACATTGAGCCAAAACCGATGAATGTGTCTTGAATTCACTGCTTTGAACTGAAAAGCAAACTGTTTACTTGTTCCCAATGGGATACATTATGCTGAAAGATCGCTTCCTGTTTGTCCTAGAGGGGTTTCCCTTCCCTCAGAGAAGTCACAATTTGGGTCAGCTGTCTCTGCAGGGGCCATCCCCAACAGCTTTCTTGGGATAAGTGAGGTCCCCAAAACACTAGGTTATGGCATTATATGAAAATAAAGACTTGGCACAGTTCTTCCCTTTGCAAAGCATTCTGACTTTAAAAACAGCCTGAATGCTGAAGACAGAGAAAAAGAGCACACTTTCCCCCAACTGACTTCTGCTAAACACACTGTGGATTGTTTCAGATGCTCCTGAAAGCCGTAGGAATGCTCCCTGTGTGGATATTTTAGATGGCCTGTAGGAGGACTGCCCAGAAAGAGCTGCACCTTTTTCTGGCGTGACATTGAAAGGTGCTGGAGAATAAAAATAACCTTGGATCAACATATGAGTCAAATACTGTATTTATCCATCCTGCAGTTAGGGAACAAAAACTTAAAATGCCATCTTGCCAAAAATAATGGCAATTAAAGTATGCCAGCTCCATGACACTATGCATGGTAGCCAAGTGCTCTCCGGAAGCATCGTTACAGAGAAATAATACACTGGAGTTTCCAGTCTTTCATTTCCTATGATGGTATCTACTGAACTCTTTACCCTTCTGTATTCCATAAAACATGAAGGTTTCTTTTCTTCCTCTGAATCCAACCAAGGTGATACCACCAATTCTGCTTATTATTTCAGATCACGTTCAGGCCCAGGTACAGCTGTGCCCTGTCCTAGTAAATTCTAAGAATGATGCTAAATTCTGGCCTGAGTTACTACCTGAAGGAGGTTGAACAAGAAATTGTGGATGTCCAGAAACCACCCCATTCACCAGACTGGAGAAATCAGTTCAGTTAAAAGCACACCTATGATCTACTTCGGATGGATAGACAGTATATTACTAGCCTTCACAGTTCTTTCTTTTCTAGTGAGGCCCTGTAGGGGGTAGGCCAGATAATCTGACTCATCTTTGCTGTGTGCTTTCATCCCAGTGTGCTCTCTTCTATGAAAGGCAACTGGAACTGAAGAAAAATGAGAAACTCATCTTGAGGTAAAATTGAAAGGAACCAAGGAGCTTAAAGAAGGTAGTGATTATCAGCTAAGCAGAAATAGGGGGTTTGCTAGAACCATGCTTGGTAAGTCTGTCTACCCTCCATCACAGTGCCTTGTATAGAGGAGGGATGCAGCACAAATTATGGAAAGTATAAAAATGATGAGTGAGCAGGGGATAAGAGAGGAGAAAGTAAAAGTTTAAAGAGGACATAAAGACCATTATTACAAAATAAACGTAAATGCAGTTCTAGGACTTCCAGATCACAATAGTGAAATCGTCCATTTTCATGGTGCTGTAATCCGAGTTCCAGGAGTAAATAATACATCCCTCTCATGGGAATAATGTAAACAGCAGGAAGGAGAGGGAAAGGAAGAACGGACTGGAAAACAACTAAGAAGTAGTGATGGAGGAGGACAAGTAGGTTGGGCACAGACAATTTTTAAGGCAGTAAAACTACCCTGTATGATACTTTAATGGTTGACACATACCATTCTAGATTTGTCTAAACCCACAGAGTGTACACCACCACCAATGAACCCTATGGACTTTGGGTTATGATGATGTATCAATATAGGTTCATCAGTTGTAACAAAATTCACCTCCCTCAGGGGGTGTTCATAATAGAAAGGCATGTGTGGGGGCAGGACATACATGGGAAATCTCTGTACCTTCCTCTCCATTTTGCTGCAAACCTAAAATTGTTCTAGAAAGTAACATTTTTACTTAAAAAATAGTGACAGTGATCCAAAGAAAATTTGGTAAAAGAGGTTATGTCAGGTAAGAAAAATACTAAAAAAAATATATATATATATATGTGTGTGTGTGTGTGTGTGTGTATATGTATATATATGTGTATATATATGTATATATGTGTATATATGTATATATATGTGTATATATGTATATATGTATATATATATGTGTATATATATGTATATATATAAACAATTAGAGCATTATATATGGTGTGTATAAAGAAAGAATAAAATTAAAAACAGAAATCCTCAGCAACACCCATAACCCGAGAACAATCGGAACAGTCTTGAAAGCATATGGACAAGGTATTTCTTGTTACTGTGTGGGCTGTGTGCTGTGGGATGTGGGACATTCTATTGTGAGGCTTTGAGTGATCTTATTGGATGCTATGTAAGTGAATATCAGAGGAGTGTTGAAACTTCGTATATTACTATGGATTCAGAGAAGGTAGGCACACAAGAAGATCAGGAAGGATACAACAGTTCACCCTCCCAAACATGCAAAAAAAGGTGAAATTTCTAGTAGAAATCCACAGTCAATTATAATTAACGTTGATACCCAGGAACCTTGTACGCTGAGGAACTGGTGAAATTAACTACAGAGTGTGGCCTACAAAGATCATGTGGAGACATCAATTAGGCGCCCTGCAAAACATGCCAGTCTCCCATCTTAGGAGAAGGAGCACAGTTTAGGTATTCCTCTACTCTGATTTGCTAGAATGAAAACAAAAATGAAGATGGTAGTCCTAGGAAAGAATCTGGAAAAGTCATATTTTGAAAAGGTGAAAGGAAACCAAAAAAAAGTATTAAGATAGGGCCGGGCGCGGTGGCTCAAGCCTGTAATCCTAGCACTTTGGGAGGGCGAGGCAGGCAGATCACGAGGTCAGGAGTTCGAGACCATCCTGGCTAACGTGGTGAAACCCTGTCTCTACTAAAAATACAAAAAATTACCCCAGTGTGGTGGCGGGAGCCTGTAGTCCCAGCTACTCAGGAGGCTGAGGCAGAATAGCGTGAACCCAGGAGGCGGAGCCTGCAGTGAGCTGACATCGTGCCACTGCACTCCAGCCTGGATGACAGAGCAAGACTCCATCTCAAAAAACAAAAAAAAAGTATTAAGATAGTAAGTATAAAAATGTGACAAGGGGGTAGGAGGAGAGAGATTTAAAAAAATGAAGTGCATTTCTGAAGTTATAAATCAGTTTTATCTCTGTCATTGAAATATATCGTCCATCTAGGTACTTCTCAAGATGCGAGCAACAAACCATATTCCATTTATTAAAGAGAATATACTGACGTTGGTCAAAGAAGAAGCCCTTAAACAGAAGAAACAGGAGTCATAAACTCGTATTAAAAGGATATATTCATGTTTGTTTAGAAGTTTGCTCTCATTTGTGACACAGAATGGCAAACCTTCCAAAACTTCCTGTGATCCAAAATGTGTTCCCCACATCTACCTGTTCATAGGAGCCAAATAAGATCTGAAGAAATTTTAATCCACATTTCTAGTTAATTTAAAATCCTAGATAATAAATGTTAAAGCTTTGGGAATAATTTAAGCAGACAGAAAACCAAAAAAGAAAACTTGAAGCTACTGTTAAAGTGAAAAGAAAAAAATTCAAATAAACTCTCAAACCAGAGAGCATTCAGTACAATAGAAATTAGACAGGGAGCTGATCTAAAGGTGAGAAATCAGTGCACTTTAACATTGCGATTTAGCCAACGATTCACTGTTGGCCTTGCACATAATCTGAATGCCATGGCTGTGGGATGTAAAGGTGAGGTGGAACCATATTTTTAGCATCCTAGCTTGCTTAATCCTTCATAAGCCAACAAAACAAGTGTTCTTCAGTGTCTTGTTCACTTGGTTTGACTGTCCGGATTTGCTAGCAGTGGACAGAGATGGGCATAGTGACACCTTGGTGTCACTGTAGAGTAGGGAAAAGTGGAGATTGTTTCTTTATCAGATTCCCCATGATACCCAGCTACAATATTAAACCTATGCCTTTCACCACCTATGCCTTTATCCTCTAGATAAACTGAGCAAAATGAGCCCCTGTCTGAAGATCAAAGTTCTTAACCCCTTTATATAATCTGCAGAATTCTGGTTCTATAAATATGTGTTCGGTTTTTCTGAGATGAAGATATCATTGATTATTCACATTAGCCTGAAAAGGTTAAGAAAGACCTTTTATTATTTCAACCACATAGTACCTTCAATGTGTAGAACTCTAGATTCTGTGATTATAAAAGGAGTAAGACACAGTAATTGCCCTTCAGCTGTTCTCAGTCCACTGGGGAAAATAAACCCAAGCCAATTTCAAAAATGCATTCCACATTACAGTATAAAGAGACACATAAAGCCTAAGGCTCCAGGGAATTATAGAGGGAAAAGTGACAAGATTAAAGTTTCTTTCTAGAATTGTCAGAAATGGCAATTAGGGACCAAAGTTGAGACACCAAGACGGGACAGTTAAGTAAATAAGCATTTGTGTGACTCTGTATGTATGGGTCAGACAGCAACTGGGTTTTGCATGGCTTTATTTTGAGCAATTATTTTTTAAGAGCCTGGCATGCTGAGTTTATGTGTCATCTTGCCCATACGTCTGGAAAGATGCTAGGAACCTCTGACATAGCTAATTAAAACAAATGGCTCTTGTTCTGGTGTGACGAATGACGAGGCAAGCAACATCTCACTCTTCTTTACTAGATTGTGCCACAGCCTAATGGGAGAAAAAATGTCAAAAAGTCTCACCAGATACCTTCCCTAATTGTTACAAGGACTCTAGATGTGCAGGGATGACAAATGCCAAAACATAACGCAGTTAAAAAAAAAATAGATCCAGTGTGTTTGGGTTTGGAAATCAAAATGGTGAGAATTTTTTTAAAAGTAATCACCTAACATGCACACTTTTAGGAAAGATAAGAGTTAAAAGCAGTAAGTAATCCATCTGTCTTCCACTTTTTATCTCCCCTGAACTAGAGAAAATTTGTTGAACTGCTGATTATAACATATTCTTGAATAAAGCTCTTTAGGAGACCCTGATGAGGAAGTTCAAAGAGAGTTAATTAGGTCTTCTAACCTTAGGAAATGCCGACATCTTAAAAACTAGTCAGCACCCACGTGTTATACTGTAGAGACTTGTAGACTAATTTTCAGCCTAGTGTAAGGCAAGAAAATGCTGATGAGATTACATGCACACACACACACACAGACACACCCAGAGAGAGAAGACACGGCTGGAATCATGAAGACCTACATGCTCTGATTTTTGCAAAAGTTGCCTTTGTGACTTGTGGTTGTTGATCCAGGAGCATCCCCATGGATCCAATGAATCATCTGTGCAAATACAAAGAAAGATGGAGAACATGCCCTGCAGGAAACAAGGAAAAGAGTTTTAGAGGTGACCATCCCAGGCCAGCTTCATGTTTCCAGTTGATCAGCAGGGATAAATAAACTGTATGCCATTTCTTTGTTTCTGACATCCAAAGAGGCTGAGGGTTTATTAGATAGAATGCACAACAAAAGCAGAGTCAGCAGGAATTTAGCTGATGCACGTGTTTAATGGCAGGTTTTGAAAAGAGCAGTGATTTATATTTTGCTGGAGAGCCCTGGATGCTGAGTAAGCTGGTGAGGTTCCCCTGGAGAGTAAGATGGTCTGGAGGCAGAAAGGGAAAAATACTGAAGGGGGAAAATTTCTCTGGGCATACGTATCAATGTGTATACTTCCCTGCCATGGAGCAGAAGGCAGAGCCAGCTTCAGGAAACCACATAGGTTAACTTCCAATTTTGAAAAAAAAAAGTGAATTAAATTTAAAAATTATTTGTAAGGAGCTTTAGAGAAGTATATAAGAAAAATAAGGAATAGAGTCAAAGTCAGGTAGTTTTCAAGCCCAGGAGTCATGGAGTGAGTGGTGGAAAGATCATAGGCTTTGGAGTTACATACACCTGGGTAAGCTTCCTAGGCCTGTCACCTAGCAACTGGGATTACTAACACTGGCCAAGGTATTTTGTATCAACAGCTAACATATTTTGGGCATTTTTTATGTGTTAGGTATTGGGATTTTATACAATATTTAGTTCATTCTCTCTGTAGCTTTATTTTATCAGTGAAGTTTGAGATTAGGTATCTTGTTCAAGGTTATACAGCCAATAAAGAATGGAATCAGGACTCAGACCTCCATGACTATTTATTTACATTCCAAATACGTTCTCTGTGAAATAGAGATGCTATTACTAGTCTCCCAGTGCTTGTGGGTGAACATAGTGACCGTTAATAACTGGTCATTTTCTCACTCCCTAGTTGTACCCATTTTGCTCAGTGCAACAATCACAGTATGCCTCTGTGACATGAATGTCATTGGGACTCTGATGGCCAGGTTCTTGCAATTTGCCTGTTTTCCCCCCAGGAGAGAGGAATCTTAATCAGAAGGGAATTGCTACCCTACCCAAACGCTGGTCAGCATCCTCAATCCCCCTGGAGTGCTTTCTTTCTTTCTTTCTTTCTTTTTTTTTTTTTTTTTTTTTGAGATGGAATCTCACTCTGTCGCCCAGGCCAGAGTGCAGTCGCGCAATCTCAGCTCACTGCAGTGGAGCGCTTTCTTTCTGCCTGTGCTCCTTCCACAGATAATCTCACGCACCCCCTTGGTGTCAAAGACCATCTCGACTTGGTAACTCTCAAATCTGCATTTCCAGTTCTGACCTTTATTCAGAACTCCAGACTTGGCATTTCCATTTGGATGGCTAATCGGTATTTTAAACTTGGCATATCCAAAACTGAACCTTTTGATTTTTCAGCCTGCCCCTCTTCCAATTATTATCCCAGTCAATAGGAGGATCATCCAATGCTAAAGCGCCCATTCTATGAGTTGTTCTTGATTCCTCTTTTTGTTGCTACCCCCTCCCAGTTAGCCCATTAGAAAATATTGTTAACTCTACTTCTAGAATACATATCGATTCTATACACGGCTACTACCATGACCCTAATGTAAAACTGCCATCACCTCACACCTGTACTGTAATCATTCTGACCAGACTCCTGGTTTCCATTCCACAGTCAGTTCTTCATTCAGCCATCAGCATGAGCTTTATGAAATACAGATAAAATTATGATGTCCCCTCACTTAAAACCCTCCAATGACTTCCCATTGTACTTGGAAAAAATCCAAACTCCTTACATTGGTTTACAGAGTCCTACAATATGGTACCAGCTCCTCTATGCCCTCAGGTCCTGCCGCAACCCCTTACTTACTGCACACCAGGTACATTGGTCTTTATGTCCCTCAACCAAGCACATAAATCTCTTGGGGGTTTGTACTTGTTTCTGTTCTCTCTGCCTAGAGTTCTCCTATCATTTCTTCCCATTGCAGAATGTTTCTGATACTCAAGTGTCAACCCAAATGTCACCTCCTCAAAGGAAGGTAATACCTTCCCGACACCTCAGTGACTCAACATCACTGTTGTGTTGGCACTTTTCAATATCCAAGATTTTTTAAAATTTATTTTTGGTTGTTTTCTGATTTATTTATTCACACTCCTATTCACTTACTCATTTCTACCACACACCCTCTAGAATAGCTTTGTCAATATGGTATCCACTGCCAACATATGGTTATTTAAGTTAAATTAGCTAAAATTAAATAGAATTAAAAATTCAGTTCTACTGTTATACTAGTCACATTTCATGTGCTCAGTACACACATATGGCTAGCAGCTACTGTATTGTACAGTGCAGATATTATAGATCATTTCCATCACCACAGAAAGTTTTGTTAGACAGTGTTGCTCTACATTATAAGCTTCAAGAGAACAGGAACAGGGCTCATTCACTGCTGAATCCCCAGACAGTACCCAGCACATAGTAGACTCTCATAAATATTTGCTGAATGAACGGGCTGGGGGCAGAATTAATCTACCCAGAGGGACCAGGAGAATTCATCACTAATATTTGGAGTGTAGAAGCCCTGCTTCACAAAGAAGCTATCAGCAAAGCAAATTAGGTAGTCCCACATCCTACACAGTAGAGAGCCCTACACTGACTAGAACACCAGCTTGTAGGCCAACTCAAAATTTACTTCTTCATTTAACAGTTGTAGACAAGAGTCAAGCCCATATGCACAAAAGGACCACAATGTGCTGGGCATCATTGTAGCACAAGTGGTACAAGGAGCTCCCATACTCACTTTTAAAGGAAGTAACTTGTAAATGCATAACTGTGACACTCTGTGCCCAGGCAGAGTGTACTGGAGTGGAGCAAAGAAATGAGTGATTGTCCTGAGTCTGAAAAGCATAAAGACCCAGTATGTCAGACAGAGTGTCAAGAGGGAGGCTACCTGGAGCTGGGCCTCAAAGGATAAGTAGGATTTACCAGCAGTAAAGTGAGGAAAGACATTTTTATCAGAAGGAACAGCATGCCCAGAACACAAGAAAGCTGAGATGGCTCAGTGTATCTGGGAACTTGAAACAGTTTGAAGCAGATGGAATGTAGAGTACAAGGATGAACACACCAGTGATGAGGCAGCTGAGGGAGGCTTGGAGATCACGGAAGGCCTTCTATGAGCCACAAAGGATTTGGATGCTAATTGGTGTGGACTTGGAGCAACTGAAGAAATTTAAGTTAAGGGAGTAGCTTAAGGTGGACTTTGTTTTAGAAATATCTTTCTAGACAGAATTTCTTAATTCTGTGCCATGGACTTCTTTAACACTCTGGGAAAGCCTATGGATCCCTTATTAGTACTCAAAAAAAAAAAAAAAAAACAGACACATAGTATTTCAAAGGAGACCAATTGCATGGAAATCCAGCTATCAAGTTCCTAAAAATTATGATACAGCAAATATGTGCTTCTTATTAGTACACTAAATAACAAGATCTAGCAGCAAGTCTAATAACTATCGTAATTTTGAATGGTGGTGACTATAAATGATATGTGGGAATATTTGCTGCAACTATAATGAGATATAAAAACATCTGATTTTGTTTGGTGACAAAGTCACAACTGCTGTTAATATTATACTGTGGATTGTTGTCTCAATTCATAACATATGTAAACAATAAATTTCAATAATAAATTAGTGAAAATAAAGACAATGTTTATGCAAGTTCATGGACCACTGAATTCTATCCATGAATCTAGGTTAAGAGCCCCTTCTCTAGGCAATATGAAGAGTGAAGTTGGGAGTGAGAAAGAGTAGAGGTGGATATTTTGAGGCTGAAGGAAGGGCAAGCAATTAGAAAGATTTCATTCTGGTTCAGGTGAGAGATGAGAAAGCCTACAACTGAGCAGTTCCTTTAAACCCAATGTAACACATATTAACTTCCAAAATGGAACATTGCAACAACAGTTATTTATATTAGAAAGGATTCATTACATGTGTCTATAAATAGGTACCCTCTTTATTTAAGATATTATTTAATTTACAGAACTTTGAGTATGCAAGCTTCAGGAAGCCTATGTCAGGAGTGAGACAGTTGTGCTGGTTGTATTTTCAAAGCCCATTTGGAACATGGCAAGAAGAAAACTTAGTAGTTCTAAAATTTGTTCCGCCAGAGGGATGGGGAACATCCCTTTTGTGCATTTTATGCCTTTATTTTGTTTATTTTTAACCACATGTATGTGCAGTCCTGTGTGTGCACTCACACACACAGTTTAAAATGGTGACACCAGTAATAATAAACAACAAATAATAATAAAATAGCCCAGGACTGAGAGAAGTGAATTTTGCCTTCCTTCATTTTAATGCAAACATTTCAAACCCAGGGTGTTTTGGATCCAAGCACATATGATAAAGGAACAGGGATCTAGGGAATCACCGTTCAAGACCTTTTTATCTCATAACTTGAACTGAAAGCTTCTATCTTGTTATAAACTCTTAAACTGTACTGTTTGTTTTACCGTGACTTATTGAATTGTCTGGGCTCTAGGCAGAAGTTTTAAAGCAGGCAATCTCATTCATTTTTACTGCCAATAACAGTGGTGAAGGAGAGGGAATGTTTGGACTCAGTTACTGGTTTTAGATGTATTGTTGTTTCATGCCTGTACATTTTACCACTCCAAGTAGAGACAACATTCTTTGACACGAGGGCCCTGCATCTGCCACCGAACACTGCATTTTGCATGCAGCAGATTTTGAGAGAAATAGTGCATCTTGTCTCAGAATAGAATAGGTATTAAATACACAGCTTGAAAGCCGGAATTTCTAGGTTCTGAACTCCTCCACTTATTAGCTATGTGATTTGGGGCAAGTTATTTAAATACTCTGTAGTTTCCTCATTGTACAAAAGGCATAAGTTTAGAATTTACAGTACCTTTCTCAGAGAAATGTTATGACAGTTAAACAAATTAACACACATAAGGTGCCCTCAATAGGGTCTGGCTAAGGAAGTGTTTAATAAATGTTAGGTGTTATTCTCACTGTTTACATGGGAGAATGATCACATGCTTTCTGTGGAAATAGAGATTCCCATGAGTAGTTGCTTCAGGTTGTAAAAGAGATCATCATGCTTCTATTATATCTAACTTAATTGAGCCTAGAGACAAGATTTATTTTTGTTTGAAGTATATTAGAAGATATAATTAGGATGAATGCCCAAGTTCCTAATCTAAACACTCCAAACCCATTGGGATTTACCTTGAACAACATATAAAGCTTAATGTTCCCTTTTCAAAGAAAATTTTGATCTTGGTCCAGGTCAGAAGGGCAGAAAATGCCAACACCGTAACCTCCATCCTACCCCCACCCCAAACCCTACAGAAGGACTAAGAAAACGAAAAGTCAACAACAGTAATAAGGGAGAAAGCTGTTTACAGTTGTAAACCTTTGGGGCTTGCTGTTTCACCAAGTTAAAAGTTCAGTTGCTGTTGCTTCTAGATTGTTTAGCTAAGCCTGTGGGCAAGATAGGAAGGTTGTTTCACTGTAGAGGATTTATTACAAACTAAAGGAGATGGAGTGAAAGAGGCATACATTTATGTAGTCCTTGGTGATATGTCAAAATAGTGGATATGCTCTTTTTATTTCCATTTGTCCCTTGGAAAATGAAAACCGTCATTTCTTATTTATGTTATAGATATAAGCTTAGGTGTTTGTGAAAAAGACAACAGGAGGAATTTTTTTTCAAAGAATATCATCTTTTTAAAGTATAAACATATGATTCCATGATATGTATATAGTGTATGTGTCCTATCACCACATAACAAGTTATCACAGACTTAGAAACTTAAGACAATGCCCATCTATTATCTCACAGTTCAGTAGGTTGGAAGTCTGGCACAGCATGATTGGGTTCTGCTCAGGGTATCACAGAGTTGAAATCAAGTCAGCCAGTTGCATCCTCATCTGGAGGCTCAACTCAGGAAAGGCCTCCCTCTAAACCCTTTCACATTAGTGTAAAATTCATTTCCAAGTAGTGTGGAAAGGAAATCCTTTTGTCTTGCTGGCTTTCAGTGAGGGACTGATCTCAGCAGCTAGAGGCCACCCTCAGGTCCTTCCCATGTAGTGCCCAGGGGCAGTTTACAACACAGATGCTGCCTTTCTTCAAGAGTTGCCTGTCCAAGAGCATCTCTCTGACATCCTCTTGTGCAACAAGCAAGAGAAAACTCTACTTTTACGGGGCTCATGTGATTAGATTAGGCCCACAAGAATAATCATATTTTAAGATCAACTGATTTGAGGAATTTAATTACATGAGCAAAATTTCTTCACAGCAGTACCTAGATTCACATCATTGAATAATCACTGGCTGGGAATCTTGGAGGCCCATCTTAAAATTCTGCCTACCAAAATACACATATGAAAGTATACAGTGGACGCTCACCTAGCATAGTCAGGGTAAGGGCAGTGGTAGGGAACTAACTGTCTTAGGTTTCTATTCTAGACGAATTGCTGTTAGAAACTTCACAATGATTAGTGTTTTTATGCTCTTAACAGCCCTTCCATTTTACAGGTGAGACAATGAAGGCTTCTTAGGTTACACAGCTAGAAAACAACCAGGCAAGATTTCAAACTTAAGAGTATCTGGATTCAAAGCCTATATGCTTAGCTCTGTATCTGTGGTTCTCAAACATTAGTATGTATTTTAATCAGTGGCAAGCTTTGCGTTCATTTCTAGGCTCTGATTCACTAGACCACAGCCTGAAATCTCAAGAAATTTAAGAAATCTTAAATTTAAGAACTCTTGCTCAATAGCAGTGTTTCCAAGAGATTCCAAAGAATTTCAGTGACTTACATAAGCTTGCTTACTTTACCAACAGATATTTTAACACCAAAAAATTTAGAGGAACATAATTACAGAATATAAGACCATCTTTTATCTCTTTATGTTTCTCACTTTTCTGTGCAATGATAATAAATTATAAGGAGTACACTAATCCAAGGTCTGGCATTTGGGAACCACTGTTGTATACTATAGTTGGAATGTTTTTAATTATTTACATGACATGCATGATTTATTAATTATCCATAAAATAAAATTTTTAAATAATTTTAAATATATGAATACTTTAATACAGTGTTACAAGTTTTGAAACCTCCAAAGACATTCCAGGATCCAACAGAGAATTAATCATTGTTCTACTGGTGTGCAGCAGTACTACTTAATGGAAACTCCTAGTCAATCGATTACTAGATTAACAATATCTTATAGTATGTATATGACTATATTCTCAGAATGATAAAAATGACAGAAAGAACCTCTTTGAACTTGTTTTCACAAGTTCTATTAGGTTGGTGCAAAATTAATTGCGGTTTTTGCCATTAAAAGTAATGGCATATTGATTCATGGAATATTGGGGAATAAAATAGATTTTAGAGACCTTAGGAAAAAGACATAAGAAATGGAAGAATGAAGCAGAATTGTCTAAATGCTCCATATGTTTCAATTACCATCTACATCAAATAGACCACATAGAAGTTGCATCTTACGCAGAGCCTGTGTTCAAAATTCAGCAGGAAATACAAAAATTACATAAAATCAAAATTGTTTTTGAAAATTGAATAAAGGGATAGAATAGACATTACTCTCTTCACTTAAGCACTAGATCAAGCATTTAAGTTTTGAGCCATTCTGTATTTTTAAAATGCCCAACAGTTTTTGTTTATATGGCTGTTTTTGTTGTCATCAGTTGTTATGTTGATTTTGCTGAGTCGTATGATTTCAATTCAGTTTAATGCACATATGATAGAGTTCCACTGTAGAACTTTCTGGAAGAGATAAATAATACATTACGCATTCCTATACTGCTGAATATGTTTACTTTAAATGTAAATGTAAATTAATTAAAATCAAGTAAAATGAAAAACTCAGTTTCTCAGTCACACTAGATACATGTCAAGTACTCAAAAGTCACCCATGACTGAAAGCTACCATATTGGACAGATACAGCACAGATATGGAAAATTTCCATCACCTAGAAAGTTCTATCAGAAGACACTGATCCACTTTTGGTTAAACGATACTCCTTGAGGGATGACTATGATAATAAAAGACTGATATACCGTGTCCTCCTCTGAGGTGTTAATCCTTTCTGATACCAGAGATCTAAAGAGGCTCCACTAGATTATACATCTGTTTTTGCACATTCACATTTTACTCACATATATTTTGGGGAAATCACAAATGCTAAAGAGGTAGATTAATATGGTAGGGGAAAAATAGCTCTGTTTCCAAAACTGGCTAATTCACTTACTAATTTAACTACCAAAAGCCAGTCCCCATAGGTCTCTGGGTCTTTGTTTCCTTGTCTGTGAAATGGAGATAATAATATCCACCTCACATGGGAACTGTCTGCTTGACTTAGATGATTCAAGGGGAAATATCTCAAAGCATCATACAATTCTGAATTATTATAAACTTGTTCTTGAAATGATTACATGCAACCAAGTTTGCATATTTATTAAAGTATAAGTAATAAAGATGTATGAAGTTAAAGTATATGTATATTATTATTAATTTTAGAGACAAGGTGTTCCTCTGTTGCCCAGGTGAAGTGCAGTGGCACTACCATAGCTCAGTGCAGCCTTGAACTTCTGGATTCAAGTGATCTTCCTGCCTCAGCCTCCCCAGTAGCTAGGGCAGCAGTCTTGCACCACCATGCCTGGCTAATTTTATTTAATTTTAATTTTTTTTGGTAAAGATGGGGGTCTTGCCCAGGCTAGCTCCAAACTCCTAGCCTCAAGGGATCCTCCTGCCTTGGCCTCCCAAAATGCTGGTATTACAAGCATGAGCCACAGTGCCTGGCCACATACATGTATATCCTTAAAACCCAACAGCAACCACAGAATTGTCTAGAAGTTAGACCCACAAAGTATATTTTCCTGGAAGGAATATTTTATCATTAACTTTGTTTAGAACTGCCAGAGTGTGATAATAATAAAAAGCAGACTGAATTTTTGTTGACTTTATTTTTGTTTTAAATATTCTCCCTCCATCCTGTCCTTGGTATACCAGGGTATTGAGTGTACTCCACCCAGTGCCTCATTCTCGCTCCAACTCATGGCTTTGTTAGTCTTTTTATAAAAGATTTATTATATTCTGCCTGTAATATGTTTCCCTTCCCTTGTTAAATCATAGATTGCATGAGTGCAGAGATTATATCTGGTTCATTTTTATACCTCCCAAAAGGGCCCAGCACAGTGCTGGCACAAAGTCAGGTCTCAGAAATCACTTGTCTGTTGAACTGAGATTAGCAACAAGTACTTTAGATGAATTTAGAAGACAACTTTTATTTAAAAAAGAAACACAGCATTTAATTATAATGCTTTTGGCCACAAATAATAAATACCTAACTAAAAAATGTCTTGGTTGATACAGACATTTCATTTCCTGCATAACAAGAAGCTTGGAAATATACATACCCAGGGCTGGTTTGGAGCCTCAATACTGCCAGAGCACTGGGTTGCCTTCTCTAGAATTTTGTTGGCCTCTTCCTCATGGTGCCCAAATAGGTGCAGTAGATCTGTATGGCATATCTTCACACCAAACATACCCAACAAGAAGGGAGGGAGGGAAAAGTCTTACCTTCATCCATCTCTCTTTAAGAAGAAAATTCTTTCCCAGACACCTTCCAGCAGAGATCTTCTTAATTAAATTAGTCGGCACTGGGTCTCAGGCTTACCTCTGGCATTTTTAGCTTAAGGACTGTGTAATATTGGCTCCAATTGCCTCTGCTGCAGTACAGCTATCCCTAACCCCCATAGGTAATAATTGCATAATCAGGCCTTCTTTGTGATCTCATGTTCTTTTACTTTCTCCATTTCTCTGTTCTGTTTCTTTGGTACTCCATATCATCTGCTGGTTATTGTTCACATCTGCATGTTAAAATGCATTTAATTTGAGATAACCCAACAGCAAAAAGCTAGAACCTAGGACAAAGATTCAGGAAACTCTGAATGACCTCATATTCTGCAAGGTAAATAAAATACGGATGACATATTAGTTTTCTATTGCTGCTAGACAAATTACCACAAATGTAGTGGCTTAAAATAACATTAATTTGTTCTCTTAAAATTTTGAAAGTCAAAAACACAAAAAGAGTCTTGAGTGACTAAAATGAAGGCATCAGCAGGGCTTGTTCCTTCTGGAGGCTCCAGGAGAGAATCTGTTCCTTGCTTCTTCCAGCATTGGAGTGGGACAGCATTCCTTGTCTCCTGGCCACATCACTCCAATTTCTGCTTCTGTTGTTACATCACTTTCTCCCCTGTTGTGCATAATCCTTGAGAATATCTGTTTTCTGGTCACTGGCCCATTTCACCTGCTAATCCCAGTAGCTTTTATTTTAATGAATCCAGTTAGAACTATATAAAACAGTGTATTCTGTTTTATGGGAAGACACTTCCTTTGAATTTTGTGATTAAGAGAAAGTGTTTGGAAGATGCCAGGGGCCACACTGTTTTCTCAGCAGAACCTCCTGCCTCTCCCTCTGTGTTTACACAAATTTAACCAAATAATTGCATTATTACAACACTGCCAGCCTTCAAATTATAGAACTTCTGTTAATTTAAATTTCAGGCTATTGGCAGAAAGAACTTTAGAATGGGTAATGCTTTTAACACTCTCAGAAAACAAGTAGGGGTAGTGGCTGTTATGTAGCAGGCAATGACTGTATCTGCCTCAGATAAGTCTTCATTCCTCTCATGTTTATTGTAAGTAAACTAAAGTTAAAATTTATGTAGCTTGTTGAAAGCCACACAGAAAATATGTGAAGGACCTGTGAAATAAACACAGTGTGATTCCAGAGCTCACATTCTTGTTAGCATGCTCTAGTGCCTCCTCCATTTCTGGCTCACATAGCTGGACTGAGGGAGCTGAGAAACTGAATATACAAAGGAACCACAGCCAGACCATCGATAAAAATGAACTCTGACCCACAATCTGCAGTAACCACCCCAGGAAGCCAACCTGCTATGTAGAGTAACCAGTCCAGGAAGTCAAACTACTGTCTCTGGCAACCAGTCCAGGAAGCCAAACAATATCTTTGTAACAATAGGCTCTAAACAGCCAGGACTTGATTAATAACTGGCAGCATCTCTATTTTTTCCCCCATTTTCAAGATAGGATCAACTTTGAACAGTCAAATATATGCCCCTAACCAATAACACAGGGTGTCCACTTCTAGCTATCCTGTCTACAGCTTCCCCATTCCAACAGCCTGTAATCAGGCTACCTCTAAAGCCTTTCTGTTTTTTATGGTAAAGCTTTCTCCTTCCTCTGCCTGCCCACAAGTCTCTGCCAGACACAAGTGATGGTGGCTGACTCCCTTGCTCTAGCACGCTCTGAATCAGTGGCCTTTTCCTATTCTTCTTTGCATGCTCTGTTTATTTCCACAGAGGTGTCTAGTAAAGAGAGAGAAAATGCTGGCACAAGAGAAAAATTGATCTTGAATAGAATGAGTTTGATGCCTTTGAAGTATCTAAGTCTGTATATCTGGTAGGCACTTGGATATATTGATTTGAAGGGTCTAAGCAGTAAAGAGTGGATAAAGTAGTAAAAAGTGAGAATATATGAGGTATTAGAACTGATCCTGGAGAAGCTCCTGTATTTAATGGCTTGGAAGAGCAGCATCAACCTACAAAAGAGTGTGAAGTATGATGGGGGTGATAGGAAAAAAACTAGAGCAGTGGGGCCATGAACATCAAGAGAAGAGAGGTTGTAGAAGGAAGTGATTTACAGTGTCTAATGTGGTGGAGAGTTCGGTGGATTTGGCAATATGGAGGTCTGTGGTTACCTAGACAAATGCTACCATGATGGCACAGATTACAGACTCACGGGGTTGAGTAGGATGAAGGGTCAGGAAAGAAAGACTTAAAATTTAGAGAACTTGGCCAGGTGTGGTGGCTCACCCCTATAGTCCCAGCACTTTGGGAGGCCGAGGCAGGTGGAACACGAGGTCAGGAGTTTGAGACCAGCCTGGCCAACATGGCGAAACCCCATCTTTACTAAAAATAGAAAAATTAGCCAGGTGTGGTGGCGGGCACCTGTAATCCCAGCTACTCAGGAGGCTGAGGCACAAGAACCACTTGAAGCTGGAAAGTGAAGGTTGCAGTGAGCTGAGATTGGGCCACTGCACTCCAGCCTGGGTGACAGAGGGAAACTCCATCTCAACAAAAACAACAAAATAATGAGAGAACTTTCAACAAGTTTGTCTTTGAAGAGAGGAGGATGAATATGTGCTGGAAGATAAACTAGGATGTGAAGATGAGAGAGACATACTTAAAGGTGACTAAGGTCTGCACATATTTAAACGTTGACAGGAAGGATCCATTTGAAAGGTGTTAGATGATTCATAGGAGAAGAAAGTGGGTAACCTACCTCAGGTTCTTGAGGAGACTGGAGGAGAGGGACTGAAATCTTAGATAATAGAAGGAACAGCTATTTTAATCTACCAGGAGAGAAGAAGATGAAGACTGTTGTCTAGGTCAGTGGATTTGTCATTTTCAAGAGGGTCCCTTTAAAAAGCTTTGGTTTTCTGATGTGAGATTGGCGATGTTTCAAATAGTCACTATAGAAATTAGGAGAGGTAGTGTACCAGGGAAGTGGTGGAAAGATTACCAGGCAGAACTGAAAGCCCCTTTGAGATTTACATAGTGAATTTATTGTTATACGATATCAGTAAATTGACCCAAGAATGTGAGGTTGTACATTATAACTGACTTGGAGAAATAAGCCAGCTGAGACTGAGAAGGAAAAGAAAATATTTGTAATGAGGTGAAATTGGTTTTGGAGAGTAGATAGGGAGAACCCAGGAGTGAAGTTGGGTGAGATTTAGGTGATGACATAGGCCCAGTGTTTCAAGGTTTGAGAAATGTCAGGAAACTTTGTAAGGTTTGCTTGAGTTACACCAGTATATCAAGGCACTTTAGAATCCATCTGCTCGAGAACATTTTATAAACCTCCTAAGAACACTGTTAGTGTTTTATTGGATGGAGTCCAATTTGTTTGGGGATAATACAAAGATAATATTTCCTAAGGGTCTAAGGTTTTTTTCTATTGCTTTCTTGAACTTTCTATTATGTGTGTCTTAGAAGGAGGAGCTTCAAAATGAAATGGGGGAAAAGATGTTATCATCCTTGCATGATAATAGTTATTAGCATTAATTGAGTACTTACAACGAGCCAGACTCTGCCAAATGTTTGCCTACATTACCTCATTTCATCCTCCCAATACCCATATAATTTAGGACCTATTATTATCATCATATTGCAGTCAAGAAAACCAAGATGCAGAGAGACTGATGACTTGCTGAAGGTGCCTAAAGTGATGGAGCCAGGACTAAAACCCAGTACCTCCTCAGGCAACATTGTGATGTCAGCAAATATTTAGGCACTTCCCAATTCATTCTGCAAATGTCTCCTTTCACACTCAGACCTTGCCTGACACTCCCACCTTTTCAAGATGACATGTCTTCTATCTCCTTTCCAGCTGAGGCAAGAAAACAATCTTTGCTAATGAGCTAATCATGTGCTTCCAGACATCATATTCATAATTTATTAGGAAATTTTCTGCAGGCCTAAATCAAAGGGATCGCACTAATGATGCTTTTACTCTATTTTCAAGCTCTTCTACGCTATAAAACTGCAGAAGAAATCAACAGAACAGTTTTCATATATTATGGCTCTAAAATCAAGACCTCTGAAGCTCTGGACCAAATCACATTGTCAGCTTTGTCACTAGAAGTGAGCAGGTCTGTGGGGATGGGGGAATGAAGAATTGACACAGGCTATAAATGAATCAAAGCTCATGGTAATTTAAAAATCAATCACTTTAATGTGACTCGAGCTTCCCCATCACCCAAGAAAACACGTTCTTGTATGTTTGTGTGAGTGTGTATGCATACTCACATGCATGTGTACATATGTATCGGAATTGCTTTCAATTCCTTAAATAAATATAATACACTTTTCAGGTCCTAAAACATAGGAGAGGATGGAAAGGTGGGGAGAAGAGTCAATAACAGTATGCCTGTCTATAGGGCAAAACAAGCTTGGAAGATGAGGCGAAAACAGCACAAAGCACCCAAAGACTGGGTTCCCACATTTAAAGAATGTTTCAGTTGATCACCTCTGTCCTATTTTCAGAGAGAAGTTCAAGGTAAAGTAGTTAAAGACAGTATGTGTTGGCAGGGGCCAGGGTGCTACTGAGTGAATAAATTAGGGGTGGTAAGTAAAAGAGATGGAAACAGGAGGAGTACAGAAGAATGAGTAAATCAGTCAGATTGGGTAGAGACTGGAGCAAAATAAGAACAAGAAGCAGATGCCTCAGAACCCCGGGGAGCAGCCTCCAGAAGTGAGCAGAAGTAGGGAAAATGAACACCTACACACAGACAACACTGATTAGCTTACTATGTCAGGAACACAAAGGAAAACCACTTCAGAAACCATCTGAGAAAAGCAAAAGGAAAACAAGAACCCTCCCAGCTGGCCTCCTTCGCCTCTCTCTCTCTCTCTCTCTTTCCCCCTTCTGACTGTGATCATGCTGCTGCTCCCTCTGCTCCTCCCATCCTATCTGCTGTCACTCAGATCTTTCTTTTTTGCCCTGCAAAGATCTCTGGAAATCCCAATTCCTCTAGACAGCCTTTTCTAGCTAAATGAAAAGAGGTGTTGCTGATCTCTCCTCCTGGTAGCAGACGGTTGGCACCACAACGCCTGACTCAGGTTATCCTCAATGTAAATATTTCATAACCAGGGCTCCCACCACAGCATTAGCTCTTGGCTTAGTGTACTCCGTGTGTGTGTGTGTGTGTGTGTGTGTGTGCACGCACATGCATGGCCACACATGCTGTGGACTGATTGGGTCCTGCCAAAATCCATGTGTTGAAGCCCTAGACCCTAATGTGGCCAGCTGGAAATAGGGTCTTTACGAGATCATTAAGGCTAATGAGGTCATAAGCATAAGCATGGGGCCCTAATCCCATAGGACTGTGTCCCTACCCCTTCCTCTCCCCCTCCCCACCAAGTGAGGACACAGTGAGAAGGTGGCATCTGCAAGCCAAAGGAGAGAAGCCCCCATGAGAAACAAAACCCTACCAGAACTTCGATCTTGGACTTTTCAGCCTCCAGAACTGTGAGAAAATAAATTTCTGTTATTTAAGCCACCCAATCTTTGATATTTTATTATGGCAGCCTTGAGCAGACTATGACAGTTTGTGTGGGTAGGGGGTGGCTGCAGTTGTGAAGAGTGTTGGTTGAATTTAGGTCACTTATGTTAGAATAAAACTCCCACAAGGCAAGGATTGTCAATTTAAATTACTTACACCAAGGAGCACAGTATTTATGTATGGCAAGTATCTAATAAATACCAGTAAATTCTGCTGTTTCTTTTAATTTGGGGGTGACAAATGACTTCTGCGTGTTTTCCTTTTATGTATACAGTTGGATCCCCCCTTCATGTTCCCCTCTGCCTCCTCTAATGCAGTAGAATGACAAATGAAAATTAGAAATCTAACAATGCATTATATTCACCTTTGTACTTAGCATGAGTGAATCATCCACTTTTCCCATGTCTGTGTCACATATAGGCAAACAATAAATATCTGATAAATGAATGAATGAAATCTCCGCGCCCCATGTCTGGCCAGGTCTGTAGGTTAACGGGCAATGGAATGGCAAATGGAGAGTTGTAACGGGATAAGGAGAACCAATCAAAAGGTATGGGCTGGAAAAGACAAATCATTTTAGCCCAACGGGGACTTTGTATATAAATTGACCTGTCACTAGGATCACGAAGCAGTACACAAATGAACCCTGAAAGTAGTTGTAGTTGTTGAAAATTAGTTCCTGCCCTAGAAAAGTGTTTCCTTGAGATGACTCATCTCAAGATGTCTTCCAGGGCAGTAACACTCAATCTTCTGATTTCCTTTCTTCCCTGGGAAACAAATAAAATCTCTTTTTAGCATGCTTCTCTCTAACATTTGTGGGAAAAGTATCAGTGTGAATAGTTTGAAGTGATTTTGCTCATTTTCCTGTAATACAGGTGGTGTCTAAGCTCGATGCTTTTTGTTGAAGACACTGGCAGGGCATCAGTGAGTGTGTAGCCATGAGACCCACTTCCCCACATAAAACAGCCATCTGCCAACAAAACAAATGTGTTTCCATTTCATACATTGGTGTTTTATGAAACAATTTAAATTATGCCGACGGCACATTAACACCAAGCGAAATGTCTTACCCCATGACGGGAACAACAGTACATTTCCTCATGGAGGCAGTGTTTCAGAAATTTATGTGGCAAATGAAAGCATCGGAAATAACTTCAATGGATGATATCTCTGAAGCACTAAAAGCATCTCTGTTGTGGATGCACTAAATAATTAGGATTGTTGCTGGAAGAGAAAGAGCGTAAGTTTTGAGAAGAGAAAAAAACCCCTAGGAGATTTTTCTGAGTTATGTTAGCTGACTGGAAAAGAGTAAAATATACTGTATTAAAGGCAAGTGGAGTAGTCATGGGCTGGTTTTTCTTACACTTAACTGGCTGAATTGCATGTGCTTTGCTCACTGGACATAAATATATAAGCAGTCAATGGCCCTAAGAAGCATCAAAACATTTTTCATTTTGTATATGCAGGTTAGTCATAGCTGCGCTACAGCTAGCAGTGGCTAGATGTAATTATAAGAAATACGTATTTGGCAGGTGTTCCTGGTTCCTAACACAAAGCTTCTAAAACCCTTGGAATTTCCTGGATGACAGGAGCATCTCTCGTCCTAATGAGGCCACTGTTAGAGGGCCCCTAGGTAGCTTCAGGATAGGAGCTGGTCACCAGAAGGACCGAGGCATGATTAGAGAGTTGGGACTTTCAGCCCCACTCCTCAACCTCTGGGGAGGGGAAAGGGGCTGGAGATTAAGTTAATTACAAACACCTAATGATTTAACCAATCATGCTTTCATAAAGCCCCTAAAAATGAGATTCAGAGAGCTTCTGGGTTGGTAAATACAACAAAGTGCCAGGAGGGTGGCACACCTCGAAAGTGCATGGAAGCTTTGTGCCACTTCCCACGTACCTTGCCCTATACATCACTTCCATCTGGCTGTTCCTGAGTTGTGTTCTTTCTAACAAACCAGCAATAAGAAGTAAGGTGCCTTCCTGAGTTCCATGAGCTGTTCTGGCAAATTATTGAACCTAAGGAAGAAGCTGTGAGAGTTCCCAACTTTACAGCTGGTCACTCAGAAATAAAACTGACCCAGACTGACTGTTGGTGTCTGAAATGGAGGAAGTCTTGTGGGACTGAGCCCTTAATGTGTGGGGTCTGTGCTAACTTCAGATAGTGTCAGAATCGAAAGGAATTACAGGATGCCCAGTTGGTATCCAGAGAGTTGGAGAATTGGTTGGTGTGGGACAAAAACCACTTATTTGGTGTCAGAAGTGGTGTGGGTAAAGAACAGTTCAGACTGGGCCAGGCGTGGTGGCTCACGCCTGTAATCCCAGCACTTTGGGAGGCCAATGCCGGGGGATCACGAGGTCAGGAGATGGAGCCCATCCTGGCTAACACGGTGAAACCCCGTCTCTACTAAAAATACAAAAAATTAGCCGGGCATGGTGGCGCGAGCCTGTAGTCCCAGCTACTTGGGAGGCTGAGGCAGGAGAATCACTTGAACCCGCGAGGCGGAGGTGGCAGTGAGCCGAGATCGTGCCACTGCACTCCAGCCTGGGTGACAGAGCAAGACTCCATCTCAAAAAAAAAAATAAATAAATAAAAACAGTTCAGACTGATGCACCCCTTTCCCCACCAACATATGGCAAAAACATAGTTTATAGTCTTTGTATCACATATGTTTCTTAAATATTTTTTACCCTTCATAAAGTTCTGCTGTGTCTTTCTCTCCTAAAAATAAAATCCCCAGAATGAGAGAGGAATAGCACTGTGGTGATTCACAAATGAGGAAATGGAGACTCGAAGGGGTCATTCAGAAACCTGCCCACTGTCCATCAGTGGCAGCACCTGGTGTCCTTTGTTCTCAGGCAAGGACTCCATTAATAACTACCACTTTTGAGGCAGTCACTAGACGTCAGTTTGCTGGTAAATTATTTCATTTAACCTTCTCAATAATTCAGTGAGATAGGGACTATTATTTTGCACATTTTAACAGATGAGGGGATTGAGGCATAGAGATGTTAACCCTGCCCGAGATTGCACAGCTACTGAAATGGGGAGCCAGGCATTTCCTGTAGGCGGTCTGGCTCTCAGATTCCAGGCCTTTAACCACTGCATCATACTGCCATTTTAAAGACATAAACACTTAGAATACGTTCTTAAATTGTAGTGTACATAAAAATTTCTGGGAACCATGTATTCAGTAGATCTGGGCTGGGGCCCACACTTTAAGAACACCTCTACTGTCTAGACGTTATAGTTGAGATGGGCTAGGATTCTTTTGCATCTCTTTACTCCGGCATATGCTTTGGACATTCTGCCTAGTAGCCTGGTGTCCAGGGAACACTCACCTTCCATGTGTGGATGTTGTTGAATGGAGTAAAAAAATCACTAGCTGTGTGACCTTCTGGTAGGAGAAGTTGAGTTTCCCTGTTCTGTTTTCCTTCACAGTGAATAAATCCTTCATTTCCTGAGGTTTTGGCTCATGAGAGGATGCTCAATCCACCTTGCTCCTTCTTGACCCATGTGTCATGCTGAGTTGTTCTGCACCAGGAATGAGAGCATATCTGTGTTCTCCTTCCCCGTACTGTCCAGGGAATCTCACCATGGATAATCTTCACCACACTGGGAAGAGACTCATTTGCACTAAGTGATTGCACTGAAAATACGTGCTAGATGTAATTAAATGAGATTACCCATGAATTCTCTCATGCTGGGAATGGAGATAGGGGCTGGGGGAGGAAGGATAGAAAGAAGGGGAATTAAAATGTGCCGTATCCACTATGCTTGACGCTTTGGGTAAATTAATTGAATTCTCACAGCAGCCATTCAAGGAGCATATTATCCACCTTCTTACAGATGAGGGACCTGGGCTTTGAGGAGTTAGGTAATGTGCCGAAGTTTGCACAGCTAATAGATGACAGACTTGACATTTTATTCCACCTTATCTGGTTCCAACGAGTATGTTCCTTCCATAATACCATGCTGCCTACTGAGAGGAAGGCTGGCCAAGATAGGACAAGGGCTAGCTGGGGTGAGCCCCTAGGTGACTCTAACACCTCAGAATGCAAATCTTTAACCTTTGAGCTGTAGCTGCCTTCTAGCAAGTGGTGAGTTAATAGAGGTTTCCCTGAGAGGTTCCCAAGGTTTAAGGGCTTGCATGGATTTTATCCATTGCAACTAATTAAGAAACTTCTTCAGAAATTGTGGCTACAGAGTGTTAGGTAACTGTACATATAAACATCTATTTTTCTACTGATATGAATAAAATATAGTGTGACTTGAAGCCAGCCCTAGGCAGTATTATATTTGTTTTCAAGAGTCACATGGAGGTCTTCACAACATTAGAGATGGTCAAAATGATTTTCCACTACGTATTTCCTTGAAATGGCTGTGGTACAAGTAACAAGCTCCTTTTCCTTTGAAGAATCCTATATTAGCCTTTTATTTTTTTACTCTTAAAGATATAATTTGAAGATAGGACTAACATGATACTATAAAATGACTCCGTTCAACAACTCCTTCATTAAAATTGTCTTTAGCTTCCCAAAGAAACTGATGTTCCAGGCGGGGTGCGGTGGCTCACACCTAAAATCCCGGCACATTGAAAGTCTGAGATGGCAGATCACCTGAGGTCAGGAGTTCAAGACTAGCCTTGCCAACATGCTGAAACCTTGTCTCCACTAAAAATACAAAAAATTAGCCAGATGTGGTGATGGGCACCTGTAATCCCAGCTACTTGGGAGACTGAGGAAGGAGGATGGCTTAAAGCCAGGAGTTGGAGGTTGCAGTGAGCCAAGATCACGCCACTGCACTCCAGCCTGGGCGTGACAGAGCAAGACTCTACCTCAAAAAAAAAAAAAAAAAAAATTGATGTTCCATCACTCCTGTGGAACTGTAATCAATATTGAATTGTTGTCTTTGTGTAAATAACTCCAATTTTGTGTAAATTACTTAAATTTTGTCCTTGAATAAGTTATTTTATTTATTATTATTATTATTTTTGAGATGGAGTCTCACTCTGTCACCCAGACTGGAGTGCAGTCGTGTGATCTCGGCTCACTGCAAACCCCGCCTCCTGGGTTCTAGCGATTCTCCCGCCTCATCCTCCTGAGTAGCTAGGACTACAGGCATGTGCCACCACGCCCAGCTAATTTTTTGTATTTGTTTGTTTGTTTGTTTGTTTGTTTGTTTTGAGACGGAGTCTCGCTCTGTCGCCCAGGCTGGAGTGCAGTGGCGCGCTCTCGGCTCCCTGCAAGCTCCGCCTCCCGGGTTCACACCATTCTCCTGCCTCAGCCTCCCGAGTAGCTGGTACTACAGGAGCCCGCCACCACGCGCGGCTAATTTTTGGTATTTTTAGTAGAGATGGGGTTTCACCGTGTTAGCCAGGCTGGTCTCGATCTCCTGACCTCGTGATCCCCCCGCCTTGACCTGCCAACGTGTTGGTATTACAGGCGTGAACCACCGCGCCCGGCCACGTAAATTATTTAAACACATTTCTCCTCTGTTTAAAAACAAAATACCTTTCTCATTTATATCTGGAAACTGTTGTATCAAGGGAAAAAAAAGCAGGTATAATGCTTCAGTAAGTTTACTACGCTATACAAAGAGAAAGAATTCCTTCAAACTATAATGACTGAATTACTTTTCAGGATTAGCCTGTTGGTTTCTTTAGTTAGTAGGTAGTTAATAACATTTGTAAGTATAATTCCTTTTCATTTATGTAGTGCATACATATACTACAATTAACTATGTGCAGGCATTTTATAAATAGCAACTCATTTAATTTATTAGGAAGATTGTCCTTTTAGACATCCATTGCTTTAGAATACCCTCTGTCTGTTGGTAAGAAGTTGTATCATGCCTTTGAAACTGACAAATTCTATGCTGTGTGATTTGCAGAACTTTATTAAAAATGTATTTTGTATAATCTTTGTTATAATTTTTAGTCCCTTTCCATTGATGTTAGTGTGAATTTTTTATTTCTTTCCAATGAAAGTTCTAGGTGAGTGATGTTTAATAGCCAGGTCAGAGGAGGGAATGAAGATGATGATTTGTAGCATTTGCCAATTTCTTTGGAGTAAATAGCTGATTTGATACTACTGACATGATGCCACAACATGGAGTTGGGAAGAGATCCTAACAATCAGCTCCCATGAGTCATCTTTTTCATTTTTTAACTTAAGGATGCTGTACATTTGGGTTTAGTGAGAATGATTTAGATACCTAGACAAACTCAGAAAAAAAAGCAAATGTCTCATAAAGTGTAGGATATTAATGGCCTAACTTTCCTATATTGGTATAGTTGATAAGATTTGAAATCTCATATACAAACCAATAGGAAGACTTCATAAGAATTAATATACTTACATGAGTCATTTTTACTAGAAATTAAATGCAGTCACAAGTGAATGAGAGCTTCTTAAATTCAGGCTAGCTCAGCTAAAGGAAGCAGGATAAGCAGTGGCCTTGTCAGTATGATAATGTAGACTGATAAAAAGAGTCCCCTACTAATATTAACCACCCACAACCTGTAATTATTGTGATAAGAAAGTCAGTGGAATAAATGATTGTACATGGTAAGCATTAAAGAGGACAGGACTACAATTCAGCAGAAACAAATTCCAGGGCCTGCCTCCTATCTGTGTCACTTAAAATCTTATTTTGTCTCACCTGTTTCATCTTTATATTGGAAATATTAATAATTGTTGAAAGTATGAGTGTCACAATGCCTTAAAAGTCAAAGGCATTATACAGATATCATATATGAATAATAAGGTGTGTCTTATGTAGGGGTTAGATTCCAAAGTCAGAACATGGGAAGGCAGAAATTGTGGGTAATGTCAATCCATGCTTCTGATCCTTTAGATATACCAACATCCCCAGAAAATAATAAATATTGGTGGATCAAAGTGGGCACTAACCTGAATAATTCTTACTGAACAAAGCCTTACAAGTATTACCAGCCTGGATTCTCTTTGTCCACTGAGACATAGAAAAGTAACATCTACACTGATTCAAGTCCGAAGACTTATTCAAGATCTTAAAAAAGTCCTGAAGCACTGTTACTCCTTTTTTTAAAGTAAAAGAAGAACTTTTTTGAGTTATAATTTACATACCATAAAGTTTCTAGGGTGTATAATTTAGTGGATTTTAGTAGACTACAAGTTGTGCATCCCTCATCACTCTCGAATTCCAGAACACTTTCATTCTTTCAAAAAGAAACTCTTTACCCATTAGCAGTCATTCCCCATTTCCGCTCATCCCAGTCCCTGGCAAACACTAATCTACTTTCTATATCTAGATTTGCCTATTGTGAACATTTAATGTAAGTGGAGTCTTACTCTATGTGGCCTTTTGTGTATAAAATTGTGATTTATCTGACAACATAGATGAATCTTGAAAACATTACGCTCTTTCACTTAGCATAATGTTTCACTTAGCATAATGTTTTCAAGGCTCATCCATGTTGCAGGATGAATCACAATTGTATTCCTTTTTATGGCTGAATAATATTTCGTTGTATTGTATACCATATCAAGTGACAGACATTTGGATAGTTTGCATTTTTTATTATGAATGATGCGGCTATGAATATCTATGTACAAGTTTAGACATGAAAATATGTTTTCAGTTCTTTTAGATATATGCCTCGGAAAAGAATTGCCAGGTCATATAACTCTGGTTAACATTTTGAGGAACTGCTAGACTGTTCTCCAAAGCAGCTAAACCATTATGTATTCCCACTAACAGTGTTTGAAGGTTGCAGTGTCTCCATATCCTCACCATCTATTGTTAGTGTTATCTTTTTCATTACAGTCATCCTGGTTGGTGTGAAGTTGTATCTCATTGTGGTTTTGATTTGCACTTCCCTAATGACTAATGATATTGAGCATTGTTTCCTGTGCTTATTGTCCATTTGTATATTTGCTTTAGGTCTTTGTAATATTTCACTGGAAGTGTCCCCAGTACAATCTACTTCCCAAATGGTTCCTTACCTCTTCTCAGTCCTATATGTTCCCCATTCTTCCCTCTAGAATGGGGTTCTTTGGTTCCTAAGAACCAAAATACAAATTTATCTCATTTTTTCATAGAGCACAGCTTAACTTTCTTATTTTCTTTCTTGAGTTTTTACTAATACTCATATTTTTAGGGCTTCTCACTTTCTTCTTCACAAGAATTCATTTCCCCCCTGAAAGACAATTCATCCCTAATAGGGATTCGGGTGCCATTTTTCATGCCATTGTTCTCAACAAGTTTTGATGGGGTAGTGGGTAGAGAGTGTTCCTAGCGGTGAATAGAGAGCCTAGCTACCTGAGCAGTGAAAAAATAAGGATCACCAAGGGGATAAATGAAAGGCATTAAAAAGGGCAAGAAAAAAACGTTTATGTTGATGGGTGTCAGCTATTTCAATATGCTGCGAGTGGCTGAGGGAGCAGAAAGTGTCTTATAGGTTAGCTCAGTGTGAGGGCAGGGTGAAGATTACTCAGTAGAAGGGGAAAAGAAACCAGTGGTTAAGTATACAAAACTTTGGATTTTTTATTATACAGATCCATAATCCTTTACAGTCGGCATTTTATAATTCAGTGTTTTTCAGATTTTAGAAAAGTGATACAACAGATGTAACATACATTACATAGCACCCTAGTAGAGTCTAAGGCAGCATCCCATAATCATACACAGCATTAATTGTGTATAACAGCGAGTGGGATAAGAAATCTAAATAGCTTTACACCAGTTTAGGCTTGGATTGGTTGCCAGACGAGTTAGGCAAAAAATTTTCTATTTTCTTTCAGTTTGGGTTTTTTACTTGTTCATTCTGAATGTCATATCATGGACCTGTATCTTTCAAATGAAAAAATGTATAGGTGATAAGCCATTCTTCAAACATTCTCTTTTGGGGAGACCACTCAGCAAGGTTAATGAGGATGAAAATGATGTTTCCCAAGTGCCAGTCTTCTTTCCAGCTGGTTATTAGGTCAGTGGTCAACACAACGCACAGAGAAGCTTCCCTGCTTAGAAGCATTCACTTTGGCCTCATCACCAGCTTTCATTTCAACTTCAGTCTTTTACAGTTTATTGCAGTAAATATAGTTGAAACACAAGATAATGGGCAAATGTTATTCAGGACATTGATGTGAAGCTCCAGAAAGAAAAAGAAACCACCACAGAGAGGAGAGTAGCAGGAAAGAAGACAGTAGATAAAAACAACATTAGGAAAATAGCTACTCCCCACGGAAGGCCCATCGCTGTACCAAGTCTGTCCTTGGAATATCTTGAATGATAATAAATGAGCACAGGGTTCCAGAAGGAGTGACTGACAACCTTTGTACGGATTTAATTGAGGAATTAGTCTTAATTTGCTTTTTGTTTTTGAATGACTTTAAAGGGACTCTGATGCAGGTGCGGTCTAATGGAAAATCCTCTTGATTTACCCAACCTCCTTGTCAGAATGACCCTAAGGGGCATCATTTATTTTCATTATAAAGGTTTTCATTTTGTTAGAGTCACTCTGGTGGGAATATTTTACATACATTAACTCTAAAATTCATAACCTTGAAGTAGAGGTTCTAACATCCCCATATAAACAAAAAAATTGAGGTTTGGAGAGGTTAGCTAATTTATACAAGTTATACAGTAAATAATTTGTTGCATTGGGATTCAGACACAACTCTGTCTGATGATAAAGTTCTTGTTCTTTCTGCTGCTTATGATTCCTCTTTAATTGATACCCTGCTTTTGTCACTGTCCACATGGATACTGATTTTGCTGTATAGTGTCGAGACCTATAGACCTGGTTTCAAATCTAAGCTTTACCACATACTGACTGTATGACCTGGGAATAGTAATGATAGTAGTGGTAATAAGAGTTACCATTCAGTATGTATCAAGCACTATTCTTAAATATATATATAACATACACATAATTATATAATTTCTTAGTGTGTGTGTGTATATATATATATATATATATATAAAATCATTCAGTCTTCACAACAATCCTGCAGGTGTGTAGGATTATTATGCTATTTACAGATGAGGAAACTGAGACAGAAAGTGGTTAAATCACACAATTTATAAGAGGCAGGAGATTTCAACACAATATTCTATCTGCAGAATTCATGAAATTCAACTATTTCACTATAAAGCCTAAGAAGTTAAACTCTTTGAGATTACATTTCTTATTCATTAACATTGTTTATTAATAATTAATATTAATAGTATTGGCTATTCATGACCAACACATTATTATTTAACAACATTCATATTTTATTCAGATTTCCTTAGTTTTTACATAATGTCTTATTATTTTTAACTTTAAGGGCTGGGGTACCTGTGTCAAATGTGCAGTTTCATTATGTAGGTGTACACGTGACATGGTGGTTTGCTGTACCCATCAACCTGTCACCTGCATTAGGTATTTCTCCTAATGCTATCCCTCCCCTAGCCCCCCACCCCCTGAGAGGCCCTGGTGTGTGATGTTCCCCTCCCTGTGTCCATGTATTCTTATTGCTCAACTCCCATTTATGAGTGAGAACATGCGGTGTTTGGTTTTCTGTTCTTGTAATTGTTTGCTGAGAATGATAGTTGGTAGATTCTGGATATTAGTCCTTTGTCAGATGGATAGATTGCAAAAATTTTCCCCCATTCTGTAGATTGCCTCATCAGTCCGATGATAGTTTCTTTTGCTGTGCAGAAGCTCTTTAGTTTATTTAGATCCTATTTGTCAATTTTGGCTTTTGTTGCCATTGCTCTTAGTGTTTTAGACATGAAGTCTTTGCTCATGCCTATGTCCTGAATGGTATTGCCTAGATTTTCTTCTAGGATTTTTATGGTTTTAGGTCTTATGTTTAAGTCTTTAATCCATCTTGAGTTGATTTTTGTATAAGGTGTAAGGGAGGGGTCCAGTTTCAGCTTTCTGCATATGGCTAGCCAGTTTTCCCAACACCGTTTATCTATAAAATAGAATACTATCTACCTTATATAATTGTTGTAAGCATCAAATGAGAAAATATATGCGAAGAACTTATCACAGCCCCGACACATAAACACAAAAAAAACCATCCCACAATGTTCATTTTCTTCTCCTTTTCTCTGAAGCCAGTACAACAATTTCACAGACAGTATTTAATATTTGCTACACTGGTGACCTGGATCACTTTTAAAAGTCAGAGTGATCTGGAGCAATACAATGTGCAATATGAACCCTTGGAATAGAACTGAATCCCAGCATAAGAGGGGCTCTCAGATTCATACAAGCTGGTGGAGTAAGACTCCAGGGACAGATATGAACTGAGAATCTGCACTGATTGCATGATAAAGGAAGGAAGGAATCCACTTGAGTGTATAACAATCACCATTTGATGCAGTCTGTTCCGGGAGAGTCTTCAGTACCTATTCATTGCCAAAATGGGATGAAAAACCAACACAGAGCCCTGCCCATTGTAGGGACATATCTTGAGTGACATTAATCTTTAAGTGTTTTTGCTTTCTGTAAAGAAGCCCTTAATTTATCAATATAAGCACATTGTATACCTATTATATGGCTCAATGAGGGTTGCATAGTATGCAATACACAATACTAGTTCTTAAAGAGCACCTTAGTGAGAAGACAGGATACTCAGGGAAAGAGGTAAGCAATGCAATTTCTTATGGAAAAAGGATAAAGAGTAAATATGACCATTATTAAAATGAATGCAAGGACCCAGGACTTGGATGGCCTGGAGAAATTTCATAAAAGAGATGTGACTTGAGCAGGGCCCTAAAGGACATATCAGTCTCACAATTCTCATCTATAAAATGGAGATAATAATTCCAGCTTCGTTTCTATGGAGGTCACATGAGATAGTATGAATTAGCTTTATCCACAGTGTATTGTGGGGACCATTAAACCCTTGAAATATCCCAAGAGAAAGGTTTTATGATAAGGTAAATTTTCAAAACCCTATATAAATCACCCTCTTAGAGTTTCTCAATAAATATTCACATCATAATGATGCTAAGAATTATGGAAGGCTAAAAAGAAATTGTTGAGTCTTGTTTTACTCAGAGGAGAGGGGTCCCAAATAATTTGATCACAGAAGCCCTTTATTCAGAGATCATCTATTAACATCTTATGTGTTCCATGGGACACACTTTGAGAATGCTAATAGACATGAAAAGTTCTTTGTGTACTTGCATAAAGTGACATGGTGATTCATATTATTTTATGCAACTATCTGTAGTATAAGTTCACAAAGTAAACACAGAATTTCTTTGGATCAGAAAATGTATCTAACTTTATCTCTCACTGTATGCATGGGCTTTTTCTGCTTATATTTTTAAAAAATTTAAAAAAAAACATATTTAGAGTTTATGTCTTACCATCCAAATTCAACCCACTCAAGTCCCAGTCAAGATTTCCCTTTTTCACAAAATCTTTCCAACCTTCCCTCCCCTCCTGCCCACAGGGATTCCTCTGTTCTCTGATCTTTCTTAGCACTGACTGTCCCCAAGGAACTGGGACTTTAGAGTCGTCTCTAAGAAACTGGAATTATGCAGAATTAAAATGTTCCACATTTGGTAGAGTTGAATAGCATTAGAATGAAATTTGTGAGAAAACCACAGTTTTAAAAGAAAAGGTAGCATTTCCTCATTAGAGTTCCAGAAGTTCCAGAAGAATTTCACAAGGGAAAACTGCTTCTTTTCTGTTATTGTTTTTGTTGTGTTTTGTTTTTGCTTTGTTACCCAATTCTAAGTTCACAATTACAAACATTTCATTTATATATTAAGTATATTAAATTTAAATCTTCTGAACTTGGACAGGGATTTACATTTAAACTTTTAAAATATCATTTTTAAACTCTTATTTGAAGTTCAGGGATACATGTGCAGGTTTGTTATATGGTAAACCTTTGATGTGGAGATTTGTTGTACAGATTATTTTATCACCCAGGTATTAAGCTGAGTACCCATAAGATATTTTTCCTGATCCTTTCCCTCCTCCCACCCTCCAATAAACCCCAATGTGTGGTGTTCCCCTCTATATGTCCATTTGTTCTCATCATTTAGCTCCCACTTATAAGTGAGAACACGCGGTGTTTGGTTTTCTATTCCTTTGTTAGTTTGCTAAGGATAATGGCCTCCAGCTCCATCCATGTTTCTACAAAGAATATGATCTCATTCTTTTTTATGGCTGCATAGTATTCCATGGTGTATATGTACCACATTTTATTTATCTAGTCGACCATTTATGGGCATTTAAGTTGATTCCACATCTTTGCTTTTGTGAATAGCACTGCAATGAACATAAGCATGCATGTGTCTTTATGATGGAATGATTTATATTCCTTTGGATAAATACCCAGTAATGGAATGCTGGTCAAATGGTAATTCTGTTTCTAAGTCTTTGAGGAATTGCCACACTGCTTTCCACAATGGTTGAATGAATTTACACTCCCACCAATGGTGTAACAGTGCTCCCTTTTCTCTGTAACCTTGCCAGCACCTGTTATTTCTTGATTTTTTAATAATAGCCATTCTGACTGGTGTGAGATGGTATCTCATTGTGGTTTTGATTTGCATTTCTCTAATCAGTAATGTTGAGCTTTTTTTCATATGCTTGTTGGCCACATGTATGTCGTCTTTTGGAAATTATCTGTTCATGCTATTTGCCCACTTCTTAATGGGGTTGTTTCTTTGTGGTTTTTTTTTTTTGTAAATTTGTTTGTTTTTTTAGATGCTGGATATTAGACCTTTGTCAGATGCATAGTTTTCAAAAGTTTTCTCCCATTCTGTAGCGTCTGTTTACTCTGTTGATAGTTTTGTTTACCGTATAGAAGCTCTTTAGTTTAAAGAGATCCCATTTGTCAATTTTTGCTTTTGTTGCCATTCCTACTGGTACTATCCTAAGAAAATGAGGAGGACAGACTTGTCCGCAACCCACTTTATGAGTCCAGCATCATCCTGATACCAAAACCTGGCAGAGATACAATGAAAAAAGAAAACCTCAGGCCAATATCCTTGGCCTCATAGGATATTGAACAATGATGCAAAAACCCTCAACAAAATACTGGCAAATAGAATCCAGCAGCATATCAAAAAGCTTATCCACAACGATCAAGTAGGCCTTATCCCTGGGATGCAAGGTTGGTTCAACATACACAAATCAATAAATGTGATTCCTCACATAAACAGAACTAAAGACAAAAACCACATGGTTGTCTCAATAAATGCAGAAGAGGTTTTTGATGTCTTCTTTTTAAAATACAGTCACAAAACTAATGACTCTTTTCTCTGTGTCACTTGATTGTTATAAAATTTTAGTACTTCCTGACTACACTGAAATCTGTGATTTGGTCTTCAAAATCATTTTTGTTCAAAAAGGGGGGGATAAAATGCAACAGTTCTAATTTAAACTTAGCACATTACTTATTACTGGGACCACCTTTTTTGAAGTTGTAAAATCAAAGTACAATAATTACTGAGTTTAAAATGCCATAAATATGTTCAGTGCTATTCTTGAAAGCAAGGAATCTTTTGGCCTTCTGACTGATGCACCAATGGAACTATTTTATGTGCCAAAGGAAAATGCCCATGAGTTGCTTTTACTGTGAATTTAAAAAAAATAAATAAAAAAAAGGATAATTTGAGAGCATGACACTGTAGCTATTCTGGGAGAAGCTAGAAGTCAGATGGGGGAGAGTGAGTGAGTTAGAGAACTAGGGCATGATAAGATTAGGAACAACAGAATGTAGATAACAATGAGATTCTGTTCAGATACTGGCTTACTGTACTAAATTAAAAACAACCACAAGCTAAATATGGTGCACATTATATTATACAAAGAAAATTAAAATGAGGCAGAGAAATACAGACTGATCTCAACTTTTATTGTCCCATATAACAGAAAAGAGTCAGAAAAGGTCAGATTTAGAAAATTCTTCTGATTGCTGAAATAGAACTAGACACCTAAGCAGAATCTTTGGAAAGCAAAAGGTGATTTATTTGAAACCCTGTGGTTAATGAAAATATCTATTATTCATATACAGATTGTGATTTATGAAAATCAGTCAAGGACAGGAGTCACACCTAAGGCTCTGCTTGAAACTTGTTATTTATAATAATTCACATCAGCTCAGAATACAACTGGAAATTTCTCTGTGAGTTCCTCAACCACGGGGATTGTAGATTCTTCCTGGCCTTTTGACAGAGCCTAGAAATTAGTTACTTCTCAGTGAATGCTTGCTGTCCCAACCAGTTATCTAGGGAAATGAAACAGAATGAGGAACCACAAGTAAAAAACAGCAATGATACTGAGATTGTTGCCTTCACTTCAGTAACACATTTCTGCCACTTACCAAAATGTCTCATAGTTTTTAAGCTCTGGTTCTTCTGTTACCTCTCTGTTAATTAACTCATTAACTTAAGTATCCATTCATTCACCTAAAACCTCAGCTTTGAGCTTATTGTAGGCATGGGTTATATACTGTAAAATAAAAAAGCTTGGTCCTTGCCCTTTTGGAGTTTATGATCTAATTTAGGAAAGACAGACAATAAGTAGAAAATATATCTTAATCATAATTGGGATAAATAATAAGAATAAAAATAATGCTGACAAATACCCAGGCAGCGTATGCTACTTCAGAATAGCAGTTCTAGATGAAATTTGAACTTTCCTTTGAGAAATCACTCATTAAATTGATCTGTAGTCACTGATTTGCCAAGAAAACTCTATGAAATTTAAAACTGAGGTTAGAAACCTCCCTAGCCAAAAGAAGAAACCACCAGAGAAAACACATTTTGTAAGAGAAAAATATAAAGGTGGTAGAATCTTTAATATTATAATTGGCCTTTATTAGTTTTAATTTTAAAGTCTTGCTTTAAAAGATTTCTTTCTGACCCCAGAGAGAAGTTTTCTAGACCAAAGCTTAGGCTACTGTTGATGCAGGAGATGCATTTGTTTATTCACCCACTTTCAAGATAGCAGAGCTTGGCAAAGACTGTAGATTTTGGTGCCCAGTCTGAGGAACATGAGTATGAATACATACTCTTCTGGAGGTTTCCAGCGTGAACTTGAACAGGTTATTTACTCCTTCCAAGCCTCATTTTTGTAAACATTTTAGTCAAAATACAGCACACTTGCAAAAAGCGCACAAAATATCAATGCATACCTCGAAGTGTTATCACCAAACAAGTCTGTGTTGCCACCACCCAAGCCAAGACATGGACAATTGCCAGCCCCTCAAAATCTCCTCTTGGGCCCCTCCAATCTCTAGTCCTCTCTCCTCTCCAGATTAGCCACTCTCTTGAATTCTAACATTAAAATTTGATGTTGCACCCCCTCTTTAAAAACTATATTTGTATGGAATAAAATGGTATGTATTGTTTGGTGTGTCTAGCTGCTTTTACTGAACCACATTTCTGAAGCTGTAAAATGGGAGAAATGATGTCTTCCTTATTCTGTGGTTATGATAATGCTGTTGAAGTTGTGCAGCCTGTAAGGTGCTTGGCTTCCAGCCAGTTGCCAGAAAAGATGACTCTTTTATCCTTCCCAGTTGTTTTCACTAGCAGTGCATACAAATACAGAAATGCTAATGATAACGGTGGATTGATTTGGAAACATTTGCTAGAGCTTACCTTGCCTTGAGGTCTACTGTTTAAACACTGGTCTTCATCCTACCACTTAATTCTCCTTTTCTCTGTGCCTTTTCTTCCTATGGAGCAGCTCTTTCTTCTCCATTCATCTAGAAACAGGCTCAACTGGTTTGTGTTTCAAAAGATTACAAAAATGACCCAAAAAGATTTTCAGAGATAACAGTAACTGCAATTTATCTTTCATAAGGACATATTATGTTCCAGACATTCCGCTGAGCACTCTACATACATGACAGTCCCCTTGTCCCCCCGGTGATTTGGTATTCAAAATCACTTTTTGCAGTTTCTCTTTCCATTCTTTCAGTTACGCAAGGTACCATACAGTAAGATATTTTGAGAGAGAGAGAGAGACCACATTCATATAACATTTATTAGAGTATATTATATTGTTGTTTGTCTCTTACTGTTTGTAATTTATAAATTAAACTTTATCATAGGTATGTATGAATAAAAGAAAACATAGTTTATGTTGCATAGGATTTGGTACTATCCATGATTTCAGGCATCCACTGGGAGTCTTGGAACATATCTTTCATGGATAGGGGGAAACTACTGCATCTCATTCCGTCCTTACCATAGGTGAGTGAAAGAGGTATTTATAATATCCCCATTGCAGAGCTGAAGTACTGAGACCAGAGAGACTTGAAAGCTTACTCAACCACTAAGAAATGGAGTTAGGATTTCCATTTAGGCAGTTGATTATGAGCCTGGCTTTTAACTGCTGATGTACAGGCCCGTGATACAGGCAGATCCTATAATATTTTACTATGATCCTTTAGGGAAGATTATCATCTGTGGATTTTAACTCATCACTGGAGAGCTTCTTGGTGGAAAAACTAATGGGAGTCTATGACACTCTCCCCTATAACCTTACTGGGAAACACCCTCACTACCTGGCATTGAACAGGAGCTTGGAGGCCACATAAATGCCTCAATATAAGTTCTAAAGTTTAAAGGCTAAATCAGTCCATTTTGTGTGTTACATCTGCACTAAGGCATGTCATGATTTACCTGGGAAAGTGTCTTTGAGAATTTTAGTGCCTTCTCTAGTTCTCCTACCATTTCCTTCCTATCATCTTTATAATTTGTTTTCTATTTCCTAATTTTCTATTATTGATCAGTAATCACAGTCCTATAGAGTCATTCTATGATGCTAATTCAAAAAATTAGAGTCTCTATGAAAATCTGCCAGTTTTAATTCTATGAAGCAGTTAAAAAGAGAGTCTACTTGAGCATTTTATAATAAATCCCCTTATGGCATTACATAATATGTCTCAGTTTACAAAAACCAAACTTATAAATACCAATTTAATGCTTTCTTTGTGCATGATATCATGCTAGGGATCCTGGGTAAAACAAGAAAATAATATGACATAAGCCCCATCCCCAGAGAAGTTAAAATTTAGTTAAAGGAGAAAACTAAAATAGTCACAAAAAATTAAATTTAGCTTAAAGTAATAGTAGAAATGTTATAATACTGCCTATGAGTAAGAGGACATCTAAGGTAGTCTCAGAATAATTCCTAGAGATGTTCAGAGAAAACAGAAGTGACTTCAGGATGAATAAAAGCTGCAGAGTCAGGCTCTGTAAAACACCCTGGGTGAACAAGCATGGCTTTACCTGAGGCTTCAGGGAGATGAGGAGAGACAGGTAGAAGATGAGTTTCCTATTGTTTCCTATTGCTGCTGTAACAAATGACTGCAAACTTAACAGCTTAAGATGGCACAAGTTTATTATACAGCAGTTCCATAGGTCAGAAGTCCAAAATGGGTTGTACAGGTTAAAATCAAGGTGTTGCAGAGCTGTATGTCTTCTGGAGACTGTAGGGGAGAATCTGTTTCCTGCCTTTCCAGCTTCTAGAGACCACCTGCATTCTTTGGCTTGTGTCCCCTTCCTCCATCTTCAAAGCACATTGCTCCAACCTCTGTCTACGTCATCACATCTCCTCTCTGACTCCTACTCGCCTGCCTTCCTCTGTAAGGACCTTTGTGATTACACTGGGCCCACCAGGATCTTCTCCTTATGTTGTAATTAACTTCATCACAGCTGCAAAATCCCTCTTGCCATGTAAGATAACATATTCCCAGGTTTCAGGGATTAAGATAGGTGTGGACATCTGTACAGGCATTATTCTGTCTACTCCAGGCTGTTAACCCCATATTAAGGAACACTTTCAGTGATGGGCTTTGAAGTTGATCCTACACAGCACAAAATCATTGAACATTTCCATCTGGGGAGAGACATGAGCACAGCACAGAGTGAAAGGCAGAGCGGTGGCCAGGGAAACACGGAGATGAGGAGACTGATGTGGAGAGTGTTGAAGCCATCACTGGACAGTGTACACACGGCACATTTGCATGTCTCTGGTATGTTGCATGTGAGAACGAGAAAGTACCCACGTGCCCACCCATGCTATGCTTGTAAATACAGCCTCAGCTTGTTTTATGTGGATATTTGCTTCGCCATGGGAAAGCAACCACCTGAGGAGGCCTCAGACTTTCCTGCCTCCCAGTATTCCTGCTACAACATCGCTCTTTAAGCATTTTGTATTCTGAGGAATTATCATCATGCTTCAAAATACCAATATTCAGAGGGATGGGAAGTACTTCTCCAAACAATCTCCCAGGTGTCCCAGAAGGTTTTCCAATCATAAGAAGATGAAAAAAGGTAGTCTGTGATGAGCAATTAAATATGCAAGCTGCAATATCTTTCAGAGAGACCTTTTTCCATGGATGGGAGGGACTATCACCTGGAGGCAGCCAGAAGGGACTTCATAACAAGCAAGCTTGAGTGGCATTCACAACAGAGCTGAGATGCTGTTCACTAACTCTCCTCTCTGTTGTTTTCTTCATCCCATCATAATGTCCACAGTTTGAAATGAGTGTTCACGTACAGTAAGTTTTGATTCAGACACTTACTTTATTGGAATTAACTGTAGCTATGTCTCCACACAGGTGTTAAAAAAAAAAAAAAAGAACGAGAGTTGAATGAATTAGCAGACTTGCAATGGACTAAGAGATTGTTGGGGAGTTCCCACAAACACGCAGGCAAGAGCTGAAGTTGCCTCTCTGGCAAAACAAATTCAAAGAGTTCAGAAAAGAATAAGCCCTAATGATTATTAACTCATTTGGGGGTCTTATCATCAGTATAGTTACTTATCTAGGCTAAAGCAATTAAGATGAGATCAGATAGCTCTACCCTACTGCCTGCTAAGGCTTGATAACATGGAATTTTCAGAACACAAAAGTGTGTGTTTTGTGAAATGGAAGAGAAAATTATAACGTTGATGTTCACTTTGAGAAATTATAACGCAATCTAAAAGGGACGGGAAAATGAAACTTACCACTTTTCCAAGGCAAAATGGTGCGGAAGAGTTATTTTTGTGGTGGTTTGAGTTTTGATGTTCAGTAGCGAAGAAAGATCCCCAGAAATAGGCCCAGAAGTCTCAGAAGGAAAACATAAATATTCAGCTGTGCTTTTAACAACTTGCTATTTTCTTTCTTAATTGTGTTTACCTTTAAAACAACAACAAACAGAAGCCAAAAACTTGGCAGAGGATTGCTTTTTAAAAGGACTGTGTTCCTTGACTGCCAAATGAGCATGCCTTTCTTTCTTTTTTGGTGCTTTTTCCTTTTTTTTTTCTCTTTGTTAAAGTGATACTTTCCATTTCTTTCATTCAAAAACATCTTGCCCTTCTGCCATCATCCAGTACTTGGACATCAGAATGTTGGGGCCCACAGAGGACACTTCAAAGGCTGTGTTAATTATTATTATTATCATGTTTATTGTTGTATTATTGTATTAAATTGTAATAAGCATCCATTAAGACTCAGGATAGTAGGCATTAGGGATGTGCAAAATTGAGAGAAGAATATACACAAGCAAATATTTACTATACATTTTTTTTTTACAGGTGACATATTTTTTTTCTTTTTTTTATTATTATTATACTTTAAGTTTTAGGGTACATGTGCACAATGTGCAGGTTAGTTACATATGTATACATGTGCCATGCTGGTGTGCTGCACCCATTAACTCGTCGTTTAGCATTAGGTATATCTCCTAATGCTATCCCTCCCCCTCCTCCGACCCCACAACAGTCCCCAGAGTGTGATGTTCCCCTTCCTGTGTCCATGTGTTCTCATTGTTCAATTCCCATCTATGAGTGAGAACATGCAGTGTTTGGTTTTTTGTCCTTGCGATAGTTTACTGAGAATGATTTCCAATTTCATCCATGTCCCTACAAAGGACATGAACTCATCATTTTTTATGGCTACATAGTATTCCATGGTGTATATGTGCCACATTTTCTTAATCCAGTCTATCATTGTTGGATATTTGGGTTGGTTCCAAGTCTTTGCTATTGTGAATAATGCCACAATAAACATACGTGTGCATGTGTCTTTATAGCAGCGTGATTTATAGTCCTTTGGGTATATACCCAGAAATGGGATGGCTGGGTCAAATGGTATTTCTAGTTCTAGATCCCTGAGGAATCACCACCTTGACTTCCTAAAAGAAGACATTTATGCAGCCAAAAGACACATGAAAAAATGCTCATCATCACTGGCCATCAGAGAAATGCAAATCAAAACCACAATGAGATACCATCTCACACCAGTTAGAATGGCAATCATTAAAAAGTCAGGAAACAACAGGTGCTGGAGAGGATGTGGAGAAATAGGAACACTTTTACACTGTTGGTGGGACTGTAAACTAGTTGCTATATGTTATAATAAGCCATTTGTACTTTAAAAATACTGTGAGCATAGTATTATTATTATAATCATTATTATCATCAAAGGAGAGGACCTCTAGTGAATTTATGTTGATATGCCCATGTAGCACAGAACCATACAAACTTTGCTAGCAAAAATAGCCTACCCTTTTGAAACTGTTTCCCATGCTTGGGGTATAGAATGGAAAGGGGTCACTGCCCTGGGGTTGCTGATATCACATAGTAGCCACAGCCATTATCAGGGAGCACTCCCAAGGGAAAGGCGACCTTAGATCATCCATCTCTTGTCAGCCCATGTTCCTTTCTGTGCCTGTCTCAAAGTTGCAAGGTTCCATGTCTAATTTCATACATGCTATTCCTAATTTTCTGGTTGCTAAAGCCTCTTCTTTCTGTACTCAGAGCGTATGTCCAGGGAAGTAGGTTCCAAAGGCAAAGCACAGTTTTTTTTGTTTTTGTTTGTTTGTTTGTTTGTTTTACATAACATCCTTTTACAAAGGCCAAAGCTTGTAAGGAGTGCTAAAAATCTAGAAGAGGACTTTCATATTACAGTAGAGGAAGTCTGTTTCCTAACTGTTAAGTTCTGCCTCTTCTTTCTGATGTTCGATAGTAGATGCCATAGAACAGATGAAATTTGCGAAAGTTGGAGGAAAGGGAAGCAGCACAGCTGCTGAGTTTGAGGACTTTGGGCAAAGTACTTGAATTATGAGACTTTTGAAAAACAGAGGAATGAGTATTTATGAACCGAATGCAGCCAAGCATGCTGCTAAATAGTTTAAGTACCTATTTTGTTGGATGCCATCTTCAAAAAAAAATATGAGGTATAGGTGTGAAAACTAAGGATTTAAAAGAAAAGATACATGATTGTTTCACAACCCCTGTGTGACAAAGCTTGGGTAATTCAGTCCTTTTAACCCCAGAGCACCTCCCCTCTCAGCAGTGATAGTACCCGGAGCAGTGGGTAACAAGTAGTCGATGCTTCATAAGTGCTCAGTGGGCCTAAATTTCACAGTTCATGGGTTCTCCTTCTAAGATGACTTTGTTGTTGCAATTGTACACAAGTCTAGTGAAAAAGTATTTCCTTTAAAAATAAAATGTTGGCCAGGCGCAGTGGCTCATGCCTGTAATCCCAACACTTTGGGAGGCCGAAGTGCGTGGATCATTTGAGGTCAGGAGTTTGAGACCACCCTGACCAACATGGTGAAACCCCGTCTCTACTAAAAATACAAAAAAAATTAGCCAGGTGCGGTGGCGCGTGCCTGTAGTCCCAGCTACTCAGGAGGCTGAGGCAGGAGAATCACTTGAACCTGAGAAGCAGAGGTTGCAGTGAGCCGAGATCATGCCACTGCACTTCAGCCTGGGTGACAGAGTGAGACTTGGTATCAAAAAAAAAAAAAAAAAGAAAGAAAGAAATGTAACTAAAATTAAAATTTTTTTTAAATGTCAAAATTTAGAAGAAATTTTTTTTTTGGCAGGGGAGATATGGTCTTTCTCTGTTGCCCAGGCTGGAGTGCATTGGTGTGATCACAGCTCACTACAGCCTTGATCTCCTGGGCTCAAGTGATCCTCCTGCCTCAGCCTTCCTAGCAGCTGGGGCTATAGATGAGTGCTACTTCACCTGGCTAGTTTTTAAATTTTTTTGTAATGATGGGGTCTTGCTATGTTGCCCAGGCTGCTGTCAAAGTCCTGGCCTCAAAGAAATCCTCCCACCCTGGCCTCCCAGAATGCTGGGATTACAGGCGTATTACCATGCCCAGCCTAAGAATTTTTTAATCTAAGAAGTAAACCATTAAGACCTTTATACATTTGGATAGGATATGCATATAAATATATGCACATATATCCACAGATTCCTAGTTTAGTCAACAGTAAGTTTTAATATATTTTCAACATCTTTACCTTTGCTTTAAGAGCTTGCTACAACTATTCCATTTGCCTTGCAGACTTATTGTAGATTACATATATTTCCTGTTTTTTTTCTATTTAAAATTTGCTATCTTTGGGTGGAAATGTTTAATTAACAGAAGCCAGTGCTTTCTAAGGCAAAAAAAAAAAAAAAAAAAAAAGGTGTATTTCTCCTGGTAGAGATGAGGCTATCTTTATTTATTTGATTTCTTAAAGAAAGATTGATCCTAAGAACTGTCCAAGCTCTCCATTTATTCATATAAGTATAGCCTGTGGTCTGTTACGCCCAACATGCCCAATTCCTTAATCCTTATCCTGAAACACTTATCTTTGAGTAAACAAACATTTAGGTCCATGTGATTCTCAATCGGGCACCCTTCAAATGATAGTGCTAAATAGCTCAGTTAGAATATTGGGAGTTCCTCTGATATAAAAACTCATTCAGTAGGTATGAGACCACTAACTAATTGATATTGGCCACTGAAAGGTTGTCAGAGATAATGATATCCTGTCACTCTCATTATTATACTTTTTCAGCATACCAAGTATATTATGTGCCAAATAACAATAATAGCGCTGCCCCCAGTGAGCTCGTGGTTACCACTGAGCTTGTTAGATTAATTTGATGGGTGGGGTTCAAAACATTGACAAAGACTTGGATTCTATCCCACAGGGAAAGAGATAATTACCTGGAGTTCATGGGGCTTATACTGTAGGTAATTTGCCCAGATCAAAAGTATTATAAGCAGGCAGTTGCTATCTTACTTGGAGAGCTAATGTAATACTATCAGACACTCTGGAATAGTGGTCAAAAATTTTGGATTCTAGTTCTAGCGCTTTCCTTGATTTTCCATGTGACCTTGAATAAACCACTTAAATATCTGGGTCTCAAATTCCCTACCTGTAAAATAAAAATAATGTCAATCCACTTGAGTTATAAAATTGCCGTGAAAATCAAGTGAGATAATGTATATAAACATGAACTTAAAAGCATTCAGAACTAGAGACATGGTAACTTCTACTGATGTTATACAGTCATGTGGAACAGAGAAGGATATCTGAAGACAGGAACATGAAGTATAAATGAAAATAAAAATAATTGGATGAGACAAGGGAACTAAATAAGATCAAAGAATAGCCTTCAGTCTTTCTGTAATCTCTTCTTTAACATGGAAACAGCCTCCAACAAGTGTCCCTAAGCTGTTTAAAACTTTTGTCTGCTATTGGCAGAGGAGTATCACAGGAAAAAGAAGAATGTGATTGCCACTTTTTTTTCGTCTCTCAAAGAACCTCGAGCATAAAAGACTGTAATACAGACAATTAGAGGCTGATATAACTGTTGGATGGGCTATAGAAACAAAGGTCGGGGAAAAAAATGCTTCAAGTTTCAAGAACTCTGAAAACGCAGGAAATACACAGAAGCTATAGCTGATTATCTTAATTGCCTGCAACACCTAAGTAAGTAACTCGCAGGCACTCACCTAGAAAGCCCCTGGCAAAATCTTCCATAGGCATCTGTCACTGTTCACCTGGCTGCTGCTGGAGATTGAAGGCTGCTTTTCTTCTGCTTTCCAGATCTCCTGGAAACGACTCTCTTTGGCATAATTCATATTGGAATGTAGCTGGCAAGGGACCCCAGGAAGCGTAGGGCCCGGCCTTCTCCCCGAGGATGTATGGTGATGTGCAGTTGACAGCAGACAAGCTGGTGCAGTGTTGCTCTTCGAAACCATTTCCCTAAAAATATTTGCATGAAAAGACTAAAGTTATAAGCCACAGATTTCAAATGCTAAATCAGAGTTTTTTTTAAGTGTGAAACTAGATTTTATTCTTCTACTGTCATATGTATACTATTATAATCCTAAGATTCCACTGATTAGGGGTTGCACTATCGATAAGAGCTTTTCAAAGAAAAAGCAACGTAAAATCTACACATCAAATAAATGAGACATGCCCCCAAATCACTGATGTTAATACTATAAAAATGAGTCTTAGAGACAAGGAAACAGGATGTGATTGCAGTTTAGAGGACTCTTTTAGTAGGAAGTTGGGAGTCTTCATTCCTTCTCACATTCCTTCTCACATTCCTCTACATACTTAATCCAAGCTTATCACCAAGTTGAGTCAGGATTAAGGCATTTCACTGCACCACCAAAGAGGCCTGCGGGACATGCTGAAGGATATTTCACTGGCCACTGGGCTGGAGGAATAATGGAGATGTTTTATTGTCCTGAACAGGGAAGGAAGAGGGAGAGAGGTGGTCATAGTCTCTCTCTACATGGACTTCCTCACAGAACACTAGAGAAGTAGCTGATTCTCCCTCCTTCTCTTTGGTTTCCTTCTGCTTTTGTCTGATCTTTGTCCCGAAATGATCAGAGTGGAGGAGTCCTGTTTCTTCCTGAAAAAATCATTGTCTTCTCTCTGTATTTTTGGAGGTGGATGTAATTTCTTCAGGGATGTTTCTGATGCCCCAGCCTGAGAAGACCCACTGAAGTTTCTTGAGGCCAGATCTGCAGTAGGCATTACAGAAATGTTCCCTTCATCTTGCTCTTTGAGTTCTCTGAGGCTGGCACTGGATGACAGCCTGTGCATGGTGAGGTCTGAGATCTGGACTTGGCCAAGAGGTACAAGGTTAGGGCAGCTCCGTCAACCTGCTTTGGCTCTTGGTCTTTCCGGCCTACCTTGTTTAGGTAACATGAGTTTTCCACAGGATACCTCCCAACTCACTGGAGTGTTCTGCATTAGAGCTTGTGGCTTATATGTACACACATTACCTTTGGAACCTGGTGGGGAGGGATAGTCAGTTTAGAACCCAAATTCTTGGGTTTGTAACCAAATTCTGTAGTAATCTCACCTCATATTAAATAATACCATTTTTACGGCCTACAAATTAACTTCAAAAATTTTAACATATAATCAAGTTTCTCAAAAATTATATTTTTTGGTTTCCAAAAAGAGTGTGTGCTCAGGAGACATTTAAAAACGCAAGACAATGTCACATTTTTCAGAAAATGATGTCATGTCCTTACTTTAACTGTATTTATTTTTCTTTTTGTTTGTTTGTTTGAGACCAGCAGAAATATATTACCCACAGTAATCTTCCCCTAAGGCTGACTGGTTCATTCAAACTAAGTTTGATTTGAAAGAATGTTCATGGACACAGTCTCCCAATCATCCACCCTTATGTTCAGGGCTTCAAATGGTTAAGTAACTGTGGAAAAACAAAAGCACTTTGAAACTGTACAGCCACTACATTAAACATTTTCAGGCAAAACTCTCCACTATGGGGAAAGAAAAGAGAAGATTTGAGATATGTCACAGACTTTGTCTTTCCCTTGTGCCATAGAAGTTCTGTTGAGTAGCAATGAAGCATGAAGCATGTTGGATCCCAGTGGTGTAGATGACCGTCCAGCTTTAGCAGTATAGCATTTTAACCAGAAAGGTAGAAGTGCCTATCTTTGAGGCCATTTCTATGTTATTTGGTCAGTAGAGAAATTGTTTTCTCAATATTTGGCATAGCTGCAGAAAAATAGTTTGAATGCTTTATCATTTTTTTTGATGATCAAATTCAATTTTGTCGCTTCCCTGTGTAAATAGTCCTTCAGAGGCTCTCCCTGATTTTCTGGATTAAATCCAGAATATTTCACGTGCATTATTAGGCCCTTCAGCAACTGGTTCCTACTTACCTATCCAGTCTCGTCTCCCAACAATCCCCCACAAGATTTTGTCACTACAGCCTCAATGAACTCTCATTTTCCCAACACCCATGCTCAGCTGTTAATCCGTCTGTCAAACTTCCAATTTTTCGCTCTTTCCTTCAATCCCTTATCACATCTTCCAGATGAATTTTTACTTAACTTTCAGAAGACTGGACTTTAAGCTCCTCCAAAAACTGACCATGTTTTATTAATCTCCAAATTCCTGGTGCCTATCAGAAAGGCTGCTACACTGAGTTGTGATAACTCAAAACAAGTAAGTATGTTGGTATGCCTGAAATGAGCTACGTAATTGTGCATTCTCTATATTATTTTTATTCCAGTGTAAGAAGTCTTCTGCTTATGTAATATGAACAACTTTTTGTCACATCTCACTAGCAAGGGTCTTTTTGGTCATTACCAAAGTCCCTATTAAGAACAGTATCATGAATTCCAAATATAAAAACATGCCCTAACACACCACTTAAGAATTCAGATGTAATTGCAGTTATAGTAGCAAGATCATTCCCAGGCTATGGAATCAGGCTGTAAAATGAGCAATAAAACTTGCTGCTAAAGAAAAATCTGTTTTCATTAATGCCATGGGTTCATCAAATATTAGAGTCTTAGCTGAAAAAGAGTGAGCAGATCTTTTTAGGGCAGAAATGTGGGTTCATTTATGGTTAGGAGAATGGTGCTTTTCAAACCAGGGCATTGCATTTGCATTCTGGAGGTGAAATCAAGGCTTCTTGGATTATAAATCCCAGGGAGCATCTTGACCTTGTTCTTCCCCTAAATCATTTTCATCTGCATTATTGTCTGCCTCAGAGCAGCCATTGTTGGCAGAGTCAGCCTTGAGTTTCAGAGCAAAGCTCTGTTCAGTTGATCAGAAATTCTAGAGAGCTTAAATGCAGTGACTCGATATGGCTTCTTTGTTTGAATGTTTGTTAGTTAAGGCATTCCTTTAGCTCTGCAAAATCCATATTTCCCTGGAAGTTAGTACAGAAACTCAAGCATTTACTGTAACAGAAATATTATCAATGAGCTTTACTCCTCCTGGGTTATATAAGCAACAATACTTACATCCTGTCCTGTTTCTCAAATTCTTAAGGATTCATAATTCTGGCCAGGCATGGTGGCTCATGCCTGTAATCCCAGCAATTTGGGAGGCCAAGGCAGTCGGATCACCTGAGGTAAGGAGTTCAAGACCAGTCTGGCTAACATGATGAAACCGCGTCTCTACTAAAAATACAAAAATTAGCTGAGTGTGGTTGTGCATGCCTGTAGTCCCAGCTACTTGGGAGGCTGAGGCAGAGGGATCATTTGAACCTGGGAGGTGGAGGTTGCAGTGAGCCGAGATTGCACCACTTCACTCCAGCCCAGGCAACAAAGCAATACTTCATCTCAAAAACAAAAACAAAAAATCAAAATTGTACAGTATTCCTGATTTACAGTGTATGTTGAATGAGGGAGAGCTAGCAATGTACTAGAATAAAATTGAATAAAATGTCATAATTTTAAAAGAAATGTTATTTACCTCTTAATATTATACCTATATTTTCCTGGATCTTTTACATTCCTAATTCGTATTTTAAATATGAATTCATATTTTAAGTATGAATTTATATCAAACTCTTCTAAAGCATAATTTGATTACTTACATAATAATAGAATTCTGTCACTATACCCTTTAAAAAATTACCATAGTCACATAGTTTGCAGATTTAGAGTTACTTGTGTTGAACTGAAAAAATATTCAAAATGTTTATCTTTATTATTTCTTGACATTTCTATCTATTCACCTATTCAAACATAATTATTTATTAAAGCATCTACCAAGTATGCATCCTGAAATGCAAAATCTAGCAAGGGTTTCCCACAAGCTAAGTTGATTAAATTGGAAAATTTTCCTGTAAGAGATCAGGAAAGCTTGAAACCTAAATAATTGAAAAACAAATTAAATAAAACAGCAAGGTAGATGCGCTCTGAGAAGAGAGGCCTCAGTGCAAGCTGAAGAAGTCGGATGAGATTTAGCAGGTCTTTTTGGCTTCTTAATTTCAGTGAATTCATAGTTTCTAATGTTGGTTTTCTCCTCTTTCCTTCATTTTGGTTAATTCCATTTGCTTCCAAACCTGTCTCTGCCCATTCACTGTGGAGTGGCCATTCTCAGTGCTTCCACACAAAGAACGCTGTTCCTCAATAGGGCTGCATTTTCCCAAAAGATTCACTAGGATTCCCATGTAATCCATGTAATACTAGGTAGTCTCAATTTATTTGTTCCTAATTACCTTACTTTTTCCTTCTGCCATACTGTCAGGAGCGCATAATATGTCACCCTAATCCATGAAAACTATTGTGGAGGTTTTCCTATCTATGTTTAATGGATCAAGTCAAAAATGCATTATGGCCACTTGAAAAATAATACCATCATGAGCTTTTGACAGCTCTTTATTAAAAGCCAATAGAGATTTCTGTAAAAGGTTTTTCAAGGCCTTAAGTCAAGTTCTGCTGTGAATGTAAATGCAACTCTGTTGTGGTATTACCTAAAAAAGAAAGTCATTTTGCATATTAAATATTTTCTAAATTGTTAAATAAGGCAGCTTTAAAAGATTTTGCTAGAAATTGCAATACTATACAGACTTTACCATCTCAATTTGAAAGAAATATCATGACTGTGAAGGGAGGCTTCAAATGATTTTTTTTTCAATTTTAGTATAAACAAGGTAGGAACATATCATTAGTCATGCCAAAGTGAATTGCATTAGCATTCTTCCAAACTGCAGTGCCAAATTAGCATCCAAGTTTCACATGGACTCTATCAACATGCCTGTAGGTTAGGCATGGGAAAGAAATACAGACCTATCTTGTCCAGGCAGTGAATCCCATGTCTCAGATGAAGGAGGTGATTTCCACCACTAGAAAAGAATGAATGTTAAATTTCCTCCAGAAACCTTCACCAAGTTTGTACTAACTCATATAAATGTGTATCTGATGCTCATCCCGTTATTTTTTCTTAAAATTCTTCATTGACTTCCCATTTATTGCCTTTAAGATTACATTCAGGTTGGGTATGGTGGAATACACCTGTAGTCCCAGCTACTCGGGAGACTAAGGAGGAAGGATCACTTGAGCCCAGGAGTTCAAGACTTTGGCAAATGACGAGTTATGATTGTACCAGCCTGGTCGACAGACCAAGACCCCATCACTAAAAAAAAAAAAAATTACATTCAAACTCCCCTGCATGGGGGAGAAGTCCTTCTGGGATCTTGCCCTTGCCAGTCTCTTCGGTTTCACTTCCTCCTTTTACTGGAAGGTGTGGCCACATGAAAGTCCTTGTGGGTCTCCATGTTGTCTGCTGCCCTCCGTGCTGTCCAAACACAGCTACATCTGCTTAGAATACTGTGCCACTGACCAGGCATGGTGGCTCATGCCTATAATTTCAGCAATTTGGGAGGCTGAGGTAGGAGGATCACTTGAGCCAGGAGTTTGAGAACAGCCTGGGCAACATAGTGAGACCTCATCTCTACTAAAAATTATTTTTAAAAATTAAAAAAAAAAGACTACTGTTCCACCCACCCTATACCATTTCATTAGTTTCTGCCTATTGATTACTGCCTCCCTCACCCCAGTATCCTGTGAGCTCTATGAATTTGGTCTCTCCTATAGAATACTGCTTGTCCAGGGCTATTTCCATGCACAGCCTGTAATAGGGATTTAAATACTAATTGAATGAATACATACATTTAAGTCTAATTGTTGAATCAAAAAGAAGTCATTGACTTTCTCTCCCTAAAAACACAACATCAAGAAAAATGCCAGGATCAGCAAAACAGCAGGCCTGTCTGTAGTAAGGATACAATATGATGAAACTTTTGAAGTGAAAAACTTAGCATCTTCCTGCATTAATTACTATTCTTGGCAATAGAAAAACGGTTTAAGTAGTTCAAGCAAATCCATATCAAAAAAGCCTCCAGGTCCAATGTCATGTTGTAAGTTCTTGGGAAGCTAAAGACTACCATTTGGGCTCACCAGTGAAGTTCTGGAGAGCATAAATGCTGGCCAAAATACCAGCTCCTGGAAAAGCAAAAATTATGTTTGCTGCTTCTAAATTCCTAATGACAGAGATGTTTAATAGGCTTCCAATGACCATGCTTTTGAAGACAGTCTCTCCAATTGTTAGTAGATCCATTCATCTTTAACCTGAAGCCAAGTCTGCTAGTCACAGTCTCAGTTCTTTATAGATACACCTTAAGCCAGAGGGCATGTCACAGTACAAAAATGTATTATAGTCGTCAAAGGGCTCTTTGTTTTTCAAGATTTATGTTTAATTAGAGTAAAAACAAGGAAAGGTCAGAATAAGGCTGAATGAATACCATTGGAACTATTAAAGTATATTTCGTTTTCAGCAATGTTCAGATTGACATAGGTGACTCACAATGTACCTCCCCACCCAACTTTTCCAGGCTAAAAAATAATAATAATTTATATTTGAGAAGGGGTTCTTAAGGAAGAAGCTTCTTTCAAGTCCAGGAGAAGAAAAACTGCATGATTGAAACATAAGCCAAGATGATATATTATTTAGCTGGTATACTTTAATGAAAAGGAAGAGCTGTTTAGTGCTCTATCTGAAAGACAAAAAAAAAAAAAATTGGCTTTTCAATGTGAGAGTAAAAATATAGGAGCTGTATTTTGGATGATACTAAGGCTGGTGTTTTTTTATAAAATCAAGTTAAGGAATTATGTGGTATTCCTGTGCACTCTCATAAATAACAGAAAAACAGGAACAATTTAAATGTTTTACAAGTGATACATCTTATAATAGTAACTTTCCCCTACTTAGTTTTGCTACAGAAAGATTTGGGGGAAGTGCAAGAAACCTAGGAATACCTGTTCATGTGTTAACAGTGAAAGTAAAACTTAAAATCCAAAGCTACAATCTGCATTTCCCTGGAAAATACCCAGAGGCTTTCTGTATTGTCATTATTCTCATACGTAAGTCCAACCTTCTTTCCCCCACCCACACACACCTGGCTCTTGAAAGCACGTTGCTGTCACTAAAAATGGTGTCTTGGAGCCTCCAGAAGTAGGGCAGCTTTCCTTATTGTCTCTCCATCCCCCCACCTTCTCTGAGCTCTGAGCTCTCAGCCAGCCTGCAGAGCTAAGATAATTTTTAATTCCACTTTGAATAACAACAAAAGGAAGAGCAAAAGTGCATTTTATGGAAGACCCCTCTCTCCATTCTCCATTACTAGAGGATAATTCTCTAAATTCCAAAAGGAAAAAAAAGTGAATACAAAATAAAAATAGTGGATACCCTTGGTTTCTAAATTAGTACTTATATTTCTCTGGAAAGCTTTGAAGGGAGGCAGTTCTTAAAAACAAAAAGTGGAGATAGAGCACAGGCTTTGACCTAGAAAAACCTAAGTTTTAATCATGTTACTTCACAGAAGAAGACATCCAAGTATCCAGTAAATAGGTGTTCAATTTCATTAGTCATCAGGGAAAAACAAAGTGAAACCACAATGAGATGAAACTCTGCAGCCACCAGAATAACTGCAATGAAAAAGATAAAGTGGAATTCACACACACTACTGATGGTAGTATTGATTGTACAACTGCTTTCTTTTTTCAGTTTATTCTAAAGCTGACTGTATGTATACATTATGAGCCAGAAATTTCACTCATAGGTATATGCCAAATAAAATGCGTATACATGTTCACCAAAAAATGTTAGTGGAATGTTTATAGCAGCACTATTTGTAATAGCTTAAATCTAGGAACTATTCAAAAGTGTATCAACAACAGAATGGATACACAAATTGTGGTCAATTTACAGGTGGATGCTGTATAGCACTGTATACCATACAGCAACATAAATGAATTTCATATATATAATGTTGAGTGGAAGAGGCAAGACGCAATAGATTATACATTAGATGATCCTTTTTATGCAAAGTACAAAAACAGGCAAGACTATTCTGTGTATTGCAAGTTAAGATGTTGAATACTTTGGTTGGGGGACCAGGTGGGGGGCATTACATGACTGGAAAGGAGGATGAGGAGGGATTTCGGGTGCTGGTAATATTTTGTTTCATGGTCTAGATGCTTGTTACATGAATATGTTTAATGTGTGAAAATTCATTGATATAGATACATAAATTTAAAAGCTTTAAAAAGTCCTGTTGCCCACTAGCTGTATATATCCTGTGTATGATTTTATGGTGCCCACACTGTACCAGTATTATGAGTACCTTATAAATATTAATGCATTTAATTATAACAACCCTAGAATATTGCTGCTGTTATTATTATTATTATTATTATTATTATTACCATTTAACAGAGGAGGAAACTGATTCAGAGTCCTAACTTGCCCAAGCTCCCATGGCTGGTACATGTTGGAGTTGGAATTTTAACTCAGCCTGCCTAAGGATTCAAGGTTCTTAACCAGTATAACATGCTGCTTCCTTAAAAACTCAACATCTTTAATCCCAGCACTTTGGGAGGCTGAGGTGGGAGGATCACTTGAGTCCAGGAGTTCAAGACTGCAGTGAGCAATGATGGTGCCACTGTACCCCAGCCTAGATGACATAGCTAGACCCTGTCTCTAAAAATACCACCTCTTTGAGTACCATTTTCCCTTTTATAAAATCAGCATAATAACACATCAAGAGTTGACATAGGATCAGAAGATATATTTGATCATTTGTACTATCCACAGGATACTTAACTATTGTTGACTAAAAGTATGTCTGCTTCACTTTTCTGACCAAAGCTGCTTGTAGATCTCCCTAGTCCAGGGTCAACAGAGTTTGTTATTCATGTACTATACTTCCTTCTCCCTTTTCAGGTCCCAATGAAACCCAATGTCCTCAACACCCTGCAGGTTTTCTATCCCCTTCTCCCCTTCTCTCCCCACAGCCAGTTCTTACAACTTGGGGCTGCCCTGCCTGAATAGTACAGAACTTCCCTACATTTTGAACTTAACTCAAAATTAACTTGTTCTATATTTTAGGGTTGCTAACTGACAAGAACTCATCTAATTAATATTATTCCACCAAAGTAATGAAGCTACAATACTCAGGTTTTCAGCTGACTATTTTAACAATAGTCAGCTGAAATCCAAAGAAGGGAATCTCATGTTGGAAATTTCAACCTGTGAGCTATTGTGGGAAATTTGGGGAGTTGGTTAATGTCCTGTAGTAGTAAGACTAACATTTCTTAAGATTTCACATTACCCACTAGTTTACATGAACATGATTACATTGAGTCATCACAGCAGTCTAGCAAGGAAGGTGGTGGTAGTATTTTGCTCATTGTACAGACAAGAAAGCTGATGTTTAACAGTTTTTAGTTCATTTATTTGACAAATATATAACAGACCAACTACCTTATAGCAAATACTGTTCTGGGTTCACTGGAGCTTACATTCCCAAAAGAAGAGACTGGCTGTATGCAAATAACACATAAAGTATATAAAGATAATTTTATATGGTAGTTAATATTACGAAAAGGTAATAAGACAAGATGATGAGACAGTGACTGGCCGGGCAGGGGCATGAGCTCTATTTTGTCCTGAGAAATGGAAGTTAGAATCTCCTGTGCCTTCTTACCATCTCAGTGTTTTCTCCACACTGGCTGCACATTGGACTTACCTGGGGAGCTTTGAAAACCTACCTATGCCCAGGCTTCACCCCTAGAGGACTTCTTAATTAGTCATGATGGCTTTAAAGGCAAAAAATGAATGTGGCTCAAAGAATGACAGCACTTGCTTCTGTTGAAGCCTTATACTTAATGTAAAATGTAAACAAACTTCCATTGATTCTCTTCAGTCACTTGGTTTTACTGAGGCTTTTATGTGGTTTTTTTTTTTTCACCTGTGAGCAGAGTAGTCTGTCTCTATGCAATGGGAGAAGATAAAACATTCAAAATATAAGTGAGCATAAACATCTCCTTGTAAACACAAGAGATCACTATTAAAATTTAGTCATGATATAAATGTTGTCCTTCTGGCCATTTTAATAAAGAAATCTTTGGAAAAACTGAAGGGAAATTTGTAGTTGTATTATATATTTTTCTAATGAATGTCCCTAAATCAAGTATCTCCTGGTGTAAGCTGTCAGCATGGAGGATTTTGAATTGGTTTCAAATAGTATTATGGTCCACTCTTTGCCCATTAAGTCTAGAAGGGGGCTTGTTGAGTAGGAGAGGAGGTCTTAAAGGGACAATATGGAATAACTTTTCCTTTACAACCTCATTCGTTAAAGGACAAAAGAGATCATAGAAAAGGAGAGCGAGAAGAAAGGAGCGGAAAAAGAAAATAAGAGAAAAGTGGGGCTGTGGAAATTGAGGAGAGGGATATAGGCTCTGCTGTCTAAAGCGGTTGAACCCACTCAGAATACAGAAAACAATGGGATACAAGAGAAACTCATCCTTGCTTCAAGACTGTTTCTCATTGGAGCTTGTGGATTTCTTTGTGTTTATTGGAAGCGGGATTGTTCAAGCAGGGTGGTCATTAAGGATGCTGATGCTCATTTTCTATTCTCTGGCTTTCATTCATCCACCTCCAGCCCTCCAGTGATTTCCTTCTTTGTTCTGCCACCAAGATCAGAGGCCAGACTGAATTTGCTTCTCTGTCACTTGTATAACCCTATGGAGTTTTCTTGTGATAAGAAATTATTTTAGCCAGGAGTGGTGGCTCACGCCTGTAGTTCCAGCACTTTGGGAGGCCAAGGTGGGGGGCGGACCACTTGAGGTCAGCAGTTCGAGACCAGCCTTACCAGTATGGTGAAACCCCGTCTCTACTAAAAATACAAAAATTAGCCAGGCGTGGTGTTGGGTGCCTGTAATTCCAGCTACTTGGGAGGCTGAGGCAAGAGAATTGCTTGAACCTGGGAGACGGAGATTGCAGTGAGCCAAGAAGCCGAGATCATGCCACTTCCCTCTAGCCTGGGCAACAGAGAGAGGCTGCTCCTCAAGAAAAAAGAAAAAAGAAAGAAATCATAATGACTAATAAATATTAAAATTGTTATTCAGGTTATTCAGCATCAGAGAGTTTGAAGACTGTGAGGTCTGTATAAAATCTTTTAACAACTTGGGAAGGATTTTGAGTTTCATAAAGTGAGAGAATGGCTAAATTTGAGAGCATGGCTTAATAACTGTGACCTATGTTTGCCATTAGCTGAGATGTTAGTCGTGTGTTAAGAGGATTTGCACATAGTCAATAAAAATTATTTCTAACTCAGTAAAGCAAAATATTTCCCTAGTATTTTGGAACAGTCAACTCGGGTTATTGAATGGATGTGAGAAATTGGATGGAGAGTTTAAAAGTGAGGGCATATATAGGAACTATATGTTATGCAATCAAAGCACTTTGTGTCAAAATTTGTATTGTATGTCATGGGTAAATGCAATGGCATTCATACATTCAATTCTATGTTCAATAAATATGTAATCAGCCAAGTTTTGAGAGTTTTTATTGAGTCAAATTCATATAAGTTCTCTGTGTAGAAGGTTCTATACAAATACTTACATCTAAATGTAGCAAGAGATTATACTTCAGCCAATATTCATCAGTCACCTGCTGTGAGTCACCTAATCCATTAAGCCCATAACCCCTAGATGTGGGCATTATTCCTATTTAACAAATAAGGACACCATGTGTCACACAAATTAAATGACATTGCCAAACTGCCACAGTTATTAAGCAATGGAACTTACATAGAAATTCACATCTCGAATGCCAAAGACAAAACTCCTTTCCATTTTACCACAGGACCCCAGTTAGGAAACCTTTCTTGATGGCCAGGTGCTTGTTGCATTAGTTTATCTTTAATCCCCAAAGCCAGTGGTTTTTGAAATTTGGTGGGTATCAGAATCACCTGGGGAATTTGATAAAAAGAAAAATGTCCCAGGCCTTGTCCTCCTTTAATGAACTTGTCCTTTGTGTTCTTTATTAGCTTTTCACCAAAATTTGAGAAACCCTGGTCAAAGCTATCCATTTATGGATGATCCACAGAGGTTAATGGTTTGCCCAATAGCACATTGCTAATAATGGTGGAGCCAGGATTCAATCCAATCTGATCCCAAAGTCTTTGCTTCTGAACTTGAAGAGCCATGCTAGTGGAGATAAAAGGCACGGAAAGCATATGCTACATAGGACCAGCCTTCATTACTGGAAAAGTTGGAAAAAACGGTATGACCACTGGCAAAGAAGACAAGAAGCCTTGTACAGTGAAATTTCCAAACAAGGTTTTGATTCACCAAGAGCAGGAGTTGAATTGTAAATAACTTGTGCAATGTACCAATGTGATTGTTGATGGCTGAGATGCTCACCTCTTCTTTCTGAATCTTACAATTCTTTGCTTTTTCCTCTTCTTGAACTCCATGCATTTTGGCCTAGATATGTTTATAGTAATCTCTTCTTTGCCTCAGATTCCATGCTGCACCTGAAAGATTAATTCAACGGTGTGTGTTTGCAGGTATGTGTGTATGTACATACCTAACTGTTTGTTTGAGAGTCCTAAGGTTAGCCCTAAAAAGAATATAAGAGGAAATGGTCCTGGATTAGACTTTTAGGAAGGAAGATTGTCTCTACTTTTTAAAGCCCTGTTTCTGGAAAATATCTCAGTTGAAAGGTGGCCAATTGTTCCTGCAAGTTCTTGCTAACCCAAACTGTATGATACATTTGTCTCATACATAAAAAATCAAATGGCATTCAAAAGGAAGTTGAAGAGTATGTAGTACAATTTTAGAGGGGAAAAAAACCCTATGAATTTAGATCAAGATATAATATTTCCAAGGGCCTCTGTCTGATTCTTTTTGAAACAAATAGACAAGTTAATTTTTTTTTCAAGAAATAGATTTGGGGATGGGAACTACTTGCTGAATTGAAGAATCAAGCCAAAGAGTAATCATATCTATTATCCAAAGAGTCCAATAAGTTTTCAGAAGGTGCCTGAGATTCAGGGGAACAAAATCTGATCCAGATGTTCATTTGGTACAATCCAACCCCTCTGGGTCTTTCATAGTCTGAATAGAAAGCCAACAGTTTGTCCCCTCTAGTAAAATGCCTCTTGCCTTTCTACCTCCACTTATGTATCAACAAAATCTGCTGGCCATGGGAGTACCCCATCCCAGAGCAGATACCACACTGTATTAGTCAGGGTTCTCTAGAGGGACAGAACTAATAGGATAGATGTATATGTATATATGAAGAGGGGTTTATTAAGGAGAATTGACTCACACAGTAACAAAGCGAAGCCCCATAATAGGCCGTCTGCATGCTGAGGAGCAAGGAAGCCAGTCTGAGTCCCCAAACCTCAAAAGTAGAAAAGCTGATAGTGCAGCCTTCAGTCTGTGGCTGACGGCCTGAGAGCCCTTGGCAAATCACTGGTGTAAGTCCAAGAGCCCAAAAGCTGAAGAACTTGGAGCCTGATATGCAAGGACAGGAAGCATCCAGCATGAAAAAAAGATGAAGGCTAGAAGACTCAGCAAGTCTGCTCTTCCGTCTTCTCCTGCCTGCTTTATGCTAGCCATGCTGGTAGTTGATTAGGTGGTGCCCACCCAGATTAAGGGTGGGTCTGTCTCTCCCAGTCTACTGACTCAACTATTAATCTCCTTTGGCAACACCCTCTCAGACATACCCTGGAACAATACTTTGCATCCTTCAATCCAATTGAGTTGACAATCAGTATTAACCATCACACACACTGATAACTGCTCAGATTTTCCTCCACACCACACAGTGATTTTCAAATCCCACTCTTGCATAATTCATACGCAAAGTACTAGAAATAATAAAATGTTCATTATTTTAAAGAGAAATCTTAATACTTCAGCTGCAAATACATCTAAAAACAGAGCCAGTTTTTTTCCTCATGAAGACACAACCACTCTAGCCTTGCTTCAGTTATTCAAATGCAAACAAGTTCTTTCTCTCCTCAAGGCATTTAACCAGGTGCTCCCTCAGCATAAAACCTTCTCCTTCCCTCCACTCTCCATCCCTGTCCCGAAATTTCTCATTGCTGACTCCTCATCCTTCAGTGTTAGTTCCAATGCCATCTCCTCAGAGAAGTCCTTCCTGACCACCTTATGGAAACAGGGTCTGTACCTTGATATTCATTCCACTTCATGATTATTTCTTTCACACTATTTATATTGCTCTTATATATTTCTTTTTTTACTTCCTTAGTGTCTATTTCCCCACCATACTGTAAGCCCCATAAGGGCAAGGAACACCCCATCACCTAGCATAGCACTTAGCATATGATAGATGCTCCAGGAATATTTGAATCGATGAACCAGCAAGAGCAAGAAATTGAAAGAGCCACTTTCTTGATTCTCCTGATACTTGCATTCATGCCGTCCTTATATTCTAATGAAGTCCTAACACACTTTCAAAGAACTATAAAGAGATAAAACAGCCTGTTGATGAAGAACAAAAGCTCAAATACCAGCTTTACGACTTTGTAGGTTAGTGAATTGGGGAAAAATGTTTTACTTTTTTTTGTGTTAAGTTTCCTTCTCAATAAATTGGAGATATTAACTATCTACCTCAAAAGGTTTTAACGAGGCTGAAATAATTTTAACACATATTTTGTGCTTCTAACAGAGGCTGGCACATAAATTCTGATTATTGTTCCTCAGGAAATGGTTTAATACATAAAAAGCTCCTTATAAGGAAGGGCTCCAGCACCTGCAGGAACCCTAAGCTCACTACAAGGTGGTTAAAGCCACCCAAACAAGAACCAAAGTTGTTTGTTTTAAATATGGAGACATCATCAGGATTCCTCACTTTAGCTTCTTACCTTTAGCTAGGAAGTAGCTTATTGTAACCATGGAGAATCTGTCTTATTGAATGCAATTCCAAAAGGCTTTAAGCAATTTATTTACATGCCACCTTCAAACTTCAAGGAGCAACATCTTATGTTATCAATAGGATTAATTAATTTTACCAATAGATGAGAATGCCAAGTAGAAGCGACTTCCCCAGGGCTAGAGAATGAGTAAACAAAGATGCTTGGAAAAAGCTGTAGCAACCCTATTTCCTAATTCAGCACTCAATTCAAAAGATTGAGCTATCTCTCCTTTAGATTTCCTGTTCTATCTCTCAATAAAAATTTTAATTGGATTTATCTTAGGATATTTCTCTTTTCAATCTTTCACTTGCAAAATCAACCCTTGTGGGCACATCTGATTACTGTAACCCAATTAGGGATTTGTTGATTTATCTCAAGAAACTGTTCCTTGAAGCATTAAGGTAAATCTTGCTGTTGCTATTCAGATCCTATGTTGCTCTAAGCAGTTAGGCTGACTAATATTCGCCGTACTGCCGAAATCAGAGTGATAAGTCATTAATCCTACTGAATAATTAACATATATGAGAAAAAGGGAGAAAATACTATTGACACCTGAGAGAAGTTTCAGGGACTGTCGGGTAATTAGCACCCACACTGGGTAGAACCTCTTGCTCACCTTGGAAAGTTCTGTCATAAATAAAGACAATAACTTTGATAAGAATTACAGTGAAGAGTAACAACCTTAAGCAAAACTGTAAAGGAAACAAAGCTCATTCTTGTTCCTTAATACCCTTTTGGTGCACTCTTTTCCTCCTTCCCTAGTTGCTTGGAAATAGAGAGGCATCACCTGCTATGTACCACCTTTCACAGAGGAGGAGAGTGGCTCTGAAAACTGGATGTATTTAGCAAGGTATCCCTTGCACAGGATATTGTATTATGCAAAGTGAACTTTAAAGAAATGAATGTTTTTTTTTTATTTTTTTATTTTTTATTTTTATTTTTTTTTTTGAGACGGAGTCTCGCTCTGTCCCCCAGGCTGGAGTGCAGTGGCGCGATCTTGGCTCACTGCAAGCTCTGCCTCCCAGGTTCATGCCATTCTCCTGCCTCAGCTTCCCAAGTAGCTGGGACTACAGGCGCCCGCCACCATGCCCAGCTAATTTTTTTGTGTGTATTTTTTAGTGGAGACGGGGTTTCGCTGTGTTAGCCAGGATGGTCTCGATCTCTTGACCTCGTGATCCACCCACCTCGGCCTCCCAAAGTGCTGGGATTACAGGTGTGAGCCACCGCGCCCAAAAGAAATGAATGTCTAATGATGGAATTTCAGTTACTGAGACACCTTGGTAAGGGAGACATAAATAACACTACTAATAATTGGTAATGTTTCACGCCGAGAAGGGGGCTGACAATGGATATCACCATTTAAAGAATGTTGGAGGACAAGAAATCTGCAAAGAGGACTGAGAAAGAATAAGCGGAGAGATAGAAAAAAAAGACAGGATTAAATAGAGACATATTCACCAAATGTAGAGAGGGTATCTAGGAGGAAGGTGGCTTAGCATTAGCATATGTACAAAGGGCTCAAAGAAGATGATGACCACAAGTTATCCAGTGGCGTTGGTGACAGTGACTTATTGGTGATCTTAAAGAGAGCAGGCTCAGGACTCAGGGAACTGAGAAGGGAATAGAAGAAGTAGAGATTACATGGTTTCTACGTGGTTTGACTCTGTTATGTGGAACCTGTCTAGAGCTCTAGCTTTTGAAGCAACTTTATCCAACAACTCCAAACTCAGGTCAAAAATTCCTGAACACTCTAGCTCCCTCTGCCCCAGACAAAAGGACCTAGCACTCCCTTGCACAGTAATAGTGATACAGACCCATGTCCTATTCCACATCCTAACAGATTTCGAAGTCCTGAAAAATGGTTAGCAAACTGCTGCTTGCTTATTGGACAGGATATACTGAGGAACTGTAATAGGAGACCACGGTTCTCAAAGGAGAGGGGCAAAAGAGAGAACAAATCCTCAGAATTCAACTAAGTGGTCAACATTCAGAATTGTATTAAATTTTAGAAGCTACACCCTCCCCCGACCCCAAATGCTAGCTTTTAGTATGAATATCTAGTCAGGGTCTCAGTTGACTTCTGCAGCACCTCCAGGAATCACACAGGACTATGAGTGTCATTGCTAGAGCTCTCTGGCCCCAGGAGCTTTGTTTGAAAAAGGAGTTCAAGTCCACCCAGTTAAACATCCACTTCTCTGCTTCCATAGGGCCACAATTTCAGTCAGTCACATTTTGAAGCTGCTTTTCTGGTGAGGTTTACACACAAAAGAGTCAATGAAATACAAGTTACTTACCTACAGGTTTAATTTCTTTTGACTCACGAATGGCAGCCAATTTAAAAATGTAATTTTTTAAAATTTTGCCCATAATAAAATTTGCATTGACTCAGTAATTTTGGATACTCTTTTCTGTAATATCTTGCAAGATTATCTCAGCAAGAATGAAATAAAATATTCTAAAACATTATTAGAGTTACTGCTTTCCAATGTAGCATCTTACAGTTCAGAACTTGAAAAGACTGCATTTAGAATCATAAACAAATCTTCTAACTTATGGATGGTACACTGCCAAAGAGGGAGATGAAAGATTTGCCTGAAGATGCTAGTTTGTACCCAGCTGTGAAGGGAAACTAGAGAATAGAATGGAACCTAAATTTAATTCTAACCTCACTGTCTGTTTCTATGCTACCTGCCTCTCTTATCCATTTTAACTAGCTACTTTGAAAGACTTATTTTTTTTTTGAAATGTACAATTATGAAAAGAAGTTATCAACTCTTGCCATGTGGTGAAGCTGCGTCAAAATGCATAACAAAACAAGGTCATTAATTTCTGTAAGACTATTTTCAGCTCATGGCACTTTTCTTCATTGTGTTAATGTTGAACAAAAGTATACAATCATTTATGCAATAGGCTAAGTTTGCTTTGGAAAGTTTTTGAGCTAGCAGAGATTAAAAATTGGTGATAAGCTGTGTGTTTTTTGTATGGTTTTTTGTATGGTCTTTGGAGCTAAGAGCCTAGAAGACAGACAAGAGATACAGCAGAGAAATGTTATTTAAATTTCTTCTTCAATGCCCAAGCCTGGAATCAACTAAGCTGTGTTCAAATGAATTTGATCTTATTTCACTTTACGTACAGGGACAGCTCTCTTCTGGAGTGAAGAGAGTATATTCCACTGAGTCATAAAAATCTATTTACTGGGTGAAGAGAACTCTAGGCAGAGGCGGCTTATGTGAAACAAAAGCCCCTGGAGCATGTGAGAGATAAAGACTGTAGCTTTCAGTTTCTCTGAACCATATCCAAAACATCCAGCAAACTGGTAGTGATCAAACCATTATCAATTCTGATTTCCACTCCTCTTCTAACTCATTGGTGGTCTCCTAATAAATCGATTGCTCTTCTGCCAAGGTTTCCCATTTTTAGCAATGCAGCCTGAATTTTTTATCTTATTCCAAAGGGTTGATAATGAAACATCCTATCAAAAGCTTTAGAGTATGGAACTCTATCATTAGCTAAAATTTTGCAGAGGATGGAAATCTCACCCTTCAAGGAAAATTCCATGGCTGTCAGGTCTTCATACATGGAATTGAATGAAGTTTTTGTTTTGTTGTTTTGTTTTAAAAATCCTTGAAAGTTCAATCAAGGCAAAGCAACACTATTGTTCATATTTTAAGACTGGTAGATTTAGTCATCTATTTACTTATTCATTTACTGCATTTATTAAACTTACAGTACATTTGTTATGCAATCAAGTTTTAAAACCTTGGAGGCTGAAGACAGTAAATTATAAAGTTATTTTCATGGAGCAGTCATCCCCAAGAATGCTCTCTCTCCTAGGTTTTGAAGCCAAAGTTAATTCCATTGCAAAGGCAATGCCAGGAGTCTTTGTCATTAAGTGTTTGAAGGGAGGAAAGTGTTTGAAGGGAGTAAAGTGTATTAATGCTCCATATTCACAGGCCTTTTTGTACTGTCAGTAACTAAACCACCACTACTCCTTTTCCTAAGCCTTGAAGCTTTAAAGCAGACTAGAGCAAATTTGGGAATTGGTAACTGATTGGAGTGAACAACATACCGAAGGATATTTTGATTTGGGGTACGGATTGCGCTTGGGGGAAAAAATCTGCCACTTCTTTTTTAAATGTTCACAAATATTAACAAGATTTTGTCTAAGCCTTATCCAGAAAACAAATTTAGGTGTCTACTTACTCTTGGAATCAAATTATTAGATCCAGCTAATTTGTCAGAGTTCCAGGTGCTCAGCAACCCAGACAAGTATATAGGACACACATCAGTGAGTAAAGAGAGCAAGGTAGATACCAAAAGGTCATAGATAACATCGTACATTTTGGGTGTGTACAAACAAAAGGCTAGGTAAATTTGCAGGCAACCTATAGTGTGAGACCAGCTTCCTGTTTAGATGGTACTATTCTGTGAGAGAAAAACATGTTAGGTAATTATGCAGGTCAGCCTTGTTATTTACAATATCCCCAAGCATTCATTCTTTACTTCATCCAACAGCATTCATCAAATGCCATGATACTCTCACACCATAGTAGGGGTACATGCTTCCAAGAGTGAATTGGGTCCCTTGCCCCTGAGTTACTTAAAGCCTGGTAGGGGAGACAAACTGACTGGCAGACTCATTAAACACAACCCAGTAAGTATTACAGGGAGGCATGATTCAAAAATTTCAGGGAGCTGTAAGTCTAGAGAAGAAAGAAAAAACAACTGCCCAGAGAAGTGGGGAAGTCCTCGCAGAAAGGACTGTTTCCACTGGGTGCGTGGGCATTCATGAGGTGGAAAGAGAAGTAGTCAGTGGGTTTGCAAAGTAGGGCATGGGGAAGTGATGGAAGATGAGGCTGGGAAGTGGGTTAGTGTTGGACTATGAAGGGCATTTGTAGGAATTTACATTTTATTCTCTAAGAACTTGCTACTATGGAAAAGGCCCTCTAGATTGCAAATATCTCACCTGTGGAATTTGTAGCAGAACAAGAATACCCAATCATTTTTTGTGGCTCCTTGTTTTTATTTTTTTTGGGGGGAGGAGGTCATTCCATTGCGCAATTCATTAAATAACAGGTCCTGAGAAAAGCCTTGGGCTAATTTCCCATACTCATGCCTCAACTGTACACCTTCTCAGTGAAAACACATGGACAACAGAAACAAAGATATTCAACTTTTAGCCTGAGAAATAAAGGAAATGTAGTTATACATGTTTTTTTGCCATAATGGCAAAATCTTGATTACTTTTGAATCAACCTAATATATATTTTATATATTTTCTGCTTAATCTTCATAACCCTGTAAGATCATATTTTGTTCCCATTTCATGGTGAGGAAACCGAGGCTAAGAACTGCTCATGGCAAAACAGGAATATGAACCTATGTCTAGCTGATTCCCAAGCTTATGTTTTTTCCCTATAACTCTTACATATGCTCATATTCTCCAGATTACAATGGATATGCAGCTACCATCTTTTTTCCTTTTCAGTCAGGGAGCAGTAGAGTCCCCATACTCAGGTTTTACCACATAACAGTCACATGAAAATCTCTCCTGTGGCATCATCAGACTGACCTTCCCATATCACAGAATGAACAATGCCACAACTCTTAGGCCACACCATTTTTTTCTTCTTCCTACCAACATCCCAAATTTTCTATGGAAATTGCTTCTCTGGGCTGTAACTCTGAAGATATTAAAATGCAACATGATGTAGATGGCCACTTAAATTATTATCAGCCATTCATTCCTAATTCATGTATCATACTTAAAGAATAGAGCCTTGAGATAACAGGATACAGAACTACTAAATGTTGATGGAGTAAGTTTAAAGAATGTCCTTGGCATGGTTGGTGCACATGAAGAGAATATGTCTAGGTGAGGTCACCAATTCTTCCAAGAGAAAATTGAACCCCTAAGATGGTAACTTCCTCAGCTTTCCACCACACCACAAAAAACCCTGCCTTCCTTTGCTCCTACCTTTTCCTTTCTGTCATAGGGAGCTCCCTTCCTCCTATCAAAGTCCAATCCTGTGCCTGGGTTTTAAGTTCTATACTTTTGCCCTTCTCAGGAACCCAACACTATAAGTTATGCCTTTTCTCTATACTAGATTCAACTTGTCTTTCCCAACCAGGGTTCTTCCCTTCAATATCTAAGTATGCTCCAGCTTCACACATCTTTAAACAAACGCATTAAAAAAAAAATCTCTTTTTAGGTCTTATATCCCCCTTCAGCTATGACTCTATCCCTGCCTTTTCCTTTGTAACAAAACTTTTGAAATCCTTGTCTGTTCTTGCCATCTCCTTTTCCACACCTCTACTGTCTCCTTAACTCATTCCAATCTGGTTTCATTCCACTCCATAGATGGCTCTCTGCCTAAATCTCCATGTCACTGAACTTGCTGGATGTTTTCAGCCCTCACTTCACCTTCTTGGAATGCTCTCTTTTCTTGGCTTCTATTTTCTACACTTATCTGGTTTTCTTCCCAGTTCTCTGGATACTTAAGCATTTTTGAAGGCTAATCCTTAAATGTTAGAGTTAAGTCTCAACCAAGATCCTATTCTCCTCTTACCCTTTACTCTCTGTCTGGGTAATCACATCTATACCCACCAATTTAGTTCCTATCTATAAACCAATGATTTCCAAATTTACTATCGCCACTCTGGACCCTTTTTCTAGGTCCGTATCACACACCCAACTGTCTCCTAGATATCTCTACCTTAATATCTCAGAGGAACCACAAACGTTGCAAACCCAGACTGAATGCATGATATTCTCAACTGAATCTTGATCTCTTCTAATCTTGTCTATCTCATTAAATGGTTTCATCTTTTATCTTGATGTAGAAACCAGAATCAGGGTCCTTTTTGAAACCATCCTCTCTTTTGCACCTCATACATCAACACATCATCAAATCTTACTGAAATTACCTCTAAAATATATCTCAAACCCACCTACTTCTCACCATCTCTTCTGTCATCAAAGTACCTCTAGCCTAAAGTATAAAAATGGCCTTTTATGGTCTTCTTACATTCACCATAGTTTTGCCTAAGATGTTCTACACTCAGCAGCCATAGTGTAACACCTCCACTTTCCACCACAAAAAAAGCCCTTCAGAGGCATCCTGTGGTTCCATTAGAATAGAGATCTGAGACCTTAATATGGGTCTGCATTTCTGGCTTTCTACTCCTGTAGAGTTAACGTGACTTCTTCAAGATCTTGCTTCCACCTGCTACAGTATCTGTGCACATGCTGTTTCTCTCAGCCTGTCAATCTCTTACCACTGCTATTGATATAACTCTTCTTTGGAAGAGTCAGCATTAGTCTAGGTCAAGATACATTGTTTGTGCTTTCTGGGCCTATTATCTTCCTTCAGAGAATTTTAGCTCAGACCTTAATTATTCATTCAAATACATGAATATTTACATGATGTCTGTCTCCATCATGAGATCTTAAGCTCCAAAGTAAGCAGGGAATGTGGCTGTTTTTGTTCATTATTGTATTCCCAGTGAGTAGTACAGTGCCTAGAAGATAAAACTACTCAATAGAAACTCAAGGAAGGCAGACAGGCAGGTGGACAGGCAAGCAGGCAGGCAGGAAGGCATTAGAGACTGTTTACGAAGGCCCTCTTCCCCACTCTCTTACTTTCCATCACAATCAGTCTAAAGAAAAAACAGTAGCTCCAAGAGGAAGGCTGGCAATAATGTAATGATAAAGCAAGGGTAGAGAGGCATATAAAGCAAATCTAAAATGCTCTCAGTTTTCCTCCAGGTCTAATCCTAGAGTCATCAAATGTTATGGTTTTCTTGCCAAATCCTCCCATAATCCCTCCATATTGTAGATTTATCGTCTGTGTCCTCCTTTGCTATTCCTGAGTCTACCTGGGACTCAGCACACACTGCTGTTGTCCTGTACCTTCCAAGAATGTTAGTACACTCGTGAATATATTTTGATAAACATGTGTTTTGAACAGCCAAGAGAAAATCCTTTAGCATTCAACATATTGGTAAAGCAACAAATGCCAGAGAATGCAGTTATGTGACTTCCTTAACTTCAAGGACTGAGTTTAGAAAGTCTTTAAACACCAATTATCAATTATATGCTCATAGTCTAGAAACACCCAAACACAAGTAAAAGTAAAACTTCAAGATTGATTATAAACTTTGATTTTAAAGTTTTGCGCTAATCCAAAAAGTATGAGTAGAATACTAAAAGATGTGTCATTTGGGGAAAATATCTCTCTCCAGAGACCAATTTTTTCTTTCTTTCTCTGATTATTTTTCTGTGCTGCAAAAGAATTATAGTACAAAAAAAAAAGAGTCAAATGGTGATCAATTCTAACTTTTACTTCTTTAAATTAAATATTTTATTCAAACTTCATTTTATTGTTTTTATTAGGAAGCTGGTGGGTATATATCTTTGTATACAACTCTATTTTCTGGGTTCTGTCTCCAATCAACTTCAGCCATCAAGAGGTCACATTTGTAAGACCGTTCTTATTTCTTAATTTTGAAGATAATTTTCTTGAAATGCACCCTGAATACACTGCTCTCAAAATTATATAACCTTTGTAATTTTTATTCTTGTTTCTTGACTGCACTCAGAAAATAAAAGTTTTTCAAATTTACTCTTGCATTTTCTCTAAATTCGAATTATACATTCCAAGTTATTCTTAAAACTTATGATTTATACATACATATAAATGCATTTACTATAAGGATAATTACCATTATGCCAGAAACCCTACCAAACATAAATCTGTGCAGAGCCTGAACATTGTCTCTTCAAAGTTGCGTTATTTACTGCTATCCTTATGTAACTCTTAAAAAGTAAGAAAAAATCTTTTCACTTTTCAAAACAAACAAAAAAAGCCACTCTTTAGAGAAAAATAAATATTATACTCCTCTAGCTAATGCGGAGTTTGGAAAATACAGTTATTGGAGGTCTCATTTTCTAATTTTTATCTGTATTTTTCCAGCCTTGATTATTACATTTGATAAATGTGAATATATATATTTATTTTTATTTTTTTCTCAGCCACTTTCATTTGCCCTGTTTTTCCTGTTCTCAACTAAACATGCTGCAAGGTTTTGTCTTCTTTTCAATGGACATTTAAAATAAACAGTGTTCTTGCCTTTACCAAAAGTATTTAAGGATATCACTTTTGATATTGAGGATAATTGAATTTGGATCATAATTTTATTACAAGAAAACAGCCATGCAGTCATGTTCCAAGACATCCATTGCTTCTTGATAACCCTACATCTTATGCCATAATGCCTGCTAATGTATCATTAATAAGACCACAGATCCAGTGTAGTACTCTATCCTTAACATTTTACTTATTGTGAGCCCAAATACTAAGATTCTGTGACTTAAATGTTAAGATTTAAATAAGTAAAACAAAGTAGGTCAATAATATGCATATTACATTTTTTATGATCAAAAGTCAATTGTAAGAAAAAGATAATGAAAGGTGATGAAAGGAAGTATAAAACTTCACCCAGATAAATAATTTTTATGACATGCTGAATCCTACTAACAGTTGCCAACACATAGATTATTATGTAATCTGCATTAAGTTGACAAGATAATTTCCTGAATTACTATTGTGAAAAAGATAATAATAAATAGCCACCATTTACTGCATGCTCTTAGTGTAAGGCAATATGCTAGGCACTTTACAAATATGACTATATTTCTAACTACTAAACTGAGCTTTTCCCATCCTACCTTTGCCTTCCACTGTCTCCTGTGGACCTCTTTATTTCTCCTACCACCCCCAAACAGATGGATGTAAAAACTGAAAGAGTGAGAAGCTCAAAACCTTGCACCCGAACTCCACTATTCACTACCATTAGGATTTGTGCTTTCTCTTTTTCCAGTCTCTGAACCTCATAAGTAAATTGGGAATAAAAATATCTATCTCATAAGAATTGTTGTGAAGAACCAATCATATTATGTACATCCACTGGTTGATACATAAGATTCCCCAGTTTCGCTGTCTTCTAACAGGCTGAAGAGCTGAAATTCTGAGGCCTAATTCTAATTTTGTATAGGGAATAGAGGCAGGGGTAAGGAGGAGGATAGCAAAAGTGCTCTAAAAAAGTAAAAACAAACAAAAACCTTTTTAAATATGTTCAAGCACTTACTGAGCTCTTGGTTCAGATCACAGTCCTGGTTAAGATCAATACTAGAAAGTATGGAGAAGTAATTTTTCCCTAACCATGTTAAGGATAGAGTTTACTGTTGCTGCTGTCAGCCAGGCTCAACTAGGATCCAGTAGGACATGTGATTTTAGATAGCACCATCCTCAAGGACTATCCAGAACATGTAACTTTGGAAAACACAATTCATGTGGCTTAAGCTCCAAAGATGTAAAAATAAATAAATAAATAAAATAATTTTAAAAAGGCCGGTGGGTCACGCCTGTAATCCCAGCACTTTGGGAGGCCGAGGTGGGCAGATCACTTGAGGTCAGGAGTTCAAGACCAGCCTGGCCAACATGGTGAAACTCCGTCTCTACTAAAAGTATAAAAATCAGCTGGGCATGGTGGCGGGCACCTGTGATCCCAGCTACTCGAGAGGCTGAGGCAGAACAATTGCTTGAACCCGGGAGACAGAAGTTGCAGTGAGCTGAGATTGCACCACTGCACTCCAGCCTGGGCAATAGAGTGAGACTTAGTCTCAAAAAGGAAAAAGAAAAAATTATATTTAAGAGATGAGGCAAAAAAAAAAAAAGTCAATGTTTAAGGTCTATTGTAATTAGCCAGCAACTGAATAAACCAAGAAACTACTTTTCACCATTTATGAGGATGGCTAGAACAACCAGGGTAATATAGAATCCTTTCTGCCTTGAACATGTGCTGAGTCTTCCCTGGATAATGGAGAAAGCCATGGAGGAAGACAGTAGCTGGCAGACTGGGAATCATAATAATTCTCATTGCACATCAAACTTTATGCTGTGTCAGGACAGGAACCAAGGGCCTTTTGTAGTTCCAGTTTGGTTGGAAGCTAAAGAAACCCATTCAAACTAGACTCTAGGTGGTGGCTAATTGTCAGCACAACCTTCTAGACAACCAAGAGCAAGGGCCAAGATCAGCCAGGCCTCTCATGAGTTTGCATGATGCCCGCTTCATCTTCTGTTCATACACCCATGTTATTCAACCACACCCCTCTGTACATCATGTTCCTCAGGGCCTCCTGATTTCTTCTCCTCCATGCCATCAGTGGCTCAGGTTGGTCATGATGTTTCTTTTGAATCCAGTCGAAAATGTTCAGGTGCCAGCTACAATGAAGTCAACAGAGAGGTCATCCCATGTTTATTGTCAATGTCACAAGAGTTCCAGGTGCTCCATATTGTCTCAACTATTTTGTGTGTGTGTGTGTTTAGATTAAATTGTCAAGAAAGACACCATAATTGGCTGTGCTCAACATTTAGATGGGTTCTCTTGGGATCAGGTTTCCACATTGATCTAACACTGTGGCCAGAGGGTCAAGATCACCTGTATAAAATCTGACTGTCCCTAGGATCACCCTTTTAGCAAGAACTGGAAAGAGAAGGCAATTTTTAGAAAGGAATTACGGGACATGGTCTGTTAAGACAAGTCTAAATGCCTGTAATAGAATGCATCCCTACAAATGCAATCCTACAGTGTATAAACTAGAGCTCATTACCTGCATTTCACAGATGAGGAAACTGAGACTCCAAGATATTAAAGGTCCTGCCCAATGTCACCCACTTCATAAGTCACGGAAGTGGCATTTGGCCCTAGATCTATCTCTCTGACTCCAACCCCATGCTCCTTTCATTTTTCCCTATTACCTAAATATCCAGATGGCCTACAAATATGGGAACAATTAGTTGGAAGTCACACAAACTAAGAAAGAAGTAAAATTTCCAAACTAGCCCCCATACTTCCAAGCAGTATATTTATTGTCTTGGAAATAAGACATGTCTTAGGAAAGCTTTTAATAAAAAATAAAGATTGCCTATAGGTGTTATTAGAAACTTAATTGGTGGGAAGTAAGAAAGCTGCATTGGAGCTGTGAATAGACAGGAGGCAGCTTAAACTGGGGAGAATGGACAACATTTAAACAGGAAAAGAGAGACCCAAATCAATTGTGCTTGCCTCTTAGTTTTGCCATAAATCACCCAGCCGGCAGGACCTACCAGATGCTGTGACTTTGCCAAACCTCTCTTTTGTGGGGTACAAAACAGGGCACTGCAGACTCTGTGCGCAGGCCTAAGAGAAATGCTAGAAGAGAAAATACAGGAGAAAAACATTCAGAAAGTCTTTGCAAATAGCAAAGACTACCAGCTGTTGGAAACTGGCAATCCAAGAGAGTTGATAGAACATTTTTTTCTCTCTTTCTCCATAAGAAAACCTTAATATGCTTTTCTAATTTATAAAATTACATTGGAAGATTTGGACATCTTTAAGTCTTTGCCAGTGCATTGAAATTCTTTTACCTTTTCTTATGCTGTGAATTTCCTGAAATTTTACCCATAGCTGTCTGACAGTAGCTTCGTGATGGCATTTACTAATACCATTCAAATAACATTCAACTGTGTCTTATCCATGGCTTAATGTATTTTGACCCTCTATGTCCAGAACATGAAAGTGTGAAAAGTAAATTTGAATTTCCATAAAAATTTAAGGAGACATAATCTCCAAACCTTCTATATAAGATAACATTCTCTAGCTTCCTCAGCTTCCCAGGAAAAGAGAACTAGAGTACAATAAACTCAGATTCAAAGGAATGGTAAATGGGAAAACATTTCAGTATGTTGGTAGTGACATATAGTATAAAACCTTGATAAATAAGACTTAGCTCTTCAACCATGACAGTCATGAAAACTTCTGGAATGAATTTTCATGTTACTTGAAATGGAATTTCCTTAGATATGGTGCATTTTCAGGTTAGAATTTAACCTTTAAACTAGAAATTTCTTGATTAAATTCAATGCCTGCCATGGGATGAGCTGTCAACACAGGCCTCCTCTGATTGGAAAATTTAGTGGACATGTTCTGCAGTGTGGATATTTACAATCTTAAATCTGCAAGGTTGCTGACACCTTTGAAAATTTAGTTTTTAAAATGCCTTCCCTGAGCACATGTAGCTCTGAGACTGTTACAATATGTTCAAGGAGCAAAACAGCCAAGTCCATCAGATGCATCTATGCAGAATACTAAATAATTAAAACAAATCTCAAGGCCTGCTTAAAAACAATAGGTTACAGAGAAATTGTTCTGTTTGTTAACTTCTATAATCGATAGCCAAGACTGGGATGTGAGTTAAATTATATTTCTTTGAAGCACTATTAGGTGAAGAAAAAGTTGTGTTTTTTTTCTGAGATGTTTTAAGATCTAAAGTAGTTCAACATTTGTTATATATCTTCCTCTTTTTCAAATGCCAAACACTTCCTTTTGAGAGAGCCACTTTTAATTTTTTTGTGCATCTCTCTATGAAATCACATGTACTTGTGATTTATACAAAAGGGTTCATGCATTAGTATCTCTGCATTATATGGCCACAAATTTTTACAGATAAATACAGATAACTTCACAGATAAGTATGTCAGTTTGGGCTGGACCTGAAATATTTTAAAAATATTGCTTATTCCAACTTTGGTTTGGGGGACACTTTGCTCTGAAGATCACACAAGCCTCCAAGCTCAGATTTATAATTTATTCCCATTTCTCATCAAATTTTACAAATTTGAGAGGACAACTATTGTAGGTCCTCTCCTTGCCAGTGTGATCAGTCTCTTAACCAGCAGCCTATGCATGGTTTATGGCCTTTTTGAAACATGGATGACTTTTCTATGTGGATGAGTGATAGTTGTTTGAGACTTGCGGATTGTGGATTGATTTTAAAGGTGGCTTTTGTTTGTTTTTTTTTTTTTTGTTTTCCCAAGCCAACCTTTTTCTTCTCCAGTCATGAGTGAATCACAATGTACCTTACTGAATCAGTCCTCATCTGGACTGATGCTCTTTTCAGAAAAGTTGGATTGGCCTTGTTTTCTCATTGTAAACATATTCTTAACCCAGGAAAGAGGATGTTCTCATCTAAGTCCTAATTGTGTTTGAGGGAACTACTAACCTGTATTGACAGTGAGAAATTTATCTCTCCCGCGCTGGCTGAAAGGAGATATTGTGTTTCCTCTTCTATATTAATATCAAATTATTTTGGAAAATGAGTCACTGCTGATACCCCAGCATATATATATAAAGATTGCCTATAGGTGTTATTAGAAACTTAATTGGTGGGAAGTAAGAAAGCTGCATTGGAGCTGTGAATAGACAGGAGGAGATATATATATATATTCCATATTCTGTGAATAGACAGGAGGATATATATATATATTTTTTTCCATATTCTACCAACATTTGTTCCATGATATTTACTGTAGAAGCAACACAGAATTTGTATGATGACTCATAATCTTTTATATCTACCTTGTTTAAGACCCACCTCTGACTCCCACAGCCTCCCTAAAACATTTACTTCTATGTCTCCAGGAAAAAAGTCTAGTGTAATACATCATTGCGGTAGGGTGGTGATTCATTATTTATTTGTTATCAGTACTCTCGAACACACATTGTTTCCATCAATACTGAGCAAAGATTGGTTTTATGTTTGAGCAATTTTAATAATACCAATGTGCAAAGTAGACTTCGTTGAACGCCCTTAAGCAACCTGGCTCAAATCAATCAAAAGTTATCATTTGCTGTGTAGCATTTAAATGTTGGAAAAACAGCACCATCTGCTGGAAAGGGGCAGGTAGGGCTATACATGTTAGCCAAGTACTGGAGAATGTGAAAGCCAAAACTCTTGACTGACTCAAGTGAGTCCGTGCATATCCATGTTCATGCAATTCACGTTATGAAATGGCAATTGTGTACGGTTCAGTGGAAAGAGCGCAGAATGAAAGCTGGCTTCTGGCTTAGGTTCAGCGATCATCATCTTCTCCTTCTCCTTTTCTTTCTCCTTCATCTTGAAATCTGTGTAACCTTGTAGAAATTACTTCTTGAAAATAAGAGTTCTTAGATGGTTGTTGGGGGTAAGGTGAGTATAGCACCTGAACTTTCTACCTTGTATTAGTCAGCTAGAGAATGGTTATTAAAGTACTTAACATTCACAAATCATATCAGGACTATAAGGCTTACGTATTAGTGTTAACATGTCAAATTTTAGCTTAGCGCAAAAATATGGTAGAAACCGAGCTGGCCTGACGAGTATTCTAATATGCTGCCAGAGAGACTGTTAATCGTGAAAGCAATTTGGCAACAAGACGAAGAGCTTTAAAAACATTCATTTGGTTTGACTCAGTCATTGTACTTCTAGGAATCCATCCAAAGAAAATCATTAGAGAAATGAAAATAGATTTATGGTCAAGAATGTTCATACCAACATTATTTAATGATGTTGAAATACTGGAAATGGAACTGATTGTCATCAGTAAGGAGTATTAAATAAGTCACATGATAAACTGTTGTACAGCATTAAATTCATGCTTTGAAGAATAATGATATGAAGAAATATTCACAATATAATTGTAAGTAAAAAATAAATAGTATATGGAAGTAGATGACCAGTGTGACTATAATTTTGGGAGGAAAGAGGAATCAAGGAAGGAAATAAATATTGGTATTATATCAGCCTTGTTGCTATTTGGGGCCATATAAGTCTTTGTTGGGTATGTGGGGGCTTTTCTGTGCATTAGATGATGTTTAGCAGCATCTCTGGCCTCTAGCCAAATGTCAGCAGCACCATTTCACCCACAAGGAACAACCAAAAATGTCTGCAGACATTGCCAAATGTCCTAGACGGGAGACAGCAAAATTGCCCTCAGTTGAGAACCAATGTTCTAAAGGAAAACAGCACAAAGATATATATATATAGATAGATAAATAGATAGATAGATTGTGTGTATATATATATGTGTGTGTGTGTATATATATATGTATATATGTGTGTATATATGTATATATGTGTGTGTGTATGTATATATGTGTGTGTGTATATATATGTATATATATATATGTGTGTGTGTGTGTATATATATATATATAGAGAGAGAGAGAGAGAGAGAGAGAGTGTGTGTGTGTGTGTGTGTTATTTGTGTTGCCAGTATTACTCGGCCAAGCTGGATGAATAAGCTAGTTAATAGGAATCAAATGGACAGCTTTCAGAGTAACTCACTGGCTCTCCAGGGTCTTGCCTAAAGCAAGTTCTTAGGAAACACATTTGACAACTGGCAAGAAAAATTCATAGGAAATACAAAGATTTTCTGACACATGACCCTTAGGAATCTAGGCAGTTTTCTCCTTGTATTAATGGCATTACTTTATATCCAATTCTTGGTAAAATAGTTACTTTTTTTCTTCTTTGTAATTTCTCTATTTTTGTATTTTTCTACAATTAACATAAATTCATTTGTTATTAAAAAAATTAAATACATTTTAAGAACCCCCATGGGAGAGGCTACAAAGCAAATTTTGTAATCCTATCTAGTGTTCTGTTGTAATCTTGACGGATTTTATCCTCTCTATATATCCTCCCATCATCCCAAAATAGGACAAAACCTGCAAAATTGCAGTTTTGTGAACAGGTATTAAAAAGTATAAAACGTGAACATGAACATGTATTAAAAAGTGTAAAACGCCATGAAGATGAACACACAGTTATTTTAAGCGACATTTGCTTTCAGGTTTTTTAGGCTTTTTTTGTTTTTATTAACTAGTTCATCTAAATGTTTACAAAAATTAATAAACCAGGTAATTTATGGGTTCCACTTCATTGCCCCTGGATAGGCGCTATCTTTTATAATAGGCCCAATAGTCCACTCCATTTGGAAAAACCAAAGTCGGAAAGATCAATGGCTTTTTCTCTTGGTGGCCATTACTTTTGATACGTGGATCAATTACACTGTTTCAGATGATCTCATAGCAGATGAGCTTTTGTGGAACATGTTTACAGAGTCTCTTCTCTTTTCTCAGGCCCCAAATATTACATTCTATATAACATGCTGGTTACCTGCAAAATCTCCTTTTGAAAAATAACCTCTTTGGAGACCCAAGCTCAATATGTGGAAAGAAAACGAGACTGAGACCACTTAGCTGCACTACAATAACTGAAATCAAATAAAAATGAGTAAGCTCTTTCTCTTTCCAATTCTTTGAAATGAAATTTTCTTACCAGTGGAGTATCAGTGTATGAAGGTTTAGCCACAAGCCAAGTCAAAGGAACTGTAATAAGTTCTGAAAGAAATGATTTAGTAGGAAAATGGTAATCAAAGAAAAGTATTCTGTATCTTCAAATAGTGGCAGAAAGGATATCTGCAGAAGACCTGCAGAGGTACAAAAATGTCAAGGCTGCCTTTCTGCTATTTAAAGTCCATTTTTAACAGCTTTATGAAGATATAAATTATATAACATTAAATTAGTTCATTTTGAGTGTGCAATTCAATAATGTTTAGGATATTTACAGAATATGCAATTGGCACAACAGTCGAACTTCTTTTTGAGGCCTGGCATATTTGATGGTCCAAGTCAAACCTTAATGACATAATGCATGGGAACATATATGTGTGGCTGGGGACAGGATTTGTGGGGAGGGGTGATATTGTTCAGAGTTCAATCTCTTTGGCCAAGAAATGATAAAAAAGGAATGTAGTTAGTACAAAAGTGGAAAATGCCTACGTTTCTGAGGTTCATATGTCAGAAAAATGGTTGTTCAATCTATGCACAGATATGTGTCTCCTATGAGTTATTCTTGTCAGCTGTCAAATCCACTTCCCAAGAACTTCTTTCAAGCAAGACCCTAGAAAGAGAATGAGTTACTCTCAAAGTTCTACATTTGATTCTTATTACCAGCTTATTGATCCAGCTTGGCTTAGTAATGTAGAACCACAAAAATAACTATATGTGTGTGTGTGTGTGTGTGTGTGTGTGTGTGTTTGTTTGTGTGTGTGTGTGTGTGTATAGTGGCTGCCAACCCATCTTAAAGCTCCGTTGGGAAATTATCTTCTTCTAAGCTAATTCATGTGGTTGTTGGCAGCATTCTGTTCCTTGAGGACTGTTGGGAAGAGGCCGCTCTCTGTTCCCTGACATGTGGGCCTCTCTATATAGCAATCCGTGACATGGTGGCTTGCTTCATCAAAGTGAACAACAGAAAAGAACCAGAGAGAGAGAGAACATGCACAAGAACGGAGAAATGGGTCTTTGTGTTAGAAGTGTAGTCACTCTCTGTACAACCTTCCCTCCTAGAGACACGTATCAAACTCTTTGAGCTACTTAGAGACTCACTTGAGTCTAAAACTTCACTAAGGGAGTAACAACCTCTTCTCCCCAGTGGAGAAATGTCATAGCACTTCAGCACTCTCTCACCAAATATTCTGTTTCCTGGACTATTCAAGGTTGTGGAAGTGAAAGGCCTGGCTAATGCTAATAGCACTAGTTTGTAGCTTTCCTCTTTGTGAATCTCACATGGATGAGTTAGCATTTTGCTATACAATGTGAAGTGAGTAAGCAATTAGGTATGGTTCAGCCTTTAGGCCTCAGCAAAGCCGAGACACAAAGTACTCTGTTTGAATATCCTATTACCCTTTAATCTAAAGGCAGTACAAAACAGAGAAGCAGGTTATAAAATTTTATTTAAATGTGCTGTGGAAAACATAAGTAAAAATGAGAACTGTGGTAAAACTGGAAGGGAGAGAACAGAACAACCTGTGTAGAGAAGAACAGTCATTTGTTTGATGAAGAACAAAATAGGCAAGGAATGAAGAGGACGTGAGCATGAGATAAATGAATCTGCTTGTTAACCAAAAACCAGAGTGGGAGCAATCAAACATTTTTAGAGGGACCAACAGAAGGCAGTTGAAAACTAGGAAGTTTTAGAGTAAAAAAGATATATAGACACCAAAGGAAAATATGTATATTTGTTTGGCAACATTCCTCTGGTCAGTAGTGACTAGGAATATTTAATTGAGAGTATGCAACCGGTATTTGAAGATTCTGCTAAAAATGAATGCCTAATATTGGTCTACAACAAAATTATGATCAGTTTAGTTATGATCAGTTAAAATTATGATCAGTTAAAATAAGAAATAAGGATAATATAGTAAGCTTTTCATATTGATTCCATTTAAAGTACTATCTTCTTTTGGCATTATATCTTTCCTATTTGTGAGTTTTAATATTTCCTTTTATTTATGAAATAATGTGAAGTATAGATGTTTCATTATTCATGCTGGGAGTTTCATGTGATTTCCTCTTAATCCTCAAGGATTCTTTTTGATGGTGCATTCCATCACTTTTTCATAATAATGAGTATGTCGTTTTGGGAGAATATAGAGTGACCAAAATCTGTTATTTTAGCTCCATGTTAAAGAGTTCTGATTAGAAGTTTGGTAGAGGGGACTAAAGTGCCAAAGTTGTTGACATTTTAAAATGGTCTGTCATTTTCCACAGTTTCTTTTCTTTTTATTTTATTATCACATTTCATTATTTCTATGTCATTACCACAGCAAAAACCTAATAGACTTTTCAAAGCACTGACCCACCCACTAAGCAATGAAACAAAATTTTATGAAGCAAGGCACACAGACATTGTGAGGAGTGCAAATACAAACAGGGCACAGTTGTTGCCTTCAAGAAGCTTCTAGTCAAATGAAGAAGAAAGACTTTTATTCCAAAAATGGTTTGCTGAATTCCTACTGCATATCAAATATTGAAGATGAAGTAATAAAAAAAGACTGGTCCTTAGCCTTTTGAGGTAATCATAAAATACTGAACATTATCTACAGTAAATGTCTCTGTTCTGTCAGTTTTCTTTCCCTAGCCTCCCCATTGGACTTGATGCCTAAATAAGAGAAAACTACCTATATTCTTGAAGATCAATTTAGTAAACTGCAGGGAGGGTCTATTCCCTACTTTTGACCACACTTATATGGGAATATCTGCATTGATTGATGGACAGATGGGCCCCAAGTTAGACTTTCCCAAATAAATATCAGGCAAGAGCATACGCAAATAAAATATAAGGTAGAATATAGTAAGGGAATGAACAAAATATCATAGGAGTATGGTGGGATGGAAGATTTTTTTTTTTTTTTTGAAATGGAGTTTCACTCTTGTCACCCAGGCTGGAGTGCAATGGCGTGATCTTGGCTCACTGCAATCTCCACCTCCCAGGATCAAGAGATTCTCCTGCCTCAGCTTCCCAAGTAGCTGGGATTATAGGCACCCACCACCACGCCCAGCTAATTTTTGTATTTTTAATAGAGACAGGGTTTCACCATGTTGGCCAGGCTGGTCTCCAACTCCTGACCTCAGGTGATCCACCCACCTTGGCGTCCCAAAGTGCTGGGATTACAGGTGTGAACCACCGTGCCTGGCCAGGATGCAAGATTAATTCTGCTGAGGAAAGTGATGAAAATGATTATGTTTGAGCTAACCTTCAAGAAGGTAACAAATATACATTAAGAGATTGGGGTTGTGGAGAAAGCCCTTCCAGGCTGGGGCAGAGTATTCCTAATGGCAAAGTCACTTGCTGAGGCAGGGCACATTTCTAGGACAAGGCTCAGTTTGACTGACTGTACCATCAGGTGCCAAAGAAGAGAAATGAAAAGTTCAACTAGAAAGGGGATTCTAATCAGGTGACAGAGGAGAGCCTTGATTTCCATGCTAGGCAGTTGGGACTTTGTTTCTTAACAAATCAACATCTAATAGAAGATTTTTTACTGAGGGTGAAAATCTGGTGCTTTAGGAAAAGTATTCTTTTAACAGGACAGGGAATAGGATGAATTGGAAAGAGGGGAGACAGGGAGAGGGGCACAGACACCTCTATTAGGATGTAATGAGTAATGGGTAATGAGGCCTGAGGAAAGAGAGGAGATTCTGTAAACATGTTCTGCAAAACTTATCTGCTATGAGATCATCTGAAACAGTGCAATTGACCCACTTATCAAAAATAATGGCCACCAAGAGAAAAAATGATTGATCTTTCTGACTCTGGCTTTCCCAAATGGAGTAGACTATTGGGCCTATTATGTTTATTTTTTTAAAAAAAATAAGTTTCTATTCCATTGATCTTTTGTATTGTTCGTTTCAAGATCAGTTATTTCTGCTCTGATCTTTATTATTTCTTTTCTTCTACTAATTTTGGGTTTGCTTTGCTCTTACTTTTCTATTGCTTTAAGATGCATTGTTAGGTTGTTTATTTGAAGTTTTTCTTCTTTTTTGACATAGGCGTTTAAAGGTATAAATTTCCCCCTTAGTACTGCTTTTGCTGTATCCCACAGTTTTTGGTATGTTGTGTTGCATTATAATTTGTTTCAAGAAATTTTTTAATTTCCTTCTTAATTTCTTCATTGACCCACTGGTCATGCATATTGTTTAATTTCCATGTATTTGTATAGATCCCAAAATTCCTCCTGCTATTGATTTCTGGTTTTATTTCATTGTGGTCAGGGAAGATGCTTAATACTATCTCAACTTTTTTTAATGCCTTAAGACTTGTTTTGTGATCCGACATATAGTTTATTCTTGAGAATGATCCATGTGTTGAGGAGAAGAATGTGTATTCTACATCCATTGGATGAAGTGTTCTGTAAGTATCTATTAGATCTATTTGGTCTATAGTGCAGAACTAAGTTCTGTGTTTCTTTGCTGATCTTCTTTCTGAGTGATCTGTCTAATGCTAAAAGTAGGGTGTTGAAATCTCCAGCTATTATTGTATTGGGGTCTATCTCCTTAGCTCTAATAATCATTGCTTTATATATCTGTGTGCTGCAGTGTTGGGTGCAAATATATTTACAATGGTTAGATATCATTACATAGTTACCTACTTTGTCTCTTCTTACCACTTTTGTCTTGAAATCTATTTTGTCTGATATAAGTATACCTACTCCTGCTCTCTTTTTTTTTTCCTTTGGCATGAAATATCTTTTTCCATCCCTTTATTTTTAGTCTGTGTGTGTCTTTATAGGTGAAGTCTGTTTCTTGTAGGCAACAGATCATTCGATCTTGTTTTTTTTATCCATTGAGTGACTCTATGTCTTTTGATTGGAGACTTTAGTCCATTTACATTCATTGTTGTTATTGATGAGTAAGGACTTACTCCTACCACTTTATTATTTGTTTTCTGCTTGTTTTGTAGTCTTCTCTGACTTCTTTTCTTCATTCCTGTTTTCCTCTTAATAAAGGTGATTTTCTCTGGTGATGTGATTTAATTTCTTGCTTTTTATTTTTGTGTATTTACTCTGTTTTGGATTTGAGGCTACCATAAGACTTGTGAATCTATAGTATAAGCCATTATTTTAAGTTGATATAACAACTTAACACTGTTTGCGTAAAGAAGAAAACAAAGCTGCGTGCCCGCCCCAGTTATCGTGGTGGCTCCCTTGGCCCTGGTGCTGGTGGTGGCAGTGACAGTGCGGGTGGCCTTGTTCCACTCCAGTCTGGCCGAGTTCATTTCTGAGCAGGTGGAGGTGGTGTCCCCACTGAGCTCTTGGAAGAGAGTGGTTGAAGGCCTTTCACTCTTGGACTTGGGAGTATCTCCATATTCTGGAGCAATATTTCATGAAACTCCATTAATAATATACCACTTTCGCTTCCTAATTGACTATGCTGAATTGGTGTTTATGATAACTGATGCACTCACTGCTATTGCCCTGTATTTTGCAATCCAGGACTTCAATAAAGTTGTGTTTAAAAAGCAGAAACTCCTCCTAGAACTGGACCAGTATGCCCCAGATGTGGCCGAACTCATCCGAACCCCTATGGAAATGTGTTACATCTCTCTGAAAGTGGACCTGTTGCAGTGCTTTCCTCAGTGCTATTTTTCTTGCCTTAGCGACATACCAGTCTCTATACCCACTCACCTTGTTTGTCCCAGGACTTCTAACTCCTCCAGGCAATTATACCAGATTGTTCACTAGAAAGCCTAAGCCAATTTGCAGTGCCACCATCAGTATCTAAAGAGAAGTGAACCACTTGCCTCCCCATCTGCCAGCACTGACTTTTCAAGTTTGATTTATGATTGCCAGTTCAGTAGATGTATCACCATACTGTGAAGTTATTTTGCTTTGATTTTTTCTATATTCTTGCTGAGCTGAAGCATTTTTCCATATAACAAAGTGCTGCTTGTATTTTCTTTCTTATTTCCTATTTATGGCTTATTCTTTAGAAAGTCTAAGCACTAAGAATATATATAGCCAGACTTTTTATACAACTATATATCAAATAAATAATATAGTATATTTATTCATACACATGAATGGACCAGAAATTTAAAAATGGTTTCTGAGCTTATCCACCCTGCAAAAAATGAGTGAGTAAATAAAAATGGTTTCAAGAAAAAGAAGCAAAAACTAATAGAAACTCTACACCTTAACTTTGTGCCCCCCACTTTTTAACTTTTTGTTGTTTCTATTTATACCTTACTGTACTCTACTGTCTTGAAAAGTTGTTGTAGTTATTATTTTTGATTGATTCATCATTTAGTCTTTCTACACAAGAGTTTACATACCATAGTTACAGTTTTATAATATTCTATATTTTTCTGTGTACTTACTATTACCAATGAGTTTTGTACCTTCAGATGATTTCTTATTGCTCATTAATGTCCCTTTCTTTCTGATTGACTTATTCCCCTGGCATTTCTTGTGGAACAGGTCTGGTGTTGATGAAATCCCTCAGCTTTCATTTGTCTGAAAAAGTCTTTATTTCCCCTTCATGTTTGAAGGATATTTTTGCTGAACATACTATTCTAGGGTGAAAGCTTTTTCTTCCTTCAGCACTTTAACTATGCCATGCCACTTTCTCCTGGCCTATAAGGTTTCCACTAAGAAGTCTCCTGCTAGACATATTGGAGCTCCACTATATGTTATTTGTTTCTTTTCTCTTGCTGCTTTTAGTATTCATTCTTTATCCTTTACCTTTGGAAGTTTGATTATTAAATGCCTTGGAGTAGTCTTCTTTGGATCAAATCTGCTTGGTGTTCTGTAACCTTCTTGTACTTGGATATTGACCGATATCATTCTTTAGGTTTGGGAAGTTCTATGTTATTATCCCTTTCAATAAACTTTCTACCCCATCTCTTTCTCTACTTCCTCTTTAAGGCCAATAACTCTTAGATTTGCCTTTTTGAGGATATTTTCTAGATCTTGTAGGCTTGCTTTATTGTTTTTTTTTTCTTTTCTCTCATCTGACATGTATTTTCAAATAGCTTGCCTTCAAGCTCACTAATTCTTTCTTCTACTTGATCAAGTCTGCTATTAAAAGACTCTCATGTGGCCAGGCGTGGTGGCTCATGCCTGTAATCCCAGCACTGTGGGAGGCCAAGGCGGGCAGATCACAAAGTCAGGAGATCAAGACCATCCTGGCTAACACGGTGAAACCCCGTCTCTACTAAAAATAAAAAAAAAAAAAAAATTAGCCGGGCATGGTGGTGGGCGCCTGTAGTCCCAGCTACTTGGGAGGCTGAGGCAGGAGAATGGTGGGAACCCAGGAGGTGAAGCTTGCAGTGAGCCGAGATTGGGCCAGTGCACTCCAGCCTGGGCGACAGAGTAAGACTCTGTCTCAAAAAAAGAAAAAAAAAGACTCTGATGCATTTTTTAGCTCCAGAATTTCTCCTTGATTTTTAAAAATTATTTCAATCTCTTTGTTAAATTTGATAGAATTCTGAATTCCTTCTCTGTGTTATCTTGAATTTATTTGAGTTTCCTCAAAACAGCTATTTTGAATTATTTGTCTGTAAGGTCACATATCTCTGTTTCTCTATGATCTTATTTGGTTCATTTCATGAGGCCATGTTTTCTGGGATGGCCTTGATATTTGTGGATGTGTGTATGTATCTGAGCATTGAAGAGGTAGGTATTTATTGTAGTCTTCAGAGTTCAGGCTTATTTGTACCCATCCTTTTTGGGAAGGCTTTCCAGGTATTCAAAAGGACTTGGGTGTTGTAATCTAAGCTATATCTTCATTAGGAGGCACCCAGTAACAAAGTCCAGTAACACTGTAGTTCTTGCAAACTCATGGAGGTACTGTCTTGATGGTCTTGGACAAGATCTGGAAAAATTATCTGGATCACTAGGCAGAGACACTTGTTCTCTTCCCTTACTTTTTCCCAAACAGTGTCTCTTTCTCCGTTCTGAGTCACCTAGAGCTGAGGGTGAAGTGACACAAGCACTCCTGTGACCACCAGCACTAGGACTGTGCTGGGTCAGACCTGAAGCCCATTCAGCACTGAGTCTCACTCAAGGCCTGCTGTAACCACTCCCTAGCTGTCTCCTATGTTTGCTCAAGGACACTGGACTCTGCATTGTCATTATTCAGTAGTAACTCCATGCCCTTTAATTATCACACTACACGTCTGTTCTGCTTCAGCGTCCATCACTGCAGGGATTTTCTTTTGGCACATCATATGATCTCTCATTGTACCTCCAATGACTAAGAAATACATATCATGGTGTGTTCTAGTGTTTTCCTGCTGCTTTAACAAAATACCTTAGAATGAATAATTTATAAACAACTTATTTCTCACAGTTCTGGAGGCTGGGAAGTCCAAGATCACAGTGCCAGAAAGTTCAGTGTATTGTGAGGAATCTCTGCTTCCAAAATAGCACGATGTTCCTGTGTTCTCACATGACAGAAGGGGCAAATGCTGTGTCCTCACATGGTGGAAAAGAAAAAGGGATGAATGCTATGTGAAGCCTCTTTTATATGGGCATTAACTCCATTCATGAGGAAGGAGCTCTCATGACCTAAATATTACCTCCAAAAGGACCTAACCTCTTAATACTGTTGGATTGAGGGTTAGATTTCAACATATGAATTTTGAAAGGACACACATTCAAACCATAGTGTGGTATTTATCGGCTGTCATTGAAGGCTGTGATCTAAGTTATTTTGCCTGGAAAACATGGAAAGGGGTCAATACCTTCATTTCTTTATTCTTTGACCTGATCTTTTCTATAACCAGTAGAATATTTCAGTGCAATGGAGTTTAGGCGAGGTCTGTGGCCATCATGCAGAGGAAAGGAAGAACCTGTATGCTTAGCAATTTTTATGTTTTCAAGACTAATGGACAAGCCAGTATTTTACTCCTGGAAGAACATACAGAGAGAGACATTGAGTTGCTCAGAGTATTACAGAGACAGAAATATAGATTTAAGACAAAAAAAAATTCATCCATTAGTCAAGTCCAGTCTGGTGGTTTTTTTCTGGTAAGACTGGGCATCATGAATGATCCTCTAGAACATTTAGTACTTGATAATACTAAGATATTTATTCATTTAAATAATTGTTGGTTGTTTTTGTCTTTTCCTGCTATAGAAACTCTTGCATATTTTAGCAGCAGCTTTTCCCTCTGGTAGTTTTGAACTTGGACATTATAAACAAATGTGTGTGAACTTGATGGCCTTCCTTTCTGTTTAATATCTATCTCTAAACTTCTTTCAATTGTGGCAGTGATAAGTATGAAACCTAGGGGAACAATGATCCTGGCCAATGCAATGAAAAAGAGGTCACTACACTGCACTGATTAGAGTACTGATTTTTGACCCCCAGGGACTATGAAAATGCTGTAAAGCATTTCTGGGTGAACTAAATAAGACCATTGGGATACCTCTGCGTACGGGTAGAATTGAAAGTTTATACCTCAGAATGATGTCAGAGGAACAGAGCCCAGGAAAGCAAAATCAAATATTATGGAAGACAGTTCATCACAAATTTGGAAAAGAAAACAAAATGTTGTATCTACTATTTTGGGTAGAATTGGGTTCAGCAATTTTGCTATTAGAGATGGTACATACAAGCCCTGTTCTACATTTATAGGTTGCCTAATTAATTTTATTTTACAAGCATACATCTCATAGATTGGGTACTTACTTATCTAAGTGGGTTCCTTGGAAAGAATGGATTTCAGAGAAGGAGAAAACTGTTGGGAACGATGTAAATGTACATTATCATTATAGTGATAATGTCATGTTTATATATGCATGTTAAGCCTCATCAAATTATATATTTTGAATATGTGTAGTTTATTGAATGTCAATTGTACCTCAATAGCATTGTAAATGGTGAGAGAGAGAAAGAGAGAGGCAAATCTAAAATACCATGAAATGTGCCTGCCAGAGTGTTGGTTTCCAATATATTTTAGTTTGCTTCTCTTCTCATCATGTATTGTGTTTTCCAGGCTTTCTCTTCAAGTCTGTTTTCTCAAGCACTTGTTAAGGATCAATATCCACATTTGTTTTGACTTCTCATAGGCTGCTCCTTTCCTAAATATGTTTGATTTTAAGATAAGCTACCCAAACATGTTTTCACATTTCCTTACTCTCCTCACTTTCCTTATCTACTATCAGCACTATCTGAGAAGCTAGGCTAAGAATAATTCTAATTTGTTTTAACTGGTTATGCTTACCTCACTTTAACAAGTCCATGAGGCAGCTACTCAGAACATCATCTTAGGAGAGTTGTTTTTACTTCTTTATCAGATGTCAAAATTATTTTTCCCAAACATAATGTTTGATCCATAAAAGGGCTGTTTTGTTCTGCAATTTTTAACTGGGAAGTTGTTTAGCCTTTAGCCAATATTCTTAACTTCATACCTTTGCGGGGAAAAAACACTAAGTGAGAATTATAAAGTGCCTGGAACACTAAAAATCAATATTATGATTCTTGGAGAAGATTACATTTATCCTTTTAAATATTTATTTGCCCCTTCTTTCTTTTCTTTGACTTCTCCTGTCTATACTGGCCACAAAACTGTCTTCAAAACTATGCACAGATTGAGACACTCATGAAGGAATCCACACTGATTATTTTGACCCATAGTTACTCTTTTCTTTCTTTAGACATCCTTCTGTTGCCTGAGGTAGCAGCCAACTGCCTCCTTCCAGGCCCTCAATCCTCATTCCTGGCTACTGAGCCACTCTTTATCCAGGTCAAGTCCAGCCATTGCCAGAAGGAGAGAACGGACAATGACATAGGGGAAAGTTTGCATTAATTCTAGGGAGGCAAATGGGAAGATATGATTGGGTATGATGAGGCTTATTAGAAGGATGCTGTTGTAATGCAGCAAGAAAAAATCAAGACATGAACTAAAGCAGTTGTATTGGTAACAGGGACAAACAGGAGAAAACAGATTTGAGACATATTTAGAAACTAGAATCAGCAGGACTAGGTGACCTTTAGATAATGAGTGGGAAAGTGAGTATCAGAGGGGAGGCTACTGACATACAGATTTCCATTTTAATCACTAATAAATTCATGATGGTGATGTTCATTGATAAAGAATATACATGAGGCAGGTTTTAGTAGAATGTCATGAGTTCATGTTTAGACATATAAATTAAAGATGCCATTGAAGCATCTAATTGGAGTCCATTAGCACGTGGTCGAATATAGAAATAGAAAATTTGTAAGAGGGTTCATTTTGGTGTTATCAAGTTTTAGATCATATTTGAGGCATGATTTTGTATGAAATTACTCTGGAAGGGAGTATAGAATAAGATAAATGAAAGGATCACCTAAATGGAGCCTTGGGGAAGACCACTGTTTAAAAGTTGTTCAAAAAACAGGCCTTTTGTAATGTAGACCAAGGAAGAATGGCCAGAAAGGGTGGGGAACACCAATAGTAATTGAAATAATAAAATCCTTTCCAAAGTGTGACCCACAGGACCATACTTCTATGATTTTGATCTTTAGAATGTGATTCATTGGTCACAAATAAGTTTTGGAAATGCTGCATGTTATTAAGATATTTCTTCTTGAAGATTTTCTTTTGTGAAAAGTCCTCTGGTAAGGAAAATTGTTTAAGTTATATAATCTTGGAATTTCCTAACACATTGAGCCAAAAACACTTTTCAGACTCAGTAAACCTGAATAACATCCCATAAGACTACTATTTCTGATACACACTTTGATAGAGAGCTGCTGTCATAGAAGTCAAGGTATGTGAACTTCAAGGAAGGTGATATTTTTCATTGCTGCAGCAAAGTCAAAGACAGGTTAGAGTTGAAAGCCATATATTCCCTTTAGCAGCGCTGAGCAATGATTAAGAGCTCAGACAATAATAGTAATGACCTCATAGGGTAATTAAAGCAGGATGAAAATAGTAACTATACGCAAACTGATTAGAGCAGTGCCTGGCCCATAGTAAGTGCTTTTAGCTGCCATTTGGTAACTCTTATTCACAGCTTGGCCATTTCAGTTGCATGTTATAGCATAATCTTGATTTTTAGAAGCTGAAGAGCATAGAAAGTGATAATGCAATAATCAAAGATTCAGCTTCTATGGCATACCTATTTATCTTATATATTTACCAAGTTTTATTCTTTTTATTTTTATAAACTTCTAAATATATATAACAACTGGAAAAGTAGATAAATCATATTACAGAATACATTAACACAAAGTGCATATACTTATACAACTACTAGTCAGGTCCATTCAGACAGCACCTTAAATATCCTACTCCTGTCCCTTCCCAGTCACTATTCATAGCCTCCTCCCCCAAAATAATCATATCCTGACTTCAAATACCATGATTAATTTTACTTGTTTCCAAACTTTATAAAAACAGAATCATGTGTTCCTTTGCATCTGACTTATTTTGCTTAACATTATGTTGATGAGAATCACCCATGTTTTTGTATATAACAGTTGTTTGCTCTTGTTCACTGCTACATAGTATTCCATTGTGTAAGCATGCCACAATTTAATGATCTATTATTGATAAAAACTTGTGTCCAATTTGAGACTATTATGAATAATGGTACTGTAAGCACTTATACACATATTTTTTGGTGAACACATGTATGCATTTTTGTTATTTGCCTAGGACTGGAATTGCTGGATTATAGGATGTACATAATCAACATTAGTGACAAATTCCAAGTAGTCTTATCAAATGACACTCCAAATTGTAGCAATTTACACTCCACTCTGTATTTAAAAGTTTCAGTCCCTCTTCCTTATCAATACTTCATATTGTCAGTCTTTTTACTTTTAGCTATTAGGGTGGGAATGCACTGGTATATCATCATAGTTTGGGTCGGTGCAAAAGTAATTGCCATCACCTTTAATGGCAAAAACCACAATTGCTTTTGCACTGACCTAAATAATTCTCATTTTCTTGATGACAAATTAAGTTGAATAATCTTGATCTTATATATGTTTATTGGCCCCTTGAAAATCTTCAAAGAACCTCATCAAGTCCTTTGCCAACTTTCCTATTAGATTGTATATTGTACCCAATTTATGTGCATGCCCCTCCACCCCCAGTTAACTAATTCCTTCTAACCCCTACCTTTTGGGCCTTTGTCTACCTGCTCAATGGACAGCCCAACCTTCCAATGCTGTTGCCTCTTTCCCTGACACTACTGGCTGCCTAGGGCTCCCCAGAGTAAGGCCTGGGCTTCAGCATGGATTCCTTTATGTCCACCATGGCTGGAGCTGCAGCAGTTCAGATTCTCAAGCCCAACCCTACCATACTATGAAGGGTCTAACCGCTCCCATCACCTCTAGGAGTTACCTAGAGGCTACTTGTAAAGGCCAGCTGATTTAACATAGAAATGTAAGGTCCTATGTGGAGTACTTGGACAATGACAGATAAGAGCTAGATAGAACCAGCTTACAAATCCTTTTTCTTCCCTGCCCTCAGGATACTCTTCTAAATTAGATGGCTTTCTATGTCCTGTCTGGAAACTAAGCAATCAGCTATGTGACTTGCATTTTATTTCTTACAATGGAGTTTTTTGATGAACAGAAGTTCACATTTTTAATGCACTGCAATTAATCTTTTTTCACCTGCAGTTCATGCTATTGTGTTTTGTCTAAGAAATCTTTGCCTACTCCAAAGAAATAAAGATGCTTTATTACCTTCTAGAAACTTTATTTCCCATTTCCCATTTATATCTACAGCCTACTTGGAATTATTATTTGATGGCATAAGATGCGGTAGTTTTGTTGTTTTCCTATGTGAATATTCAGTTGACACAGCACCATTTGTCCTTCACCTTCTGCTCTGAAGTGTCACTTTGCTCATATATCAAGTATCGATATATGCATAGGTCTGCTTCTGGACTCTGTATTCTGTTCCATTGGTCTATTATTCTATTTTTGTGACACTGCCACACTGTCTTAATTACTGTAGCTTTCTAATAACTGTTCATATGTGTGAGTGTGGATACTCCAAATTTGTCTTCAAGCTTGCATCCGCCATTTGAATCTCTCCCTGGGATTTAAGTTAAAATTACATTGAATCTAGATGAATTTGGGGAGGCCTGACATTTCTATAAGATTCAATCTTGGAATCCATGAATATGCTGTGTGCCCCCATTTGTTTAGGTCTTATTTAGTTTCTTTCAGTATTGTTTTCCTTAGCTATATGGGCTCCCTTCCCTCCTGGATTTTGGCCCCACATTTCTTGAGCTTTCATAGCTCACAATGTTTTCAAAACTTTATGTATATTTTGTCCAGCTCATTTGGTTGTTGCAGTGCAAACATTGGTCTGAAACCAACTAGTCCGTCTGAGGTGAAACTCTCTACCTTTCTATTGAAATGATTTAATATTATTTAATTGAATAGTTGATTCTCATTATCTGTAGCAATTATGTTCTATAAAGTCACCATGAACACTGAATTAGCAAATATGGAACCACTGCTCCTAAGGGAAATACACAGGTTCCTGGGAGCCTCTGCTCATACGATTTTTGTCAACTAACTGATATATGACATTGATTTATGTGTATGTCTGTTCAAAGACACTTTATTTAATATATATTGTTGATTCATTGGCATTGAGCTTAAATCCCTTTACTAGATAGATACACAAAGGAAAATAAATTGTCCTCCCAAAAGTATACCTGCACTAGTATGTTTATTGAAGCACTATTCCCAATAGCAAAGACATGGAATCAAACCAGGTACCCATCAGTTGTGGATTGGATAAAGAATCTGTGGTACATATACACAATGGAATACTAGGCAGCGATTAAAAAGAATGAAATCATACCTTTTGCAGCAGCGTAGATGCAGCTGGAGGCTATTATCCTAAGTGAATTAATGCAGAAACAGAAAACCAAATACCGTATGTTCTCACTTATAAGTGGGAGCTAAACATTGGGTACACACGGGCACAAAGATGGAAACAGTGGACACTGAGGATCCTGAAAAGGGGGGATAAAGAAAGGGAATGAAGGGTTGGAAAACTACCTATTGGGTACGATGTTCATTACTGGGGCAATGGGATCAGTAGAAGCTCAAACCTCAGTGTCATGCAACACACCCATGTAATAAAACCGTACCTATACCCTTGAATCTAAAATAAAGACATACATACAGAAATTTGAGTTCAGGGCCAACAGCTGCATCTATGCTGTTGCAATTGATGCCTAAATGAAATTCATCTAACATATATTTCCTCCCTAAAGCATATCACAGCCTTTTTATACTTGGGAACACTACACAGCACTTCAGCACTTACTTCGGAGACATTTTAAGAGCAAAATCATCAACAAAAAGTATTAAAATGTAAAAACTGGCACTACATAGACCGTGAAAAGTTCACAGCATGCAACTGAAACAAGGAGGCAGAGTGTCACCTTGTCCTGCCTCAGCTGGGAACATGCAACATGCACATGGGGTGACTCTAATTGTTTGTCACTCTACACATGTCCACAGAGGATGGTGTAAGCCCTGCCAGTATTGATTTCAGAGTCACAAATACATTTTAGCAAGTAGACATATTTAAACATATAGAATCAGTGGATAACATACATAAACTGTATTTTTAAGTAAAATTATACTGTTTTCAATAAACTGTGTTATAAAGTAAGGTAATATAAATCTCAAGAGTAGATAACAAATGTATACAGCTCTCATATACTTGGGTTTGTCCTTTTTCAATTTAGCTTATTTATCTCAGAATTTCTCCACCTTTCTTGTTCTGCATCTGGACTTTATTTTTTATTTTATTATTATTTTTCTAGATGGAGTTTCACTCTTGTTGCCCAGGCTGGAGTGTAATGGAGCAATCTCAGCTCACTGCCACCTCTGCCTCCCGGGTTCAACCAATTCTCCTGCCTCAGCCTCCTGAGTAGCTGGGATTATAGGTGCCTGCCACCGCGCCCAGCTATTTTTTGTATTTTTAGTAGATAGTGGGTTTCACCACGTTGGCCAGGCTGGTCTCGAACTCCTGACCTCAGGTGATCCGCCGGCCTTGGCCTCTCAAAGTGCTGGGATTACAGGCATGAGCAACTATGCCCAGCCTGTACTTTTTTAAAAGATCATTTTTATTCACTTTAACTAACAAGCTTGAAAATCCACATCTACATATTATTCTCTAGTCCTGGAGAAGCCTTTCCCAAACTTCCAAGGACTCCCAAAACACTCTTGGCATTTACTTCCCTGAAATTTAACAAAAAGATGGCACTAATTTAACAAGCAGGAGGTCACCAGCCCTATCTGCCTTTGATTTCGGCCCTCTCTTTCAGCGCTCAGGCCCAGTGAGGGAACATTCAGTTGGCTCATATTCGAGGCTAATTGCAGAAGATGAAACCTATATGTCATTTCCATTTCGAGATTTTCTTTTCATCCCTCCTCATTTATTTTCTGTAATATATGTAATCTCTAAAATCCCTGGCTACTACCTAGAATTCTTTTTTTTTTAACAATAGGAAATAGCTGATAAATTCACAAAACTTCTTCCCCTATTTATAAAAGAAATAAAAATTTAGCAAAATTAAGATTTTTTTAAGTTGTCAAGGAAGAACAAAATCATACTTTTATTTAATAGCTCATAGTTTATGAGCTATTATTGTTTGTTTGAGAACAGAAAAGTCAGGATTCTCAAACAAGAAATGAATCTCTGCTGGCCTAGGTGGCTCCCACCTGTAATCTCAACACCTTGAGAGGCTGAGGCAGGAGGATTGCAGGCCAGCCTTGGTGACAATAGTGAGACCCTGTCACTACAAAAAAAGTAAAAAATAGCCAGGCATTTTGACGTACATCTGTATTCCCAGCTACCCGGGAAGTGGGAGGATCACTCGAGCCCAGGTTGTTGAGGCAAACAGTGAGCTGCAATTGCACCACCGCACTCCAGCCTGGGTGCCACAGCAAGACGCTGTCTCAAAAGAAAAAAAAAAAGAAACGACTTTCTTATTAGAATCCAGATCCCAGACAGAGGATAATAATGTCTGTATATTGGTCACTGGAGCATTGTTATTATAGAGATGACAAAAGGTTATTCATCACATTTCTAGGTATTTCTAAAATGTTGATGCTTCCATTTATGGATATAAATCTTGTTGGCCTGTCTATACAGTAGTATGTTACTCTTCAGAATAACTAAATATATTTTATTTTGAAAAAATATGAAATAATATAATTGTATAATTACAACTAAATGGAGGCTGTCACCCTCAGTCGGTTTGTAAAAATTCTAACATAGGACCTTTGGTATCTTCTGTAAGATGTTAACAGTTGCTGCTGATCTCTAAACAAAGAAGAGAGAGACTTTTCATTACATTCGTTTAGGGAATATTGGTTTAAACAAAATTGAACAGCTTTCTTTACTGCAGCACTTGTGTTCTTTAATATGTCAATGTGTATTTGGTATCTCCAGGAGAACATTACAATGTACCGCAATCTCAAACATACTTAACTTCAGAAACTTTTAAAGCAACATCATGCAGGAATATGCTATAAAAGGCATAGGTTTGGGAAATGCTCCTCTAGAATATGACCCACATTGCATTTGTAGGCTCAGAAATGCAACTGGAGGAAAGTGGATAATCCATGATTGATGGGAGTCATATCTAATTGTTACTGATGCTCTGGAGGTGGCTCTTCAGGATTACTGGCATCTGCCCCTTGAAAGTTGCCAAAACAGTTGAGATTTTGCTTACCTACTTCATTAAACAGCATCAACAAAGCAGATGTTATGAGACTCGGGGATCATTATAAGGAAAGCTTCCCCAGCCATAAGAAAACTTTAAGCTCTGACATATAAACAAAATTGTTAGAAAAGCTCCTTTCAGATTTTGCTGATATCAAAAGAAACCATTGTTCAATGAAGACTCTCCCTGAAGCCCTCTTTTAAAATATTTTCTATTTATAGCTCTAAATCTTGTTGACCTGTCTCTACAGCAAAACTTCAACACCTCTGAAAAATATATATTCTCAGTGATTACTGTCTTCTTAAACTAAGTATAACAAACCCAATTTAGCTCTTCCTTGAGGACTGTGTCATTTTGTGGCCATCGGGGTCTGTATAGTGCTGAAAGATGGGCTGTTCCAGGCTTGTTAATATGTGTTGGCCCCAGCATGCTTTGTTTTCTGGTTACTCCCTACTTATCCGCCTCTGAGGTCCTTGCCTTCTTATCCCTCCTCCTTCTTTGCACTCTTCCCCAAGCTGTTTCTAACCTGCTGAGCTCTTGGAAACCACATTAATGTACTTATTGGTGCAGGCAGTGAATTAGAGAAAGTGGAAGCAGAATGAGCACCTGAGTTGTGTTTCTTTAATTAAAAATAAGTAACTTCACAGAAGACTTTTTTTTCTTATCAGACAAGTATTTAGTTAACAAATATCATTATGATTTGGGGCTGCTTTTTGGATAGTCAAGTTTGCCAAAAGAGTGAGGTGTTTTTGTATTTTATTTTATTTTTTGAGACAGGGTCTCACTCTGTCACCCAGGCAGGAGGTCAATGACACAGTCAGGGCTCACTGCAGCCTTGACCTCCGGGGACTCAGGTGATCCTCTCACCTCAGCTGCCCGAGTAGTTGGGACTACAGGTGTGCACCACCATGCCTTGCTAATTCTTGTGTTTCTTGTAGAGATAGGTTTCGCCATGTTGCCCAGGCTGGTCTCAAACTCCTAGGCTCGAGAGATCCTCCTGCCTTGGTCTTCCAAAATGATGGAATTACAGTATTTTTTTTTTTATTTTAAAAAAATCAGCAAAAGAAAAATTATCTGACAATTTAAAATCCTATACAATTCTACATTCCAGAGAAGACATTCTTTTTTGTATTCTTGAGGATACACAATGGATTGTTAAACGAACATTTACATAAACTCATTCATTGTACATCTCTTATATATGAGGAACCCTGCTATATGTAGGCATTTTAACTAAAAGTATGGTAAATTAAACCTCTTGCCTTATTGTCTACTGGCTCTAGCTAATAAAATTGAATAATCTATAGATAATGTTTAAATTGAGTAATTCTCATTAGTGTTTCATATTAGACATTTTGCTTTTACATTTCCTTTTGATAAATAAACTCAACAAAAAGGCAAATTTCTTATCTTTCAGTTCTCTTGTGAAGGAAAAAGTATATTTCCTAATTGTAATTCCCTTCTTTTTACAGGATTAAAAAAAAAACCCCAAAAACACTTTGAATGGAGTGCCACTTAAAGGGAAATTTTCTTTTTGGGGAGATGGATGGAAGCTCCATTCACACTTTAAGAGGTCTAGAATGTTCATGTAGGGGCGCCAACGTGGCATTTCCATACAGTGGCACTAATCCCCACAACCAAATGTGTCACTCATTTCTCTGTGTATTAATGTCCCAACTCTCATTTACACAGTCAGGAAAGCTCAGATCTTTGTTTTAAGTGCAAAGCCCTGCTGATGGGCCAACTTCGTCCAGGCTTCTAGCACATTGTCTGTGCTGAGTGAACTGGAAAAAAAGACCTATTATATCTGAAAATGTTAACGTTTCAACACAGGAAAGAACAGTAAGGTACAAACCAACACGGAGTCATCTTTCTTTTGTGCTGGATTTGGTTTCTGAATTCCTTCCTGGGAAAGAGTTCCGGCTGTAATTTTTCCCTCGCCAGCCTAGTGGATAACATCTTTACATCCCCCATCTGCTTCACCTCCTCTTTTACAGCAAAACACACGATGCCTTGTATTGTGGAACCTTACGTACTTGTGGCAAGCCCTGCACCAGACTGTGAACTGGAGGCAGGCCGAGGGTTACATCTGCTCTGCTATTTATGACACAACACTGTGAGCCCTTAAGATACGTTCTGTGGCTTATTCTAAGGTGATTCAAGCCAACAACTTTCTCTTTCCCTAAAACATTACTATGTGTGAGTCACAAGTTATTCATTCATTCACTCATGAGGGATGCATTAGGCAGCAGGAACTGTAACTTATTCATCAGAGTTCCCCAGTACCTAATGCAGTGCCTGGGACTGGATATGTCCTTAAGAACTAAATCAATGAATGAGCATGGCTTGTTTTTTTTGCTCATTGTAGTTTCTTTGGAAGAAGGGGAGGAAAGCAGTTGACATGATTCTTATTCAAATAATAGGTAAAACAATTGGAAGAAAAACCAAACTGACTTTAACTTGTCTCATAGAATTGCAACAAATATGTGTCTCTTTTGCAAAATGCAAAAATCCCTCCTTTGTCCTCCCCAGATGAAAATAAATTGCCTTCAGAGTGATAAGATAAATCTTAAGCAGTTCCCATTCAGTCATCAGCATTTATCACATATGTACAGTGCCGGGCAAAAAGGAAATGAGGCATCCCAAATCCTGAGTACAACAGAGTCAAGCATAACCTCAGCTTTGTTGTGTGAATACATAAAGGGGCATGCCCCAACTGGGGCTGGAGCCATGACTGACTTTGCAAGATTATACTATTTGAAGCTTAGACTTCTCTGAAACTGCCCTTGCTAGATGTCATTTGCTTGCAAGGATGGTTAATTTGGTTCATTAACAGCTAGACATGGGGAGAGAAGCAGGTTTGGTAAAGGAAAATGACAGTACATAAAAATTTCTGTGTGTTACTGACTAGACCTGTAAGGTTGACCCTCACATTCTATGTGACCCCACCCCCAACTACCAAAGAACATCAGTGCATAAAGCTTGCCTTGTGTGGCCACAGCTGTCTGCCTGTGTTATCTTATCCTAATTGCGGCAACAAGCACAATATGTGACATGTAATAGAAGCCTAATGATGATGATGAACATCATCAGCTGGTTAAAGCTTACAAAGCACTTTCATATATGTGCTGTCATGCACTCTCATATCATTAGTCATTCTCTGGGTCATTAATCAATCATTAATAACTTGGAAATTAATAACTTGGAAACAAAATCTGCCTCCTTTCTATTCTTTTGTGCCATTGAGTAGCATCAAAACTTCAGTGCTTTCAGATGCTTCAAATTTTCAAAGTCAATTGATCTTTCACATCTCCACATATTGCTGCTCCTCTCCCATTATACATTTTTGATTTTTGAATGCTTAAATTTTATTTGCAATTTATTTGGAAATATATTTATTGAATTTATTTCTGGATATTAAAAATCTCCTGAGTATATTTTTCCACCATATATTTCAAATTCCATAAAATGTTTTACCACCATGGATACAAAGTCTGTTATGCTGATGACCAAAGTTACATTTAACCTACCTTGTTAAAAAAAAAAAAGTTAACTGTTATATTAATAATTTCCCTTACGCAAAGTAAGCCACTGGATTTAAATATGCCTTTAGAATGTGTGCCTTTCTATTACTTGACAGTGTTTGGAGCTTCCTCAAGGGAGGTTTCTCTCCAAGGACTGACCCTATATTACCTAATGCTTAAAAGGCCATTAATCTACTTGTGTCCAAGGAAGTCAATGATCAAAGGTGTTTCCTTTGGCTCTGATTTGTGTTATCTTAGCCACACCCAATAACAACTGTGTAGGTCATTACTGTATGCATTTTTACCTGATTCCTGGCTACATGTTAGGTCCCCACCCATTGTTTCTTTCTTTTTTCATGTCACTTTCATTTTAGGCTATCCTATTCCTCCTGGAACAAGGCAGTTTACAAATAGCACTGAAGCAAAGGATAGTGTTAAGGCAAATCAATCAGTGATTTCTGTTGAAAACAAATGAGAGAAAAAGTTGCCTTCTACATCCCACTGGGCATATAATGGAAAATAGTTTTGAAAGCACTTTGTAAACCTCAAAGACATAGTCCTTCATAGTGTCTCTGATCCAGAAGGAAGATATTGCCCTTACAATAGTATTGTGACTACCTGCTTAGTAGAGGCCAGATATAGATTCTTGCTCTAGCCTGGCCCTTCCAGTCTCCTTATCAGTCTTACAAGCCTGAAACCAAAGGTTATGCTGGACCATCACCACGATTTAGGGCGGCATCAGAAGTGCTGTCTTATAGTCAGGTTGTGTAGTAACTTTGGCCAGGAAAAAAGTAAGAGGAGACGAGGAGGTGCATAAAGATTGATCCAAGTGAACCAACTGCTTATATTGGGAAAAAAACTAGAAATTATTATTACAAAGTATTTGTGAATACTGTCTAGTTTTGTGCTATAACTTAGAGAATACGCCTTTGGAAAGAAAGCATTTAATTATTTTGATTATTTTAAAATTTTAATCTATTCCTATAATGCTCTGGTCTATTTATTTTCTTCTGTTATTCCTTGTTTGTGCCTTGAATTCCAAATGTCACTACAATTATTTTTTTTACTTCCTTAATCTCTGTAATAAGTTTTTTTTTGTTGTTTGTTTGTTTGTTTTGTTTTGTTTTTGAGACAGAGTCTCACTCTGTCACCCATGCTGAAGTGCAGTGGCGTGATCTTGGCTCACTGCAACCTCCGCCTCCTGGGTTCAAGCGATTCTCCTGCCTCAGCCTTCCGAGTAGCTGAGTGTAATAAGTCTTTTTAAACCATGAGCTGTGTTTATTCTGTTCCTTATTTGCTTGATTTTCTAGAGATGTATTTCTTGTCCCCTAATAAGTATGATTGTATCTGTGTCATCAGTTATGATTCTTATACTTGGAACTTGATTTTTCTTTTCCAATGAATTTATTTTTAAGGTCCTTTCTAACCTTGAGATTCTCTAAATGTTTCTTCTGCCCAAGAAGGAAAAAGATAATGAGAGTTTGTGCAGTGCTTATTCTTATATTTTTTTACAAATATTTTAAAGCAATGATAATGCTGCAATAGTATTATTAAGACCAGTCTCATCAAGTATATATTTATCCAGTGATTGGTTGATTGGTCCATTCATTCATTCTTCAAATATCAAGTATCTTCTCTATGCAAACATGATGCTAAGAACTACGTCTATAGCAATAAAGCAGAGAGGGTTCCTAACCCAGTGTTGTTCACAGTCTATTTGAGACCAACTCTCAAACAAGCAAATGCCTTAAGATAGAATCCTTACTATGATCTAAGCATCTGTGGGATGCATTGGGGCACAAATGAGTGAATGGTCAGTTCTCCCTGAGGCGTAGGTTAGGAATAGTTTCATCAATTAAAAGTTTTGCAAGACAGCAGATTCATAAGGGGTCAAGGGAAGGAACAAAAAGAGCAATTTAGGCAAAGGAAGCAGCACAAGAAAAAACAACACAAACCGTTATGACACAACGTTTGGAGACTTGCAAGTGGTCCTGTAGCTCAAGTGTAAGATGTGAAGGAAGGACGTAATGAGAGATGAGTAAGGAAAAGAGATAGAAAAGGGTTCAGAATGCCATAAGAAGTTTGTTCACAAACTCTTAGGCAATGGGGAGCAGCTGAACGATATGATCAGGTTTTCCAGAAAGACCTTGTTTTAATAAAATAAACAGTAACAGTAAGATCACTTCCAGGAATAACAAGTCATCTTTTAAGGCTACAACAAAGCTGTGGTGACAAGTGTACAATCAGTGAGTGTAGTTTATAACTGTATTACTCTATAAACTGAAATCTCTCTTTCCCTCTAAATTTCGGTTTACCCTATTGGTTTTCCATTTTGGTTCCAAAGATATCTCCCAGGCTTTCATGTCCTCCTTCTTTCTCTAGGAACATAAATTTCAGATTCTCCAAACACTTTATGCAGGCACTGGCCTTGGCTTCAGTTCCTTTCACTCATTGTCTCCTATGGATAGTGTATGATTTCTGTTGTCCAAGCTTCATATTGGTAACAAACTTACCAATTAAGCAAAGGTTTCCCAAAAAGGTTGCATTTGAACCACCCTCATTCCCAGAAAGGGTTCAGGTTCAAAAGACTAGTTCAGCCCACGTTTTATCAGCAGCAGCTGCTATCTTCAGGCTGCTTTTAAATTTGCAGAAGTAGAACGAAACCAGTAAATTTTTTCTTTCTTTTCTTTTCTTTTCTTTTCTTTTTTTTTTTTTTTTTTTGAGATGAAGTCTCACTCTTTTGCCCAAACTGGAGTGCAATGGCACGATCTCAGCTCAGTGCAACCTCTACCTCCCGGGTTCAAGAGATTCTCCTGCCTCAGCCTCGGGAGTAACTGGGACTACAGGCACGCACAAACATGCCTGGCTAATTTTTGTATTTTTAGTAGAGACGGGGTTTCATTATGTTGGCCAGGTTGGTCTTGAACTCCTGGCCTCGTGATCCGCCCGCCTTGGCCTCCCAAAGTGCTGGGATTACAGGCATGAGCCACCGTGCCCGGCCGGAAACCAATAAATTTTTCAAAAACATTTACTTTTAAATTTATTGTGGCCGGGCGCGGTGGCTCACGCCTGTAATCTCAGCACTTTGGGAGGCTGAGGTGGGTGGATCACGAGGTCAGGAGATCGAGACCATCCTGGCTAACACGGTGAAACCCCATCTCTACTAAAAATACAAAAAATTAGCCGGGCGTAGTGGCGGGCGCCTGTAGTCCCAGCTACTCAGGAGGCTGAGGCAGGAGAATGGCGTGAACCCGGGAGGCGGAGCTTGCAGTGAGCCGAGATCGCGCCACTGCACTCCAGCCTGGGCGACAGAGCCAGACTCCGTCCCCCAGCCACCAAAAAAAAAAAACAATTTATTGTGAGTGAGCTGCTTAGTGAGAATGTAGGTGCCTGCAAAACCAACATAAAGACCGTCCTAATGAGTCATTTATTGTATCACTGGTCGGGGATGTTATTCAAGCAAGAGGATCTGCAGAGCTAGGCAAGCTCCAGAAATTGGAGTTAATGCTTTAGTTGGTCTTGAGCTGTTAATTATCTGTTGTTTAATAACAACTCCCTACACAACGTGAGCCTTGCTATAATTTACCAGTCTGACCCTTCTTGAACTTCACCACAAATGCTATTAATGGCCAATGCGCTATTACAACAATAAAGAGAATTTCTTCTATTAGGTTGGTGCAAAAGTAATTATTTTTGCACCAACTAATAGGTTATCAGCATAATTTAGAAGCCATTGTTTCTTTAATCTTTCAAGCCTTTAGCATACTCTGAGTGTTCCCTCCACTAGATGCCATCAGTTTCTTCTCCCAGTTGGAGAGAGTTACTATAGACTTTATGAGTTTTCTAGAAATTTGCCTCTGAGAAAACAATTTTCTCTTCAAAACTCAGCCTAGACCTTGCGGGCTGTTACAACTGTTTGATGTAATAAAAGAACCTCCAAACAGAATTGTTGGGAAATTGAAAATTGAGATCTAATTCCACCGCTGATATTCGCTACCCTTATACATCTCAGTTTTCACAGTTACCGAAAAGTATGATCATATGAGTAAGAATGTACAATATTGCTCTTTCTGTGCTTGGCTTATTTCACTTAAAGTCCTCCAGTTCCACTCATGTTGCTGCAAATGACAGGATCTCATTCTTTTTTACGGCTGAATAATAAAAAATTGATCTCATGGAGACAGTGAGTAAAATAGTGGTTACCAGAGGCTGGGAAGGGGAGCACGGAGGGAGAGATAGAGGTTGGTTAATTGGTACAAAAATACAGTTAGATAGAAGGAATAAGTTCTAGTCTTCTGTAGCAGAGTGGGGCAACTACAGTTAACAAGAATTTATTGTATATTTCAAAATAGCTAAAAGAAAAAATCTGGAATGTTCTCAACACAAAGAAATGATAAATGTTTGAGGTGATGAATATCCCAATTATTCTCATTTGATCATTGCACAGTATATACATGTATCAAAATATCACATGTGCCCCATAAATATGTATAACTCTTATGTGTCAATAAAAAGAAAAGATTGGTCATAAGGTCTGCTTAGATCCAAAATGTTCTGTGATCTTAGGCAGTTCTTTGTGCTGCTCTGACTTGTAGAAAATGATTGTAAACTAGAGGAATTCATTTTAATAAGGCATAAATCTCCTGGTTTAAGCATTAGCCCCTGCAAATCTCATCATTGTTATTTGTTAGTAGTAATCTTTTAATTAAAATCTGCCTAATTCGATCCAAGAGTGATATACAATGAACACTTTAGGCTTTTATTAATAAATGTTAAAATATCTTAATTGCATAATGAATACCAGTTGTGATTAAGTACCTCTATAGTTTTTGTTTCTTTTGTTATTGAAAGTGCTCATTGTCTCTATCTGTTCACAAATTGACTAGTCCTTTTTTTGTACAATAATTCACACACATTCACTTTTGAATTCTTTTGTCTTGCAGCATCTGGTTCTTTATTTTCTGTGGCCGCCTGTACTGCTTAAAATAAATTGAAGATATGGCACTTATCTGCTTAATGTAATCAATATGTGCAGCTGAAGTAGAAAATTCATCCAGATCCCAATATGTTTTCAAGAGTTCTAGCCCTTCAGTGATTAATTTGGCCAAGTAAGTCTATAAGATTAAAGCACCACTTTATACTGGTCTACAAGGCTATACTGTGTTAGCCTGCTCTAGAAAGGGAGCACAGGCAGATAGAAGATAGAAATGAACATCTCCAAAATTTTTGAGCTGTTCTGCCACTGTGTCAACATATAATAAATAACAACAGCCTGCACCAAAAACAAACAAACAAACAAACACATTTTTATGAATTGTTACTGTTCTGGTTTCTATGTTTTTTCTAGGGATTGTCCTTCATCTCATGTTTTTTCTAAAAGTACTCTTAATCTCTAATGATCTGTCTTGTGACCCATCACTTATATATTTTTAGTTTCTTTTTAGACCTTTTAGGGCATCTGTTGTCTGGCCCATTTGATCCAAGTATTGCTTTTTATAAGAGGGTACATTTTCCCTATGTGGTGAGATTTCACTGGAGTCACCTCTGGTTATCACTCTCCCATTCCTAATTTAGAGTTATCTAATAGTTTTGACATCTCTAGTCAAACTTGCTATTTCTTCCAGGTGTGTTCCTGATGAGATCAACTCTGTAGTTTCTGGGTTGTTTTGAGGGTGAGTCTGTGGTCTCTTTTTTTTGTAAGTTATAAAGATTATAACTTTCTAAGGTCCTTCTCTATCTGTGAAATATATTCTCAGTTCCCCCCAGATAGTTTGTAAATTCACTGAAAATGGTATTCATTGAAATTCATTGAAAATGGTATTTCTAATATAATACCAACTAGGTAATTGTATAAAAGAATTCTCTTTGCTCATAATACTGGGAATTTGCTCATAAATACTGGGAATTTTCTATAGTCCATTTATCTTTTCATAAAATATGGGAGTTATCATAGGTTATCTGTAATTGATTGGTTCATTGTATTAGACAATTCTAATCAAAATATCAGAAGTGAAGGAAAAGAAAAATTAGGGATTCAATCCAGATGTTACGTAGTTTTATTTCAGATGTGTGCACAATTATTGTGTCCCTTTAGATTTCAGCAAAGTGTAAGCTATCTTCCAGAGATGTGCCTATTCAGAATGGTCCAGGAGGTCCTACCCAGTTGTAGAAAATATTAAGAATTTTAAGAACATTGTTAAAAGTTAGTAATCATTAAACATAAGAATAAAATACAAAGCTGTGTATATTTGAGAATTGTGTAAAGAAAAGAAAATGCAGCGCTGCCTGTTTTCAGAACCTGGATCCATATCTATCTGGACTGGCATACAGAATCGTCATAATAGCACTAACATTTATGTAGCACTTTGCATTTTGCAAAGTGCCTTCATGTACAATATAACATTTGATGACGATAGATACTATTAGCATCTTTGGGCTGATGAAGAAATACAAGCTCTTAAAAGATAAGGTATCTTCCCAAGCCATGGCACTAGCACTCAATACAGTCAGCATTCAAGCCAAAGTTGTCTGACGGCAAAACTTTTTTCCCATTTTCTATTCACAATCTTAGCAGTAGGGCTTCAGCACCGCAATAGGTCCTGTTAGAATCAGCGTGACACTAAAATGTAAGCTTCTTGAAGACACAGATCCTCAAGAAGGTATATTGTATAACTAAGTGATGTTGTTATGATACTACTAAACTTTACGTAGCAAACTGTTGAGTGCTATATATATTTTGGTAATATTATGGCAATTCTGTATGACAGCCCAAATAGATGTAGATCTGAGTCCTGGAGAAGCCAAATCTTGCATTCACTTTTGCTTAGAAAATTCTCAACTGCAACTAATCTTGTATTTTATCCTAAAGTTCAATGCTCTCCTAGTCAATACTGTACTCCCAAGTTCCTAAAGCAGTGCCTGGTACATGGTAGGTGCTCAAGAAACATGTGTTTAATAGAAATATCCCTGGCCTTTGTACCAACAGCATGGATCTTGATATTTAAAGAAATGCATTTGTATCCATGAGATACAAATGCTGAATGTAGCAAACCAGTGTGGTACAGTCCCAGAAAACCCAAGTAATGCCCGATGGTCCCTTGGGCCCAGGCAACCACTGACCTCATAGGCTAGAGCAGACCTCTGCCAGGTCCTAATCCTGACTATGCTCCTAGCTGGTAGTGTCCTGGGCAACCCCACTGAAGATATTCCTTTTTGTTTGTTCATATAATGTTATTCTATATGTTCATTTCATAGACACATATTCACTGCATTTGTATCTAACACCAAACAAACAAACAAAATCCTTGCATCTTTGTAGCTCAACAAGGAGCACGTGATGGTATTAAAATTTGGTGGGATGGCTTATGGGCACCTTTTCATTCTATTATATATGCTTTCCTCCAACAATGTTCCAAACATTTTTCCAAGTTCCTGGACATCCGTGACCCATTTTGTCCTCCAATATATTGCTATTTCCCATATGTGGAGTAAATCCTTAAGCATATTATAACTTTTGGCATTTTCCAGTAGAAGAAATTTGTGCTTACCTCATCATTTTTTTCAGCTTCTTTTAAAATAACTGAGAGGCTTAGAATGTTTTGCATAAGACTTCTTTTGTGTCTTAGGCCTTCTATGGGAGAAAAGAGAAAGAATCCTTTGATGTAAATCTTTTCTGATGTAATCCTTTTCTAATATTAATCTTATTCACTCTGTGTCAATGTTTAATTACCATTAGTCCTTTAATCTCGCCACGTGTTGGATTTCAGGAGGAGGGCGCTTTGCTTCCACAGTAATGTGGTTCCATAATTACAGTTTTCCCTTTTCAGTAGATAGGAGTATAGGGCCCTAATTTTTCCAGATCTAGGAGGTACACTTTCAATCCCAAAGTCATCAAAATTACTACTAGAAATATATGTAGTATTCCATAAACCATTCGTAGTCACCATGGGACAATTGGATATTTATGTTATACTGATATTTCTATTAGTAGTAGCATCATCATAACATATTTATATAGTGTTTTATCATTTATAAAGAGCTTCTTACACTCTAGCCATTCATATTCTTTATTCACTTGAACCTAATGAGAGCCCTATAAAGCATCTTAGGGCTTCCTTTCTATGCACAAGAAAACTAAGGCTAAGAGCATTTAAGTGAATTACCCAAGTTTTCTTATGACAAAGGCAGTTCTCTAACCCAAGCCCCTGGCATGGTCCATGTGATTTCACCCAGCAAACCTCCCTAGCATGGTTATGCAGCCCTTCCAATCTGGAGGACCTGTGGGGAATAGTTTCATTAGAAAAAGCATTATTGGTGTCGCAGAAAATGTCTTCCCCTACATATAATATTAATAATAGCAGTCCAGCACAGGAGACTCTGCTTTGGGGAAATATATCATCAACATTGCCTCTTTTTCAGAATATATTGTAGATAGATAGTGCTTTGTGCTTGCTTAAAATGCTATCTCATGTTGCAGCATATTAACAACCTTGTAAAGTAGAGTAGATGGTATTTTCTCAATTTTATTTGTGGATATAGCCGGTCATGTAGAAATTAAGTGACCTTCCTAGATATGTGAAGGTAACAATCAAAACAAGAAACCTGTAATATTATTTTGTTGTTCAACTGATTTTCTATTTCACCACATACTATGGTTGTAATAATAATTACTGATTTTAACCACTTACATTTTAACCACATACATTAAAGTATTGATTGAGAATTAGAATAGCCTCTTTAATTGAAAACTCTTGAGCTACATGCAGAAATATATTTATTTAGAACTGGTCTTAACCATCCATGAATGTGATAGATTCTCATAAATGCTTGCAGATTGGCTAGTTTTTTTTTTTTTTTTTGAGGTCAAACGGGTAAATTTGAAACTTGAACCTAAAGAAGTAGCAATGTATTGACTTGAGACTTTTTTCTCTCCAAAAGTATAAAATATTAAAATAATTAAAATTAAATTATGTTAAACCACATTATTCTTTCAAGATAATAAATGTTGCACAGCTGTGAAAATAATTTTGATATTGTTTGTAATCTCAAAATTCAGGATCTGACTTCATTTATTTAAAGGCAAAGAAGTGCTGATCTAGAGTAATCACCCTATTTCTAGGTATTTCTACGAATTTACAGATGCCTTTTTTTATGTTCAGACTCTCATAAAGGCCTCTTTTTCTGAATGATATTACATATTAACTCATTTCACTTTTGGTACTGTATAATTCACTTGTGGCTAAAAGAAGTAAATTATCTTACTCCATGAATAATTAATTTCTCTATATAGTCTTCCAAAACGTTAAGGCACAAAATGTTAAAATAACATGGGCGATTCATTCTGAGAATTAAAAGTCCTCTCAGTATCTCTTTCCTTTTTCCCTTTTTTTCCTCGTAAATCCCTCCTGCTCCAACCACGGAATTCTAGTTATTATCCAGGTATTCACCCTGCTGTGGATCTGTAGGCTGGGAGAAGCTTGGTAGTCCGTAAGTTTTGAAGTAAACTTTCTTATATAATAAAATGAAACTCTGGGATATGGTAAGCGCCTAAGGCACAAGGTGAGAAAGGCTTAAGTTTGGGTCTGACTTTGCCAGCCCTGAGGTCTTCAGCAAATCTTCAGAACAATGAGCCTCAGTTTTCTTATCTGGGATGTGGGGACAAAAATGACAATTTACAGAGTTGTCATTAGGATTAAATCAGATAATGCATAAGAAACCTCCTAACAGTGGCTCATGGTACATAATACATGTTCATTTTATACAACAACCCAAGAGGAGCTGGAGAGATAACTAAGGATACAATTTCATTCATTTGAAACCTTTATCTTCCAGTACTTCCATTTAAGTTTTTGTTTTTCCAAATTTTGCTATTGCTGTTCATTTTTATTACATAGTTTTATGATAGAGCTTAAAAAGTCAAATAGTGCTACGAGGACTTTCACACAAAAAACAGGGTCCCTTGCCTGACACTTCTCACCCCACATATCTGCTTTCACATCTGCTTTCAGCTCTAAAAGCATCTTTTTCTGGCATTTAACTCTATGTTTATAAGCAGCATGCTTATAATTCTGCTTTTTTCATTTTGCATGTTTGATATTTTTACTTTGAAAAATGGGATTTAGCTATTTTATTCCCTTTTCCCAGCATATACTTCATCTTTTCCCTCACTCTCCATACAGTTAACAATTATTTTTTTCAATTTTTCAGTATTCAGTGTTTTTATTTTCTATGACTATGCAAATTTTCTTCACTGTATATAAAATTATTCAATCTCCTTTTCTGAACAATTCTAATTTTTTATTATACTTTAAGTTCTAGGGTACATGTGCACAACGTGCAGGTTTGTTACATATGTATACATGTACCATGTTGGTGTGCTGCACCCATTAACTCGTCATTGACATTAGGTATATCTCCTGATGTTATCCCTCCCCCCTCTCCCCACCCCACGACAGGCCCCGGAGTGTGATGTTCCCCTTCCTGTGTCCCATTGCTGAACAATTCTTTAGGTTAGTTGTGTTTGTGTTTGTTGTTGTTTTCATGCATACACTCCAGCCTTGAGTGGCTGTTCCCAGCTCTGCTGCAGAGCTGTCTTATCATCTGGCACTTTGCTTTTCTATCCTTTTATGAATTCCCTCTGCCTCTGTCCTGTGCTTGGTTCCCTGTTTTTAGATACCATGTTTTTTCCTGTTTACGGAGCATATTTTCCAATAGCATCCCATGAAATGTTGCAGCATGTGGAGTTAAATTTTGAACTATTTTAGGAACTAACATTTATTTATTTTATTCTCACCCTTGATTAAAAATCTTTTCCTCATAATTTCAAGATATCCCCATTGCATTCTAGATTTCCTTGAATCTTGATCTTATTTACGAAATATGTTTTCTTCTGTCTGGAAGCCTGTAGAATCTTATCTTTGTCTTGGTCTTTAAAAATTCTACAGCGTTATTCTTTGGTGGAGGTCTATCTTCATCTACTCCACTGGCCACTCACAGTGACCCCTTCAATTTGGAAATTTATGTTCTGCAATTCTGGAAGTTTTTCTTATATCAATTTTTTTGATAATTTTCTCTTTTGGTGTTCTCTGTTCTCTTTTGCTGGAAACCTTTATTACTGAGTCTCTAACTTATATATTTTTTGCTCCTGTTTTCTCTTTGTTCTGTTTTGTAAGAGATAGCCTCACGTTTGCTTCCTCACCTTTATCTTCTATTTAGGTTTTTGTTTTTCTTGTTATATCTCTTAACTTTCTAACACTCTCTTCTTGTTTTAAAAATGTCCTGTGTTATAGTCTCTCTTCTTCCATGCTTGGGTCTTCTTTAGTTCTCTGAGGCTACTGATTATATTATTGTATATATTTTGTACTATTGACTATATATATACTATATAGTATATAGTACACTATATTTGTATATTATATATACTAATGTATAGTGTGTATATATTTATATATGCTATATAGAATATATAAATATAAATATATAATATGCTATAAATATTTATATTTTATAGTATGTTATATATAGTATATAGCATATATACTACATATATACTAATTTTATGTTGTTTACTATATATACTGTATATACTAAGTATATGCCATATATACACTTTTTACTATACTTTTCTGTACTGTTTCCTTTATTGTTTCATTTTAATGGTTCCTGTCTTTCATGGTAGAGGCTTTCCTTAATTCCTGATGACCCTTGGCTATTACTTAAGCCTTTTCTATTACTTAAACCTAAGTATAAGCTTGCTCTTATACCTCAGAGTAAGGCATTAAAATGCAGATTGGGAATTCTTTGTCCTTAGGTGGGATTTATTGACCAGTGGTCTTTTCTATGGATACCCAGTATTTTCTTAGGAGATTCCTGAAAGTCAAGATCATGAGGTCTGTTTGGTGCTCTTCAATATTTCCAAAGAAAAGTCCACCACTATCCTGCTGGAAGGTGTGTGTTGGGTGGGGTACAGATGGTCAGGGGGTTGGAGGAGGACATAGAGCCAAACTGACCATGGTCTAGTGGCCGACAGAGGTAAGAAAACAGGTGGGGTTGGCGGGGACCTCGCCCATCAATGTGTAAACTTTCACTCATATTTTTGCTTTCATCCTGGTGCCTCATACTTTCAGCCGTACATCTAGTCTAAGGTTCAACTTCTCAAAAGAATCAACTTCTGGTCTTCCCCTTGGTGGGAGAGCAGCAGTTTCCTGGCTATGTGGAGAGGAGGCAGAAGTTTGGCTGGTTCTTTTAAAGACTTTCAACCATTTGTCCCATATGGGCTTGACCTTGCTATTCCACCCATCTCCTAGCCTTTAAAAATACCTGGTGCCTTTATTCCTAGGCCTATCTGAGTTTCAGTGGGGTGAATCAGGTTGTTTCTTGCTGGCTGTGCCACCCCTTCCAGTTCCCGAGCTTTGAACATTCTCTAGTTGGCAATGTTAATTACTACCCATCCATTCATGTTGAAATTTCCAAAAATTTTGTTGACATCTGTTATGTATTCCCACTTCCTTCTCCATACTGGTGTCCTTGTAGGTCATGCCTTTTTGTTGTTACAACTTTCCTCTCATTTTAGAAGAATACTTGAGAGAAATCGAGATAAATGCATATGTCTAATCTTCCAGGTTTGATCAGAAATGTTGTTGAATCAGCCTCCTTCCCATTCTAAAAACATGACCACCCCTTAACTTAGGCAAAAGTCGGCTTGAAGGGAACCACATGTCATCTCCTTCCTCTTCTCATCCTAGGCCCAGGAGTCAAGTAGGCACCTCTGCTGAGCCAAAGTAGACAGGCAGATCTAGTGAACTATCACTGGCTCAGGAAGAGGATATGATACAACCATTCTTTCAATCTGAAATTTTTACAAATGGTATGCAACATGCATTAACAATGGATGTAAGACAATAGGCAAAAGTTTAAAACAAAACCTGTACCTGGCAAACTAAATTCAAGAGTAAAACCCTTCTAATAAAAAATAGTAAACTTTTCTGAGAAAAGGCTTGGAGAATACATATCTGGTAATTTCTAACTTTATCTTAATTATCCAGAAAATTTTACTTCTAGGATTGGAACACACACACACACACACACACACACACACACACACACACCCCAAAATAAAAGCAAGAGCAAAAAATACTCCTAACTCCCATTAATCCAACAAGAAATTAAAATGTGACTATATTGCCATAAAAATTCACTTTTTTCAGGTACCTACTATGTGCTGGGTGGTTATAATGGTTCATAGTAAAGACTGAAGCTAAAACCTCCTTTAGTCATATAAAGCCTCATCATTATAGTGACTTGGGGATAGCCAAATCTAGTTAATACGCCTTCTTGGTTCTATGGAGCATGCTACAATCTGTGCCAGAGGCAATTAAAGAATGGTTCAAATGGCAATCTGTAGAGCTTTGAAGATATCCGTGGGAAATAGGCTGCTTGACTGTTCATTACCATTGTAATAGATTAGAAGTGACATTGGTTTAAAATAAAAACAACAACTCATCATTCTGGTCCAGTTGACCAATTAGGGCATTCACACTTGTCATACTGCAGTTGCACAGTTGTTGACATTATTTTTCATCATATGATGGTTATGGGAAAGATACATAGTACTTTATAGACTGTATCTCTGCTTCTGCCCAAATTAAAGTCTTTGTGCTTATGAGAGTGTGTATTTATGTACATAGAGGTAAAGGGGCAAACCATTCTCTGGTGGTAAAGAAATGAGATGGTAATTGACAAACAGATGTTGAAACCCACAAGATACCCAGATACTAAGAAAATAGATTTGTATGGGCTGCCTCATTCCTTCAACTGTAACATAAATAAGAAGAATCATAACTACTGGAATAAGAAACATATGGTTGCCTGCCAGAAGCCTCTTCTTATCATACCAGATATTCAGGAAAACTCTCCTGAAGTACTACATAAAAAGGCATCATGCTGGCATAAATATCATAGCATAAAATTTTACTTATTAAATTTGTATCACATGTTCTTTCCAATAAGCTCTTAAAATGGAGAAATTATTTTTAGATTTCTATTCTGTATATTATTTCTAAGTTTGATTAACACTTTAGATGAGTAATGACATAGTGAGGAATCATTTTGTCAGTGAACAATTAGCACTGAAGATATATCCAGAACTTCAGTAAATATTATTTAATTTTCTTTCTGTGACTTCAACATTGGAGTTAGGAAGGAGACTACATGTTGACAGGACACAATTTGAGCTTAATAAAACCTGAAACAACCTAAACTAGATGGCTGGAACTCACATCCTTAGCCCTCTTTCTTTCTAAGCAGTAGCCCAATCCACTAGCCACAGGTAACCTGTGTGCAGAGATCCAAGTGATGTAGGAGTTAGGTTGTTTATATTGGTAAACTCTAGGCAGATGCTATTACAGATTTTAATGTAGAAGAATGTCCTTCCTTTTGACTCATCATATGTTTTGATTTTATTTCCTGTCAATTGCAGTTATATTTGTCAGTTATAAGTGTTGACTCTCCGGGCACGGTGGTTCACACCTGTAATCCTAGCGCTTTGGGTGGCCAAGGCAGGTGGATCACCTGAGGTCAGGAGTTCGAAACTGGCTTGGCCAACATGGTGAAACCCCGTTTCTACTAAATATACAAAAATTAGCCAGGTATGGTGGTGCAGGCCTATAATCCCAGCTACACAGGAGGCTGAGGCAGGGGAATCACTTGAACCTGGGAGGTGGAGGTTGCAGTGAGCTGAGATTGTGCCATTACACTCCAGCCTGGGCGACAAGAGCGAAATTCCATCTCAAAAAAAAAGAAAAAAAGAAAAAAAAGTGTTGACTCATTATAAACAAAAAGAGACACTCACAGAGGATCGCCATCCCCAGTAATATTTCTTCCTCAGCAGTCCTTACTTCACCTTCAAACCCTTGACCCTATCTCTTTTTTCTGAGTTCAGGGCAGCAAAGGTGGTAGAAGTAAGCACTGTAGACCCGGGGTTAAGATTAGAAGGTTCAGGTGCATTTGTTGTACAATATAAAGTAAAGGCACAAGGCACTGAGGGAAATGGAGACAAGATAATTACTTTAAATTACTGCTATTTTTAAGGCAATAATAGAGCATCTCCTAAAACCTAGAACTCCTTGGGAGTTCCCATTGTAACAGTTCCACCAACGATGCTCCACGTAATATCTACTGAATCAGTGCTTTTCAAAGATGATTTGAGGTTTAATTTATATCTATTAAAGGAAAAACACTAAAGTAGCCATGGCTCATGTGTTTATTTGGAAAGTGGCTTTTTTTAATTTGGCCTGCTTATTAATAACTGTGTCACTTGTTCTTACAGATTTTAACTTAACTTTACCTAAGGACTTAATGTACAATGCAAATGCAGTTTTCTAAAATGTTGATGGTTAACATCCTGGCTGTAAGTGTAATGCTGAAAGTCTATAACATTCACATTTAATTTTATTGTCATTATTCTTGGTGAGTCAGTTACAACATACAGATTGAAAAATTTTACTTTCCGTGGTATATTTTAAATGCCAAGTTGCCAAATTTTGTTTCTTTGTATTATTAAGGGCAATTTGTGCTGTTTCTATGCTAAGTACCAGAGACTTGGGCAGAAATAGGGTCTGGTCCTTATCTACAAGGGTGAAAGAGATAGGGAAAAATTGGTTGCAGAATAAAATTTGAGTGAATACTTTCTAGACAAAAGCAGAAGTAAACATGTAGTACAAAAAGAAGGAGTTAATTAGAAAACTCAAGAAAAATTGGAGAGAATGGATTTTGAGCTTAGCTTTGGAAGCGAGCTAAGGTTTTCCTGGTAAAGCAAGCAAGAAAGGAAGAACACCGAAGGCCTGAGAAAAAGCAGAAGCAAGTGCAGAAGTGTGAATGCCAGGGCTAGTAGGAGGAATGACCTAGCTGGGTAAAAAGTGAGGGTTATTGAGAAGTTTAATAATAGACAAGCCAGAAAATGTGGTTTGGGGGCAAATCACATAGGTATTTGGATGCTATGGTAAAACATTCAGACACTGGATGAAGAGACTAACTCATTCTTCCCTAAGGTTTAGGAACAATGGTTTTCAACCAGGGAAAAAAATTTGCCCTCAAGGGACATTTGGCAATGATTAGAGACAATTTTGGTTGTCACAACTGGAGGTGGGCTACTGGTATCTAGTGAATACAGGCCACAGATGTTGCTAAACATTCTACAAGGCACAAGACAGCACCCACAACAAAGAATTATGCAATAGTCAATAATACCCAATGTCAATAATACCGAGTTGAGAAATCCTGCTTTAAGAAGATACTTCTTATGGCACCGTCAAGGATGGAGAGGGGAGCAGGGACTGGGGGCACAGAGTGTTAGCCTGTTAGAAAAGTGCAGTTAGAGTTGGAGTGAGATGAAGAGGACCTCAAAGGAGGCAGCAACAGGGGGTTGGGCACATTGCAAGTAGACGTCAGGAGGCCAACTCTGAGAAACTCTGATGAAGAGGAAATGTTAGCAGTGTCATTCAGAAAGCAGTTCATGGAATTATCTGTGATTTTTATAAACAAGTTGAGAATCTGGAGACTCACCTTCACCTACAGATTCAGAATCTATGAGCGAGGGACCAGAGTATGCATTTTTCACAAACTCCTGGGATGATTTTTAGCAGGAGTTTTGCCTCAAGTCATTGATTCCTCAGCCTGTTTTCTAATACATTGGTATGCTTATAATTATCTCCAGGATTGTCATAATTTATATTTAATCACTTAAATTAGCAGAATACATGCCCTCTAGCTCTATGAAGCAGGAACATGAACCAAACACATTTAGGATGTTGCAAAAACTAAAGGCATAGCTGTATACAGAGACTGTTCGGAGTTATTTACATAAAATGCAAAGCTGACTTCTGTAGACTGTTCGGAGTTATTTCCATAAAACACAAAGTTTACTTCTGTAATAAGAAGCAGCTTTGCCACATGCCACACACACACGCACACTTTGCCCCATGCTGGGGCCATCGCCAGTTCTGCCCCTGCTTGCCTGGTCAGCGCATTCTCAGATGAATGGTTAATTTAGTTCTGCATGCTTTCACCAGGTCACTGCATCCCAAAGTGAAATCAGACATTTGCCTTATAGATGCCAACATGGTATCAGAGTTCTCTGAGCAGGAGTTAGGGTTGGAGGTAATATTTATTTTCTTCTTTCTGTGTAGCTATTTCCCAAAGGCCCTCAATTAATTAGCACAACTTTTGTAATACAGAAGGAACATACAAAATAAGTTTTAAAAAAGCAACTTGAGGAGTTTACTTTTGGATACTGTCCCTGGAAGGGATTGTTATAAACCACACCCTAACACTGACTCCCTAGGAATCCCTTCATTATGGATGGCAAATAGAAAACAACTACCCAAATGCTGAAAATGAAATTCCCTTAGATGAACCACATCAAAAAAAAAAACCTTGGGACATCAAGACCCACACATGTCGGAGCTAAAACTGCAATCGTTTCCAAATGCAAAATAACTCCTAGGATCTTGCCCCTGATATACACAGAACGTTTCAGCCTCTGTACTTGTCTTGCAAATTCGGCCTCTTTCCAAAGATAAAAATACTCTACCTTAGAAGCCACCAGACCCTGCCTTCTACATGAAAGAGTGATTGTATCTGGGTAAGAAGTCCTTGCTTTGGCTTTGCCAGTTACTAGTGGTGTGAACTTGAGCAAGTCTCATCGCCCCTCGATGTCAGCTTCTTCTACCATAGGGCTCAGGTAAATCAAATGAAATGCTCAATCTGTGAATTGTGAAGAAATAAATTTTCTGGTACCTTTGGCTCATATAAGTCTACCATTACCTTTTTCAACTATATTATGAAAATCACTCAAGTCACTTCGAGGAGGAGAAATTAATGTGGGCCTAGAAATTGATGAGAATTGGAATGGGAAAAGCATCAGAGACCACTTTCTCAAGCTCTCAGTCTTTCATAGGCCACTTGATTTCTGTCTTATACACAGCATTTCTGTTTCTAACTGCACAAGCACTATAGAGTACTCATAATACATGTAATCTCCTCTCTCAATTTCTGCTAATACATGTGTAGTTGCCTATTTGGAACTTTCTCTGCCTCAAGACCTGTCAGCATTAATTTTCCATGCCTCCTGTAAGTTTCTAAGTTCAAATTTCAGAAAAGGGATTATAATTGGTTAGTTTCTCTTTGAGGGAAATGCAAAAGTCAAAAGTAGTGACCACTGGTGGATTTTTTGCTCCTGAGTCACTCACTACCACTGGTCCATTGGTCTATTCAGCTATGACCATGGGGATGGGTGTGGAGGTGATATCATTGTAAAAATGGCCACGTGTGGTCAGAGAGGTACTGATGGAGATCTCTAGGAAGTACATTGGTTTGAGAACTTCCCTATAGCTCTTGGATTTTGTACTCTTACATATATATCATTTTCAAGTTTGTTACTCTCCCATTGTTATTATGTTACAGGAAACACATATGTTCAGAATGTTGTTTTTGGAAATGTTTCCATGGTTTAAATTGTACCCAGTCAAGAACAAAGTCACCACTCAGTAAAATAAAGGAGTCGACCTTCATTATCCTTTATTCTTTATGGTATTATGAAGTCATTGAGAATAGTTGCCATGACCTGCAACCAAGCATCCTTGCACAGTCACTTGGTTAAATCTTTCAAGGTGCACTACCTCAACAATTCAAGGTAGACCTCATATGATCAACATTATAAAGTAGGGAGACACCAGGAGTGGGCTACTTTATGCTCTAGCTAAAAATAACTTCCAAGAACTTGAGAACAGGATGATAATGTTATTTTCAGAGCATACTTTATGATTGTTTAAGATAATTCATTCATCTGTTTTCAGGAAGGCAATGTGTTCCAGAATACTCAAAATTTCTTGCTAAGTGTGAAGTTTTGGTGTCATTCTGAAAAAAATAAAGTACCTGAATAGCCACTTGAAAAAAACAAAAACCATGACCTTATCTGAGGCCTAAGTCCCTAAGCCTTCACACCTGCAGTTTTGTGGGTATTCTAACAACCAGCAATGAAAAAGACAACCAAAATTGACTTTAGAAATCCATTTACAGCCATTCCAAACAGCTTTGGCATTTCCTCTTAAGAGATATAATTTATGTAAGCTCATGCCAGTGTAGCATTTTCTACCATCTGATTTATGACTCTGCTAGAAATATGGCAGACCTAGGAGTCTCAGAAGGATAAAGACTCTTTCTCTTGCAATGACACCATAGGCATGTAACAAAATGAGGACCTGGTCATGCCAGAGATTAAGTTAATGTGTTTGGTAGACTAACTTGGGCTGAGCACTCTGTGTGGCCAAGGATTTATGAAATAATAAATAATTTTACTCATTGATACAATCCCTTTAATAAGTTGAGTTGACTCTTAGTCTTTTGGCTGACACAGCTACTTAACGCTCTGGCTAAGAATAACTTCCTAGCACTTGAAAACTTGATGATAATGTTATTTTCAGAACATACTTTATGATTGTTTAAGATAATTCATTCCTCTCTTAAACACACATACTGAGCCCCTCTAAATGCCAGATACTTAGCAATCAGAGGAGACACAGTCCCTACCCTCAATGTAGTTAAAATGTGACCAAGGGAATAAAGAGATAATTTCAGGAAACAACAGAAAAGTTGATGAGTTTGGTCACTTGAGAGCAATGGGGGAAAACTCTAAAGGCAGTACTGTAAAGGAAACTGCAGAAATGCAGAAATGCAGAAATGGCCAAAAGCACCATTGCAATGTCATCTTTTGTTAGCCCACAGAGGAGATGTAATTATTCTGCTAAGTCTTCGTTTGCTATTTGAGAGCAACAAATTAAACCCCACTAATCTACCTCACTCGATGGTACTTACCAAACTTAAGAGGCTTCAATTATCAACAGCTTAATAAACTTACTAATCTGCATTAAATGAAATCCTTTGCAAAATCACATTGAAACAATGCGTTAAGTCATAATCAGCCTGCCTGGTACCTACAGCCTGCTGTGGCTGAGCCCCAGAATGCACTGTGTAATCAAATTCCATGTTACTTAAATCTCAGAAAATTCCTAATGGGTTTTTGTATGGGGGTGGTGGTAGGGCGGTCACATTAATTCATATCGTGCTTTTGTAATCCGAAGAAAATTGACATTTAGGTGTAAGTCAAGCAAGAATGTAATTTAAAACTGCTTAAATTCAGCCACCTATTATGATAAAAAGAAAGTTTAAAGAATATTTTAGTCTCTATATGGTAAGCCAGTACCCTATGCTAACAAAGTCCTCACATGATACTCATAAGGAATCCAGGGTTAGATCTGATTATATGAATGTATCAAATTATCACATGTACCTGAAAATATGTACATCTAATATGTATCAGTTAAAAAAAATTTAACAAAAACTTGTAAGTCATTTTAAAAAAAGAATCCAGGATTGTCATCATGTTTATCAATGCTGACCATAGTCCCTTGTGAAGTAACAAGAGATAGGAGTATTCTTTATGTTTGCAAAAGGAAAAACTGAAGCAAAGGAAAAATCTGTCCCAGTCACAGTTGGGAACACAAGCAGGCTACCACTTCATTTCTCTGTTTGTTCTAAACAGGCCAGGTGGAAGAGGACTGTAAGAACAGAAGCACTAATTGAGTGACTTAGGCTTCATATAAGTAGCCTCTAAGTTACTTGTATTGATATCTGACACAAAAGCTCAAGTTGATAGTAACACTGTCATGAGGAAGCTATCAATGAGGTCTTAAATGTTAATGAGCAGAGCAGTATAGATGTGCCATCTAAGAACACAAAGAGAGCCATAAAATTAAGCTGAACAAAGCATTTCAGGACTTTGTCCTCAAATTTATGGACTAATTAATCATTTAAACCTGGCCAGGGTGCACACAACTATACACACATGCAAATACCAACTAAAATCCACCTGTTTAGGACCCTGTGGGCACAATTTTATTTTTTTAACATAGAAAATATAGAATTTTCTAATTGGGTAAGATGAAAGCTAGCAAGGACCATCATTTAAAAACTACCTAAGAAATAAAAGTCTGAACTTTTCCATTATTGTGAATCACACTGACTAAATTTATTTTTCAGGTTAGTCTGAATCTGCCTTTATTTTCTAAGGCTTAAAAAATCTTGAGCAAAGGGAAGGTATAACATGTGATCTAAATTCAGTGGGAAAACATAATTGATGGGCAATTATACTGTTTAACAAATGGCTGAATTTAAATAATGATATCTACTGACATTAAGAAAAAAATGTTCTGTACCCCTACAATAGCATTTGATAATCCAGAGCTTTCCTAAGATTTTTTTCCATAGATCATGAAATATTAATTGGAAGGCACAGACATTCAAGAATGATAGTGTGGACCCCTTATCCTTCAAATGAGCTATTAGGCTATAATGCCAACAGAAGGCAGGGTGGAGATTTAATACATAATTTGTCTTTTATCAGTGTTTTCCAGCATGTAATCTGTAATGCAGAATTGGTGAATGCAATACTAGGAGTGTGTCTACCAGATTCTAACAGAAAAACCACATGCATGTGTGTGTGTCTGTGTGTGTGCACACACAGGTGCAGCATGAATTGCACATGTGATTCAGTGTAATCACTCAGTCAATTCAATGACAGTGCTTTAAGAGACGGTCAGTTACATTTGTCCCAATATTTTAAGGCTTAATGGTTCCATTTATGCAAAACATGTTAGGAAAATAAAAGAGCAAGGTGTTCCATTAATTCACATCTGAAAGAATGTTCCATCTACAGCTAACTACTCTATTTTTTGATAACTGTATAATATCTATTATTTTAACAGATGTTTATTGAAGTTCTACCAGATGCCAGGCACTGGGGTGGGGAAGGGGTTGAAAAGGTAAATAGATATGGTCTGGTCCCTGCCCTAAATGAGTTAGAGAACATCATGAGAATATAGGATAACTGCACGCTATTAGTCAGGATAGAGAGTGTTAATGGGCAGGCGAAAGAACAAAGTACTTAGAAGTCCATTGTAAAGATTTAGGAGAAACAGAGAAAGGAAAATTTAAATCTTAAAATGTAGAAAGTATGAGAACAGGTAATTAATTTGCAACTACCTCTCTGAAGCTATGGAAATAAGAAAGGACACAAATTTAATTAAATGAAATGCAACAGTAATCATTTAAGTGCTTACTCTGTGCTGAGAGCACTAACTCTGTGCCAGGCCCAGCTCAGATACCTCTCCTGGCCCAAAGTGACTGTTCTTTCTCAGCATGCCTGGCATGTGTATTTACTTCTCTGTGTCACTGAAGTTATTCTATGTCCCTGTATTTTGCCTTCCAGCTGCATCACATTGAACCAGTAGCTTAACCTCCACTTCCTCAGTGTCCTTATCTGCAAAATGAGCATAATAAAAGCACTTACTTCACAGGTGTATGATGAGGTCCAAATTAGTTAATACATGAAAATAATTAGACCAATGTATGACATATTGCAATAGCTATAAAACTGTTATTGCTGCTATTATGAAACGTTATTGTAATCTTTACTCCCTCTGATTGATTTTCCTCCAGCACAGGGTGTTTTCCCAACTTAGATGTAAGGGAATCATCTGAGAATCTTACTAACGTGTAGGTGCAGATCCAGTAGATCTTCCGTTGGGGGCCTATGAATCAGCACTTCTAACAAGTTCTCAGATGCTACTGATGCTTCTGGACCATGCACTGCACACTGATTAGTGCCTTGTGGTTCATAAACTGGTGTTGGCCCACAAACTGTTTGTGAATGATAAGAGTACAAAAATTGAGAATAAGCATTTAGAAACTTATATGGCAATTTGTTGTTGCCACAAAATCCATGTGCATAATCGATTTTATGGCATGTTATAAAAGTATCAGTTTGTAATGTAATGGATTGAAATTTTCTTTTAAAAGATTCTTTACCACAAATCATTTAGAAGCATTGTTCTAGAACACAGCATAAACGTAAAAACAGATACAAGGAAAGCCTTGTACCTCCTCAGAAACTAAAAGAGCTTTGCACAGGTCAGTGTTCAACAGATATTTTTGAGTGCATGAGTGAATTAATTAAAAAATAAGTAAGTACAGCTCTGATGGCTCATTTTCAAATTCTCCACGTAATGACTAAAGTTGGAGCTCCAGGTAGCATCGACTTTAATGAAGTACAATTAACTCCACAGCTATGCTTCTGTTTACCTTTAATCTTGATAAATTAAAGACTTCTGCATTAGAACTGTAAGCAAAGTGAAATGTTTTCTCTACCTGATTCTCCCCTGTGAGATATTAGATTTGTGCATTTGTAAAAATGCATGCCCGCTTTCATAACAATTCGCTTTCAAATCATTAACATTGGAATCAACAGTGGGATAAGATACATACACACAAATATGTGATAAGATATATACACATTGTGGCCTCAAGTCAAGTCAGTATTTAATGTTAATGTGCACATCAGTGTGTCATGTGGCATTCAAAAAAGTAAAGAGAAAAAAATAATTGTTCAAACAAAAGAGCCATATTATTATTTGGGGATCCAACTAGTACAATAGTATATAATATACCATCACCAGTGGTGACAGTTTTAATGAATAATCATAAATAGTGTTATATATAGCTTCCCAGAGCCAGGAATTTCATGGGAGTGTGTGTGTGTGTGTGTGTGTGTGTTTTATGATTTTCTCTTTGCACTTAGGTCGCCAACGGAAAACAAGGTATCATTTACCAGAAAGAAGTTAGTTTTCTACTAAATATTGGAGAAAGGACCTAAGATCTCTTGCAAACGTAGAGTTTAAATGGATAAATGAATTAGGATACTTGGTTTCCACTCCATGATTTCCCAGTGATTAATGAGTTTATAATTACCTTACATCCAAAATAATACCACACTTATCCCTCATGTCCCAAACAGGAATCTTAGAATAAATCACATTATCAAATAAAACAATCTGTAGGGAGTTTCAGTTCCCTGGAGGGAGGTAGTTCTGAAATTGCTACTTACAAAAATTTACATTTGAAATATCAAATTTCCAGTAATCCCTCCCCCAACTCCCATCCCAGGTTATGAATATTTGTGTCACTTTAAAGAAGCAATAACCAGATTAAAGACTAACTTATAACATGATATTTTTACCCTTCTATCTTTTTTATTTGGAGCAGTTGAGGATCTAAAATAATGTTGACGTGGCTGGAGGTAGTGAGCTGAGTCGACTTGGCATAGACAGTTTGGAGAAGTGAGCTAGGATGTGACATGTAAGGCCGGTGAGATCCAGTAACGAACCTGGGCTCTATTTTGAAAGTAATATGAAATCATTGAATGATTGTGGAGTGTGGGAGATGAAATGCCATGAGCTAATTCGTCATTTTAAAAGACCATTAATAAAACTATTTGTTATGATATTAATGATGGATATCTGATATTATGCATTTGGTAAAAGCCATAAAACTGTACAATACAAACAGTGAGGCTTAATGTAAGGTACAAATTTTAGTTAATAATAATGTATCAATTTTCCAATTATAAGGAAGGTACTACACCAAAGGGAAATTGTGGAGAGAGGTGGAAGGAGGGAGTATATGAGACTGTATTTTCTTCTCAACTTTTTTTGTAAACCTAAAACTGCTCTAAAAAATAAAGTCTATTAATTAAAGGGGAAAAATGATAACTTGTTGCTGGGTAAAGAATGGGTTGTGGGGAACAATTAGAAAGCCAGCACAATATTCTTTTTAAAATTAGCATAGCTTGTCTCAGAAGAATCCGATTATCAGAAATTCATTCTGGCAACAAATATTCAGAGATTAGAACTCTACATGAGTGTAAGGGTGAGATGGTGGGAAAACAGAGAGGAGGAAAAAAAGTCATGTTTCCATCCAATGGAACAGAAACAAATTGGAAACTAAATCTGTATTTTTGTGCTATCTTTGAAAATTATTTTTATAATGTCTATCAGAAACTCACTTTATCTTTTAAAATTTTAATTATTTAATTTTTATAATTTTTTAAATCGACTAATCATACATATTTATGGGCTACATAGTGACTTGGGGTACATATAATGTATAGTGATACTACTAAAATTCTTTATACCTACATTTGAATTGTGATTATTTCTACATGCATCAAATTTAAATTAATATATTTAAAGTTTATATATATATATGTCTATATATGTATATGTCTATATATGTGTGTGTGTATGTATGTATATGTATATATATTAGTGTCTTCTAGGATGTAAAATATTCCAAAAAGATTTAATATTAACACACTGAGGTAAGAATAAATCAGTAAGATATAGGCTTTGGTAGTTAGTCATAAGGAAAGACATTAACAATATTTTGAAGCTAAGCCTAATAACCTTGAACAACCTTAAAATGGTCACATTAGAACAATATAACCAAATTAAAGACTAGCTTATGATATTTTTACCCTTCTACCTTTTTATTTGGAGCAGTTGAGGATCTAAATCTGCATAATTCTGAACTTATGCAGATGGATTTATTTTCTACCTAACAATTTAGTAATTTGACAGAAAAATGCCTATCAGCCAGAAATATATTTATGCTGCGTTAACTTAATACCTAATAATTTTTCATTTCCAGAGAGTTATAGAAATAACCTTACACTTATATTGCTGGATCTGTCTGCTTATAAGTTTCTTCTGATGACACAAATGGGATTGATTTGTTATCAGTTCCTCCAGTTAAATAATTCTTGTTTGTTAGGTCAAAAAATATTACAAATCTTGAGCAGTCTCTGCATATTCTGACCTGAATGATCTTCAAGATTTGATTTATCATTTAGTAGGGGATGAGGCAAAAGAATACCAAGTTCTACTCTTGGAAATTCTCTCTATGGCAGAGTTATTAATTAATTGTAATAACATCTTAATAATATTTGAAGTGTCATTGAAATAGATTAAAATTTTACACATGTGCCAAATTGTTCAACCAGGGCATTCTTAAGGATGATTGGAGTCTGGTGAGAATTATTTCAGGAATTACTTATTAATTCAAATCTCTTGTGTACTCTGCACTAAGTAAACACAAAACTGTGTGCTCTGCTACATTTTTGTTTGTTTACTTATAAAAGAAATGATTGCATGAATTTATAAAAATTAAAATTTAAAAAGATCTCTTATTTTCAAAAAAGGCCCTATATATACCTTGTACACGTTAATGAGGGACTAACAATAAAGCTGATTCCCAGAATCCTAACTCTAGGAATTGGGGCTGACCTTGAAGATCACCAAAATTAAGTCACTCCTCCAAGGTCATGTCTAGTTGTAAGCAAATCACGGCTAGGATGCATATCTTGAGACTCCTAATCGGTCATGCGTCCCCCAGGTTCTACCTTACTATTGCTTTGAATGGATACAGAAAATAGGGATTTCAGAAACAAGATCCGACAGCCAGATTTAAGTCTGTACCTTGTGAGGATAAATAATTTGACCTCAGAATTGGAATCATCCATTGACTAAAATAAATCAGCATCTCTACCCAGAACACTTAATAGTAGTTAGGAATGATAATAAAGAAAATAAAAATAAAAATGGTGTGCATATATAATATACATGTATACATACATATAGACAGAGAGAGAGAAAGAGATTGATTTTTTTTTAGTAGTTAATCCTTACATGACCACTCTACTATGAATGCTATTGCAACTTTGTAACTATTTTTTCATTCTCACTTCTGGTTTGCCTCTTCATCCTTCCAGGGCCAAAGAGATAAACAAAATTCAGCTGGTGAATCTATGATATTATTTGTCACATAAATTCCACATTTCTACCTAACATAAAATGTTCCAATTTTATGACTCAGCACATTTCTTTGGCTGCTAACAAAATCAGAAGGAATGAATTGTGAAAGCTAAACAGAATTAAGGACTTAAATCATGACATTATGTTGCTGCAACTCTGCATTTACTTGACAGAAAACGAAGTTATAATTCCCACCAGCATAGCCTCATTTTTACTCTACACCAAATATATGAGGGCTTTGGGTCCACTGGGCTAAGCCTATGGCTGACGTATAACTTTGGCATGATGCTTAACCTCTATAAGCCCCAGATTTTTATTTGTATCCTGGAATTTTATAATATCTACCATACAATGTTATTAAGATTACATGAAATTCTATATGCCATAGCATTCTGGGAACTGCAGAATAATTTATAAATATAACATATTATTGCCAAGCAATGATTAATTGCCCCATAATGAAGAAACAAATTTCCAAAGAAACAGAAGTATATTTTAAAATTATTTATAAAAATGCCTATGTAGAATGACATGCTACATGAACATTCTGAATATATTTAAGTATGATTTACACAGCATGACCTATTGACAAAACATGAGTTTAATTTATCATTGTAAATCATAATTTATTGAATCTTTTCCCAATCAGATGATAAAAACATAATCTAACCTAACATTATGTTAAGGTGTATATGATTTAAGTTTAGAGGCTATAAAGTAAATTTTAGTACAAATAACTTCAGCCCACAAAGAGATTATTCCCCTAGGGTGAATTATAGGGATGAGAAATTGATACCCCCCAAATAATGATAAAAATAGGAGAAGGAAGAAGGGAAGTGTTCTAGGTGAAATTACAACACTCTGGTTATGCCATAGTAGACCTAGAATACTGTAGATTTGCAGTGGAAACTGGCAACAGATGATTATACATGTTGGAAAGAAAATAAGTATTATATCGTGTGACTCTTCCCCTAATGGAAGTGTGACCAAAATAGGGAAGAGGAACAATGGTCATGGTGATTCACTCTGGCAGTGGCCAGCTAAGCCCATCAAGGAACACAATGTTTCATGCAGAGTTTTAAAGAATGCAGGGGCATTGATCGAGTAGAGAAGGAAGAACCTAGCATTTCAGATGAAGGGACAACATATTCAGAGTTTGAGAAGCCTAGAACAACATGGTTCATGAGGGGAATAATCAATAATTTGGTTTGCTGGAGCGTAAAGTGTACGAAGATTTGTACAGAAATGAAGAAATTTGAAGAAAGATACTTCCAGAGCCAGAGCCAGACTTTAGATGCTGAGCTGACCATACTAGGGATGGAGAGCCACTGACTGGTATTGATCAGGGGATGGCACCATTGATTGTTTTGGAAAGAACACACTGATGGCAGTGTTCTCTGGAGGCAGCTGGCTTTGTCATGGTCCTCTGCCATTAATTTTGTAGGCCAACGGCAACCCTAAATGTTAGAGAACACAATACATTTATTTCCAAGCATTGGAATAAAAGCAAGGAGCCTGAGGGACATTTAAGAGCGCTTGGTCCTGTGTTTCTCAAACTTGGGTCACTTTTGTGACATCATCGTGATTTTCTCTTATCCAAAAATCATTTTTACTCTAGTTTTTAAATATTTTTGATGGGCTCATTTTTTCACAACTCCAAAAAGGAAAAAAATATATCTTCAAGCACTAGTATTTGTTAAATTTGCAGGTTTAGCCATTCCTTGTGTATTGTATATTAATATAAACCTAACTATCAAAAGAAAAATGCTTATCTGGGCATTTTTAGGATGGTACCATCTGAGTCCCGCCCTGAAATCCTTCTTTAGGAAATGCTGGTCAACCTGATGCCATCATTTTCCAATGAAGAATTAATGTGCAAGGAAATCAGATGATTTGCCTACATCCTCTATGTGCTAACCATGTGCCACAGTTCTAGGTGCTGGGGCCACATCATCTGGGGCAACATCAGATCAACATCATTGAGCTCTTTTCTCCCCCAGTTTGTCCACTTATCTAGTCATCAGTTACAAAATCACTGCCCTCAGGAACTTATATTCTAGTGGGGGACACAGACAAAAAACAAACCTACAAAGACACAGCACAATGGCAGGTAATGTGAGGGACTATGAGGAAAATAGGGGGAAGCATAGGAATAAATAATGACACGGTGTGCTTTTAGATAGGATGGTCAAGAAAGACCTTTGAGCAGTCCAGATGTGTTGAGAGGGTGAATTGTGGCATATCTGAGGATGGTTCTATCCAGGTACAGGAATGACAGGAGCAAAGTCCTCTCAAGGAGATCTTGCCTGACATGCTTGAGAAAGAGCAAAGGCAAACTAGTGATGGTGCCATGAAAGCCTGTCTATTAAGACCACTACTACTCCTTCCTGCTTGACACCTCACCACTCACACCCCTTTTTTCTATACCAAGGGTTGACCAGGGCCAGTTCCAGCCTACTACCTGTTTTATTGGAACAAAACCATGCTCATTTGTTTACTTGTTGTTTATGGGAGTTCTTATGCTACAACAAGAGTTGAATATTACTGCAGAGACTGTATCGCCCTCAAAGAGCCTAAAATATGTACCATCTGGCCCTTAGCAGAAAACGTTTGCTAACCACTACTTTATATCATGCTCTTTAGTTGATGCGGTTGTCAAATGCGAACATCCCAGAAAAATACTGCTTTGGACATCTTTATAATAATGAAATATGCATTTTCCATGTTAAAATCTCGTTACTGATGGTAGAAAATCTGATTTCACTTTTTCAAAACGGAGTTGTGTACCAGTAGAAACTTTTTAGTATTTTATCTTCAGGTGTGATTTTTCTTTAACAATGAATGGGAAGAATAAGGTATCTGCCATTGCATAAAGAAAAGAGTGAGGAAGAAGCACAGTAAGCATTACCCTTGTGGTTTTCTCTTGTTAGTATTCAAATTACATTCACTCTAAACTACATCTGAAACAGGTTGATAATATACCCTGTTGGGAGTTGCATTGTCAGGTGATGCACAAGATTTTATGCAGATCTATATGGACAGTGTGGCCTAGAGCTACAAGTCTCTTTGGAGCTAATTACCTTCTTAAATCAAAGGGTCCTAAAGATAATCTACAACCTCACATGAAAAAGTTGCTGTGCTCACCTGGGACTTCCTTTTTCACTTAAGCAAAATGCCCAGGGTTCTGGCAGCAATATTTTTGTTTTTGGTTAAAGTTCATGGAAAGCTCCTCTTATTCTATTCTCTATTGAATAGTTATTTATCTTTATAAAGGGAAAACAAGACAAAAACAAGTAAGACTGGAGAGAATCGGGTAAAAAAATACATAAGCAATATTTAAAGACTCCGTATACATGTAACTCAGTGTTTAAAGTAATTCAGATGAAGGGTTGGAGTAGTATCTAGTGAAGAAGGAAGTTGAAAAAGATGAACTGTTAAAATATTTCTTACATTGAGAATATTATCTACAATCAATTTATTTAGTCTCACAGACCCACTACAGCCTACTAGCTCAGTGTATCTTTCAGGTGTTTCCCTGCCCACCCACTCAGCTCCCACCTTCTCATTTCCCCCACTTTCCTCCTCTTCTCCCTTTGTTTCTCTAGAAAACTCACCCTCCACATTATAAAACTTTCTTTTCCAAATCTTCCCCACTGATCCCTCTATCTTTTTACTTAATTCTCCTTGCTTTGTCTCTTCCTGAGATACTCATCCGTAATAACCTCCTATTATCATATGGTTAAGCTTGACAGTTGAAAAAAAATATTTTCTGACTATATAAAATATAGTTTTCTGACTATAAACATATGGTTACAGGAGAAAACTTTGGAAAACATGGAAAAGCAAAAAGAATAGAATAAAAATTAGCTACATAGTTACCACCTTAAAAATGTTTCCTACCTATCACCTCTGTATCTATTTAAAATTTATAATTTTTCCACCCTTACTGTTTTATGGCCTGCTTTTTTCACATAGCAACATGAAAATGTTTATTTCTCTACGTAATTAAGCAGTCTTTTGAAACCTGATTATCACCACCAAATGGCATGAAATACTGTTTATTTGATTCATCTCCTGTTGATAGACTTCATTTGTTTCCACTTTTTCTGTATTATAAATAACACTGCAGTGAACATCTCTGTGTGCTCACATCTCTGATGATTCCTTTGGAATAAGTGCTTGGGAGTGTTACAGCTGCAGAGAAGCAAGTTTATATATGTCATTAAGGCTGTCACCAAGTGTTATTCTGTAGCCAACTCCTGAAGACAGGCAAAGGGACTTCCTCCATCATGTGTTTAAAGCTAAAACTAAGTTTGATGTTTCATTTGGTTCTTATTTATCATAATGTTTCCCCAACTGAAAGTCACTAGGTAGTTTATTGTTTCTTTCTCTGGGGAAACCTTGCAAGTTACAGACCAGAAAATGTGGGAGTTTGAAGAAGATTGACCCTGGAAAGAGCAGAGGGCTAAAAAGATGGCTCAGGACCGAATTCAAGTTTGAAATAAGTCATTCGTTTCCCAGTATTATGCTTATTGAGTGTCCACATGACACGTACTAGGCGCATTAACAGAGGATTACGGAAAAATGAAAACCAAAGCCCCATTGCCCTCACAGATTTACCATCCACAAGAAAAGGGAAGAGTGCCATCTCTTAGCACTTATTTCTGTGTTTGGGAAGAGAAAAGTCCTTTGGAGATGAAGTGCTCATATACTCACTTTTTAAAAAGTATTTTTGCCTTCTTGAAATTTAAGCTCTTTTATCTCCCAGTTTGTTCACTTATCCAATCAAGAATACTATTATCTAAAATATTCACTCTTGGATGATATATGAAAGAGCCCTTTCTATGTGACTGAATACCAGCTGGAATCTCTCCATTGGGCCACCCCAAATAAACATATCAGGGCATCACAACTTTTGATCTGCATCCATAGGCCACCGTGGTCACAGCTCACCTCTTTTTAATAAGGAAGCAGGACTGTAGGTTTCTAATCATACATTTGCAATTGCTAGAGGGGCAGCAGGATAAGAAGTATGATCGGAGAAGTTTTATTATTGACATTTTAGAAGTTCTCGAAGGTCCCCGACAAACTCCAACTTCATTCTTCTTAGGCCCATGTTCAGGGACCAAAATATTCTACTGAAACATTCAGAGATTTTAGCAGTTTCTCTTTAAAGAAATGCTACCATTCCATTCTTTGGGGATGGTGGAACAATGCCGCTTGTGTGCTCCAACCACTAGGATCATTCATACACTGTTTCTTTAGAAGGATTTGCTTTCCAAAGTTGAACTTTCAGAACTCAGAACACCTTATCACACTTTCACAAGCTTTCTCTCTGAAAATGGAAAAAGAAAAAGGGAGGGAGGGCGGGGGAGCCTGTTAGGACCTGTGCCAGTTAAATCCGATCTCTCCGGGGATTTGTTTTTCTTCTGGCGTCAGATTAGATGTTCAAATCAAGCAGTGTTTGAGGGCTGGGAGGGAATGTCCATGGGATTCTTAGTGAGGCTAATCCCGAAGCAGCACATTCCAAGGGGCTAATCTGCCCAAGTTCATTGCTTACTTGAAACGTCTCTTGGGGGAAGAGCCGAACAAGTGACTTTTTTTTTCCAGTGGGCGGTCATAAGAGCATTATTAACGGAATGACCAGCCCTAGCTGCAGCAAAATGAAAGCAACAGGAGCTGCTCCGGGGACTGCTTTTGCCAGTACCCAGAATCAGTGCTCAGGTAAAATGATTTCAGCTAACTTTTCTCTTGTTCAACTTCTCAATATTGGATCTGGGGACCTAGAGGAAGACCAAAGATCAACACCGAGGGAGGCTTGGAGGGAAAGGGCAAAACGAACTTATGAATTTAGTACCTTTGGGTTGGGGATGTTTGTTCTGATGAAGACAGGGTATACATTTGAAACAAGAGAGGGTGACAATGAGAAGCATTGTGAAACTTTTCTTGTAATTTGTTCCTATAAAGTTAGTGGACCCTTTTTCCTAATCTTGCAAATACTGGTCTGAGTGGTTGTCCTTCTGTTAAGCTGCCCTGCTGAAGAGGAGATTGCAATAGCACTTTCCAAGGCTTTTTGGAAATGGGTTTAATATACCCTGTGTGTGTGTATGTGCTTGTAAATCTTCCTGCCTGGAGAACTTGATTCGATAGCTGGTGGGGAGGACATAGTAAGAAGATTCAAAGTAGTTTGGGGACTAACATTTGTAGCAAAGACTTTGTGAAAAACATTGAATCCTGCTTAAATGAAATGACTTAATTTTTTAAAGCAATATTTACAGACTTGTTTTTATTATTTTGATGCTTTATTGACTGTATATTTAACTTTCAAAATTAGTAGTTGCTTTATTCTTTGAGGGTAATCATTATACTTTGTTCAATGTGAGTGTCCTCATTTCTGTCTTGAATATGATGTCTTTTAATTATTAGCCTTTGAAAAACACTTCCCTATTACACATCACACATGACTGATAATGCAGAAAGACAAGAAAGAAAATAACCAGCCCTTCACAAACTCAGTCATGGTTATGTGACCATTCTACCTTTAGAAAAGAATATACAGAGAGGTTTTCTGGGGGCCATAGAAGCCATCTTTTCTAAGCGTGCATGAGACTTCCAAAGCATATTTAAAAAGAAAAGATTTTAAGACATGATGTCTGTTAAAGTTTTGTATTAAAGAAGAATTGAAGGGTCAGCTAGAAACACAGCACATCGAAACTATTTCATGCTTTCTAACAATGAGGATAACTATTCTGAGATAACTGAGTTGGATGTTGAAGCAAAATATAAAGCTTCATATAGAGTAGTTCAAAACCTTCAAACAAAGAAAAGGAATTTGTTTAGGAAACAAACCAGTATTAAACGTCAAAATGCCCTCTCCAATAAAATAAATTTAAAAATCTAATATATGATGTTCACACTAAAGACCTGAATAAAAGCATGATAAAGCGAAGCTCACAATATAGTAATTATGCATGATATATTGGAGAATTCCTAATTCATGTGTTATACCTGCATTCTTTCTATTGTGTCTTATACTTTTCTACTCAATGAAAAAATCCAATTTAATCATGAATGATGGGAAGACTTCTTAATGTTCTGTTTCTCTTTTGTTTTCCTCCCAATTTTCTGTGACTTTGCAAGGGAGATGATTAATCTGCTAATAATAAGATATAGAAACGATTCTCAGTCTTTTTGCTAACAATGATGTAGCGTTTCACCTTTGAGAAGGTAATTAAGTAGCAAAGCTACACACAAATTAAATTACTTTTTTACTGAAACGCTAACTAGCTGGCAATCCATATGTAGGAATTCTTACCACCCATCATCTGACTAAAACTTCCAGTGCTTTCCAGGTTAACAATGGGATCCATGAGCAAGAGAAATAAGGAAGGTGTCCTTGAAAAGTCTCATCCATTTGTCTTTGCAGCACAGATTCTTAAGTGAGGAGTCTTGTGCTTACATTTCTTTGCTGTATAGCCATTTCTCAGATTCTGGTGTCTTCCTAATGTCCTACCTTCATCCTTTACCGCAAGGAGAAAAGAAGAAGACATAGCAGAGTATTCATTCCTGCGCATGTGGGGACTAGAAGAGGGGAATGATAGGGGGAAAGAATTAGGATGAACTGGTTCCAAGACCTGTCTCTGGGAGCCAGCTCTGTCCAAATGCCAGGATACTCCTGGGCATGCTTAGATAGTACTGCCCATAACAAGGGTATTTCATATCAATAACATCTAATGTTTTAATGGCAATTTAGCAGAGTGGGTAAGAGTGTGAACTCTGAAGCCAGACTGTTCAAGTTCAAACCCTGGCTTTAGAATGTATTGCTGCATCTCTCTGCCTCAATTTCTTCACTGGAAAAATGGATATAAAAGTAGTACTTTCCTCACAGAGTCAGATAAAGCCAGGTGCTTTATCTGAATCATCTGGTTTGATTATCCCAACAACTCTTCAAAGTAGCTGGAATTATCCATGTGACATAGAAGAGGTTCCAAAATGTTAAATAAGCTTCCTATATATCTTGTTAGTGGCCAGCCAGGGCTTGTGGGTTCCTATCATCCCCAACACAAAGGGAGACCAATTTCATAGTCCCCTCATCTGAGCCTTCATCTGAACTTTTAGTACCAGAATCAACCCTGGACAGGTCTCTCTTCTTGGAGCAAAGCATAGTACCCCCAAAATCATGACAACAATGCTGTGTTGCAGGTATTGCTGTTGTCTCCATTTTATAGATGAGGAAAACTGAGGATCAAAGAAATCATGTAACTTTCTCCAGGTCACAGTGTCCCACTCACACCATTTTTTCTAAATGCAGACCTCATGCTCTACCCATGGTCAAGGTTGTCCCACTTTTTCTCAGGGAGTATTGGTCAGCACTCTCTAAAATTCCCAGATGCTCCCCCACAAAAGAGCCTTCTGAATGTTGGCCAAAGTTGAACACAAAAAGAGAAGGAAAGTAAATTCTCCTTTTTTGCTCTCTAAAGTGTAGGAAAAGTTGGTTTCAAATGTCCAGTGAAGAGCATTTTACCCTCTTTCTGCCAAGAGATATTATCAATGAAAGTATTCAGTGTCTGGAGAAAAATCATGGCCTATGAATAGTTTAGCGAACAGGCTTTTTACAAAGAAAAAGACTGGCTGTCTACGCTGCTAAGCTCATTTTTGTTACAAAGAGGTAGCCACTAGCCTTTTCTACTTGTTTGAAAAGAAAAATATTTGAGACTAGACATTGGGAATTTTTCATGTTTAGCTGAAAGGCAAAACTGCAAATGTTACCTTTGTGGTGTGAGAATGCAGAGGCCCACCTGGACCTGAGGGTCTCTGAGGCACGGTGGGTGCTCTTTTCATGTGGACAATGCATGAACACCCAGAAATGATTCCATCTGATATTCACCATTACTGAAACAGGATGCAGTTTCTTTGTGCCCCTCAACCATGGCTCATGTTGCTCCTTGTAAAATGTGCACTGTCACGAGTATTAGGCAATTACTGCCTTCGGTGCCACATGCTTGCCTAAACCTCCCTTGTGAGAGAAGAGGGAGGTGCAAGACTGAAGTACTGAGGACCAACCAGAATTTAGCACAGCTTATAGACATCTGAGTCATTGGCAGAGTCAAGATTAATTATGGTTCAACACATGGGGGCTTATAACAGTTAACACCATTGAGACAGGTCAAATCAACAGCTCAGTTGTGCTTTAGCCCTGTATATAAGAGTATGAATTTAGTACTGATGCTGCATTAGAGAGAAGATGATGCCATGTAGAAATAACATTAAATGTTGCTCTAGCAACTTCCATCTTAAAGGCTTAGAGAAGGAATCCTCTGAGCAGCTCATTGAATTTCATGGGAGACTCCGCTGCCATTGCAAATGCTGGTAAAGAAAACTATGAAGGGATGCAGGATGGACAACTGCTTTGGAACAGAGATTGTACAGTTTTCCGAGACATCCTTTGTCCACATGGGAACCCAATCTCAGTGGCAGGACTTCTGGGTGGATGGACCCAACAGAGCCCATTCTAAGAAGCTGTATATGCTCTGCTGAAGGGCGTGTGGGGCGCACAAGAAAAAATGTGCTATCTTACTTTTTTCCAAAGGCATTACCTGTAAAATTTTGGACTATGATAAAAGCATTTATCTTCCTCATGCTTTTATTTTCCTCCCCCCCCCCAACCCCCCTGTACTTAGCACTGTTAATTAGAAAAAAGCATAGTGATACATTAGGGCTTTTGAGTTATGCAATTCTCTTGCCATTTTTCTTTCCTTCTACAAGGAAAATCTAATGGAAGTGTCAGCTGTGAAAACCTTATGCTTATTTAGATGCATTTCTTCCCACTACTGAATACTTGTTTTCTATAAGGTTACAAACATACTATTCTATCCCTCCAAATTTATTTTCTCTGCAAATAGCATTGTCTTTCTGTTCTGAATTTGTACATGATTCCATCACTAACTTTTTTTTATTATGGTCAGTTCCTTTAATTCTCAATATTGTGATGTTAAATAATCTAATCAGCAGGTACGGGAAGTAATTGATTTTGTTATATTTAGTGTTTATGTGTGAAATAATCACAATTTCAGTTCAATTTGTGATATACTAGTCTCTTATGTGATTATGAAATTTTGCTTTCTAGTTAAAAATATTTCACGGTATGTTCACCTTTCTTTCTTTTTTCTTTTTTTTTTTTTTTTGTTTTCTTTTTCAGGCTCAGAAATCCTGGATAGAAAGAGCATTTTATAAAAGAGAATGTGTCCACATCATACCCAGCACCAAAGACCCCCATAGGTAATCTTGCTGTCTATAATGTTGAGAACATGAAGTAGTAATTATACAAAAAACCTGCAAGAGTAATCATGACCTGTTACAAGGGAAACACTGTCAAATTAAATATCTTTTATATTGTTTCTGGACATCTTTGAGGCAATCTTATTTATACACACTATATAATATGTCATTTCTACAATTAATTCTTACTCTAAGAGCCGATAAAGAAAAACATATATACCATTGTGGAAGGAATTAATCACTGTATATAACAGTGGATTATGTTTTTTGTTATGGTTATTGGTTTTTCCTTTTAAGTACCTCCTCCAAATGCTTAGTTAGTACCAACACGTTCTGCAATAGGAAAAAAGGAGACACTTAAATAAAAGACTCCTAGCAGATTCCTAACTAAACTGTATACCTTCAGATTCCCATTTAAGCACTTTGTTAGCACCCTACTTACCTTCCTTAGGATCAACAATATATAAGATAAGAAGCATTTGGGATAAAGTAGCATATATATGTCTGAAATGCCCTTATGAATGGGCAATTCAACAGATCAGTTTAAAATATAGACTACAGAGTCTTAGAGACTATCCGTGTAACCTTGCGCAAATTACCTAACCTTCAAAACTACAATATTTCATCTATACAATGGATGCTAAATTGTTAGTTTTTAATAAATGGCAGCTACATATTGTAACTATTATGACTAATAGTCATAAAGGTAGTAATAGTAATGTATGAAGGACATTTTCATGATAGAGCAAAGTTTAAGTTTTCAAATATCTCATGAATATTTTTCATTGTTTCGTCAAGAACACTTAAGCCTGCAGATTTTTATTCTCAGAATTGGATATTTGACAGCAAATGTCAATTGGGAAGAGACAAGTTCAGTTGTGATTCACAAAGAAGTGAGATTCCTCATTTAAATGTGCATGTTAAACTTCTCCTCCTCAAAGCTCTTCAGAGACCTTCGTGCTTTGATAGATTTGATAGATGGGCTGAGTGAGAAGTAGAGAAATCCAGAGAAGTTTTGTTTGCAGATGTCCAATCCTGAACAAAATGCCAGGTACAAAAGAGGTGGACGGAGAAGGGCAGGAGACATATTACAACTTATACAGCTAAAGGAAAATGGGTAGAGGGGAGAAAAGAAAAGATATGTATATCATGGAAAGCCTGAGTTTACCAATACCTGATATAGCCACATGGTGGAATTCTTCCTGAGAATTGACTGACAGGTGTTGGCACAGACTATAGATTTCTCCAGCTGGTTGCCTTAAGTGTGTATCCCAATAGTGACTAATACCAGGGGTTCACTTTAACCTCTTCTGTTATAGGTGTTGCTGTGGGCGTCTGATAGGCCAGCATGTTGGCCTCACCCCCAGTATCTCCGTGCTTCAGAATGAGAAAAATGAAAGTCGCCTCTCCCGAAATGACATCCAGTCTGAAAAGTGGTCCATCAGCAAACACACTCAACTCAGCCCTACGGATGCTTTTGGGACCATTGAGTTCCAAGGAGGTGGCCATTCCAACAAAGCCATGGTAATCAGAAAGCCATTCAGTTGCTCCCAAATGCTATCTCAAGTCTCAAGTCCTGCAAAGGGGTGGTTAAGAGCATGAAATTTAGTCTTTGGGCCTAATCTCCACTCTGCCACTGTCTGATGAGGTGACCTGCTCTGAGTCCCCTGCCCCTGTGTGTCTCAACCCTTCTTCTATAAAACAGGAAAAAGAAAACTTTCCTCCTGGGATTTTTAAAGTAATTAGTGACTTTTAAATAATTACAGACACAGTGACTCTTATTATTAATCATTTTAAAATAGCTTTCTATAGTTATTCACTGTTTATTATGTCATTTTCTGGGTCTCATCCATTAAGACATATTTTTCTAACTCCTTTTTTTATCCCTTTGGTGAGAATGTGTTGCTCTTTAGACTTCTGTTTTATTCTGTTGGTAACTAGCATTTCTCTTAATTCAAAGTAGAAATGATTAACTCCACCTATTTCTTTCCTTGTTCTAAGAGAAATATTGCCATCGAAATTAAGTGCTTTTTCTCCAAGCATCTGTGCTCAATAATGTTCTCATTAGAAGATTCCACATAAAAAGCATTTTTTGAGTTGGGGAGACTTTAGGAAATATGCAAATGTTACTTCTAAGAGTTTTTGCTTTTAAATTTCACCTTTCATCATGGGCCACTTCCTAGTTAGCTGACAGAATTTGTCTAGCATGTGTTATGAAAATTCTAGATGCTATTGTCCAACAAGCTTGCTTCTAACTGTTATAAGAGAGAAAACTAGCTGAGGGTGGAGCAGGAGATGTCTGTTCTTAGGCGTGTCATGGAGTTTTTTGAGTCTGGAGAAGAAATTTTGCTAAAAGAAGCATACTACAGACCACAAGGGAAGTCACCTCACATGAATGGCAGTCTAAAACTGTGCAATAAAGCCACCTCTTTCTTCTCTTTTCTTACCTCTCCCTTCCCTGTCTCTCTCCTCTTCCCCTTTCCCTGCCCCCCACCCCCGCCACTGCAGTAATTTCTTTACCACGAATGGCTGACTGAGCTATTTTAACACTTCTTTTCTATGAAATATAATTCTGAACTGTATATTAAAACCATTTCTGAACGATATTTTAGAAAGAAAAATGTGCTATTTGCAACCTCCAGCAAGGCTTGGGAAAACAAAGAATGAGTTAAGTAGTCTTGGCCTATGCAAAACTAAGGGAAATGGAAATCTGTCAACTTCCTTACTCACTTAAGAGATGCATTTGCCCACACAAGATTATTAACTGTCCCCAATTCAGTACAGTCACTGTTCACAGTATGGGATTGACCCACATACAATGTAGATTCTCTGAAACCACGTGTTAAAAGTCATGCGAGTTGTCCCTGTAAGAAAAGTGCTGTAAATGAGGATGTGGCTTGCTGGGCAATAATCATTGTAGAGTGGTACACCCAGTGCCTTCACAGGATGCTTGAATACTGCCTGCAAGCCTCGTGTCATTAGCCCAGTAGGCATATGATAAGCCTCTGGTCATCATTTCCACTGTTAAGAGTTAGTGTCAGATATGGAGCACCAATAGGCTTGTAAGTGAGAGCATCCCTCAAAGTTGTCACCTTAGGAGACTCTGATGACCATGATGCTGCCATTGTCCAAATGTGCACTCATCTGTCTTTTGGGGAGTGATTCCCGACAATTTATAGATTACAAGAGAAAAGCAGTCTGTATTTTCATCAAATGATAGTTTTAATGGAAAATGAATCAGAAGTACCTGAAATTCATAAAACCTAGAGCTTAGTCACAAGTAACTTCTACTGTTTTTTACAAGTCCAGTCTATTCTATGAAGATAAAGTTTTTTACCGTTAAAAAATACCTTTTAAAAATGGAGTGTTAGTAGTGAAGTATCAGTATTAGGAGGTTAGAAGCGAAGAATGTAGATTGTGGATTTAGATAACACAAGTTTAACCCAGAACCATCATATAATGCTATGACATGGAGAAAATTACTTAAATTTTCTGAGCCTCAGTAATTGTATTCTGTTGTATAAATGGTTGGTATTACTGTCATAAGCATTAAACGGGATGACTTATGTAAAGGATTTGACACAGTGCTGAGCACACAATAGATATAAAATTAATCTAGCTGCTATTAATATTATTAATACTATCATCACTATTATTTGCTTCAGTCTCTGAAAGAAATTGCAAAAACATTTTGACTAAATACTTCGAAAGACACTCATTTGGATGCACATATCTTATATTTTATTTTAGAAAGCCAAATTACACTTTTTCAGTTAATGTTTTAAAATTATTCCAGAAGTTCTCACCCCTTAGCCTACTGGTTGACCACAGCATCTGAAGGCACACTGCATTTTATTTACAGCCTGACTGTCATTAATGGGCTTTGTGACAGTTTACTTAGCTTCCTACTGCCTCAGTTTCCTCACTTGTAAAATGAGGATAGTAATTCCTCCTTCATATGGCTGTCTCTAGAATTAAATGAGTCAATTCATGTTAAGCACTTAGAATCTTGTCTGGTGTTAAAGCTGAGCAACTATTTTCTGTTGGTATTCTTCCTACAAAGAGCTAACTTACTGTACCGGAAAGAGAGGCTTTGCGATTAAGATGCATGATCTTGAAGTCAGACAGAACTGGATCTCAGCCTTCACTCTCTCACTGTTTAACTAGAAAGTCTTGATTAAACCATTTAACTTAGCTGAGCCTCAAGTTTTCTTATCTATAAAGCAGGCATAGTTGCCTTATTTGATGTTTATGAAGATTAGAGAGAAAATTAAAAGTACCTGGTATACAGCTAGTGCTCAAGATGTTTATGAAAATAATAGCTACTTATAAAAGTAACAAAGACAGAGTAGTGAAACAGCTTCCTTTACTTCCCAGGAGTCCAAAGATGTGTTAGAATATTTCCATAGGGGTGCCAGGCTGCATAAGTCCACAATCAACTCTGTTCCAGTGAATGGCATTGGTGACAGGCACTGGCAGGAGGGTGGGTCCAGGACACCAGCCCATCACTGACAGAGGTCTGTGGTCTGTGGATCACCACATCACGTACTTAGATTTCCACTTTCAGTCAACCTCCTGTATCCACTCACTCCAGCAAAACAGTAAGTGAGACACTGTTACACCTCAACAATTGAACAGCTGCCATGGGTGTGCTATTACGGGGGACAAAACCAAGATCCCTTCTCATTATCTGTGATTACTTTTTCTCCTGCTGGAAAATTGTAGTGCATTTGACAGACCCTAAGAACTCTGGAGACTGAGACTCCAAACGATTTTATTAAAATGTGTATCCTTCTTAGTATTAAAATACTTGTGCAATTGCTTTCAGAATCTGTAGCAAGTAATGATAACCACAATAATAATAGCAACTAAAATGTATGGAACATCTACTACATCGCTGGTACTGTGCCAAGTACTTAACTATGATACCTTGTTTTATGTTTATAACAGCAGTATTGTTATTCCTACATGACAGAGTAACCTACTGCAGCCCTTAATAGTTAACTAATTTCTCCATGTCGCAGAGCAAATATATACTGTATGTATATTACAATATTTCACAGTGGAAAGAAAGACTCGAAGAAGCAGATAGATCTTCCATTGTGCTCCACAGAGGGGACACATATAGACACTGGCTTCGACAGCCCTCCTGAGGCTCCACATGGCTCTGTGGAACTTAGAGTTGTCTGCTGGTGATCAGGTTAAACAAGGTCAGCTATATACTTTGTGGAACCCAGTACAAAATTAAAATGTAGGGTCCTTGCAGGGACAGAGAAATCAATCCTCCCTTCCGATGGCTGGCAGCCCCAACTCTCAGTGGATGGGTGACCCCTGCCATGGGATTGCCACCTTTACACTGGGACATGGCTAGTATCTAAGGCAGGTGAACTTCTGCCAAGTCATCCATGAAGCACAGCATGGTTTTGCCAGCCCAAGACAGAGAAGGCTGCTCCCTTATCATTACCCTGAAATGCTGCAAGGTACATACCCGCCCCTGACCTTCCCCATCCTGGAGAGGCAGCAAGGAGGTAGGACCAGGGACCACCTGTGAACTGAAGCTTCAAGACTCCACTGTCCCATTGGACTTCATTTACTAAACACAAATTCAAGGATAAAATTATTAAGAATTTTAAGATAGCAAGTGCACAGCAATGGACCCTAAGCACTGGCCTTCTGAATAGTGTGACTATATTGGTCCCACGCCCACAAAGCTGGCTCTGAGGCTAGGTCTCGGAGGTTATGGCTGCCCTAGATGGCCTCAGAGCTGTCCCTACGAGCGTAAACCTTTCTTTCTTTCTGAGTCTAATCAGCCAAATGAGAACCAATTTACCTTCTTATTACTACCGAATATTTAACAAGTGGAAGTTCCAGCTCTTCATCCAGACATAAATAAGCATTTTGTCCACTTTGAAAACTTGCCCTTCAATTATTCTGATTCTTCTGTCTGGGCAAAGGGGTGGAGCTGTCCACAGGTCGGAGGTCTCATTTTATCTGGCAGGATAATTGTTTTGTGCCAACCTGTTCCTTCTTTACCTCTTATCCTCTCAAACAAACTGGCACACAGTTTGTAGAAAGGGAAAATCAGCAACCACCATCTGTTAAAGAGTGCCAATCTTTGCATGGGGAAGGCATGGTTAATTTTTCACTAAGATTTAGGTCAGATTGGCCAACTGATTTAATATGCCTTGGGTCCCCTGCCTCTAACAAGAATACTTGAAAGTTGAAATTATTTTTAACAAAGTGGTCAAAAAACTCTAGAGGAAGATTGATTTTTATTAACTTTTGAAGCCAAGTTGAAGCCCTTGTGTTGCCAGTGTGGTCTGGACATAATATGAGACACTCTGCAGGAGTCTGGGTAGAGGATAAAGTTGGAGAAAAAGAGAATCATAATCATTATTACAATGTTGCAGGCCATGTGAGCCACATCTCTGCTCAGGAGCACTCTGTGTGTCTGTTTTATCATGCAGGCAGTACAGCAATGTGTCACAGAGCTTAAGCCACCAAGGACACTTGAGAGATTGGATGCAGCAATTCACAACTTGCGAACTTTTGAGACAAGCACACTAATACCTATGTCCAAGGTTTACTTCCAAGAGAGTCTCATTCATTGGTCTGGCATAGACCGTGGGCATCCAGAGTTTTTAAAAAATTACTCAGGTTATTCTACTGTTCAGTCAGGCTTAAAAAACACTAACTAATCTGCGCCTAGAGAAGTTAAATTATTTTCCCAGAGTCACAGTTATTTAACAACATAGTTCTTGAACCCAGCCTCCTCAGGACTCCTGTCAGTTCTGTTTCTTCTCTGTTGTATACACCTAGCACAGGCTATATTAGATGTTTTGTTGGGAAATATATATGTGGGTAATTGAAAGGAAGCTAATTATTATTATGTTTCTAGCTATTGATAAGGAAACATCAATTTAGAATTATAAAGTCACTATTGTTTAATGAGGTTGATGAAACTCAAAAGCTGTGAGCAGGAAGGGGTCTTCGTAAACTTACATCCTAGGTTCACAGAACCATTTTCTGTGCCTTTTCGAGTACTTTGTAGTGTTCAGTCCTCCGTTCCCAGGCTTGACCAGCCCCCATAAAATCACAGTGAAACCAGCCCTTGACAGAGAAAAATTGTGACGCAGGAAGAAGACGTTCAAAGCTGATAGAACTGAAGGATTCTGACTTCCTGTTAAGTACCAAGCCACATCCTACCAAATTGCAAGCCCCGGTAAGCTATTCCCGAACAACCAGAAGACCCTGCAGTTCACTCAGATGCCCCATAAATGTCAGAACATAGAGACAAAGGGAGAAGATAATAAGAGGCAAAAGCTCTGGTTTAGGCATTATTTTACTGGAATGGAATCCAGGTAACTTTCTAGGACCCTTTACAGAGCAACAAGAAGATGGACCCATCAGCCAACATAGTATCATGTCTCAAAGACTCTTCTACATCTGGGGCTCACACCTTACATTATTTAGGAAAGGAAGCAGTGTTGGACTTGATTACAGACAGAATCTTATTTTCTTACTAGTCATCTCTTCCAATTAATGCTGAGCTGACTTGTGGGCCAGGTAAATAAGTGTAACCTAATTAAGGACTTATATTTAAACCTCTCAAGTCACCCACATAATTCTCTTTAGGTTTTCCCTTGCTATTTACACTCCCTATTAAATTAGGTTGAGCCCCTTATTATAATCTTCATATGATTTAGATAATTATTTCTAGCCCTCATTTTCACACTTAAAGCTCTAACTATATAGAGCCTGCCAGAGGATGAAAGCCTTATTCTCTGGGCGTTGTGGGTGTGAGGTGAAAGGGAATGTGGGGATTTACGGGGGAGATAACAGGCAGGGGGAGGCTGTCAGCAGCATGACATCTACAAGCTTATGCTCTTAATATCCTTTAGGATTGAATTTGAGATTTAAAAAACTGTCTATCTTTGCAATATGCAAATTTTATCTGGGAATCATCACTGATTGGCACACACCAAGTAGGAAATTAAATGAGTCCCACTTCACAAAACAAAATAGCTGATCAATAGGCTGTGGCTAACCAAGCAGCTTTACATACACGGTAAGGTTTTGAGAGGTTTTGTAATTGTTCCATTGATTTTCAGTTTCTACCTTGTAATCTGAAGACCACTGAACTGGCAGTACCTTTGGAAGGTTTTTCTGAAACTGAGAATAAAACTAGAATTTATCAGTTATATTTCTGATCCTAATCATAGATCTATAGAGAAGGAAGAACCAATTCTCATCCAAGAAACCATCCTATCTTTGCGTCTAGAAAATGTTATGCTAAATAATTCTGGCAGAAAATTCATACACTACCTCCTATGACTAGTTTATATGCTTACTGGAGTTTTATATTATTTCTAAACCTTGAGTTGTGGCTTGTCAGCATCCATCCCCTGTAAGTACCTGATATCTCATATTAAGACATTGCAAAAACAATATGGAATAAATTACAATAACACCTCCAATTCCAGAGTTTTGTGGGTCATCAAACTAGGGATTTGATGACAGTTAATGTGATTCTAAATATTTTCTAAGGATATTTTTTTATCTATTAAACCATCATAAGCATTAAACTCTTGATGCAAAGCACAAGGCCCCATGGACTTGGAAAGCTGGTATTAGCAAAATTGCCTTAGTAGTCTCAAGCGACATATTCTCTTCAGCCACAGCTTTAATTACAAGTGCCCATTTTAAAGGTACCTACAAAGAGTTAGGAAATGAAATGGTGCTTGTTACATTTCTCAAACCGAAAGGAAAATGGGGCAGATTTTCCACTAGAGGCTTGGAAGAAAGGCATTAAAAATATTGTTAGAATAGATTTAGCAATGATAGTTCCATTTTTCAGAACACTACGTAACAAAAACCAGGTGATTACTTCCAAGAATTAAAGATGGCCTTACAGTAGAAGGAGGTGGACCTGTCATTTAATATTTCCGAGAGAGTAGCCAGATTCATTGTTCTGCAGTTCCTTTACATTTTCATTGAAACAGCTGGGCAAAATTTACTTGGGTTAAAATTTAGCCCTAAAGAGGTGACTGATGAATTTTCAAAGGCAGATTGCTCTGCCAAAACTCAAATTGAGAATGCCAAAGGAAGATTATTATTATTTTTTCTTAATGAAACAGCCCGTCTGTTCTATGCAGTTTGGCTGCTGCCCCACCCACCAATCAGCCTTTGCCTACTGTGGGTTTGATGAAGGGGAAAGGACTGTCTTGTTTGTGATGCCAAATCAGTGCAGAGCGAAGCCATGATAAAGTTGAGTTCTGCTTTGATAGGCAAATAGTAACATTTCTAATGATAAAGCAGTCAGAGAGGCTTTAGTAAAAAATGCAATAAGTCACCTGCTAAGCAAAAAGACCTTTAGCACCAGGCAGAGCAAAAACTTGAGAGTTTTAGTTACTGATGCCCTCTGCCATTTGAATGAAAGAAAATCTCTAGTTTTCTATTTATAGTCTCACAGAATGTCATGTCTAAATTTGTTGTTTGGAACTCAAAATACATTTTCTCATGAAAATCATGCTGATGTACTGGCCTCCAAGGTAACTAAGAGTAGATCAAAAAGTACAATTTCAACTAGAACTAGCCTCTAGTTCATACAGAACATTCTTGAGATGTTATTCTGATTGTCATTAGCACATCACAGGGCCTTCCTGCTGCCAGGCAGTGACGCTAATGACAGAAAGAGAAGAGATAGGTAATTCCAGCCATGAGTAACTTATTCGAGCCCAGTTTATCTCTTGAAATGATAAATTGGGGAACTAAAGGCCATGGATAAAGAAAGGATTGGATAGCCCAAACAGGTGCTTTTAGAAAGATAAACACCTGCACCAATCACTCCCCAGATAACTCCAAGGTGAAAAAGAAAAAGTTATTTTGAAAGGCATACTAAAGAGCTAAAGGCAAGTTACTTGGACCTGTTATACCCAGGGGCCATATATAAGGTGAATGTGACCTTCATTCAATTTGCATTTATTAGTTTTTCCGCCATACCTGGTATGTGCCACAATTTAATCCACACAGTGTCCTGTGAGGTCGTCAGGATCACCCCTGTTTAACAACAGAGGATGCTCAAATTGCCAAAGGACTTGCAATGCCACTATCTGACACTCAAGTATCATGCTGCTTATGTCTGAAATATCTGTAAATGGGAGCACCACATCAGAGTAATGCTCAGGGGACAAAACTGAGCATGCTCATTAGGAAGACTTCTTGTTATTTGTAAGGTGAGCCCTTTGCAATTAATAGACTCACAAGTGACAGTCAAAATTGCTGATCTTGACAACCAAAATAGCTCCTAATTTCAAATCATATTGACTACTTAATAGGAATTGATTAATTGCTCTGGGCACGTCCATTTATGAGCGTGGAGCTGCTGAGTCGGCACATGAGTTAACTGCTGTATTAAAGCACCTGGAGAGCTTACAAAAGGAACTGATCTTTATGAGCATAGGAATATCATTTGAAAATGAAAATCCTCAGATAATCTCAAAGTGTTTTATCCCTCGGTTTTAATTATCTTCTTATCTACAAAAACATGTACCTGTGTTGCTAAATGGTGACAACCAAACATGAAAAAAGTACCAAATTAATTCACTTAAATGCTTTATTTATATCTTATCTTTTATTCTCAAGAGAAGGGCACAATAAATCACAAATAACGGGCAACATCCAAGGGCCAGAGCCACCCGTTGTTTGTGCTACTTGCATGATTCTAGATAATTAGGTGTGTTCTACAGTTAACCAAATGTTCCTTTGTGTAAGAATTAGTACTGGTCAAAAGAGGTTAGGTAATTGAGGATACTTTGAGTAGCTTGTCAATTGCTCCATTTTCATATTTATTGTGGCCTTACTAATTCTTCCAGTACTTCCTAAATCTTCCTTTGGATATCCATGTAAAATACTGAGCGCTCTTTCTTTGACCAAATAGCAAACACAAAACACATCATTTGGGATGTTTGGTCTGGGGAAAAGTTATCATTCTTGCTGCTCATGTGGTACCTGAGGAGCTGGTTAGAAATGCAGAGGCCCAAGCCCTACCCCAGATGTATTGAATCAGAGCCTATATTTTTGACAAGGTCCCCAGGTAAGTTCTGTGCACATTAAAATTAGAGAAGAACAGCCCCATCTAGAGCCACCAGTGTTAACAGTAGCTTCAATAATGAATTAAAGGATTGTTGAATAACTAGCTCTGATATTCCAGTCACTCACCTTCCCTGGGTCTCTGTATCCTCATTTGAAAAGCAAAAGAATGGAACAGATTCTTTTGAAGAGTCCCATGATTGCCAAGATATCTCTAAACTCTGTTTTCTTTCCAAGACAGTGACTACTTCATAGCCAGTGCTGAAAGCCTTACTAAAGAGAAAAAGACATGGTCAGGTCAAACACAGTCTCTCCCCTCAAAGCTCTTGCAACATAGGGAGATAAAATTGACCCATGGGAAAAACAACCAGAAAAAAATATATATATATCACACTGGGTTTGATTAAGAGTTATATTGCATCAACCTGAACTTGCATTCTCAGGAAAAGTCACGTTGGATGAAACAAAGGCCTTTGATAGATGAGAATGCTTTCTGTAGATGAAAGGGGAGAGATTGCATTATCTAGGACTTAGAGGGGAGCAGTGCTGGCCAAATGCAGGGAGAAGTGAGGAAAGCCTCAGAATTGGCAAGATTATGTCAAGTTATAGGGGATGCTGAGGGCAAGAATGGGGAGTTTACATCTGATGGAAGAATTTTAATTGAGAAATAATATGGTCCAAAAGGGACTGGAGAAAGAAATCTGCCTGTTGGTGTCTCATAAAGAAGTCAGTAGGAGGCTGTTGCTGTAATTCAAATGGACATCCTAGTAAGAATACATTCTTAAAATGGCAACTGAAGAAATAGAGAAAAGGAACTGGTTGACAGCACTGTTTTGATAAGTGGACCATTAGAATTTGGAGACTGATTGGTCATAGGTAAAGGAAAAGGAGAAGTACAGAGACACAGAGCCATTTACACCTTTGAGGTAAAGAGAAAGGGCCCTGGAGTCAGACCTGGGCTGTGAGCACTCCCATACTAGCATAGTGAACTTGAGAACATGATGGATTCTTTCTGTTCCCATCGGTAAAACGTGGGTGAAACCAACATCCCTGTTGTTGGGAGGAGTATGTGAGAAGGTACAAGTAGAACACGCAGCATGCATGTGCCTGGTGCACAGTAAATACACAAGGTTCTTGTATTCTGGTTATTTTGTTGTTCTTGTTTTTTGGGATTTTTTTTCTCTCTTTTTTTTTTTTTTTTTTTTTTTTTTTGGAGATAGAGTCTTGCTCTTGTCGCCCGGGCTGGAGTGCAGTGGTGCAGTGGCGTGATCTCAGCTCACCGCAACCTCCACCTCCTGGGTTCAAGTGATTCTTCTGCCTCAGCCTCCCAAGTAGCTAGGATTACAGGTGCGCGCCACTGCACCCAGTGAATTTTTTGTATTTTTAGTAGAGATGGGGTTTCACCATGTTGGCCAGGCTGCTCTTGAACTCCTGACCTCAGGTAATCCACCTGCCTTGGCCTCCCAAAGTGCTAGGATTACAGGTGTGAGTCACTGCGCCTGGCCGGAATTTTTTTTTCTTAGTAAAGTAATTGTGAGCAGAGAGAAAAATGTGAAGAGATCCCACGAGTAGTGTGACCTCACCTACTGTCTCCCTTTCTTCATCTGTAAGATGGGGAGCTGGGATCAAGGGGATCTCTTAGGTCATTCATTCATTCACTCTCTTGATTGCTTACTAGCTGAGTAACAAACATTCTGTGATAATGAACACAGCTTTGTATGGGTTAAGTTACTTCAAAAGGAATTTCAACATATTCAGTAGTTCTATTGGTCTTTTCCAGTGAGCTGCTCACCTGATCAATAAGTAGACCCTTTTCATTTCTTACTGTTATATTGTATGTATAACCATAGAAGTCCTAAAGTAAATTATCTATCAAGGGAGGCTTATTCCTAAAAATGCATTTATTTATTACCAATTAGTATGAATAATTGAACTCCATAATATGTCACTTAGCTAGTTAAGCTTGCTGAAATTATTACACAATATCTGTATTAATTTAGTATGAATTGTAATCTCCCTTCACACTATGTGAGTTAATAATGTATGCATATCTATTCCCAGGTACTAACTATGGCTCTGGATCTCACAGCATGTATGTGCCTGGTGCACAATAAATATACAAGGTTCTTGTATTCTGGTTATTTTGTTGTTCTTGTTTTTCGGGATTTTCTTTTCTGTTTTTTGGAGACAGAGTCTCCCTCTTGTTGCCCAGGCTGGAGTGTAGTGGCGCAGTGGCTAGATGAAATGTATAGGTGCAGATCTACATGGAGAATTTTGGGGTTCCAAAAGCCACAATCATAACAACTCAGAAATGTTAGGAATTACTCTGAAATCTTGCAAGGGGCAAATAATTTTAGGAGTATTTTTATACTTTAGATGCTTTTCTGTGTTTAAGAAAAGTGTAATTTATATCTCACCTTAGGAGAACATAAGTCCACATTAAATTGAGGTTCTTTAAAGTGATACGTTAAAGTTGATAAATAAGAGAACAGTAACTTGAAAAGCAATTTCTTAACATGTCTCACACTAAAGCATTCTTGGTTTGTATAGTTTGGAAGCCTTGCAAGTCCCAGTTCTACTTTATTTTACTAAATAATCTGTTCTGGAATTAGTCAAAATGAAATAAATTCAATTCAGCAGAACACCCAAATTTTAACTATTCAAGTCGCTAAACCACACTACTCAAGTAGCAGTGTACAGGCACAGAAAAAATGTTATTATTTCATCTTTATCTTAAACCACTTTACTGAGGTATGATTGGCATGCAACAAGCTGAACATAATTAGTATATGCAACTTGATGAGTTTGGAGATAAGAATATACCTGGGAAATCAGCACAATCAAGGCCATAAACTTACCCAACACCTCCAAAGTGTTCTTCTGCCCCTTTATTTATTTATTCTTTTCTTTATTCTTTTATTTTATAGCATTCATTATAAATATGTCTCTTATAAAGAGACTCTCAATGAAGATTTTTAACAGAAACTTTTACTTAAGAAATTCCTCTGTTTGCCTCTGATACTCCAGTACCCCCTCTTCTGCCTGAATGCTCCTTGTGTGGCACAAAAGTACACATTGGTGAAAATTTCTGTTGATAGATATCTGAAAGTTTTTGCCCTCTGCATGAGAGTTGGTGCACAAAAGATGCCATTTTTCATATTGTAAACTCTAGTCAAATTCTAGTGATATAATGTACTTACCTAAAATTGTCAACATTTACTCTGTATTCTGGAATCATTTTTTGCTAGATAAATCAAATCAATATAGAAACAACTGTATTGGATGCCAACACTTTGGATTTCTGGCATATATATGTTCAGGAAACTTTAGCTCTTTGGTATCTCTTGATGGTGCGGTTTATTTTATTAAGCTGCTTTCATATTCTGCGTGCTTTTGCCTCATGTTTCAGCTAAATATATTTCAAATATACTTTAACGAAAGAATAGAGAAACAATTTTTGAGGCTTTGAAACAATGGGGTTTTCCAGACCCGAAAGCATGGCAATAAATTGTCATCTCCTGGATAATCTTATATAAATCAAAAAGCATATGTTTGTATGATTACATGCAGGCATATTCATTTTGTGGTTATGCAACTTTAACATTCATACTTAAATTCCAGAATTAATTATTTTCCCTTCTTTCCCACACAACATAGGCTTTAGAATGCCATAACTCTAATTGTTACCATTCATTTATATGCTGTATTGTCCAGTGTTTTAGTTCTGTCACTTTCCACTGTAAATTAGATGTTATTTTATATTATATACCCAATACTTTTTAAGATTTACCTTACATTAACTAATATCTTAGTTTATCTTCCTACCTTACAACCCAGATCATCCATTTTGGATCACATAAGTCCTGCTTCCTATATATATTTTAAAACTTCCTTCAGGCCAGGTGTGGTGGCTCACGCCTGTACTCCCAGCACTTTGAGAGGCCGAGGTGGGCAGATCACAAGATCAGGAGTTCAAGACCAGCCTAGACAAGATGAAGAAACCCCGTCTATAATAAAAATACAAAAAAATTAGCTGGGCCTGGTGGTGGGCACCTGTAATCCCAGCTACTTGGGAGGCTGAGGCAGGAGAATCGCTTGAACCCAGGAGGCAAAGGTTGCAGTAAGCCGAGATCATGCCATTGTGTTCCAGCCCAGGCAACAGTGCAAGACTCTATCTCAAAACAAACAAACAAAAACAATAACAAAAACAACTTCCTTCAGTGAAGGTGCCTAGAAGTAAACTCTGTCAGTTTTGGCAGTATGAAAATATCTATAATCTGCTCTCATTTTTAAAAGATAGTTTTGCTGAATGTAGAATTCTAGACTGACAGGTAATTTCTTTTTTTTTTTTTTTTTTTTTTTTTGAGACGGAGTCTCGCTCTGTCGCCCAGGCTGGAGTGCAGTGGCGCGATCTAGGCTCACTGCAAGCTCCGCCTCCCGGGTTCAAGCCATTCTCCTGCCTCAGCCTCCCGAGTAGCTGGGACTACAGGCGCCCGCTACCACGCCCGGCTAATTTTTTGTATTTTTAGTAGAGACGGGGTTTCACCGTGTTAGCCAGGATGGTCTCGATCTCCTGACCTCGTGATCCGCCCGCCTCGGCCTCCCAAAGTGCTGGGATTACAGGCGTGAGCCACCGCGCCCGGCCAGGTAATTTCTTTTGACACATGGAAGGTTTTGGCTTCAGGTGTCTATTGTTGCTGTTGAGGAGTAGGTCTTCAGTCTAATGACTATTCTTTGTACATGATCTGTCTTTATTTCCAGCCACTTCTGAGGAATTTCCCCTCCCTTTGGTGTTACATGTGATGTGTATGTAAGTGAGGTTTCTTTTCATTTATCCTGCTTAGAATTCACTGAACTTTCTGCATGTTAGAATTGGTATCTTTCTATAATTCCGAGGAATACTCAGCCAATATTTCTTCCAATATTGCCTCCTCCCCATCATCTCTTTTACTTCTACCTATAATTCTGATTATCTCCTCCAAGCTCCTTTATTTTCCTTTCATGTTTTCAAATCCTTTGTTTTCCTGGCTGCATCTCATTTATCTTCTGGATCTATTATCATTATATCTAATATTTAATTTAACTTATCCATTTTAATTTTCATTTAATTATTACATTTTAATTACTAGAAGTTCTGTTTGGTTCTTTTCAGATGTATATATATGCACGTATATGTCATTTTTTAGTTTCTTACTCCTGACTCTTATACTCAGTCATCTCATTTATGCTTTTTAACATATTAACAGTTATCTTATAGCCTGTATCTTATCATTTCAATGACTTTGAGGATCTTATTTTGGTGCCTGTTGTTTCTATTGGTTCTCATTCATGCTGCCTTATTTCCTGTATAATTTATTTTATGGTTTTACTATGAAATACTTATTTCCCCGTGAGAATTATTTCAGGCATGGATTGATGACACATTCTTCCACAGAGAATCTCCATTTACTTCTACCAGTTATCTGGAACCATCGTCCAGCCAGAACTATTTAACATATTAAACACTGCTTGGCAATTCTTAAACCACACTGATAGTGTGAATATAGACAAGGCCTGTGTGGGGGCCTGATTGTGTTCAAAAATAATCAGAGGGGAAATTTTTTCCTCATCCACCTAGAGTCAAGGTTGAGGTAGGCAAGTTTTCTTGCCATCTTCTTCTGTGCATCAGGCTTATTTAATTTTTTTCTTTCTTATACTTGAGGATGAGCCCTTTGAAGTATACCAGCCCTATGTGGGATCCCATATTAAATTCTCCCATAAAATCATTCAATTCCCCCCTGCATGCAATCATTAAATCAGATGCTCTAGGTCTTCCAGGGTTTAGGAAAGACACTCAGGGTCAAATCCTGCTTTGGTACTCCCTAACTTCCTGAGGTTCTAAACTGCTTCTTTGTTTAGGAGTCTCAATAATTCTTTTTTCATGCCAACTCAGAAACCTATTTCAAAGGACTTTCTATATTTGCCCAGTTTTTCAGTTGTTTCCAGCTAGAAATTGAAGTTTTTAACATACTTACATTGAGACCTAAATGAGTATCTATATATATGGTTATATACATAATTATTACTGCATGTATTTATAGTATTTCATTTATATAGACTTATTATAACTTTATTTCCAGTTGCATCTGGTAACACCTTGATATTTGCTATACACTCAAATTTTCAACTATTCTTCAAGAATAGTTGTCCTGCCTTTTGTTACTTGTCTTCTTCAAAAGATACAGAAACATTACATTTGGTATGCAGTTGTTATAGCTATAAATAAATGTAATTCACTATTATGTTATTTTAAAACTCTCATTACATTATGTAGAATTCTAGAATCTTTCAAATCCTCTTAAAATAATAGGGTCACAGAAATAATAATATGTGCATCTAGTTAATATAAAGAGATATGAAAAATATTAGAAACATTTGAACTGTTGTACACATGTAAAGGGTGGTGAAATATAAAAATGATTTCCTTTGAGCAAAGAACTCGGTCTGGGAAAAGTCATGCTTGCACAGCATTTTAGAAAATCTAATAATTTCAGAATGAATTATCATAATTTCAAGAAAGCCTTTAAAAATATGAACTCTGTCTAATGAAGGCTCTTTTGATAAAGCAAATGATCACCCCTTTTAAAAAAATCTGATTTTATATGAGACGTTTTTGTCACATAACTACACATATAATTGCAATCAGTAAAGATAACCAGCCTCAGCCAGTCCTGCCTTGTCTCCCTAATTGATGTCCTTTCTTCTTCCAGTATGTGCGAGTATCTTTTGATACAAAACCTGATCTCCTCTTACACCTGATGACCAAGGAATGGCAGTTGGAGCTTCCCAAGCTTCTCATCTCTGTCCATGGGGGCCTGCAGAACTTTGAACTCCAGCCAAAACTCAAGCAAGTCTTTGGGAAAGGGCTCATCAAAGCAGCAATGACAACTGGAGCGTGGATATTCACTGGAGGGGTTAACACAGGTAATTGCAAGTGGAACAGAGAAAGTCAACATAGGCCATGGGAATGTTGTGCCTGATGTAATTTTCTGCTAAGATTAATTATTTCTATATCACCCCACTTCATCCCTACCCATGGGTCCATAGTTGCTGGTTATCACTCCCTCCTTTATCTAAATGAGAACTGTAAAGTTATTTCTTAACCAAGAAGAATTACTTACACATAAGAAATGGGTTGGGATATTTAATAGTTGACTATACAGAATTCATAAACATGACTAATGGAATTTCACAGGATATTTTTAAATAGCTCAAGTTGCCAATAATTCTTTAGGGAATGACTTCTGCTTTAAATTGGAAGCCCTACCTCTGTCCTTTACACAATTTCAAGTTTGGTACCAAATAGCTTTAATTTTTACAAAATGACGTTTCCATCTGGGACATAAAGGCAAAGTCTAGGGCATTACGTGTTTATTGTTTAAAATATTTTATTAACTCCTCACTGTGCCAATGGAAGACACATCTCACTCTGAATTCCAAAGAATGTTTGCTTCCTGCCATCTATATTGTGATATAGACGCATTCTCAAATCAGTTCTTACTGGCCCACCTATAGTTAAGTGCTTATTTACAGAACATTTTTAATGTGCACCAGATAATGGAATGGATGCCTGTAAATGTTTTTGGCATACTCCCCCAGCCTGAAGTCTGAGGTGCCAATTGGAAATGTAGAGGTAATGTTGCAATAAGTTAGGCAAACTTATTACAAGCCCCAAAGTCTGTACATGTGGATACATTCGTAATTAATGGAATATTCTAAACATAACTCTGGACCAGTTAGTTTTAAATAACACATTATCTCGGGCCAGGTATGGTGGCTCATGCCTGTAATCCCAGCTCTTTGGGAGGCCGAGGCAGGGGGATCACCTGAGATCAGGAGTTCGAGACCAGCCTGGCCAACATGGTGAAACCCTGTCTCTACTAAGAATGCAAAAATTAGCCCGGCGTGGTGGCAGGTGCCTGTAGTCCCAGCTACTCAGGAGGCTGAACCAGGAGAATTGCTTGAACCTGGGAGGTGGAGGCTGCAGTGAGCCAAGATCATGCCACCACACTCCAGCCTGGGCAACAAGAGCAAAACTCTGTCTCAAAAAACAAAAATAACACGTTATCTTAATGTTGCTTAATTTTGCATTCGTAGTTTGGATGCTGTTTGAGTAAGACCTACACTGAGAATTCTCTTAAATACCTAGAATTTGTGAACATTCTGCACACAGCTACGTAAAGATATTTCAGCGATGAAGTCTGCAGACTGCTCATGTTCAATGTTATTATGTGAAATTCTGACTCAGCCCATACACTGACATGATCTTAGAATGACCTGCTTAGCTCTTTACTCCTTATCCTGTAGTAATCAAATATCTACAGAGCAATTTTTCTTTCAATGACTGTTCAGGTTTTGGGCTCCATGTTTCCCTCTCAACTAAGCAGGCCTCATTGGCTTGTGATTATTGTCTATTGCATTCCTGTCACATAGAGACCAACTCAAAGGGTTCTACAGGTTCAAAAGAAAGTCTTACCAATACTCTATTTCTAAGAACTTGGAATATTGTTTATTATTTTTGTTCTTTTATAAAATGCATTCAATATCAAAAGAAGAATTTATAGCCTACATGCCACAAACCCATGAGTTCATCTCTGCCTCACTCCAGGCTTAGTGTTCAATCCAATACCCAAAGTGAGGTTCTTAACAATAAAATGTTAAAGTTAGGTAAGAAGTATTGATAGAATTGTGCAGACAGATGAGCATACCATAACGTTAAACTTCTTGTCCAGGGCTGGCCCTGAAAGGAGTTTTGTATTGGAAACAATTGGAAACAACTTAATATCAATATTCACAGCCTTTTTTGGGGGAGTTTTGTTTTGTTGTTTTTTGGTTCGGGTCTGTTTTTGTTTGTTTGTTTGTTTGTTTGTTTTACCAGTTCTCTCACTCAGAAGATTCATAGATAAGATAATAAGTGAAAATGATATTCTTTCCAACACTGTTGAATAGCTCAACATGATTAATGGCCATTTACACCGTTTTGTTATTTGCTTTTTAAACAGTGATTCTTTCTGTTTCATCTTATGAATATTTCAGTATTGAGTTACTTAAATACACATGTCTTTTCCCATGATTAAATTGCCTGGTGTGTTTCATGTGTTTAGTTAGTTTAGCGCACAGTGTCTGAGCCCTTCCTCTAGGCTAGCCCCTGAGGTGTAGGAAGATGAATAAGGCACTGACCCTCCAACTTCCCTCTCAAACAGTTTTACTGTTAGAAGAGACATCTTCACATATAATTATGAATCACTGCAGAACATGTTAAGTGACATACTGAGCTATTCAAAATTGACAAACTGCAATATGTTCAAATGGAGAAGAAATCAAATCCAACTCAACATTCATATAGGAAGTGGCACTAGGTATAAATTTTTCCTGGAGAAGTGGGTGGAATTTTGATAAGCAGAAACATCTTTTCGTAGAGGATATATCTTATACATCTTCCTATAAAAATGATCATTTGAGAGGGAGGTTAAGAGAATTAGAAATTGCATCTTCTTTAAATGGTTTTTAAAAAGGTAAGAGTTATGCCGCCTAACATCTTGTAAACTGAATTTTCTCACCCTTAACTATGATGGGGAAGGTCATTTTAACAGAAGAGGAAAATAATTAGAATGATGAAGATTAAAAGGTGTGTCTATATATTTTAACATAAATTTTCCACAGAATAATCCAACATTGTCTTTACGAGTAGGTTCTCATAAAGGTTAACAAAATCTCAAACTAAATAGCTCATGTCTTTGAATGAATTTAACTCATATACAGACTGTGGTGTAGATTTAACATACCATTATACATGGTGCTTTTAACATGACACAGTCAAGCTATTGGCTCCTAATCATACTAACAAATTATTATGCTTATAAGAAAAAGAGTTTCTAGTTAAAAAAAATTGTATTTATTCTTTTTATAGACATTGGATGCTTTTTGTTTTTTCATATGAATTGGAGTAAGAAATGCAATGCTAGAATTCATATACAAATCTGGCCAATGCATCTGGCATTACAGCCATGAGTTTATGTTTTCTCCTAAATACAAGTAGTTTGTATAGAAATGTGTCAAAATTTTATATTCAATTTATTTAACCTCGGGAGAAACCATTACCACAGTTTTCTTTAGAATGATGAAAAGGTATTTGCTTTAAAAGAAAAAATCAATGCTTCTCTTTTTTTTTTAGGTGTTATTCGTCATGTTGGCGATGCCTTGAAGGATCATGCCTCTAAGTCTCGAGGAAAGATATGCACCATAGGTATTGCCCCCTGGGGAATTGTGGAAAACCAGGAGGACCTCATTGGAAGAGATGTAAGTCCTGAGTGCTGTCGCTTTCCATGACTTCTCCTAGAGGGGATATCAGAAAAGTATAATAAAATTAGTATTCAAAATGTGCACATTATAGTATTCTTTGGGTCTCTACTCACTAAAATGAAACATGTTAAGGAATGGTATCTTGGGAAAATATTTATTTTCTAAAATCTCTAGGCAAACTCCAGGTCAATTCTTATGATCAAGAAAGGTCCAAAGTAAGACTTACCACCTACCCCCTCTCTGCTTAAATCAAGCAGTGGTCTTTCTTCACCCATCAAATCCTGCAATTACTCTTGGTATAGTGATATTAAGATTAATTAACACCACTTAATATACGGCAACATGAACTCATTGACAGATATAGTAAACACGGACTCTCCGCACCCCAGGGCTCTAGCATCTTTATAATTTGAGTATCTTTCACCTAGCTCCTGAGAGTTGCAGAGAGAGATTCTTTTCATTTCAAAGTACCATGAGGTCTATCTGAGCCACAAAAATTTTTTTTAAAAGTGGCGAAGAATTAATTGGTCTTAAACTACTTTTTCTATTATGCAATACAATGCAACCATCTTATTTTAATCCAACACAATATATGCAATTTTTTAAAATGCAATGCAAAATACTTTGAATTAAAAAATAAATGTCATCATAGGGCTCACTGTCCTGCCCTTTGCAAATCTTAAAATGTGTAGTATGAGTTACCAATGGCAATGCAGGCATTTAAAAAAGGAGGTAGGATCCATTTGACCCTGAGCAGAGATATTTTCCCCAGGGGCTTGCATTTCTCCTGAAAATTTACCTAAATGGGACAGACTGTGATGCATTTGAGTGGCAGACACTTTCTTCTCAGTTTTAAATAAAATGTATGTTTCAAAAAAACTAAATGTCATGAAACACAAGCAGTAAACAAACTCTGTTGGCCTTAAAAAATATCTTTATGGAGTACAGATGCAGATGTCTTATGTATGTATATTGCATACTGATTAAATCTAGGCTTTTAGTGTACCCATCACCTGAATAGTGAACATCGTACCCAACAGGTGATTTTTCAGCCCTCACCCCTCCCACTTTTGTAGTGTCCAATGTCCATATTCCACTCTGTATGTCCATGTGTGCCTAGTACTTTGCCCCCACTTACAAGTGAGAACATGCAGTATTTGACTTTGTTTCTGAGTTATTTTACTTAGGAAAATGGCCTCCAGTTCCATCCATGTTGCTGCAAAAGACATGATTTCACTCTGTTATGACTGGCCAGTATCCCACCATATATATATATATATGGTGGGAGATATATATGTATATGGTGGGATATATCTATATATACATATATATGGTGGGATATATATATATATATATATATATATATATATATATAGTGGGATATAGATATATATATCCAATCCTCCATTGATGGACACTTAGTTTGATTCCATATTTTTGCCATTGTTGATTGTGCTGCAATAAATATATAAGTGCAGGTGTCTTTTTTATATAATGATTTATTTTCCTTAATAAAAAAACACTTTAAATCCATTAGAACCTTTGTTTTAAGTGATAACAAGTGTCCACATCAATGATATCAGATTCCATGTATAAATGCTAATTTATCCAGGATACATAGGATAAGGAATGAGATGTCAGTTTTGTTACTGTTAATATTCTCTTAATTAAAACTTATTGGCTGTTTCATATTACGTACAAATTGAATATCTCAGCAACAATTTCCTAAGTGTTATATAGGCAGACCTGACTGGAAAAGTAAGTGTTACTGATTTCTTCAAAGTATCTGAGGCTAGTCTTTCATGTAATATATTTGGGGTAATACTTAGATTCCAAATTGGCTTTTAATTGTATGTTGATTTTGCACTAGAACAAATATGTGTCTTAAAGAATTAGAATATGCCAAAATGCTTTCAGCACCAAAATCATTTCTGCACCAAAATCATTTAATAATGCATATTAATACATAAATTAATTCTTTAAAATGTGTTGATTCAAAAGTCATTTTGAAATGTTCATAGCTTCAGGATCTCTCCTGTAAACTCAAACTATTATTTTTCAATTTGAAGGGGGACACTACTTTGAACTTCCTCATTCAGATGAACTGTGAATAAATGGCAGTTGATTATTTATTTATGCAAGATAGAGTAACTAAATAATTTCCTTAGTTGCCTAAGCATTTGCAGAGAATGCTGGCCTACTGGCTCTTTGTATTATTTTGTTTGTTCATCTTATAAATTTTATAAGATTGCAGAAAGACAGTAATTCTATTACATTTACTTATCTGTTGAATTGGGAGAATCACTTCTGATTCTTCTACCTCCCATTCCAACTTTTTCTCTGACTTCAACTTCTCCCTTCACTCCTCATTTTTTTTCTTCTTTTGTTTCTTCCCATTCTTCTTCTTGGTTGTATGCAACTAGAAACTTATGCATTCCAATGGGACTTACTGACATTGTCTGCCTTCCCAACTGAACATAGTCTTGATCCTAGCACAGAGGGCAGAAAAATGTTCAGTAAATGTGTGCATCCATCATCCCTGTTCCCGAGGGTCTCGTAAAGGCAAACCACAGCTCACAAAGAACCAGGTGGACCATGGGAGAGACTATTGCAAAAAGGAAATAAAAGTGGCAGGTTATAGAGAACACAGGAAAGACAGTTGTATTTTACTTTTTCCATAAATCTTTCACAGGGATCTATTGAATTTTGACCACTCTGTTACCTTCTTCCCTTAAAACTAGGGAACTAGAATATACCTAAGATTTCTCAGGCTCTTGTGTGATAATAGAGTTAGTTTTTCAAGTTATAAATTATTTGGAATGAAAGTACTATTTTTGGTGTACAGGATTTATGACATAGTTTGAGATAAATTTTTCTATGTGTTCACTATTCCAATATGATAGCTAAAAGGTACTATGATGTTAGGTTGCCATTAAAAGAGGTGTTTGAATAAAATGATGGTGGTCATTAGTGAAGATTCCCCTCAAAATTATCAAATTAAAAATATTATCTGGTAAGCTTCTTACACAGTCGCAACTCTTTTCTCAGCTAGCTTAATGTACTGCCATCTGTCCTTTTTCTTCCATTTTATATAATAAAAATCACATGTAATAAACATCAAAAAATAAACCTTTTAGCATTAGACATCAGGTAGCAGAGAAAAACAAAACAATGTATTATTAAAAATCTTTACCACTTCAGAATTCTATCAAAATGCCATCATTTGAAAAAATAGAATAGCTGCATCTTTGGTCAAGTCTGTTTATACTCCAGAATAATATTGAAGAGGTACAAAATAAATGTCAAGGGAAATCTGGGAAATGTATTGGAAATAAATCCAAGGATAAAAGAAAGGCTCCATTTCTTATGCCTGATATTTTATTGCAGTAAATTTATTTCCAAACTGATGGAAAATATAAATTATGTTATTTTTGTGGGGCTGGCTCTCAGATGAGAAGCTTCACTTTTAGAAACTGAACATTCAAGTACTACTAGAATTATTTTATTTATTGATAGAAGTAGTGAGTGCAGCAATTGCTATTCATCTTAACCCCTTTAGGATGGCACTAGCGAGGCAAATACTAGTCCTAAAAATAAAGAAGAAAACTTACTTGTCCTTGAGTGTGCTTCTAAATCTTCTGAAACACTCACCTCCCTTCAGGTCTCATCTCATAGCTGGGCTTCATGTTACTTAAGTGTAGAGCATTTGTCTTTGGATTCTCAGAACCCAACTTAGAGCCTCACACTTAGTAGGTGCTCAGTAAATATTGATGAAGATGGATTGGGCATGATGAGATTCAAGCTACAGGGAAAATAAGTATTATGGAACAGATAATGATAAATCTTACCTACTTCACAACTTCATCTCTAATCCTACCCCCAAGCTGCATCACATGATTGTGACTACAGTGGGGACATTTTTTAACCAAGCATCTGGCTGTAAAACTGTTTTCTTAGATAGCAACTCAAGGTGGAAGGTGGAAGGTGAGGGAGCGGCCTGTTGGGTGTGGCGGTAAAACAGTGTGGGATGGAAACAGGCCTTTCTCTAAAGCTTTTGAAAGATGTGTGATCTACCCATCTGAGGGACAGCACTAATCTTGATGTTTTAAATTTAAATATTGTCCACTCTGTTTAACCAAGCCCTTTTTTTCTCAATTAATAGATCGAACAACAGATTTTGGTGAGGAATAAGGCTATGAATACTGAGATGGTAATCATTTTATCCCCTGCCACTTAGGCCTGAAAACATACACTGTTTCAGTTATTGAGGTTGGCTCCACCTCTGTGGTTTCTCCATATTATTTCCACCATCCCTCTCCTCTATTACTATCCATAATCCTACACTTCATCAAATTTAGCTCAAGGCTCACTTCCACCAGGACATCTTTCCTGACTAACTTCACCCTTAACGTCATATCCCTGATTGTAATGTTACCACAGCTGTCTTCTTCCTCCCCAGCTGTCTTAGTCTTTTCAGGTTTCTATAACAAAATGCCACAGACCAGGGGGCTTATAAACAATAGAAATTTATTTTTCCACAATTCAGGAGGCTGGACAGCCCCTTCCTGCTGTGTCTTCACATGGTAGAAAGAGATAGGGATCTCTCTGGGGTCCCTTTTGTAAGGCCCTAATCCCATTCATAGGGCCCCGCCCTCATGACCTGATCACCTCCAAAGGTCCCCTCTCCTCATTATCGCCTTGGAAATTTGAATTTCAACATATAAATTTGGGTGAAGAAGGGACATAAACATTCAGTCCATTGTACCAACTTAATTAAAAACTCCCCAAAATGAGGACTGAATTGTTTATTTCTTGTTAACCCTTAATGTCATAGTTTGTATGAACATGACATATTGACATGCCACTTAAACTCTGTAAGATTTGGTTTCTTCATCTCTATAAAAACACTTGTTCTGCCTGTCTTCATACAACTTCTATGAGCATAACCACAATAATAGTAATTATAATTTATTGAGCTTTTATTTGACTGTGCTCTGCGACTGCATATATTAGTTTTACAAGGTATGTATTATACCCCCTTTACAGTTGAGTAAACAGGATCAAAACCAAGATCCAACTGTCTCTAATGCCCATTTCCTTAAATATATGTATGTCAAGTAAGATGTAAGAAAATATTCAGTGATAGAGTATCTTTATTGTTGGTTGAGATATTGGCACATATCTGTGACTGTAAACCGAACTCAGAGACAGACTCGATGCATGACCGGAGCCCCTTTCTTTGTCCCTAGAGAATCTTGACCTGGATAGAGGATTCTGAAAGTATCACCAGTATAAAGTCAAGAAGGAACTTCCAGTGAAATATAATTTTCATATGACACAGTTTGAATTTAGATTTCCTACTTTAGAAAACAATCTGACCAGATTTGTGTCAGGTAAATGAAGAGTTTCTGAAGGCTTGATTGTTTGTCTTCTCTGAAATCTAGATTAACAAGACACATAACAATTTAAAAACCCAGACATAATCAAAAGACAAAGCACTTTCCATTTTAACTTGAGGATGGAAATTGTGTTTGGGTAGATTTACAACACATCATCTTGTGTGGTTATTAAATTATCTTCACATTCAATGATGTCTTCTATTTTCCCTAAACTATAGATTTATTTCTCCAAGTTTTATAGCCTGTAAGGGTTCTTATGTTTAATTGGAAAGTGCTCTTTTGATGCCATCTTTATGTTTCAAGCCAGGAAACATCAAGTTCAATAACACAATTGATTGCTAATTTAATGTAGTTACCAAGTCAGTACATTTGTTACTTATTTCTGAGGCAAGCCAAATATGACTTCATATTATAAGCTCAGAAAACTTTCCAGGAGTGGCCCTGGCATGGAGTTGATTGGATTTTTACGATTAGATTAGATAAGATGTATCTGGGGAGATGTGTGAGGAAAAGGTCGGAGACAAGGACACCCGCCCAAATCTGTTATAATTATACCAGACAGAGCCAATGCTTGCTGAGCCTGGACCACACTCAGCTTTGGAGCTAACTGCCTTAGTCACATTCACTTACGTGGGAAATGCGGTTCTAGTGAGAACAGTGATGAGTTTGGATCTGGGCATGTTGATTTTGACTTTCCTTTGAGATATCTACCTATATGAAAATATCTGGCAGGCCAGTGAGTATGTGAGATAGAAGTTCAGAAGCACGATCTGGCTACACGCTTAGATTTGGAAGGCATCTCATACAGATGGCAATTAAAGTCATTATGGTGGATGGGAGAGTATTCAGATGAGGAAAAGGATGGCTTACCCCGGGATCCTCATGGTCTCCAGCTTTTAATGGATGAGCAGAGGACAAGCAGCCTGCAAAGGAGACCAAAGCAATGTCTGAGAGGTAGAAGCAAAGTCAGAGGGAGTCATGCAAGCCAAAAGAAGAGTGTGCTTCTGAAGAAGAGTGTGAAGTGCAATGCCAAGTTCTATCAAGAGGCTAAGGAAGGCAGAGACCTGGAAGTGCCCATCCATTTCATCAAGATGGATATCACTGGCATTACTGGTCAAAGCTGTTTCAGAAGAATGGTGACAAGGCAGCACTTTTCAATGGGTTCAGGAGGAAGAAGTGGAGAAGCAGAGTTGGCAGAGACCTCTTAGAGGTTTTGGTTGTGAGGGGGAGAGATCCAGGTAGCCAAAGGGAGCCACAGTGTGAGGGAATTTTTCCTTTAAGATGGGGGGAGACTGGAGTTTGTTTATGTGCTGATAGCAGAAAGGGACATGGGACAGAGAGGTGATAAGTGATGAATAACTCCTAGAAGGGCCATGAGGTGATGGGGCCCAGAGCTAAGGAGGAAAGATCAACTGTGGGTACACTTGTCACTGAAGGAGAATGGGAGAGAGTACACATGTGGAAGATTGGTGTCAGGATGTTGAAGGAGTTTTAACCTGGAGGTTTATCATTTATCACTGAAATAATAATAATAGCCCCAACAACAACTAAAATAATATTCACATTTCTGTAGAGCTCACTGTCAGCACCCTTCTAAGCACTTTTACATAGATAAACTCATTTAATTCTCACAGTGGCATTCAGAAGTCATCATTTTTAGCATTACTATCATCTTCCCAATGTTCTATAACTGGTGATGGATGTTTCTGGGATTTAAACCTAGGCCACCTAGCTCCCTAGACCATATTCTTAGCCATTATCCTTTGCAGTATAGAGACCAATACTGCTTCTCTATATTAATAACAGCTCTTATTTACTTGAGATCATATTTTCATTGTTCTATGAGTTTTCTATCTCAGTTAAGCCTTATAATACTTCAATGGGATGATTATTATTATTCTCTATGTACATATGGAGACAGTGAGACACAGAGGATAAATAACTTGCTTAGGGTCACCCAACTGGCAAGCGTGTAGGAGCAGGAATTGGATCACCTGCCACATGGAGAAGGGATGGTATTCGGGTCAAAGGTGTGAGGAGAGTGAGTGGAGGATGTTAGTCACCCCAATGGAACAGAAACCAGAACTGATTAGAGCCCAGGGAAGGAATGCCAAGCAGAGGACTCAGGGTGGCAAGGGGGTGGGGACTAGAGGTTATGAAACTATGATGCATCCACCAGTTTAGAATAAAGGGAAGAAGACACATTTCGAAGCCTTAAAGAAGCAAGAAGATAATAATGATAATATTAATACATTATTATGTTAGCTATTGTTACGTAAAAAAAAAAAGTACCTCAAAAGTAATGGCTTTGTATTAGTATATTCTTGCATTGCTATAAAGGAATACCTGAATCTGGGTAGTTTATAAAGAAAAGAGGTTTATTTGTCTCAGGGTTCTGCAGTCTGTAAGAGAAACATAATGCCTGCATCTGCCCCTAGTGAAGGCCTCAGGAAGCTTCCACTTATGGCAGAAGGCAAAGGGGGAGCTGGCACACCACATAACGAGAGAGGGAGCAAGAGAAATGTCAGGCTCTTTTAAACAAAGAGCTCTCATGTGCACTGACAGAGCAAGAGCTCCCTAATTACCGTGGGGAGGGCACCAAGTCATTCATGAAGGATCTACCCCATGACCCAGACACTTCCCACCAAGCCTCACCTCTAACATTGGGGATTACATTTCAACATGAGATTTCGGGGAGACAAGCACTCAAACTATATCAGGCTTAAACAACAAATATTGATGATCTCACAGTTTCTGAGGGCCAGGAATGTATGCGTGGCTTGTCTGAGTGGTTCTGGCCTGGGCTGTCTCTTGAGGTCACAGCCAGGATGGCAGTTGGGGCTGCACCATCTGAGGGTTTGGATCAAGCTGCAGTATCCTCCTCCAAGATGACTTATGCAGGAGTTCCTTGCCATGTGGACCTCTCTACACGGCTGCTTCAGCATCTTCACACATGCCACTGGCTTCCCCCAGAGTAAGTAACGTGAGAGAGAGCTAAGAGAAACCCTTTTATAACCCAGTTTTGGAAGCCACACACTATCACTTCTGTTTTATTCTATCCCTTAGAAGTGAGTCACTGAGTCCAACCTAGACTAGGAAAGAGTTTCAAAGAATTGCTGGAGATATTTTTTAATCACCCCACTCATACATGGTGATTTCTAAAGGATGTAACCGTCTTTCAGAACTCAACAGCCTTTTCCCACTGCCAGTAGGTTCTGTAGCTGAATGGTAAAGGGTTCCCCTCAGGACTGGGCAAAGGGAGCAAGTCCATTTGTGTGGAAAGCATGAAATGAGGACTGTGCTGCTCTGCAGTGTGCAACTTAAGGGACACATTTTCAAAGTGCTGCAGAAAGACATAATTGTTCCACCCATGGATTTCAGTGGGATTCACACTGCTAATGTATCTGGGCAGTCTTTGGAAATGGATCCCTGGGTTTGCTGGTCTCTTGTTTGAATTGCCGAGCTGAAAGGCGGCATCTGGGTTTCAACAGGACCCTGCTCTGCACCTGTCCTTACAGCCAAGGTGCCTGAGTGGGAAGTAACTAGCCAGTGTCCCTGCTAGCTCTGGCCTCGCTATAATTGTGAGGAACCACAGATCCTTTCTTTTTTTTCATTTCATTCTCTCAGCCCCCATGTTCCTTTATCTCAGACGCAGAGGTTCCTTCCCACTTCTCAGTGGTATCCCATCTTCCCTCCCAGAAACAGATGCGTGATCCTAAGAGAATCCCCCCACTCCTTTTGTTTCTCTCTCTCCAAAGCACAATGCCATTTTGCTGCCTGCTGGTGGCTTTCCTGACCTCTGTATACATACAGTTCTAGATGGCTCATCTGGAAATAACCTGATCAGCTATTAGAAGGACTTTCATATCCAGCTGAGCCACTGATAAAAATGTCCAGCAGCAAAACCAACCCTAATATCCTCTACAAATTTACAATCAGACTGGGTCCTCTGCCTTCCCTCTTAAAATCTACATGGGATTTAGAGAAAAGAGTAGGATTAGTGGGGCAAATTTGACCAAGATACCTCACCTCTTTGAGCCCCTATAATTCTTCCCACCTATAAAGTATGCCGTCAATGGGTTAATCCTTGGGAAATTGTCCATCACAGTGCCTGGCATGCAATAAGTGATCAATAAATGCTAATATTTTTCAGCCTAAATTAAAATGATGGTGCTATTAGGAAAGAATGATTGTTTGGGCCACACATCCACTACCCTGCCTCTTGTCTGGAGCATGTTGGTTCATAATTCAGTAGGTAATGAGGTTTGGGATTGCAGAAGGCCTGTGATTGATGGCACAAAAACCTGACGTAGTCCAATTCAATTCTGTTTGGAAAAGTAGTCCCAGGTCATCAAACTGCCCTCGCATTGCAGAAAGCACCATAAAATGGAAGAGACCACAGGACATGAAAGAACTACTTTTCTTTCTGTAGCCAACACACATTAAAGGTCACTATTCTGCGTTAACTTGAAAAGAGCAAAAGCACTGTTTAACACAGGCTGTCCAGACTCAATTTTAGAGGCAGGAAACAGAAATTAGTCAAGTCCTCTAATTTATAGATGGAAAAACTATTGTCCAAAAGTTTCTTTCAATGAATCTGTTTTGAACATTTATTGTGAGATATTACCAAGATGCATGATTGTATGTCTCTTCAAGCCAGCAGAATATTTATCACACACTATATTTCCTCAAGAAATTCTTAATAAGTAAACAAATGAATGAATTCACAGACTTGCCCCATGTTAGAAATTAGTAACTAGAAGAACTAGAGCTAGAACACCCATCTCCTGACTTCCTGTTTACTACTTCTGGGTGAGACCAAAAATGCTTGAAAATAGCTAGGAAAACTCAAGCAGTTTTCTTAGATTAGCTTCTGAATCACTGATTTAAGCCCATGCAGAAAACACAAATGAAGCACTCTGCCACCAGCCCATGACTGAAGGTTGTGTCATAGTGTCTCTGAATCAGTCCCTTCCTGGGAATGATGATGTCCATACTAATGCCTTCTATAAAAGGGCTTTTGCCTCCTTTCACCTCTTAAACAGCTCTCATTTCACTTCAGAGGGCCTCTTTGTTTCAAAGTCAAAGTATACAGAACCAGAATTTTATCAGTCAGCCAGTATTAAAAGGTGTACAATGGATTAATGAGGCAAGAATTCTCTCATTTACTCTTAAGGGACAAGAAAGAGAGGCAAATGTCATTGCTTACAGGTATTCGGGCCCACAATGCTCAGAGAGTACTAAGTGTCTAAAATCCATTTCTAAGCAAATTTCTCTTTTAGATATACATACTACTATTTTTTTTATTATTATACTTTAAGTTTTAGGGTACATGTGCACAATGTGCAGGTTAGTTACATATGTATACATGTGCCATGCTGGTGCGCTGCACCCACTAACTCGTCATCTAGCATTAGGTATATCTCCCAATGCTATCCCTCCCCCCTCCCCCCACCCCACAACAGTCCCCAGAGTGTGATGTTCCCCTTCCTGTGTCCATGTGTTCTCATTGTTCAATTCCCACCTATGAGTGAGAATATGCGGTGTTTGGTTTTTTTTTTTAATTTTTAATTTTGAAAAAATGTGTGTGGGTACATAGTAGGTATATATATATATATATATATATATATATATATATTTATGGGGTACATAAAATGTTTTGATACAGACATGCACTATGAAATAAGCACAACCTGGAGAATGGGGTAGTCATTCCCTCAAGCATTTATCCTTTGAGTTACAAATAATTCAGTTACATTCTTTAAGTTATTTTAAAATATTTAATTAAGTTATTATTGACTATAGTCATCCTATTGTGCTATCAAATAGTAGGTCTTATTCATTCTATTTTTTTTTCTACCCATCATACTACTGTATTTACCAACTATAAAAGCTCACCTGATGTGAAGCCCTTTCAGACACCATTCAGCCTTTCTCAACTCAGGTTTCTTATCTGAACTGCAACACAGGAAATTGTTTGAGTGACTGTCTTCTCGATTCTCCAAAGATAGTACATAACCTGGATCATCCTATGTTCTTGGGAAAGAAAGTGATCCATTACATGCAATGGATGCTGCGGGGCAGTAGGACTTAATTTCTCAGGAAAGCCTGGCTGAGAAACATGCCACAGTAATCCAGTACACTTACAAATTATGAACACATCAAATTGTTCTTACCACACACACACACAATTCCAAAAAAAAAAAAAAAAGTCCTATTTTACAATCTCTTAACAATGAAAATGGCTTCATTACTTCCAAAATTTTTTCAGAAGAAAAAATTCATTTGTATTCATGTTATTAAAATACATTATTTTTTTAATTTGGAAAGCATAACGGGAAGATCAGCAAATCTTTTTAGATATGTAAATTATAACTCAAACAAAAATAGATTGCTGGTACGTTTGCTATGAAGAATATTAAATGGATTTTGTAGGCAAGTTAGACCAAACTGTATTCCTTTGAGGTATTTGGGAAGTTATTTCTAACTTTTCAGTAATCAGCAAATAGTTTCAGACCATCACCCTCTTAGATGCCTGGGAGGACATGGCAAAGAAAAAGCACTTTGCATATTTTGCCAACAGACTGCTGATTTTTTTTTCTTTACTTACATTGATTTCTATCTCGTGCAAAACAAAAGTCACTGATTTGTCTCATATCATTTTATTTTGATCACTAGTTTACAATTGAAAAATCGGCTTATAGTTGGTAAAATAGAGCAGAGCCGGAGAAGGAATTAACATTTATAGAATGCCTGCTATGAGCTTGGCATAGTGCCAGGTACTTTGCACATATAATCTCAACTAATCCCCAAGAGGTAAGTGGTTTTATCATTTTCCTTCTACAGATTAAAAAAGTGAGACTCAGATTCACACAGTCATTAGCAAAACTGAGATTCAAACAAATTTCCACAATTCATATGTTCAGAATTATTCCACGATTCAGCACATCTTTCTCCAATGATGACTGAAAACTAAATTAGGACACTTTACTTATTTTTCAATTTTTATCCCTTATTATTCAGCAGACAAACTCTCTCCCAAAATATGACCACACTTGACTGGCTTCCACATAAGATCAAAAGAAATAGGGATCAGTAAGATGAAGAAATTGAAACTCATGAGTGAAACTGTAAATTTGACCCTTTTGCCATGACCAATTCAGATGTGCAGTATTCCCAAAGAGCCGCTGAGCTATGTTTCACAAGAAAAGAAAGTCAAAAGTCAGAAGACTGGAGCACCCACGTCCTTAGAATACAGATACTGTATATAGAATATAGATTATTTAATTTTCTTCTTTTATTCTTAGATTGTGGTGAATACATCAGCTTGGCTGAGAATTATTTTCATTCCTTTATTCATTTGAAAATTTCACTTTCACTGATAGTCTTTAAATATGTTCATAGGAATTAAAAAACATGGGCTTACGTCTCAGCCAGCACAAATGCCCGGTGTTCACTATTACACACAGTTTAACCTCTCGAAAACCCACTGTCCCCTGCCTCTCACAGACTGCTTTGGTCTTACCCCTCCTTCTCAAGGACTCTTGCAGGAACTGCTACTAGAAAAGAGAGAACAGTAACTAAAGCATTTTCTTTTGTCTACAAGCACAATGCAGAGGCACTTTAAGAACAGGAGAGTCTTTCTGCTGAGCCTCTTTCAATAAAGCATTAATATTTATTAACTTGCACTCTGCTGTAGAATGAATGTTTTATGATAAAAAACAAGTAGCAACAAAATGGAAATTTTAACCACAAGCAACCTACTCTTCCAGTGATAACAAGCTCAGGATGGGATTAGCAAACCACTGTCTCTGTGTTTCGGGGGACTCTTACGCAATCATCTAGACAAAGCAGTAATTGATTACTGCTCCATGCAATTACTAGAGACAATAATCAAAAAGTTATAGACTTCTTTTATCAATAAGAGCCAACTAAATGAAGCTGTGAATTAACCTTATATTAATGCTGCATTAACAAATGCTACATTAATGCTACATTGACAAATTAACATTATAGCAATACTACATTAAATTAATGCTACATTAACAAAAAAGTCCTATATATTAATAGGACTGAAGCCTTTTTCAGAAGCTCAGAATTATATACACATTTTATATTTAAATGAGATCAATCCTCAATTCAGAAAAGAAAGGATTTTTTTTCAATGTTGAACAAAAGCATGTCTGTCTCAAGTTTGCCTATTCATTCATTCATTCACTATTTATTGAGTACATTTTATCTGCCAGACACATAGAAATGTGGGATTTTGAATCAGAATCAAGGTCTAAAAAAATGACTTACATGAGTTCTTCACTATTGAGGACTGCTCTTATAAATCACTTTGTAATTCCTTTAACAAACTACTCAATCTTACTACAGCTTTATATAGTGTGTTATTACATACTGAAAAAGAACAAGAGCATCTCAATTCTATAATTAATGTACACACTCTGTAAAGGCACAAAAATAAAAATTCGGTAGCATTTATTTCTTTCCTGTCAATTTTGATGATTCAATACAGTGATAGCTGTACTAAGACCATGTAGCAATTAGCCTGTTGAATATTCTCTTTCTATAGTCTTGAGGGCAGTTCTTACCTAAATATTTTAGGAGTAGATTTCCAACCCATCATCTTATGTTTCCACTGGGTCTAAGCAGTATGGGAAAGAAAAATAAGCATAGATTTTGGAATCAGGCAGTCCTGGGTATGAATTCTGATTGTGTGTGTGGTAGACTCTCAGAAAACTTACTTTACCTCTCCATTTCTTAGTTTCTTCGCCTACAAAATGAACACAATAGCATCTATTTTGCAGGATCGTCGCAAGGAATATAGATAACATGTATAGAGCAACTAGCTCGCAATAGGTATTGCTGTTCTTTTTATAAAAAAAAAAAAAAATCTGGAAGGCCACACTGAAATTGCTCTATTTTAAGTAGTGTAATTCACCATGAAATTAAAATAACAAAAAAGGTAGAATGAGACAGAGTTGAACATTTTGGGCCTGATTCATATCTATCTCATGAGACAATTATTTTATATTCAAGATTTCCACCTAAATAAGGTATCTAGTAAGAATAATGTTGATTTTAAATAAGAGACCTTCAAATTACTGAATGAGATTGACAGAAAGAATCACATTTCTCCTAGCTCCCCGCCACCATCTCCAGAATTATAATTGTTCTGCTGTGCCTGTTAAAGTATGGACATGATAGAGAAAGGAAAGAAACAAAATAACTAGATTGTAAAATTATTTTGGGATCATTAGCAAATACAAGGTTGACTTCAAAATGAAACAATCATTGGCATGCCAGTTTTTTAGTACAATGAGAGCACCATCTCTATTTTCTGCCCCATTTCAGTAAATAAATAAATACTCATTTAAGCACAGTCTTGCTTTGAATAACTTTTGCCATAAATCTTGCCTCTATCCAAAGCAATACTAAGAAGAAGATGTAGACTGTACTTTCACTGTACCACAGAACTGATGTTCTTTCTTCCTCTCTTTCCTCTGTCTGATTCTCCTTTTCATATCTTGTGTTCTTTTTTTCTGACTTCTGCCTCTTCCATTTGATACCCTGCAGGTTGTCCGGCCATACCAGACCATGTCCAATCCCATGAGCAAGCTCACTGTTCTCAACAGCATGCATTCCCACTTCATTCTGGCTGACAACGGGACCACTGGAAAATATGGAGCAGAGGTGAAACTTCGAAGACAACTGGAAAAGCATATTTCACTCCAGAAGATAAACACAAGTAAGTAGCGGTTGTTCCCACTGGCATGGCTCGTAGGAGGTATGCTGAAAGTGAATAACTTTAAGTACACCATGCAGCAATGTAATAAAAACTTGAGCAAGTTTTAAACATGAACCATTATTTCTACCGGGCCAGAGCTTAGAATGAGAGGAAGCCATCCAGAGGAGAACAATTGGAGGCGTAAGAAGTAATTACACAATTAGTGACTCCAGCTTATGTATCATGTGTGAAAAATTCAACTCCATCTGGGGTATGTGTATGCAGATAAGCTTTCTCTTCAGACTTTTCCTTCATCATCTGCATGGTACTCCAAGGAGAAAAGTTTCTATTTATTAAGCTCTTTTTGGTGGCTAAACAGAAAAGCAAAAGAATCAGATTTTGATCTTAGCACCGATCTGGCTGTGCAAAGGCATTTCAAAGAAATTGAACATTCACTCTCTAAGCTAAAGCATCATGTGAAAATGTTTCTATTTATTAAGCTTTTTTTGGTGGCTAAACAGAAATGTTTCTATTTATTAAGAGACAATGTTTCTATTTATTAAGCTTTTTTTGGTGGCTAAACAGAAAAGCAAAAGAATCAGATTTTGAACTTAGCAACGATCTAGCTGTGCAAAGGCATTTCAAAGAAATTGAACATTCACTCTCTAAGCTAAAGCATCATGTGAAACTATCTTCATGAAATTTTAATTGTCTGAATTTTAAGTATGTACTCATTGTCTCTAGATACATATGGATTTAGATATAGATAGATGTATATGTGAACCACATAGTACATAGTTACGCTAATATTATCTCTTAAGCGCATAGGAATCTCTATTTGCTGTATTTATTGTGTAAACATTTGTTTTAACTGTGAAAGGTAGCATCATCAAAACAGCAATGCTCCCCAGATCACTAAGTGGCTTGCATTTAAATGCAATTTAGGTATGAAAGCAATCTACCGTCCCGCCTCACAAAATAAAATTCTATTTGTTTTTATAAAGTAACAGGTGAGGATGCATGGCAAGCTCAAACTTTGTGGTAATTAGATGTCCCATCAGGGAAACTTTGATCTAATTGATTGAAATTCCAAAGTCTACAGTTCCAAAGAACAAAAGATTCCCTTTGGCTAGATGAGTTTTCAGAGGTTCTATGTACTGTGATTCAACTTTTCCAAATGACTTTTCCCTTCTCTAGATTTTTCTCTGCACCTGTCCCAAATGGGTCTTCATTGCCATCGCCACCTTCCTCCAAAAACAGGGATGTTAGATTTATCAGACCACAGCTTCTCCTTCCTACACTCTCTTTTCTGGTCCCACCTTTTAGGGACTGCTACTGTTTAAGTGTCATGTTTCATGGTTTCATATTTTTCACAGTGAAACCTGAAATAATAAATTTTGTCCTAGGTCTGAAATAAAAATTATATTACGAAATTTCCTTCCCAAACTGTCTTTGGAAAGAAGAAACACAAGTGTTATTATCCCAAGGTGAACATCTTCTGGAAACAAAAAGAGTAGAAAAGACTAGAAAATATACAGAGACCAGCAGAGATCAAATGTAACAAAGCACTGTGATCAATGGGTGGTAGGTTTTACTGTAAATACTAAAATTGAGTTCCATTACAGTACTTGATAGAATGGGCAAATGTTATGTAATCAGTGTTATCTATTTAGGTTTTTATAAGCTGCAGCATGACTTTCTGTACACCATCAAGTTAAGAACGAGAGCTTAAATAGGACTGAGCTAGAAGCTGAAGAGGATAAGAGCAAGGAAACAAGGAATAAATTCAGGGTCAAGTTCAGTACTTGGTAATAAGACAAAATCGGTCCAGAGAGGCAAAGCATGTCATTGTGGCAGGCCCTGGTGGCAGCTGGGCTGGTTAGCCAGTAGTGTGGGTAGCAGGCCTAGGGATGTGTTCGTGTAAGTTACACACCCAGCAAAGGGGATGGGAGCTGGAGTTAAAACCCCAGCCAGAGCCTAGGTTTTAGTCAAACTTTGGCACCTTCCAGAATGCCTAGAGGAAGGGGGTTCCTTTTTCTAATTGATCATCCCAGAGGGAGTACCCTTTTGCAATGTACGTGCCTGAAGGGGTGACTTTCTTCAGAAATGGGAGAGCTGCTGCATATATGGATGGCACTGCAGGGGAAGTCCAGGGAGGCTCATGGACAGTGGCCTGGCCTCCCTGAGGAGCAGAGGCCAACAGCACGCAGCTGAAGAGCAGGGCACGGTGGATGGTCAGCATGTCAGGAATGCTGGAGGAGTCACCACCCGATACTAGTCCTTGGGTAGATCATCAGGGACACATCACATTCCATTTATGGAAACACCAAACCTTTGCTAGATTATCAAGGCAGGTAGTGGCACATGGGCACTTGACAAGCAGGGGCCCGTCAGGAGTCTAGAGTACAAAGGAGGGGAGAGGCACGGATCCAGGTACCACGGGACTTACTTTTGGGACTGTATTTGTGGCTTCATAGAGACCCACAGGCTCCTCTTCCAGTGAATATATTAATAATTAAATGGTAAGAGGAGAGTTATAAAAGCCCAAGAGAAATTCTGAAGTCACAGGAAGTAAAAAGGCCCAAGGTAAGGAATTTGTGCATGAGCTGTAGTGAATGTCAAGAGTTAGCTCCTATAGCAGTTCTACCCCTGAACTTAATAGTGGTAGGGTGACCAACTTGTCTCAGTTTGCCTGGGACTTTGTTAGGTTTAGCCGTGAAAGTCCCAAATCCCTGGGCCCCCTCAGTCTGGGCAAACTGAGATAATGGGTCGCCCTACAAGAGAGTGACTCATAAGTCATTAGGTCAACTTCCCTCATTACTGTACTCAGCCCCCAAAGTCGGATGGAGCAGCAAGCTCCTTAGAGGGTAGGGAGTGACCCAGGCTCTTTGAAGTAGGTAAAGCAGGACCTTTGAGGTCTCCATTCAATTAACAGCAAAAAATGCTCACTGAGAACACAAAGGCCTCTAGAACAGCACTGACAAAGACACAAAGACAGGCAAAAAGCGGACCTGGTCTTAACATGAAAAACGGCAGAAGAATACAAACCTTTAATGCAATCCTCAGTCAGCAATTTAGAACAGCAAATCTACTTTCTAACATGGACACTTTGTGGTTCTTCCTTTTAAAAATAAAATTTTATGGCCGGGCACAGTGGCTCACACCTGTAATCCCAGCACTTTGGGAGGCCGAGGCAGGTGGATCACGATGTCAGGAGTTCGAGACCAGCCTGGCCAACATGGTGAAACCCCGTCTCTACTAAAAATACAAAAATTAGCTGGGCATGGTGGCGGGTGCCTGTAATCCCAGCTACTCGGGAGACTGAGGCAGGAGAATTGTTTGAACCCTGGAGGCGGAAGTTGCAGTGAGCCGAGACCATGCCATTGCACTCCAGCCTGGGCGACAGAGCAGGACTCCATCTCAAAAAAAAAATAAAATAAAAAAATTAAAAGGATAAAATTTTATTCCATAAGTTTATCCTAAAAATTCCATTTACTTTTTCATTTCCTGCTTCAGATGTTTAGGAAATCTAATTTACAAATGTGTAATTCAATTTCCTGAAAATGAAACACTATGCCACAATAACAGTGTCTACCACCTCTTACACTCAGGATGGCCCCAGGGAGGTATGAACGCCCCTCAGCATTTCCTTGCTAAAGTTCCATTCCCCCTCATCACTTAGGGGTGACCTGCATACTGTAGTATCCTATCAACGAGCCTGTTTTCTTACATAAATGGTATAATCTTCTGAAGAATATTTCCCCTAAACATTAAATGAATCCTGTTCAGGAGACTCATAAATGCTTTTTCATCAACATGGCAATGATCACTGAAAACATACTCCAAGCACCAGTGTTTGACCTTTTTCTCCACACTCTGACTTTCATTGTCCCTCCTCTCCCATTGCATTCCTACAGCCAACAGTCAGGACTGAAACATCATCATCAGTTAGTGATGGGCTTTGTTTATAAAAGAGAAGCCTTTCAGACATGAGCAGTTACCTGCCTCACAATGCTCTTCCATCTACAGTTTTTTAAACTTCAAATTTAATATGCAAGGAACAATTTCAGTCATTCCTTTAGTAAGTAAATACTTATCGAATTCCTACTAAGTACCAGTCATGGTTAAGGTCTAGAATAGCAACAATTAACAATTCATTGAGCTTACATCAAGGGGGGCAACCATAGTAATAAGTAAGAAAATGACTAACTGTGTGATGGCCGATAGTTTTTAAAAAGTGCTTTCGAGAAAAATAAAGCAGAGTAAAGCATCTATCAGTGCACTTGTGTGCATGCACACGTGTGCATTGGGAGGACAGTTTCTATTAGGTGATCAGGAATGACCTCTATGAGGAGGTATCGTTTATGCAACAACCTGAATGAAGCAAGCGGCTGGCTGTGAAAGAGCATTCTGTGGAGAGTGAAAGCAGGAACTAAGCCACCAGGTGTTCAGTGAGGAGCGGGGGAAAGCTTGGTAAAGAGTTGGAGCTTATTCTAACCAAGACTGGATCTGGGACATTACAGGGTCTCCCTAATTATTTAAAACATCACTCTGCTATAGTACGTAGAGATTAGACTGAGGTAGAGAGCAAGATTAAAAACAAGGAAATGCCTTCAGGAGGCTATTGCAATAATGCAGGTGAGAGATAACTGGTTTGAAAAAGGATGGCAGCAGTGGAGGTAGTAGAAAGTGGTTGGATTTTGCGTGTGTGTGTATGTGTGTGTGCGTGGGGTCGGGGGGAGCACTGCAGGGGAAGCCCAGAGAGGCTCATGGGCAGCAGCCTAGCCTCCGTGAGGAGGAGAGGCCAGCAGTGCAGAGCTGAAGAGCAGGCCACGGCAGATGGTCAGGATGCCAGAGATGCTGGAGAAGCCACCATCAGATGCTAGTTTTGGGGTAGATTGTCAGGGACACATCACATCCCATTCATGAAAACACCGGGCCCTTGCTAGATTATCAAGGTGGGTAGTGACACATGGGCATATTGACAAGCAAGGACCCAGTTAGGGAGAAGTCTGGAGTACGAAGTAGGAGAGAGGCACAGACCCAAATACCAGGGGACTTACTTTGGGGAACACACACACACACACACACACACACACACACACACAAGACAAATCTTTGTTTTTGAAACTGTGGTAAAATAAATATACATAACCTAGAATTTACCATTTTAATGATTTTTAAGTGTGCAATTCAGTTTCCTTAAATATATTTACATTGTTTTTGTGCAATGATCACCACCATTCATCTCCAGAACGTTTTCACCATTCCAAACTGTAACTCTGTACTCATTAAACACTAACTCCCCATTACACATTACCCCCTCCCCCAACCCCTAGTGGCCACTCTTCTACTTTCTATCTTTATGCATTTGCCTATTTTAGGTACCTCATATAAATGGCATTATAAAATCTTTGTCCTAAGATATATTTTGAAAATAGAGCTCAAGAGGGCTTGCTATTGAATTGAGCATTCAGGATAAGGAATAGACACTTCAAGAGTGATGCATGGTCATCCTTTGAGACACCACTGTGTCCTTAAAACAATGGGACAACATGAAAGCCCCTAAGGAGTGTTTACAGAAAAGAAAGGGACTGAGGACTAGTCTCTAGGGAATTTGTACAAAGTTTTTGAGAAGCGGTGAGATTCCACGCAGAAATAAAGAACATGCACAAATGAAGAACAGGAGGAAAAGCAGAGAATTACGGGCACAGATGTGGGTAGGAAGGGACACTTTCTGGTGGAAAGATAAGGTGATTCTCTAAACATAGCTTCTATATCTACATAAAATAATACAGGAGCTTATTGGCTAGGAGTGTGTAAGAGGAGAAGGTGTTGAAGATTAGGGACAGAAAACAACTACAGTCAGTTTAGAGACTGGGAGAATGAACAGACTAGGAAAATTTAGAATTCTCATGCAGCACAGTTGGTATTTGTGGTTGTAAATTTAAAGCAGCATGAATCATCAGAGTTGTATGGTTTTTTCCAGCCATGTTCAGTTACAGTGGTAGAATAGGCATCAATCTGGGATTTTACCTGGCAAGTAGGAAAGAGAGATGGAGAAGCAAGAGAAAGAAACTGATTTATTCTCTGTATATCTGTATCCCTAAAGTACCATCAGTGTCTATGAATGAAAAAAATGTTATGCCTGACATTTAAAAGAACATAAAATCATTAATCTAAAAGAGTAGACTGATGTACAGAGAGATGGTTAAGTAAATTATCAAAAGTGACTCACACCTTGAAAGTGTTTAAGTAAACAGGTTCATAATAAATAATTTTTAATATTTATTTTACTGTTCAGATATTTATATAAGTTCGACCAACTTAATATATTGCTGGAAACATAGTAGCTGCTTAATAAACATGTGTTAGCTTAAAGAGTGGATACCAAGGGACTACTCCAGAAAGTAGCATCTATGTATCCTGATAAGAATTTAAAAATCTTATAAAATTGTTATTATTAAAAAATGTTATTATAGCCACCCTACAGCTATCATCCAGCCTCTATATTTATCAGCCCTGGGCCAATCTTGTTTTCTCTATCCATATACCCACCTACTTCCACCTCTGAATAATTTTGAAGGAAATCCAGACAGCGTATCATTTCCTTTATAAATATTTCAGTACAAAAGCATTTTTTAAACCAATGTTGGCCACACATAGGCTAGATCTTAAAAATATTTCTTTAACTCAGTAGCAGCATCATGGCAAATATTAGTCTAAGAATTTTTTAACAATTCTTTCAAAAAATAAAAATTAAGAAATACACTATTGTATGCTGAAATTTATCTTAAAGATTTAACAGTCATCTTTTCTGGTTGCAAATTCGACTTTCAGCTAGCCAAAAACTATTTAAAATGAATATTACATTGCAATTCTTAGAATTCAAGATTAGAAAGATCTTCAGCAATTGTGACTTTCTTTTAAGGGTTTAAAGAGAAGAGTATAACTTTTGGGAGAAGAGGAAGTCTTTGTCTGTTGCTAGTGACATAAAGTAACAGTGGCAGGTAGCCTGGGAGTTGAGATTGTCAGGGCTCTGTGACCTTGGGCAAGTTACCGTATTTGACTTTATTTCTCCATCTGTAAGCTAGGGATAACAATTCCCTAGCTTACAGATGGAGTTGTGATTAAAGGAGTCGTTGTGATTAAAGGAGTCGAGATATGATTCTGTCATGTGGCAGTTCAAAAACATTGATTCCTTTCCTGCCTTCTTGGCGGTTCAGTGCCATGTGCCATGTCTACACAGCCTCACTGCCATAGGTTCCAACCTGAGACTTGGACCTTCTCTCTCAAAGCCCATCAGAGCCCAAGGTGTTCATCAGAATGTCTTATAACAGGCTCGGCGCAATGGCTTACGCCTGTGATCCCAGCACTTTGGGAGGCCAAGGTGGGCGGATCACCTGAGGTCAGGAATTCACCATTGCACTCCAGCCTGGGCAACAAGAGCGAGACTCTGTCTCAAAAACAAACAAACAAACAAACAAAAAAAGTCCTATAACAAATCATAACCTGGCTCTGCTTGTTAAAGAGAAGTCTTATACTCTCTTTAGTTACAGAAAGGTTCAAAGGGAAAAGTGGAGGCTTAAAATTAGATTGTGCTGCATATCATTATGCCTCTATTATTTGTTACAGAGTAATTTAATTTCTTAGTCACTGCAGCAATAAGAAATATATTCTAAACTGTAGTTGTCCCTCCTGCCTCAGTAAACAGAGAATAATAGAGAAAAATTAAGCTTTCTTTAAAAATCCAAGCTGTATCAGTGTCTTAGAGTAGTCATAAATGGCACTAGGATTTTTGAGTACTCGACTTGTTGGAGGTGTAGGAACTTGAGCTGAATATGAATTGACCGAGACTATATTTTGAAATATTAGATTTGAGTCAATATCAGATTTTTTCTTGTGATTTACCATTTTATTCAAAAAAATTAGAAGAAGAGGACAGAAATCTAGTTGTCTTCAGGCTCCATTTGATTGAGGTGTTATTCCTTTGTCTTTGAATTATATTTTAGGTTAGGCCGAATGGAAACTTTATTTGGATTGCACATCTGATTATATTGTGAACATCAACCTTGGGTATAGGAAATTTCATTATGAGGCTAGAATTTTCTGACTTTGTTATCTCCCTACTTGAAAGTGAAATCTATGTCATATGTAATCTAGTCTAAGGGATTATTTCCCCATGGCAGACCTTACAGATATACCTATTTTGCAATATTAATTGATGGAGTGTCTGGGTAGGTTTTGATTTCCATAACCAGTGCTTTTGCTACTTTCAAAGTTTGCTTGGAGAAGAATTTGAAGCTCTGTTTTTTTCTTTACCCTATAGTAATATCTGACATTTGAGTGTGGTCTCATCTGTTGAAGCCACCTAGAGTACCTTTCTCTAAAGCAGCAGATTAAACTGGGCTTAGCATTTCTAAGTAAACAAGTAGCAGAAAGGATTGCTGGATTCATAAAATATAATCAAATTTGGTATTTGAGGATATTGGTATTTAGAAATATCTGCAAAAATATGTTTTATTATAAAGTTCCTAAGCCAACACACCTATATATCTATGATTATGTGCCTCCCCTGGGAGACATTTTAAAATGTGAGAGGTGGGATTTGGGGTTGTCACAATTTCTGGTGCTTATTAATGGCATGGGAGAGGGGCCAGGAATGTTAACATCCTACAATATGCAGGACAGTCTCACATGAAGAGTCGCCTGGCCCAGATACCAACAGCATCTCTTAGGAAACACTACTCGGAGCATGTTACCCTGAGTTTTCTTTTTGTTTTTTCTAAATCTTTCCCATAACCCTCTCCTCACTTGTCAAGACCATACCCTTCTAAGGTAGCCTATACAAGTGTAAAGACATATGTAGAGGAAATGTTACTAGTGAATGGCAGTGAGATTCAAAATATGTATTTAACAAACCTGTGAAGGCTCTGGCGTCCTAAATCCACAGCAAGCCGGACATCAGCCCTGGTACCTCCTTCAAATCCTAATGCCACTTGCTATTGGGAAGTTCTTCCTCATATCTAATTTCACTTGCACTGAATCTTAAACCTGTTCTCTCCCAGATGAGGACAAAAGTCATTGTCTGTATTAGAGCTCTCAGCATATTTGAAAACTAAATATACTTAAATTGACCTTCTTCCATTATAGCTGTAGGAGGCTGTTTTTCATGGGAAGAGACACACTGACTTGCTTAACAGGCAGAACTAACTCATGAAGTAAATTAGATCAGAATTTCCAATTCGGCCGCACCCACTCTTAGCACCACTGCTTTATATGTTTCAGGCTAAGGGACTCCAGAAATGTGCTCAAAGCTGAGCACCTTCCTGTCAGAGTCCTTGATGCGCAGAGAAATCCTACAGTCCACAGTTATTAGCTGACTTTGGGGAGAGGCAAGGGCCCAGAAATGTGGGCGCTTTACCTGCGGGTCTCTGGACAGCCTTCTAACTCGAGGGCATTGCCCAGGATATCATTTAATAAATCAAGTTTCTAGCTGAATAAAGAGTTACTAAATTGAATGCAAAGAGAACTCTAACATATAATCTATAAATTACTGAGAATTATTTTGAAAATAGGCCAGGGGGCTAATATAAATCTTGAGTGAATGAATAAATTCATGAATCATGCTTTTCAAAAATTCACATTCCATTTCTGGCATATGTCTTTCATTTCCCTGGACTATATAGTAAAAACCCTATATGTGTTAGTAGTTTTCTCTTGTTAAATGATGAAGACAATTTGTCATGGGAATCTGACAGAGGTTATCTAGCGAGCACCACTGACATCCTCAATAAATTTACCAATGTCTCTGACGCCAACACTGACGTTAATGTTGTGCACAACAAATGTTCAAAAAAGTTTAAGTGACTTGACCCAGTCACTTTATTATAACAGAAATAACAGTTCCAAAAAAAACCAAAAATATTTTAGTAACGTCAACATGATTGAAATAAACATGTAGTTTCCTGGGAAGCTTTTTTTAAAGATTATATATATGAATAAACAATATATAATAAATATGACATATTTATTTTTATTCTTATTATGATGGTTAGATAAGTCTCATTTATTTGCATTTATACTAAATAAAGAGAGGCCAAGACTGGGTGGTCTGTAGTAGCACAGAGAGATAGGAAGATGACAAAAGTTAGGTATGAGTTTCTAATGAGAATTTCTTCTGGGGAGTTTTCCATTTTGGAGTAACTTGTGTATTCATGTAGTAAGAGATTAGATTGGCAGGAGATCTTCCGGTCTCTTACCCAACACTGCCAACCTAGCATGACACTTTCCCCGCTGAATCTCGATACACCTTATAACCATAAAGCCTTAGTTAGGACACAGGTTCTGCCTCAGTAACAATGACTCAAAATAATAGATGCTTCAATGAGACAGGAATTTTTCCTATTCATATGTTACTCTGAACATGAGTTCAGCTCTGATGTGGGTGCCTCACTCCTGTGAGGACTCATTTCATCTCCTTTGCTCTGGCATTCCTGTTTGCATGGTCCATGAGAGCCCACTGTCACATCTACATTCTGGCCAGAAGCAATCAGGAAAAAAGAGCAAGGGGAGGCCCTGCCCTTCCTTTCGAAGGCACAGTGAGGAAGTCACACACACCATTTTAGCTCACATCTTATGTGTCAGTATTTTGTCACATGCTAACACCTTACTAAAAGGTGATTAGAAATATGTAGTCTTTATCCTGGACAAATGCATAGCCAGCTAAAATCCTATCAGTATGAAGGAAAGGAAGACTAGATATTGAGAGACAGATGGTCATTAAGAGTTGGCTGGAGTTGGCACATGAGATAAAATTTATCTGCCACTCATAAATAAGATATGTCTGTGTATTCTAACGTGCTCATTGAAGAACCTCACTCATAAATAGCTCCTGCAGCTGCAAGTCATATCTTGCCCTTTTGCTCTTTACCTGTGAGCTTCTTAGTGATAAGTCTTGCACTAGCTGTGGAAATCAGATTAAGACAAACTGCCTAAAAAGATATGGATTATTTTAGACCATCCTGGTTTAGTTAACTTTTTAAGTTAACAAACCTAAACAGATCCCCTTAGCCTCAAAATAATAATCGCATATGCAGCACCATGCATTAATGCATGTGCATTCTCTAATGGATCCTTTACCACATATTTTGTTACACATCATTTCGTAACATTTTAAGTTCCAAAATATTAAAAATAAATAGAAGTGTTTCTATGACACTGTACTTTTGATGTTAATGCTTCTAAGATGAATCCTGGAAGATAATTCTAATGTCATCTACACATGCCAGTAATCTTGGCAGCAGGTGGTAGAATGGAGGTTGGCCAGCCTCTCAAATCTATCCTGGAAAAAAAAGGTTATAACTGGGCCTTGGCCCTCTTGGGGGAAAAGAACAAGAGACCTGTCTCAGGGAATAAAAGCAGCCATCCTCTGACTCTGTTGAAACATTTTAGGAGGCTCTGATGAGCAGATGGGTTTGTGAGGGATTTAAAGGATTCTTACACCAATTATCTAACTTGACATTCTTATACTTTAATAACACCTAAGTGATAACTAATGATTTGGCAAGATACAGACAGTCCTGAAGGGCTCTTGACGCCTTTGGAATGCCAGTAAATATATAATTGGATGTGTTTGCTGATGGCAATTATGAAAAGATAATTACTAGCTAGAGTTCTCTCAATAAATAGTGAACTGGGTCACTTTGTTTTAGAGATCAAGATACAGAGAATCCAACTCTAGTTAGTTTTTTTCATATAATTCTAGTTTGCATTATTCAATGAAACCTAAATGGTAGCTCTATAGACAGCTGAGATTTCCTTTCCATCTTGTTAAGTGAACAAAGCCTAGGAGTATCTGTTGTCTTACAGATTTAGTGAAACCACAAGCAAGCACTTTGAAAATAAACCTTGACTTTTCTCTCGCTGTACTCTTGTAAAACAATTTCTTGGCTCAGCTTCTGGCTTAACATCTTTTTCCTCCATCATTTCATAATATCAAACTCATAGCTATTGTAACTTTTTCATTCACACAAGCTAAGCTTCCATAGAAAAATAAACTAACTGTTAAAAAACCCTATTAGAAAATACAGTGAACAAATGCAAAAGACAAGTGGCAATGCAAAGAAAATATTCACAACAATGACAAAGAGCTAATTTCCATAATATGCCGAGTATCTACAAATCAAAAAGAAAAATATTAAAATCCTTATAGGAAAGTGAGCAAAATCTATCCGCAGGAAGATCATAGGAAAGAAAATACAAGTGCTCAACCTCATTCATAATTGAATAAATGAAAATTAAAACAATTTTTTAACCTATCAAATTGGCAAAAGCCAAAGATTAAAAATATTGAGTGTCATTATGTATATATAGAAATATGTACTTACACATTTATTGTGGGTGCATAAATAGCGCAGTCTTATTTGGAAGACAATTTGGCTGCCCCTATTAAATATGAAATATATGTACCCTTTAGCCCCATAATTTTACTTCTAGGAATTCATTTTACATATATTTACCACAATATTGTTTACAGTAATAAAATGGAAATAGCCTAAAGATTCATCAGTAAGCAACTAAACAAATTATATGTCAATATATAGTGAAATATTCTGAAATCATTGTGAATAATGTAATACCGCTGTTGGGCTCACATAAAAGATATTCAAGGGTATGTTTGTTCTTTTCTCAAGTTAAAAGTTGTACATAGTACAACTGTATGTTCAGTATAATCATATTATATTTTCTTAAAATTACATATATATACTTATAAAAATACCTGAAAGGACACAGGTGAACATTGATTAGTTACAGTTTCCAGGGAGTGAGACTTGAGGTGGGAGAAAAAATACAGGGAGTGACACTTTTCACTTTATACCTTTAAAAATTGCTTGATGTTGTTTTTTACAATGAGAAAATATTGCTTTTATAACGAAAAAAGAAAGAAAAGGAAAGGAAGGGAGGGGGAGGGAAAGAGGGAGGGAAAGAGGGAGGGAAGCAGGAAGGGAGAGAGGGAAGGGAAGAAAACCTTTGAAAGTAGTCTATTCACAGGGCCTAGGAGTTGGGTGCCTTTCTCCCTCAAGGGTATGGATATCATTCTTGACCTGTGGGTCAAGTGCCCCCACAGCTGTGTTTGACATACCTTCTTTTCTCTTGCTTACTTCTGGCAATCCGCTTCTCCTTTTAAAACAAAAGGAAAGAGTCAGGTCAGGAAACATAAGAGAGGCTGGTTAAGGACATTAGAGAGAACAGTATTTTCAAATCACATATAAAGGATGTGTATAAAACTGATGAGACCAATGTAATACATTTGATGCTTACATTTTATAATGGCTGAAATCAGAATCAAAATTATTTTACCCCTTTAGGGTTGGTGAATGACTAAAAGCCTAGGTGTATTCCCAATTCTTAGCTGTAGCCAGATATACTATTATATTGGAGATACTGAAAATGTCCCATGTTTACATCCATATCATGAGAACAATCTAGTGGAGCTAAAATTGTCCATCGTGCTCCTTCATCATGTTCCTAGGCACCCCAAAGTCCAGCTCCCTTTCCCCAGTGTCCTACAACCCGTTATGGTGCAGCTCATATACCGCTGGTTTCACGGTCAATATTGTCTGTGTGCTCACCATGAAAAACGTGCTTCTCTCTGTACTCCACCCCACTGAACTTCTAAGACACCTCATGTGGAAGCTAAACACATGTCAAACTTCTTCAGCTTTTTAAGATGTGGCAAAAATAAGAACTCAAAATATCTGTTATTTAAAATAAATTGTGACTGCTCTCTGTTATATCTTCTCTTGACAGTACTTTTTATTAAGCGCTTTCTCTACTGTATTTGCTGGTGCATCTGTAATGCTCAAGGCACTGTAGGGGTAGCAAGATAAATAAGGTATAGCTGTATACTTGAAGAGCTTAGTCTTACAAATAAGTTAATAACAACTAGTGTTGATTGAGTGCTATTGTAAACAATTTACAAGAAATAACTGATTTAGTTCTTATGACAACCCTTAAGGGGATACCTTTATTACTCCCATTTACCAGAAACAAAATGAAGCACAAAGAGGCACAAGGTCAGACTGCTAGTAAATAGCACGCTCAAGAAGTATGCCTCTTAGCCCATGCCTCAACCACTGTGCTCTACAGCCTCTCTGTATGCAAAGAGCTGCATTATAAAGCAGCAAGTGTTTTTTTTCTCTAATTTTTATTTTAGTTTCGGGAGGTGCAGGTACAGTTTTGTTACAAGCGTATATTGCATGATGCTGAGGTTTGGGCTTCTATTGATCCCATCACCCCAGATAATGAACACAGTACTCAATAGGAAGATTTTCAGCCCCTGCCTCCTTTTGGAGTCCCTAGTGTCTATTATTTCTGTCTTTATGTTTGTATGCACCCAAGATTTAGCCCCCACTTATAAGTGAGAATTTGTGATATTTGGTTTTCTGTTTTTATGTTAATTTGCCTAGGATAATGACTCCAACTTCAACTATATCCATGTTGCTACAGAGGACATAATGATTTTATTCTTTTTTATGGCTGCATAGTATTCCCTGGTGTATATGTATCACATTTTCTTTATCCAATCCACCACTGATGAGCACCCGGGTTGATTCCATGTCTTTGCTATTGTGAATAGTACAAAGCAGTAGATGTTAAGTGCCCTTTAGTAATATAAAGTGCTACAGGAATTCAGACAATGAGCATCACTTAGCGCATTGCTTTCATCTTGCAGATAGGAAAGCCACTTGTAAAAAAAATCACAGTCACGTGTTCTGACTAAATTCATTACGTGAATTACCTTGGTAGAGCTTTTATCTGAACCTGAACTCTAAACTCCTTGTCTGCTCTTCTTTGCCCAGCCTTGTGTCACTACCTTAGTTTCACTTTTTATTCCTAATTTTCCCCCTTAAGACCATTTTTTTCTATTGTGTCCTGAAAGGTAATTAAGAAAATATTGAGACAATTTGCGGACATAACACATACCTGCTATCCAGAGATTTCCATTTTTAACCATAGTACCACTAATCTCACCCCACTTGACCTTCACTAAAGTATTACTTAATTTTTTTTCATTAGAGTTTGATAAATGGGGGAAAAAGAAGCTGAAAATACCAGCATGCCATTCACTCTGCAGGAAAGACATAGCTAAGCCAATGTTGTGCTTGGTTCCATTAACAAGTGCTTGTGCTAAATTTCCAGGAGGGTTTGTGGTGTTGTCTATTTGAAACTTTGCTGATAGTATTAAGCCAGCAGTCTAATTGCCATACACAGTGCTAGAATGGCCTGGGGAGTATGTGCTTAAAAGCCGAATTTATGTCCTCAGAAACACATTAATTAGGAACTCTCTGGAAAATGTACAGTAGTTGCTCTTGGTTGGCCATTTTACAAACTATTGAGAATCCAGAGGAACCAACCCTTAGAGGCTGTGCTTCAAGTGATATTGCTTTGCATTTTCCCCAGTGAGTACATTCTTATGAGAAGGCAGCTTTGCCAGGGTATGGGTGCTGACATATAACCAAGTGATGTTGATGTTTCATGAAAAGTGGGTGAGTTCCTACATGCCTCTCACCAGCCAGCTACCAGCTGCCAAACTCCTACTTCCCAATATTTGCCACAAGTGAGGCTGCTCTCAAAGTCTAGCTTGATCCTAGGAAGCTAGGGTCTAGAGATCTAACTTGAGGATTTGGGATCTTCCCTTAATGCTGTCTCTAAGGAAGGAACAAAATGAAGGCAGAGCAGAGCTGTTCATACTCATGGGGTCCTCCTCTGAGACCATCTGACCAAAGGCTAGCTTGCTTAGCAACTCCAGAAATATGATATTACCATTAAGTTTATCTCCTAGTTTGGGAAACAATAACCAAATTGGTAGGAAACCTGCCAATTATACTGAAATGGTTTTGATGACTTTTTTGGAAGATATGTAGACATAGTCATAGATGTAGATATATTTATATCTATACCTTGGCCAGAGAGAGAAAGAGGAATCAGTCCAATTAATAATATTATGCATGTTGAGTAACATGTTAGCTTTGTTTCAATTCCTCTTTTAAAAAGAAAAGAAAAGAAACTGGGTAGATTAGCCTCTAAATGGATAGTTCTTTTAAGTCAAAAGTAGCTAAACACTTGAAACTAGAACACTTATTTCTCTAGAAATCAGGAAAATGTTATTAAAAGGAGGGAAGGAAAGAATTCAATTCCTATCGTCTCCTGGAAAACACAGAATTGGAAGATTCATAATTATCATTATAATTAATATAACAACAACTAAGATTTCTTGAGGTTTTACTAAGTTCTAAGCATCAGTACAAGCACTTAACAGATATTAACTCATTTGACCCTTTCCACACCACAGAAGCTATCTAGGCTGGAAGAGAATAAAGAATGATACTTCCTCCAGCAAAGAGCTATGATTTTTAAGGACCTGTCCAGTTGAAGGAGTGATAAGACAAGATATAGCTGGTGCAGAAGGGCTGGATGATGCTCTACATAGGTTTCACTGTGCAACTTGAGTTGCCATCACGTATATAAATTTATGTAAATTGGGTAATCCATCTGCTTTAATAAAATGTGTATGCAACCACAGGGTGTAGAAATTTCAAAGATTTTATTTTTTGACAGGATGCCTGCCGTTTTTCTCTCTTGACTCCCGCTTGTTTTATTCATTTTGGGGTAGTTGCCAGTTAGACTCAGTTGGTAAGTATAATTAATGGAAAATGTGAATTTCTTCTTAAACTCCAAGAAATTAACCACAGAAGTCTTCATTTCCTTTATAATTTCCTAACAGTATCACTCCCTATGACTGTTGTTTTATCTCTATCTCTTCTGACATTCAACCACATCAGAAATTAGTTACTCCCTATTATTTATCATCCTAAAGATACCATATAGGACAGCTTGACGGCACTATTGGGATACTACTAGGAGGGAATGAGCATTTATTTAGGTTCCAAGCACCATGCTAGGCATTTTCATATATACTATCTCTTTTAATACTCACAAAAACCCTTCAAGATAGGGATTATTTTCTTCCTTTTATACAGTTGATGAAATGGCACCTCCAAGAGGTTAAGCCTTTGCCTTAAATCCAATTAGTGGCACAGCTGGGTGCAAACCTAGGCTGACATAATTCCAAAATACTTTCTCCTTTCATCCTACACATGGAAGCATTATCTCATTTTTTTAAAAAGGCTCCCCTAAAGTTTGGTTACCTTGGAGAGTTTGAGGGTCATTATTCCATTCAGCAACTATTTGAGCACCAACTCTGTGCCAAATATAGGTTGAGCATTGATTCAGTTGGAATGAGTCATCAAGCAAAACTTTGGGAAGAAGATGGTGGTTAGTTGCAAGATGGTGGAGAAACAATATTAGGAAGAAATACAACAGGGTGCTGGAGAGGAGCGTGGGGATGGAGGCAAGCAGAGGACCTCCTGATCATGTACCCATAGAACAGGGCGATGGAGAGGAGGGTGGGGTTGGAGGCAAGAAGAGGACCTCCTGATCGTGTATCCATAGGACAGGGTGATGGAGAGGAGGGTGGGGTTGGAGGCAAGCAGAGGGCCTCCTGATCATTTACCCACAGGACAGGGTGATGGAGAGGAGGGTGAGGGTGGAGGCAAGCAGAGGACCTCCTGATCATGTACCCATAGGACAGGGTGATGGAGAGGAGGGTGGGGGTGGAGGCAAGCAGAGGACCTCCTGATCATGTACCCATAGGACAGGGTGATGGAAAGGAGGGTGGGGGTGGAGGCAAGCAGAGGACTTCCTGATCGCGTACCCATGGCTACAGTCTTTCTTCATGTGACTCGTGGACTTCCCTTTGTCATCCTATGCCTGAGAATATATGAAGGAGGCTGGGAAGGCAAAGGGACGTTCAATTGTCATCACTGGCATCTTTTTTGATCATTGCACCATCATCAAATGCATTGGGATAACCATGACATGAAATTTTCCATCATTGGGCCCATAACTGTCCCATAAGAGAGATGAAAAACACTGTATGTTAAAGGTCATAGTAGAACTTCATCCAAGCAGCTCTGGAATTAGGAAGGAGTGAAATATACTCTCAAAGACTAATAGTTCTGGGTCCAAACCATGTGACTTGAAAAGGAAGCAAAGATTCCCCTGGACAGGTTACATATACTGTCATGCATTGCTTAACGATGGGGTTACTATATCCTCAGAAATGAATCATTAGGTGATTTTGTCATGAACATCATAGAGTGTACTTATACAAACCTAGAAGGTATAACCTACTACACACCTAGGCTATATAGTATAGCCTATTGCTTGTAGGCTACAAACCTGTATAGCATGTTACTATGTGGTAGTGAATACTGTAGGCAACTGTAACACGATGGTAAGTATTTGTGTATCTAAACATAGAAAAGACACAATAAAAACATAGTATAAAAGATACAAATAGTACACCTTAATAGGGCACTTACCATGAATGGTGCTTGCAGGACTGGAAGTTGCTCTGGGTGAGTCACTGAGTGAGTGCTAGAATATTTTTGTATACTACTGTAAACTTTATAAACACTGTATAATTAGGCTATACTAAATTTATTTTTTAAATTTTATTTCTTCAAAACTAAATTAACCTTAGCTGACTGTAACTTTTTTACTTTGTAAACTTTTTAACGTTTTAAAACTTTTAGACTATTTTGCAATAATACTTAGCTTAAAACATAAGCACATTATGCAGCTATACAAAAATATTTTCTTCATTTGCTTATTCTATGAGCTTTTTTCTGTCTTTAAAATTTTTTATCTTTGTATTTTTTAAACTTTTTTCTTAAAAATGAAGACACAAACACACTCATTAAACTAGGCCTGCACAGGGTCAGAATCATCAAGATGTCACTAGGTGATAGGACTTTTTCAGCTCTATTACTACCTTATGGGACCACCATTGTATTTGTGGTCTGTCATTGACCAAAGTGTCATTATGCAACACATGACTGTATATCAAGAACATCTTATTTCCTTCTGTGGGTGCTACAATCTGTTCAGCCCAATCATGCAAACTTTCTACTGCCTCAAACAGTCAAGGGAAAGGCCTTCCAAAACACAAATACCAAATTGATGATCAGTTCACTTTAGACTGTAATGACATCATTTTTCAGGTGCTGTCAAGTAAACATGTTTAAAGCTTTCTCCGCCTTTTAGAGGGTCTTCCCTCTAAAGAATAATTTGTGAGGAATAAACAACACAATCTATATCCCTGCTTTTTCATTATATGAAACGACTTGACACAGTTGGCTGTGTAACTGAAATATTTGTCATGCTTGTTAATGAAAAGTTACTTTGTCAATAAAGGTAATAATGAAGCCAAAAAAATAACTTTGAGGGAACAGAGCAAATTTTAGCGAAACTGGTTTCTTGGTATTGACTTGTCATGTTTATCTCACCCATTTTCCTATTCAAGCTAAAGACCTCCCTTTTTTCAGCAAAGAGACTTTTCTACATTGGAATTAGTTGTTCAGGGACTGGGATAGTTCTTGTAAACAAGTAGGTCCCAACAGGAGAGCTGTCCACCATTCTAAGACTTCTTAGACACTTTTACATTCAGGGAAGAATTTTGAGCTCCCTTTTCAGATTAGAAAGATTTGGGTTGCCAATGTTTGACTGGCATTTTGGTCTCAAAGTCAGCAATGTTTACTGTTGTTGGTCAGATACAATAGGTTCCTAGCATAACATAGGAACCTGTTATCTTGATGGAACCCAATATCTTCCTTATTTCATTGCTAACTACCTTTCATATTTTTCATCTGTTTTTATAGCTTCTCCTAACATAACACCATGTAGATCGTATGTCCCATCCATTTCAAGATACTTACAGTTTCCCTTAAATGATATACCCTACTGGATGTGGTTTTGTCTCTTTCTGACATTTACTAAAATTTCATTCTCTTCTCACTCTAACTACCTGGCCAAAACCTAAATTCCTTCAAGTCTCAGATTAAAAATCTTCTCCTCTCTGTAATCTTACCACAACTCCCATCCCTAGTATTCCCTCCAGCTCATACCCTGGTATCCTCCTGGGCCCACATTCACCTCATCCTCCATGCTCTTGCTGTGCTCTATATCAGCCTCTCCCACATACAGCTCCTTTTGGTAGAATGGAGCCTTCATAGTCTCCCATCTGCCTTCACAGTCTCTCATCTTCTGTAGATTGTGAGATCCTATAGAGCACAGCCTGTGTCTTATTCATTGTGGTCATTCTGAAAACCTTGCATAGTGCCTAGCCTATGCAAGTAGGTGCTCAATAACTTGTTATTATAAGCATCACTGTTTGATTTCCCTGGCTTTATTTTTAGCTCTGATTTTCAACCTGACACAAAGATGTAATAGAAGCGACTAGATACTAAAAAGCTATAAAAAAGGACAAATCATAAAGCAATAATGACATAGAAAGACTCAGGATAAATAAATAGCAACATGTACAAGCAAAGACCATCATGCATACTTCCAATTCATGGGCATAAAAGCATTTAGTCTGAGAAAGTTGACTGTGTTCCTGTTGAATTATGATTGTTGTAAATCATTTATATCTTATGAATTTAGAGAGTCTAATGATACATATTTTACAGCAGCCAGTGCACCGTGGCCTCAGTATTTCCATTTCCATGGAAAAAGAAATAACTATTGATTTTCCTCCATTTATTCAAAATGATAATTGCCCATGGTTGCTTTTCAGTCCAGATCAGGATCATTCCATTTAGTAGAAGTGCATGGCTAACTTTAGAAAGTTAGACACACATAAAATTAATGGGAAAACTTATGCTGACCGAGCAGTTTTCTGCCATGATCAACAGTTTTATAGTGAGATATATTTAGGGAAGATAAGGTGTCTCATTCCCTGGGGATCTTAAAGAAAAGTGAGCTGAGATTTTAATTTGCTTGAGATAATCATCTTAAAACCAGGGACTTTATCATAGGACCCTTCAAAGTCCCTTCTTAGGATTTATAATTATTTGTCTCTTCAAATTATTATTTAGATCATGTCAAGTCATTGAAACTAATGGATGTAAAACTGAAGAATCATTCATATAGTCTTGGGAAATGACTATAAATAGTGCTCCCAGATGTCACTAATAAAGTTGTCATAGCTGTTAACAGAATAAAAACTTTTTTCTTTTTATTTTATTTTATTTTATTTTATTTTATTTTTGAGACGGAGTCTAGCTCTGTCACCCAGGCTGGAGTGCAGTGGCATGATCTCAGCTCACTGCAACCCCCGCCTCCCGTGTTCCAGCGATTCTTCTGCCTCAGCCTCCCGAGTAGCTGGGCTATAGGCGTGCACCACCAAGCCCAGCTAATTCTTGTATTTGTAGTAGAGACTGGGTTTCACCATATTGGCCAGGCTGGTCTCAAACTCCTTACCTTGTGATCCACCTGCCTCATCCTCCGAAAGTGCTGGGATTACAGGCGTGAGCCACCGTCCCGGCCAAAAACTTGTTAACCTTGAACCCCTTAAGATCCCAGCTCAGGATCATGAGCCCCTGAGGCAAATGAGGAAAACAGAGATTTTATGCCCTAAAATGGCCAAATAAGGAACAGTTGATTTTTTTTTCTTTTTTGGCACCCATAGCTGAAACAAACAGCACTTCTCCTCATGAACAGGCTGTTCTCCTTCTGTGTTGGAGGCCAGGTTTCAAAGCTGCGTAATGAGTTTCACGTGCTGCAGCCCAGCAGGCAAACATTCAAGTCCTAAATCGCAGGCAGAAGAATGAAGAACTCTCATTGGCTAAGGAGCCTTGGCGTCGCTGGGTTCACATGGGGTACTGGGCAATTCCTGCTGGAACGAGGCAGGGTGAAAAAACAGGTGTGCCTGTGCTAAAACAGGGAGGAAGATTGAAGAGTCAGCTTTTCTGGTCATCAAACAAATCTGAGCTGAGCCCTTCCTCATTAGCAGCATTTCTTCCACCCAAAGGGAGAACAGAGGAAGTGCACACTGACTCTGGTGCATGTTAGAATTTATTATAAAATCCTGGGGGAGGCTGAGAAATAAGCAGCAATTAAACATGGTGTGCCTGCATGAAGAGTTTGGGGAGAAGTAGAAAGTTCACTTCATCTTTCTATTTCCATTCTTAGATTCTATTTTTGCACATGTAAAGCAGGATTTGTTTTCTTTTGTTTATTTTTTTCATTATTCAAGTAATAAGAACTCTTATAGGGTGTATGAATTATTGTTCATAAACTTAGGTATGTAGGAAATGTCACTTGGTAAACATTTTCTTTTATTCAAATAAACCCAATTCCAAGACCCTTTCCACCTGGTTTGTGGTAAAGTCAATCTTTTTTTTTTTTTTTTTTTTTTTTTTTTCGAGATGGAGTCTGGCTCTGTCGCCCAGGTTGGAGTGCAGTGCCGCAATCTCGGCTCACTGCAAGCTCCGCCTCCCGGGTTCACGCCATTCTCCTGCCTTAGCCTCCCGAGTAGCTGGGACTACAGGCGCCCGCCACTATGCCCGGCTAATTTTTGTATTTTTAGTAGAGATGGGGTCTCACCGTGTTAGCCAGGATGGTCTCGATCTCCTGACCTCGTGAGGTAAAGTCAATCTTAACCTTCATTAGGTCTCTCTGTCTCTCTCTGTCTCTCTGTCTCTCTCTGTCTCCCCCCACCACCACCTCCCCCACCCCAGTCTCTCTCTCACCCCACCCTCCTCCTTCCTCTGCCTCTCTTCTCCCTCTCTTTCATGATCATGCTCCTTCTCTCGTGCTTACAGAGTACTTGGAATGTTAAGATAGAGCCTCTTAACTTTTGTCAGCCAAAGTAACCACTGATAAAATAATTGTCCAAGCTTGCTTGATCTCTGCAAAGTGGGTGGCTCTGGTACTCCCATGCTAAAGTAAAACCAGTGGGACCCTGGCTGCAGCTGGCATCACTGGCCAGCAGAGTTCAGCAGCTTCAGGTTCAGCATGCCATGGTGGACTTCACAGCAGTCCCTGTCAGACAAGTTGCCTGCATAATTCCTGCTTTTACGGAGCTTGCATTTGCAGGGGAGGGGATAGAAAATAAGTAAAATATATAGTGTATTGAATAGTGGTAAGGGCTAAGGAGAGATAGAAAGAAGAGAAGGCAGAAAGGGAGTGCAGAGTAGGAGCCGAAATTTCAAATAGAGTCGTGGGGAAGACAAGGGGAGAAGAGAAGGGAAGGGAAGGGGAGGGGAGGAAAGGAAACCAAGAACTGAGTTTTGGGACAGTCTTAGTGTCAGACGTCAGGTAGGTAAGGAGGAAATAGCAAAGAAGAGGAAGAAGGAGCAGCTAGTGAGGTAACAGAGAAACTGGGAGAGAGCACTGAAGGGGAGAAAATAGAATTTTCTTTAACCCTTGTAAGTTTGTAGCTGAGACAAACCTCTATAACAAAAGAAATTAATGAGAGAAAGAGAAAAACAAACAACTTTATTAACACATGCAGTGCACACCACACAAGGGATGTGTTCAAAAGCAGTGGTTTATAAGTCTACTTACATAGTATATCCAATAAAGAACAGTAGTTTTTTGGGTTTTGTTTTGTTTTGTTTTGTTTCTTTGTTTGTTTTTGAGATGGAGTCTTGCTCTGTTGCCCAGTAGTGCAATCTCGGCTCAGTGCAACCTCTGCCTCCTGAGTTCAAGGGATTCTCCTGCCTCAGCCTCCCAAGTAGCTGGGGTTACAGGTGCCTGCCACCAAGCCCAGTTAATTTTTTTTTCTTTGTAGAACTAGGGTTTTGCCATGTTGGTCAGGCTGATCTCGAACTGGTGGCCTCAAGTGATCCACCCGCCTCGGCCTCCCAAAGTGCTGAGATTACAGGCATGAGCCACCATGCCTGGCCAGAACAGTACATTTTGAGAAAGGGACAAGGCAAAGAGGAAGGCAGTCCTAGTCTCCTAGAGGTGGGAAAATGTGGGAAGGTAAATTGATGGGGAGTAAGACTTCCTCACTCTAGCTCCTCTCTGAGGTGATAAAGGTCTGTTCAAAGAGAACTTCTATCTTATTTTCAGGTGGGAGAGGTGGGAGTGAGGAGGGTAGAAAGACCTTTTGTCTTCGTAATTCTGCTTTTAGGTAAACAGAGGCAAGGCAGAAGCACTCCAGGAATTGTTGTGGCTTGCTATAGGTAAAAAAGGGGAGCTCGGCCGGGCGTGGTGGCTCATGCCTGTAATCCCAGCACTTTGGGAGGCCGAGACGGACTGATCACGAGGTCAGGAGATCGAGACCATCCTGGCTAACACGGTGAAACCCCGTCTTTGCTAAAAATACAAAAAAAATTGGCCGGGTGTAGTGGCGGGCGCCTGTGGTCCCAGCTACTCTGGAGGCTGAGGCAGGAGAAAAGCATGAACCTGGGAGGCGGAGCTTGCAGTGAGCCGAGATCGCACCACTGCACTCCAGCCCAGGCTGAGCGAGACTCCGTCTCAAAAAAAAAAAAAAAAAACAACAAAAACGGTGGCGGTGGGGGGCGGAGCTCAGGCAGCCCTTTCTATAATTTTAAAAAATTGTATCATAAAAATATTTATGTCAAAGAGGCATATTTTAGAATGGAATATTCTGGTTTCCTTCAACACTGTCTGGAAGCCAAAGTGAAGAGTGTATTTCCAAGAGGAAGGAATGAAATGGTCAACTGTGTCTAATGCTACTGACGGGCCAAGTAGGAAGAGACCTGGGGACTGACTGTCAAGGATGCAAGGATGCTGCGAGTCCCTTCTTGCCCCCCATCCAAGGCTCAGATCATTTCTTCCGCATCTCATCTGCTCCCACTTCTCCCCCATCAAAGACACTTGCCCTTCTCTTCTTCCCCTTCAGAAAATTGGTGGAGTTGGGCCTTTGTTTTTTTTTTTTTTTTTTTTTTTTTTACAAAATTTCTCCAGGCAAGTTCTGTTTTCTAGCAGCTCTGGCCAGCAACACAAACCTCTCCTGAGAATAGACACCCTAGTGGCCTCTTTTGAAATGAGAAGAAGGAAAAACAAATGGAAAACAAAACCTGAATTAATTAACAGCTCAATAAATTAGCCTGCTACACAGAAAATATATTCTTTACTTTTAGGCAAAGCACCAAATAGTAAATGTACTAAATATATAGCTAGGCAAATTTTACTAGTGCAGTGAAATCCCTATTAAAATAGGGTCGAATCGTAGCATGTTTGTTTTCAAATAGTCCCAAACGGCTAGTTTTAGGGACTGAATTGCAAGAATGGTGCATGTCTCCCACTCTTTGCCTCTATAATAAGAGTGCTTATTGTATCAATCCTGTACAACCAAAATAGGCATCAAAAATTGGCTTATACAGCCAGATTTCCAACTTGGTTAGTTTCTCATTGATCACAGGCACACTCAGACTTAACAGACTAATATATGTTTCCTTATGTAATTTATCACATTAAACCCAGAGGTGAACAAACTACAACTAGTGGGCCAAATCCAGCGTGCCATCATCTGTTTTTGTAAGTAAAGGTTTATTGCAACATAGTCATGCTCATTCTTTATGTGATGTCTCTGGCTGCTTTCACACTGTAACCACAGAGTTGAGTAGTTACAAGAGTCCATCTGGCCTGAAAACAGAAAATATTTGCTATTTGACCCTTTATAGAAAAAAATTTGCTGATGCCTGGTTTAGACTTTAAAATAGACTTCTGGAAAAAATATTGTTCATGGTTATTTCAATCTCATTCCATGGACTTTTGCATTAATTTGCTCCAGGAAGCACTTTTTAGATTTCACTTCTTTTCACAGGCAAAAATCTCCTTTCCCTGCAGCTTTACGCTAGGACACTGTTCTCAAAGTATGGTCCTGGGACCAGCAACAATAGCATCACTTGGAAACTTCCTTGAAATGTACATTCTCAGGTCTTATTCTAGACCTGCTGATCAGAAGCTCTGGAGGTGGGGTCCAGCAGTGTGGGTGTTTTAATAGCTCCTCCTTCAGGGAATTCTGATGCATGCTAAAATTGAGAGACATTTGAAGTGGAGATTTCTACACACCCCTTCTTGGGATAGTTTTCAGTGAACGAATTAGTTTTTGCACATTAGAATCGGGGTTTTAAGAGCAGTCCTTAAAGTGCCACTTTCTTATTTATAACATTAAGATAGTCTACTTTCTACAGTAATGGTATTAGCCCTTATTGTTGCAATCAAATAGATCCTTGGTGGCAGCAGTAGAAAGAAGCAAGTAGCTGTTTCACAGACAAGACAAAGTAGGATATGAGGTTAAATACTCGAGTGATTAAGGACCCAAAGCACCCATTGCATGTCTCTAGGCCATGACTGTCTCCTGATGCCTCATCATCTCATTTCTGGATGAGGCATTCATTTATAAGAGAGAAAAGTAGAAGGGATTTATTTCCAGCACCATCAAGGATATGCTAGAACATGAAAAAAAGAATTAATTTATATTTTCCCCTTATAAGATTTATGCAGGTGCTGCTGTATTGCTGCTGTTTTCCTTTGCTTAATGATCTAATCCTTCCCTGGAGCTTCATTTCCATGTAGCTAGAGAAAGAAATAGCTCTGATAATGAACAGCTGTGATTTAGACGGAGCGAGAAACTTGATCCCAGGAAACCAGGGAGGGGCAACGGTGAGCCTTGGCCCTTTTAAGCCAGAAAGACAAGAAGCAATGAATAAACTCAGGTCCCTTTTTAAATATTTGAGATTTGTATCTATATTTAAAAGCTACCAGAAACCAGTTTGAGACCCTAAGGTATGAGCAAGGTAGAGTGACTGTATATACTGATTTGTTCAGGATCAAATAACTCTAGTTTATACCTTTCATCCCAGAGTAATTATTAATAATGACCCCTTCACTTGCAAGTATGTCCTAATTGTATGATAAATTCTGTGGTCACCTCAGTGAGAGACAACTCAGTAGAGCACCAAGAATTCAGACTGTAGATTTCCTAACAGGACTTTGCTTGAAACCCATTTCTGACACTTACTAGTTGTGTGAATTTTGCAATTTATCCTTTATGCCTCAGTTTGCTTAACTGTAAAATGGAAATAACCATAGAGTTGACCCTTGAACAATGCTGCCCTTAGAGGGTTAGTCAAAAATTCGTGTGTAACTTTCGACTTCTCAAAAAAAAATACTATTGATAGCCTACTGTTGATCAGAAGTCTTATCTATAACATAAACCACCAATTAACACATATTTTGTATATTATATACTGTATTCTTACAATAAAGTAAGCTAAAGGAAATCATATTAAGAAAATAATAAGGAAGAGGAAAAGAAAATATATTACTATTCACTAAGTAGAAGTGGGTCATCATGAAGGTCTTCATCCTCATCATCTTCATACCGAGTAGGCTGAGAAGAAAGAAGAAGAGGAGGGTTGGTCTTGCTGTCTCATGAAGTGGCAGAGGTAGAAGAAAATCTACATATAAGTGGCCCCATGCAGTTCAAACCCATGTTGTTCAAGGGTCAACTATATCTCTATCAGAAGGTTGTTGAGCAGATTGAGTAAGATATGCAACCCACCTGGCTGAGTGCCTGACACCCGGCAGGTGCTCAGCAATGGCTACTTCCCCTTAGGGAGAGAGAATAATATTAATTCATCCAGAATAATTACTCTGGGATGACAGGTATAAACTATCTACATTCAACTGGCCCAGTGGACTTCATTACATTAAATCATCCACTACAACCCAGAAATTCACAAGCAACTTTGTTTTAGTTCCATTTGTAATGACCTTTTTTAACATGTTGCCATGTTGCAGTTGTTTTTTCTTTCTAAGACATGTATTAAGGACATCAAGAAAAAATTGTCTTTCAGAGAAAGTCATATTTGTACTTGAAAAAAATAGTTCATGTTCAGTGTTGAACCAGAGGCTCAACTTTGTTCAATGCTGCTGCAAAGCAAATGTCAGAAACAGAAATGACTGTATTGCAGTTCGTGGTATTGGAGTTTGGAGAGACCCAGTAAACTGTATCCCACTCTTGACTGGATACAATCAAGTATCAAGTCTTCAAATTGACTGAGAGCTAGAGAGTCAGGCAGGTGGAGATCAAAATATCATTTTTATTAATGATGAAGTTGTTGGAGTTAATGACTTAGTGTGAGGGTCAAATGGATTTGCTGGCCTGCCTCAGCTCCAAGAAACCCCACCAGAGAAGAAAGATGGGTCTGTAGCAGACATTTTTTACCAAGATGACTGACTGGCACTGGTCCCTGGAGGGAAAGGAAGAAATAAGCTAATTTTCCCATTACTGCAGGATTAGCTCTATCCAATCAAGAAACACAATAGTCACCAACTATCAGGTTATTCAATTCTATATGTGGAGAGAAGTAAAGGAAAGACAAGAGGCTAGATGTGCCATTCTAATGGAGCTCCCTGCACATGGAAACAAGGAGGGAGCTCCTTTTCCAGAGGAAAGAAGGTTCCCCACAGTGTTGTCACCCATATTTCTCACTGAGGATTTAGTCACAGGAAAGATTCGATCAGATTAGACTTAACAAGTTATTTTTCTCAAAAGATGTCCAGATAATCAAATAACAATTTATCACTTTTCCCAACTGTGGATCAGAAATTGGATGAAATACCATTACTAGATCCAGAATAATCATTGCCTTTCCTTTGTCTCATCTATGATAATGGTTACTTTAATGACCTTGGTGGTGAATGAAGGTCACCCCTAGCTTACAGCACTTGAGCTGTGAAAACATACCAATCACCTCAGTGGGAACAGAATTAGGTTTCCATTTCAGTCATATAGTTCCTGTTCATTTCCGCTGGAGGAAATAATAGTTTTGTAGACATCCTTCCAGCAAGGGGAAGAATGTAAACCTTTGTTAATGTTTTCTCCCTGGTGACCGAGATACTTTGTCGCTTTAGCTGGGTTCAATTCTGAGAAACAATGAGGCTTCAATTTGAGGCTTCAATTTAAAAGTGCAGGACAGCTGAACTGAAATTGGCTGTTCGAGTCCCTAAGAATCTGGGCTCTTTCAGATGTAATCCAGATGGACAGGTGAAATGGAAACACCCACCCAAGGCACTCAGCATGTTCTTCTCTAGGTCTCTGACCACTGCTGAGGCCCCGTAGTTAAGGCCTGTAAAAGGACACCATGAAGCCACCCAAATGGCTGTCATCTCCATTTCAGCAGGATACCTTCCAACAGTGTTGAGGTATGACAGGCAACCCCTTAATGATTATCACGTTATTCCTGTCCCTTTAGCTCTTCTAGTCCTAAGGTATGATCCTAAGCATTGTACCTTTTTATTTTTGTTTTACTTCACAAGCATGTATTTAAACTACCTTTTGAGTGTGAGGCACTGTAAGAACCAGAATGTTATCTGAGAGGGCTGGGGAGTCTGTCAGAATGAGCTTACTTACAGTTAAGTGGAAGAAGCTCTCCTTAAAGCAAGGCAGAATACAATAATCACCAAAAGACATTCTTTTAAAAAAATGGGATCATAAAGTAATGAATAATTAATACTTGCTGAGGAAGTTAAAAAGGGCCTCAGGAACTGGTAATATTTGAACTATGAAGTTTGACTTAGGGGTCTCTGAGGGGCTAAAGTAAATAGTACCCCGAGGGGCCCAGGCATGGTGGTTCACACCTGTAATCCCAAAACTTTGAGAGGTCAAGGCAGGCAGATCACTTGAGCCCAGGAGTTCTAGACCAGCCTGGGCAACATGGCGAAACTCTGTCTCTACACAAAATATAGAAATTAGCCGGGTGTGGTGGTGCCTGCCTGTGGTCTCAGCTACTCTGTAGGCTGATGTTGGAGGATCGGTTGAGCCTGGGAAGTCGAGGCGGCAGTGAGCCAAGATCATGCCACTGCACTCCAACCTGGGTGATGGAGTGAGACCCTATCTCAAGATATAAAGAAAGAAAGAAATAGTACTCCTTTTCTGCATCCAAGTTCTGACCAATTTGAGAAATAAAAGAAGTACTTGGTGGAACCCAAGATATGACTGAAAATTACTTATAGTGGACAAGTGAACAGATGGGACTTTAGTTTTATTGGCCAAGTGGGTTTAATGACACTCCAAAATTGGGCAGAATCCCACGGTGAGTCTTCACCTGCTCACCTCACTGCACATCTTCAGGGTCTGGGTTCCTGGAGGAGCTGAGGGATCTCAGGTTCTCTGAAAGTAGGCAGATGCCAAGAAGAAGCAGAGCCAGGCAGAGCTGAGCAAACCGTTAGTCTTTTCAAATTCACCGGGTGGCCAAGTGAGTAAAGGGGCAGAGAACGTCCAAGGGTGTGCATAGGAAAAATTCCTTCTCTTGAAACCAGGAGTGAGGAAAGATACTCATCTGAAAATTGGTGTGGCTGAAGGAAAGTTTAAAAATCATCCTGCATGGAAGATGGTGAGGATAGTCTGGTGAGACTCAGATCAGGTAGAGAGAGAGCTCTGGAAGAGATGGGGAGACGAAGGTTGGGTGCAGAACAAGGAGAGTCTTGTATATCACACTAAAGGAGTGGGCTTTTCCTAAAAACAATGGGCCTTTCCTAAAAACCCACTACATTTTTACAGAAAGACTGTAATTGTGAGTGACAGCTAGCAGTTAAGTGAAGATCATTATATTAGGGAAGTCAGGTAGGAAGTAATCTCAGTAGCCCACAGGAAAACCAATGAGCACAGACGCTGGGCATTTGGTATAATTCCTGATTTCATGAGAATTTAAATTGCATCTGTCTACTTTGCATCTCAGGTCAGTTGATGAGGAGAAAATTACTCCTATCATAAATAATTTTAAAATTTACGTGGAAATAATTACGTTGTCATTTAACCTATCTACCTTTTTGTTTTTTCAAGAGACAAGATCTCACTCTATCACCCAGGCTGAAGCACAGTGGCACAATCACAGCTCACTTCAGCCTCGACCTCCTGGGCTCAAGCAATCCTCCCACCTCAGCCTCCAAAGTAGCTGGGACTAAAGGTATATACCACCATGCCCAGCTAACTTTTAAATTTTTTTGTAGAGACAAGATCTCCCTATGTTTTCCAGGCTGGTCTTGAACTCCTGGGCTCAAGTGATCCTCCTGCCTAGGCCTCCCAAAGTGCTGGGATTACAGGCATGAGCCACCATGCCCAGCCCCCTGCCTTCCTTTGTACCCCAAATGTCAGAGAGCAACTACGACATGTAGAGCATTGTATGATATGTTGGTAATACAGAAATAAATACCTAATAGAGAAAAGAGATGCCTAGACATCTCTGCTCTGTTCAAAACCCACATCAAAAGTCATTACTCATGTAATTAATGTGATAAAACTTCAAAAGCTATATGTAAGGCACTATAAGAAGTTTTTCTTTAATACCATCATAGTTGATTGACAAATTTATAAAGGATGTTCATTGGCATGTGCTTCTTTTAAAAAGAAAATGCTATGAGAACACACAATGAGAATGTCTTTGAACCTGGGACCTGAAGGATGAATATGTTCCTCGCAGAGACAACATCAAAAACAAAATTCCTTGAAGAGAAAATGGAGCTTTTTGCATTTGGGACAGGTAGAAGTAATTGCTGTCTCTTTCAGTAGGTACAAAGACAAAAATTATTTTTATAATTTGAAAAAAGCAAATTAACATGCATACCACCAGCAACATTTCCCTCACTGCAACCATCCACCTTCCTGCCTAGCTCGTCCCTGAAACATGGGCCAGGTCTTTTCTGTGATTTTCCGATCCATAATTCCCTTAGCTGCTTTGCTCCTTATTAATTTTGTCAAGAAGCCAAGGAACTTGTATGGGCTATGGACTTAGATCCTGGAACATTTGCAGGGGAACATGGGTAGCGTATTATAAAGTAAAATGAGCTAAAACCACCCTGATTACATCTGAGAAGGCAACATCTGACTTTTGATGTGGGTTTTGCACAGAGCAGAGACTAAGACTAGAGCTTTGTTTGGGAGAGTTTTCTTGTAGACTTAGATCGATTACATTAAAAGATTCAGCCTTCAAACAATGGCTCCAAAGAAAATAATGTTGGCTTTTCCCTTTTATGAAAATAATACTTGTCTTACAGCCCAAGGGATTGGCCATCCTTTTTCTATTGAAATTATTCAGAGGAATGCTGCTTGGATGTCCTGGTAATGTATTGACATTAATAGCGGAATATTTCAATCAGAGCCATCTGGCCACAAGGGAATAACAGCTCCCATTGATTATGTAAAAAGCTAAGTTATCGTCTGGGTATATAATACACTTGGAGTTGGTTTATGGGTTTTGTTATTTAGCATTTACATCTCCTTCCAACCCACAGAACTCGAAAGACTTAACAAGCTGGTTGATGAATAAGGAGAGGCCCCTGGGGGAAGACGTTCGGGGCGTGATGCAAAAGGCCACCTATCCCAAAGCAGGAAGAGTTAGCCTTTTGGACACACGAGAAGGGAATTGGATAATTTGGCATATTATCAGTCTGCATAAGAGGGTATTCAAACTTTGGAGAGGGCTATTTCAAATTATTTGTTTGCCAGAGCCTTCTTTCAGTTTAAATGTGTAAAATGCATTCATTTTTCTTTTCTCTTCATGAATCATTTATACATTCAAACGAGAAACTTTGTATAAGCTTAATAGATATAAATAAGCATCTTTATATTTGTGTTTAAGCATAAAACTCTTAAGTGCCAGGCTCTAAGTGCTTTATAAATAATAATTCATGTATTATTCAAAACAGTTTTGTGAATTATATACCTACTCTGTGTATTAAATGCTGTATAGAATATCAATATGCAAACACCCCTCAATGTCCATGGGGGATTGGTTCCAAAATCTCCCACAGATACCAAAATCTGAGGATGCTCAAGTCCCTTGTATAAAATAGTGTTTTCATATAGGCTATGCACACCCTTCCAGATATCTTAAATAACCCCTAGATTACTTATGGTACCTAATATAATGTAAATGCTACATCAATAGTCGTTACGCTTTATTGTTTAGGGAATGAGGACAAAGAAAAATGTCTGTATGTATTCAGTATAGGAATAATTTTTTTTCAGAATATTTTTGATCTTTTGTTAGTTGAGGCCACAGATGTAGAACCCACGGATGCAGAAGGCCAACTGTATACTTTTTATGTATCAACATATGTCAAGATGCATTTCTGCCCTTCTAGGATGTGAATGGCTCCAGCTTATATGTCGTTAGCTTTGTAAAGTCCAGCAAGGCTGTGGGGGTTTACAGTAGCAGGGAGATAAAATAGATAGAGCAGCACATGCTGAGAGTGAATCAGGGAAAGTGGGAGTCGACGGGAGCCAGCAGGCACATGGGGAAAAAGACAATCATGGACCTAGAAAGCAGAAACTGAGAATGAGAATACAGAAGATTCTGCCCAGATGCAAACAGGCAGCCCAAAGCCTAAGGAAAAGCCTCCTCCGAGAGAGTGAGACTAGCCAAGGCTTCCAGAGTGCAGGATGGAGATGGGAGTGGTGAGGGGCAAAGCCCTTCAGGAAGGCCCACTGCAATCAAGCAAGTCTTGGGGTCCATGTTGCCAGGAAGGGAGCAGGCAAAAGGCCAAGCCTCACTGGAATGTAGAAGGTGGTGCTGCTCTCCAGAAGCTGGGGATATTCAGAGAGGAGTGATTGCTCTCTCTGCCCTGGGTCTTAGACCTTTGGAAAGACCTGATTTAAGCCCTTCATTATCAGGGTGAAGTTTCTTGATAAACCACACAGGTGACTCCTTTTCTCTTTACGTGAGAGATGGAGAGTAGCTTCCCATATAGTAAACAGTCTTCCCACACGATCATGAGTTATGCTGGAAAGGAAGCCCCTCCTGACACTAAACAGGGTATTGGGACTGCACTCAGCATTGACCTGAATAGTTCATCTTAAAGTCCCACTTAAAAAAAAAAATCTGCTATCCCAAATTCTCATATGAAGGACCCTCAAGTCCAAGTACAGACGCTGCTCCAATTATGATGGGGTTATGTCCAATCAAACGATTTTAAGTTGAAAACACAGCTAATACACAACTTGCCAAACATCGTAGCACAGCCTAGCTTACTTAAATGTACCCAGAGCGTTTACATGAGCCAACACATGGGTACAATCATCTAACACAAAGTCTATTATATAACAAAGTGTTGAATATTTCATGTAATTTATTGAAAATGAAAGACGAATGGTGGTATGAGTACTAGAAGTATGATTTCTACTAAATATGTATCACTTTTGCATCACTGCAAAGTTGAAAAATTGCAAGTTGAATCATTCTAAGTGAGGGACTGTCTTGACTCTTTTCCTGCCAGGTTTTCATAGTTACAAAACAGCTCATGTGGACCTTCAGGATAAAAGACAGGTGAAGACTGCCTTAGAGCAAGCAGAGTGGCAGCCGGGAAGAGGAATGTTTGATCATGATAATCTCATGCAAAGTACATAAAGGGGTATATATATGTATGTATATATGTATGTATGTTTATATGTGTTTATATGCATACATATACATATGTGTTTTATATATATATATATATATATATTTTTTTTTTTTTTTGAGACAAAGCCTCACTCTGTCACTGAGGCTTTGGTGCAATGGCACCCTCAGGGCTCACTGCAGCCTCGACTTCCCAGGCTCAAGTGATTCTCCTACCTCAGGGTCCTGAGTAGCTGGGACTACAGGCACATGCATCAAACCCCACTAATTTTTAAAAATATTTTTGTAGAGACAGGTTCTTGCTATATTTCCCAGGCTGATCCTGAATTCCTGGGCTCAAATGATCCTCCCGCCTCGGTCTCCCAAAGAGCTGGGATTACGGCATAAGCCATTGTGCCCAACCATAAATGGGTATTCTTTATAAGGAGGCAGAAACATGTCTGTAGGAAGAGTTGGCAAATTATAGCCCACCCTATTTTTATTTAGCTCATGGGCTAAGAAGTTATTTTATATTTTTAAATGTTTGTAAATAAAAGAATAATATTTTGTGGCATGAAAACTAAATGAAATTCAAACGTCAGCATTTATACAAAAATTCCATTTTTATTAGTAAGCCTGTATTTTAAAACATATATATATATTCAGTTGTATTTTGAATTTTAATTATACAAAATTGAGTAGAATTTTTTTCTCTCTTATTATGTAAGCACCTGCACAATTTTCTCTATTTTACCCTTTGGCCTACAATGTCTAAAATATTAATATTTACTATGTAGCCTTTACGCAAAAAACTATCTACCCCTGGTGAATAGGGGACTCTCTGCAGGAACCATGGACAAGTGACTATAAATAGGCCTGAAAAGTTACCAATAATCCCAGCTATATCAGTTCTCTCTCTCTCTCTCTCTCTCTCTGTCTTTCTGTCTCTCCACCTCTTTCTCTCTCTCCTGTCTCCCTTTGTTTCCCCTCCCTTCTCTCTTCCTCTGTCCCTCTTTTATTCTCTCTTCCTCTCTTTCACAGATGCCCTCTCTCTGCTTTCTTTCATTCTCTTTTATTCTCTCTCTCTCCCTCTTTTTCCCTCTCTTTCATAGATTCTTTCTCTTTTCTCTCCCCTCTCTCTCTCCTTCCTCCCCCATACCACTTCCTTCCCTCTTCCTGGGGCCATGTGATCTCTCCCCTCCATGGTACCCTCTGCTCCTTTGTTTTCTACCTGCATATGGCTTTTTTGTTCATTGGCTTACCTTCCTCACATGGTTGGTCTGGAGGACCACCACTAACAGAGGCTTCATTCCCCAAGTATGCATGCCCTGGAAGCCCATCTCCCAGTTACTGGCCTTGGGCTCAGGATCTCCACTTCAATCCCAGGAAAGCAAATCTGGCTCACTGCAGGTCTGACATCCATGTAAGTCCAGCCAGCTTTGAAAAAAGTCAAGCAGGGCTGCGCCTTCTATGCAGTGGATGGGTCTGTTCTCTGACAGGGGAGAGGGGATAGGGCGGACACCATGAGAGTTTTCAGTACACATGCCACAGTGACCTCTTTGGCCAGCTTAAAGGATTTCCCATTCAATCTACTCATCCACTGCCCAGCTTCTGTCCTTTGTCCTCCGATTACTAGATAGAAAAGCAAAGCAAGAAGGCAATGCCCCAAAAGAAGGCCAGTCGATGGGCATTAATACAGGATTGCTGTGAAAATGCCTCGAGCACTGAGAATGCACAAAATAGATTTGTTTAGCTGTATTGAAAACAAACAGAAAAAAATACAGTTTGCCATATTAATTTAATATATTCTGCATTCTCAGTCCCTAGGAAAAGATACACTATGCACCATCAGTTTTCAATTTTTTATCACTGTGTGAGGGAGGCATTCTAATTAATCCAAACTCTATATTTTCAGTGTCTTGACATCCCCATATCTCCAGCCAAATTTGCTAAAATTTCACATGCCAAGATAAAAGATACAAGCATGTTATTCTGGAGTATTGTTATTAGCTTTAAATATGAAAAGATTGTACATAGAGGGGGTTCATTAAGTTAACTATCAGTAAGGGAGTTGCCATAGAAACTGGTAATAAGAGAAAAAGACATTTAAGAAATTCATGTTATTTTTACCCTTGCTTAGTCCCAAAGTGGGTTGGAAACATATGCCTTGGGAAGTTCCAACCTCAGGGAAGGACCCAAGCTATCTTTCAAGGAATTTCTTTCTGTCTAGAGAACCATAAGTATTTAGAAGTGAAACATTTTGTTGCGTGTCGACTGTTTAATAACTTGTGTGGTACTTCCTATTTCCAAATGCTTTCCTGAGCATCAATTTAGGTGCAAGATTATAATGGCAAAAAAATGTATAGCGTACAGGATTGGTTTGCATTGGGTCTGGCATTCACCAATTGGGTACCTCATGGATTTTCAATAAAAGAAATCTGAGTTTATTACCCATTTACAAGTAAGGTCAGACACATTCCAGTTATAGTTAGGCTGTCTTGAATAATTTATCCTAACTCTATAACGTGAAGGCAATATCCAAAATACCTGCCTCCATAGAAGACCTAAGAGACATTCTAGTTAAAATGAGATGCATTTATTTTCAAATGTCACCCCTAGATGTTTTCTTGGGCTCACTCTGCTCCTCAATAGCTCAAAGCTTTCTAGTCACATTTCCTTTTGCAAAAATATAATGTATTAAAATATTCTCTGTCTGTACAATAATATTTCCACAGTTGTACCTGAATATTCATGTATTCACAACTGGGAATCTTCCTAATTGTAAGAAGCACCTTAAACTTACTAAGAAAAAAAAATACTTTTGAATGTTTTCAGGCACAACCGATTATCAGATTTATGTAGTTTTCATAAATTCATCTCACACTTTCCAGACCACAGAAGAGATGCATTAGTTAAAGATATCAAGAATCGAATTCTGAAACTATTTGTAAAGAGCTGCGGTAGTGTGCAAACTTCAGCCATTATTTCTCAAGTAGGTATTAATTTGTTACCCATTAAAATGAGGCAAAATAGCTTGCCTGCTCTCCATGGATGCATAATGTCAAAGTACATGAATTCTCTACACAGACATTTAAATCAACAAAAATCACATAACCCTGGAGCTGGCAAGGCAAGGAATTGCTAACTGTGTTCATGTTACTGGGACATGCTTTAGCTAGTAAACACAAGTATCTAGCCACCACTGATAGACTTAGTATTGAATTGTTCAAGATCTTCAGGAAGTTATCTCTCACTTAAAGTGCAAATCCCCTTTTTAAGTGACCTATACTGTAATAATCATGATCTGTGGCCTATAGTCATTAAGATGTAGGTAGAGAATGATCTTCTATGCTCTATCTCCATGTAAATATGAGCCAGTTTCCAACAGCAAATAGATTATCCTTCAGACCCATACGCACTTTAGATCATCTGTGGGTGACCTTGACATAAAACCTAACAGTTAATTTAGTTTGATTGAAATTTTACCCAGGCATTTTACTATTAAACACCAAATGTTTTCACAAATAGCTAAGCTGATCATAGATTATGGTTTCATATCAGCAGAGAGAGTTAATTGCTGTTAATAAAGAGAAGAAGAAGAAAGACTGCTTAGAATTTTAAGACATTCTTTCATTCCTGACACCTCTCTCCCTCACAATGCCTCTCCCAGTCTTTTCTTATGGCAGTTTAGACACTTTTAGCTTTATTGGGAGCCCCGGCTGAATTGCCTAGCAGTTGAAACAAAATGTGACAAAAGTCTAAGAGGTTATCTTATGCAAGGACTTAGGGTTCAGTATGTAATTAGAAAGCCCTAGGGTAACCTAAAACCCTGTAGAACGCAGAGCTGTTAAATCTGTTACTCAAGCTCACATTTTCGTATGCTCTAATGTTTCCTATTCCAAAATTGCAAAAGCTGGAGAGTGTGGCAAGCATCTTGCCTATTCCTGCTTAAAGCAACCTTATATTGCTCTCAAATAAAATTCTAATGGAAAGTTCTGAGAGCTATGACAAGTCTTTGGTGATGGTAGAAAATGAAAAATGACTGCAATCAACTAAGGAATTGGCTTACTTCATTCCAAAACCAAAGAACAAGTATTCACCAAAAAAGGGACCTGGGAGAATCTAGGTAATTTTTTTTCCTACAGACTGTATTTTTTAAATTAAATCTAAACAACCTTTTATTTTATTCATTTGTTTTCAATGAATGACCAGTAGGTTTAGCTGAGCGAGACACAAATTTGTAAGGCTCTTCAAAGGAACTTACATCAGTTTCTTTATGAGCATAAAGAAAATGGCAGTGAGCCCTATGAATCCAGCCCAGCTGGATATGCAGTGGATTCCCAAAATGTTTTCTTTATGTCACAAATAAAAAATGTAGCATTCTTGACATTCTAAAAAGCTGTTTCTTTTCTATGAAGTCTTATCCTGCAGATTCTAATTTGTAAGATTGTGAATCTTGCTAGAGTTTTTTAAATATCCTGTGTTTGAGCTGTAATTTAGAAAAAAAGTGTGAACAGAAAAAAAAACAAGAAAGAAAGAGGAGAATGGAGAGAGAGTGGGGGTGATATCCTAACCAGGAGTCCCCAATCCCCTGTCCACAGACTGGTACCGGTCCATGTCCTATTAGGAGCCAGGCCATAGGTGAGCGGCTGGCAAGTGAGCGAAGCTTCATCTGTATTTACAGTCACTCCCCATCACTCACATTATCACCTGAACTCTGCCTCCTGTCAGATCAGCTGCATAGGAGCGTGAGCCCTATTGTGAACTGTGCATATATGGTATCTAGGTTGCGTGCTCCTTATGAGAACCTAATGCCTGATGATCTGTCACAGTCTCCCATCATGCCTAGATGGGACCATGGGAACCCTAGATGAGAAAGCAAGCTCAGGGCTCCCACTGATTCTACATTATGGTGAGTTGTATAATTATTTTATTATATATTACAATGTAATAATAATAGAAGTAAAGTGCATAATAAATGCAATGCACTTGAACCATCCCAAAACCATCCCCCTTCCGGCGTCCATGGAAAAATTGTCTTCCATGAAACCAGTCCCTGGTGTCAAAAAGGTTGGAGACCACTGCTATACACAGTGTTTCACTGTGGAAGGTTTAGCCAATCAATATAACTGGGCAGTAATAATGTGATATAATCCTCCTGGGCATAGAATTTTGTTCAAGAATTTATCCTAGAACTTGTGTCAGAGGCCTCAGTGAGTTTCACAAAACAACACAAACAGATGCCCTTTGCAGATGTATCAATGTGCTTAATTTAGGGTGGGGTTTTGCAAGGGTCCATTAACAAAGTATTCATAGGCTTATGATCAGCTAAGGTAGGTTTCAAGAATCCATAAAGGTGGGAATTGAACAATGAGAACACGTGGACACAGGAAGGGGAACATCACACTCTGGGGACTGTGGTGGGGTGGGGGGAGGGGGGAGGGATAGCATTGGGAGATATACCTAATGCTAGATGACGAGTTAGTGGGTGCAGCGCACCAGCATGGCACATGTATACATATGTAACTAACCTGCACAATGTGCATATGTACCCTAAAACTTAAAGTATATTAAAAAAAAAAAAAAAAAAGTCAGGATAGTGAGAGAGTAGTAGCTGGTAGCGGGGACAAGGGGCCCTCTTAGGGTTCTAATAATATTCTATTTCTTGATATGGGTGGAGGTTACATGAGTGTGTTCACTATGTGGATATGTATTGTTGTTAGAGATAATGTGTGTACTTTTCTGTATATATGTTATTCTTCAATAAACCATTTAAAACATTAAAAAAATAAAATAAAAAAATAAAAAGCAAAAAAAAAAAAAAAAAAAAAAAGAATCCAAAAAGTCCCTGAAATTGCATAGAAACATTTTTGTGTCTACCCACATGTATGTTTACTTTTCTGGAGAAAGGGTCCCTAGCTTTCATAAAATTCACAAACATATTCTAAGAATAGGCTACAGACTACTTCAGGTCATTACTAGTTATCTGATGTCATTTTCTTTTGCCAGAAATAAAGACAATACGTTTATGTGTGTAAGTAAGTGTGTGTGTGACCTGACAGAAAGGTTTAATGTTAACATATCTTGGTTAACTTACAATAAGCATGATAGTTTTAGGCATAGTTTGATTTTCTACCTCTCATAACTAAGAAATTCAAAACTGCTTTTGTTTGTACCCTATAAAGGCTTTTATTATCCATGGAACAAATGTCCGTGTATTATCACTGAAAAAAATAAGAGAGAATTTGGAAGCATAGATATATTCAATGTTTATGAAAAAGATGACAGTTTGCTCCGTTCAATTTTTGGCACCAAATTTGACTAAATGTGTGTGTGTGTGTTCAGCTCTGGATTAATACGTTTGTTTTCATCATTTTAATTGGTAATTAGTTTCAGTTCAAATATAGGAAATCATTATCCTGAAAATCTTTCTGTACTTCTAGAAGTTATAATATTTTGATACATTGACAAATATATTGACAGAGAATAAACTGACCATGTATTACTCTCAAACAAATCAGCCTATGAGATTTGGTCTTTTCATTATGTATGCTCTCAAAGGGAGAGGAGGTTTCCAGCCATCTTTCCTGCTGTCTTGTAGATGCCAGATCACTGGAACATGGTAGAAGGTCCATGCTAAGTACTTCTCCCTCCACGAGAACACTGAGTGGATCACACTTGGTCTGTGAGTTGGAGTAAAGATTCCACCGACAGAATCCAAGAGTCCTAGAACTTGGCAAATTCTAGGATGTCTTAGAAGATCCTAGAAGGGGTCTAAATATATCATCTGATATAAAACAGCAGGTATAGGGTATTGTTCCTTAATACAAAGTCAATGACATAGGAGCATATGCTAAAGCAAATCAAGGGAAAAAATAAATAGCATGGCAAAAAACACAATTACTTTTGCACCAACGTAATACTTTGGGAAATACTTCATAAAATAACCTTTAACAATGGAAAATAGGCTACCTTTTTGAAGGCATGTTATAAAATACAAATCCCTATGGGGTGGATATTTTTATGAGAGCAAATTCTCCTCCCAAAGAGAAATGTTGTGTTAACATTTCAAGTTAGCCCTTAATCTTTTTTTGTTTTTATTTTATTTTTTGAAATGGAGTTTCACTCTTGCTGCCCAGGCTGGAGCACAATCGTGTGATCTTGGCTCACTACAGCCTCTGCCTCCCGGGATCAAGCAATTCTCCAGCTTCAGCCTCCCAAGTAGCTGGGATTACAGGCGCCTGCCACCACGCCCAGCTAATTTTTTTTTTTTTTTTTTTTTTTTGGTATTTTTAGTAGTGACAGGGTTTCACCATGTTGGCCAGGCTGTTCTCAAACTCCTGGCCTTTGGTGATCCGCCCACCTTGGCCTTCCAAAGTGCTGGGATTACAGGCATGAGCCACTGTGCCTGGCCAGCCCTTAATCTTTAAAGTACCTTTCAACAGGAATTTACTCAATCATCATAATAGGCAGCAATAAGGAAACTGTCTCCTTTACAGACACCTGAAGAGAGCCTTAAGGAGACCTAGCATTTGAGTCACTAAGGGCTCCTGGGTCAAAACAGAACAGCAAGGCCTTTCACTTCCCTCTCCTTGGATTTGAAAGAGTAATTCTCAAGACCTCCCCATCCACAGAAAACGAATGGGTCCCCAGGTCACTTGTCTCTCCCAGTTCCCTCTAGGAACTGAAAGAAATCTTGGCATCTTGCCTTGATCAACAATCATCATTTTCTTTTACGTGTTTTAAGTGGACATGCAAAACAGCACCCACTTTTGTGTAACTGGCATTTTGGATCATTCTTTTAAGATGAAAATCACACCAGGAAAAACATCAAGTTAAAGGAGATAAAGCCCTAGGAGACTAAAGTATTTATGCTTTAGAAGTAAAACAGGTCACATAAGTCAAAAATATCCTTTACCCGAGCAAGAAACCAAATCCTAAACTATTACTCATTACGGGGAAGCAGTTTCTTGATATCAGATAAAAGCATAGCAAAAGAAGTAAAAGGGAGAACTCAGATGTCCAAGAGTTGTTTTATTTTAGTTTATATTTATGGAAGTAGTACAGAATTTTGATTATTTCTTTTTTAAGATAACTGCTGTGTGCGCCCTCTAAGACCAGCTCACTTTTATGGTACTGCTCAATTCCTTAATTATTCTGAGGCAGCAGAGAGAAAAAATACAATGTGATACCAAATTGAACAAAAGGAAGTTATTCAATGATAAATCATACTTGAAATGTCACTTAAAAATGAATTTTTCTTTGTCATCATGTCTCTCATGGACATTTGATTTTATTACTTCTCTTTAAGGTTAGGTTGAACGATGCATACAGCAATTAAAGCAATTTTCACCTGAAAACAGCAATGTCTTCTGGCTCAGCATAAATAGCTTAAATACTTTTGGGAAACAATTCAACTGAATCCAACAAATGTTTACTGAACTCACATCACGTGCCTAGCTCCTTGCTCAGTAGTGGCAGATGCAATAATGGCAGATGGCAGATACCATATCTCCTGGGTAATTCAACATGACAATCATGCTGTTAAGAATCAATAATCATACAAAAATTAGCTGAGCATGGTGGACGTGCCTATAATCCCAGCTACTTGGGAGACTGAGGCAGGAGAATTGCTTGAACCTGGGAAGCAGAAGTTGCAGTGTGCTGAGATTGTGCCACTGCACTCCAGCCTGGGTAACAGAGTGAGACTCCATCTCAAAAACAAAAAATTAATAATCAGTCTGATCATCTATGGTCAAAGACAGACCCAGAATTCAGCCAGTAGTTGATTCAACAAGTTAAAATATGTCCCCAGCTGATTTTGATAGTGTTTAATAAAAAGAGCCATGTAGGGATTTTCTTACCCCTGTGATAACTTCAGGGAGGTGGCATTTTTTAACTTCCTACTTTTCATATAGGAAACAGACTCATTGGAAAGATAAAAGACTTGCTTCAGATCATGTTCAGCTTCCACGCTCTTGGTTGCTGGTCTGGTGCTTTGTCTGTTGACTAATTCCTTTTTCTCCCTCCTCACCCCAGGCCCTCCCCTGTAAAGTATGGAACCCCGTGCCTTCACTGACCCCAGCATCCTGAGAGTTGAGGGGAGAGGGCAAAGTCAAATAGACTTTCTGGTGGGAAAATTTGGCTGAAGGGTTTTCTGTAAATTTTTGCTCAGTACCATATCCCTTCATATGTTGCTACCTCCCCCGTGCTCAGTAATTTTAGTTTGTGCTTTTTGTTTCTCTTTTTGTTTCTTTGGTTTGCTGGCTTTGTGTTCTTTTCTCTTTTTTTCCTTTTCTTTTCCTTTTTTAATGCAGGAATCGGTCAAGGTGTTCCTGTGGTGGCACTCATAGTGGAAGGAGGACCCAATGTGATCTCGATTGTTTTGGAGTACCTTCGAGACACCCCTCCCGTGCCAGTGGTTGTCTGTGATGGGAGTGGACGGGCATCGGACATCCTGGCCTTTGGGCATAAATACTCAGAAGAAGGCGGGTAGGTAACTTTCCAGGCCCCATGGAAGAACCCTAAAGCCTGTTTGGAAACGAGGGTATGAGTGGATTATGTTTTCAGTAGCTCAACCAAGACCTCAAATCAAAACAAGCTATGAACAAATTGTCTAAAAAATGTCTGTCATGGGAGGGCTGTGGTGAAGAACAGAGAAACATATTCTAAATGTCCTGTGAAGTGGGAAATTCTATGAAAGCTACACGGATAATAAAAAGGGTGAGGAAAAGAGAGGAGGTCATAGGCTGTGGTCTCCTTTTTCTTCTCTTCGTATCTCCTTCTCCTCCTCCCAGTAAGGAGAAGCAGGAATTGAGTTTTAACACATGAAGCACATCCAGTCTGTACCAGATGGTTCAGGTTGGTAACTTCAGAGAAGCTGGGTTGTTCAGCTTCCAGGCTTGGCCTCCAAACACCAGCATTGCGAAGCCACTGTGAAGATATGTGGTAGATCGTGCCATCAGGCTTCTCTAGACGGGCTGGGAAAGTCAAATCTCTGTAATGGTAACTACTCTGGTCCTTTGTAAACTCCTGTTGAACCCCTCATGCCCTTTCCTTGGTCTGTTAGGCTCTTAATGCTACTTTCAACAGCCCAAAGCCCCCAACCCCAGAAAAGATTCCCCCTTCACAGCACTCCCCTCCAATCCAACTTCCCACTGAGCAAATGCTGAAATCCAGGCACTCTTGCAGATTATTAGATCAAAATAAACCATCCTAAGGTGTGAGTGAGATTGAGGGGGTAAAACCCAGGGAAGCCATTGATGTTTTAAGTAAGGAACTTCCTAATCCAATCAATTCCCCTAACACATGAAATTTGTGGGGAGGGGAAAGCCCCAAATGAGATGATGGTCTTTTATTCATGCCTTTTATAAATATACATTAAGTGTTTCCTGGGTGCCATGTACTAGGCCAAACATTAAGATGTAAAAAAGAAAAACGTACAATTAATTGCCACTCTCAAGATGCTCACAGTAAGTCTAGTAAGTAGACAAGTATTACAAAACAAAAATACAAGTGAGCTCACCTACAGCAGGATGCTCCCTCCTCCATCCCTCTCGTACCCATCCCTCTTGTACCCAGCCTGCTTTATTTAAATAGAGACTGAGCATGGCAAGTCAGTACCATCCCGTCTCTCCCTATCCCCTTCCTCATCTTTGACAGCAGCCCAGTACTCCACATAAGCCATTAAAACAGTACGCCTACCTAGTTAGTAGATGAACCTATGTTTGTGAAATGAGGAATAACAAGAGGCATTGAGCCTCCAGCTTAACACTGCAAACCCGAAAGCTCTGAAACCAAAAAATAATAATAATAATAATAATAATTTTTATAAACTCTAAGTTGGAGTTTACTGGCAAATTTAGTTAAATTACTATTATATTTTGATAGTAAATATTGGTCCATTTTATAGCTCAGAACTATTTAAATTTAGTTAAATTACTATTATATTTTATAGTAAATATTGGTCCACTTTATAGCTCAGAACCTAAAAAGAGAATATGTACCCAAACTTCTCTATGTTTACAACCAACCCAGAGTTTAAGATTCTGAATTGTGCTTTGTTTTGTTAAAAATTTAACCAAGGGTCAGGCACAGAGGCTCATGCCTATAATCCCAGCACTTTGGGAGGCCAAGGCGGGTGGATCACTTGAGTTCAGGAGTTCAAGACCAGCCTGACCAACATGGCGAAACCCCATCTCTACTAAAAATACAAAAATTAGCCAGGTGTGGTGGCATGTGCCTGTAATCCCAGCTACTTGGGAGGCTGAGGCAGGATAATCGCTTGAACCCAGGAGGCAGAGGTTGCAGTTGCAGTGAGCCAAGATTGTGCCATTGTACTCCAGCCTAGGCAACAAGAGCGAAACTCTGTCTTAAAAAAAAAAAAGAAAAAAAAAATTAACCAAGGTTCTCCTTTCTCTAAGTCTAGCAATTTGTTCTATTTTTCAGAAATAAACTTAATAATTTTAATACAGATTTTAGCTTTGGCTTTTTTCTTACTTTTTAGTTTGCAAATTATTTTATGGTATTCCTACAAAGTAGATACAAATTTGCATTCAGAATGCACCTTTTGTTTTTCTGGGTTTTTTTGTTTGTTTGTTTGTTTTTTCAGAAAACTCATGGAAAAGTACACTGTTCACCTCAGCATTTCAGGTTTCTCAGGTGTATACACAATGAAAGCCAGGACTAAGTGCCTATTATTTATCATGATCTTGGATTGTCTACCTTGAAAATGTTAAAATATTTAATAAGTTAAATATAAATACGTTAAAATACTTAGATTGCCCTTCCTGCTTTAATATGGAGGAAAGGTTATGTATTTTAGAACTGGGTGGGACCTAGATTATTTAAATTAAATTATTATTTAAATTAAGATTATTTAAATTAAGCGCTTTGTCCAAAGCCACACAGCCCAAGATCCCAGGCCAGAATCCCTGCTGGTATATCATGAACATGTACTGAAATGTGTTTTATGGTATGTGCTGTAGTGTTCCTCATATAGTACTTCAGTGATATTGTTTTGTAAATATTCAAATGCACTTCAGTTGTCTTCAGCTTCCTCTTTTCATTATACTTTAGTATTATTATTATTACTATTGGTATTCCAAAGAAATCAAAAGCAATGCATTCCTGGTTGTAAACCAGTGTCCAAGCTGATCAACCCCGTGTCATGGGGATTCTTTCCCTTTTCCTACCTAGGCCATTATACAACAACCCCAAAATTAAGAGTCAAAAATATCATGTTTTCTTTTTTTTTTTTTTTTTTTTTTTATGAAATGGAATCTCATGCTGTCCCCCAGGCTGGAGTGCAGTGATGCAATCTCAGCTCACTGTAAGCTCCACCTCCTGGGTTTACCCCATTCTCCTTCCTCCGCCTCCCAAGTAGCTGGGACTACAGGCACCTGCCACCACCCCTGGCTAATTTTTTGTATTTTTAGTAGAGACAGGGTTTCACTGTGTTAGCCAGGATGGTCTCGATCTCCTAACCTCGTGATCCTCCCACCCTGGCCTCCCAAAGTGCTGGGATTACAGGTGTGAGCCACCACGCTCAGCCAAAAATATCATCCTCTTTTAACTTTAATTAGCAGTTTTTGTTGTAATTTTTTATAGTCAAAATATGCAAAAGCACAATCTATATGGGATCTACACCAACTGTGAACAATGGCTGATTATCAAAGAATATGAGTTTATGCACATAACTAGTGCAGAGGTAAAGAATTAAGTATAATTTTTGATCTTAAGACGTTTTAAAATTAAAACTTTAAAAATTTTAAGAAATATTTAGAAATGGTTAAGAAAATAGAAGTCTAAAGAGAAGTTTTGTATTTTATATGTAGTGTTATGATAAAAGTGTGCTCTTGCTCCAGGAAAGCAATTATAAATTCATCATGATAAAATGAAGGCAGAATGTTTCTCTGTGCCACCTGAATAACTTCAAGAATTTAATCATGTTTATTTAGCTTGATAAGAAATTGTCTAGCCACACATGTGCAGCCAATTTTAAAAATCATTTCCAAATAACATTATCTTGCAGTAGTGTGCTTTATGTTAAGAGAAAAAAAAAATGGCCCACCTAGACCTTATTCACCAGGAAGGATTTCTTCTTTGATTTCTAATAAAGTCCAACAGTGTTGGAAATGTTTCACTACAAATAAATGTAAATCTACAACTATGTGATCATATAAACAAATCTATATAAATGTGCACCATTGTACAAATAGAATTGGATATAGAGAACACATACATCCTGTTTATGAAACCTTTACTTCAGGGCTGCATCAGTATCTTTTCAATTACTTTGGTAACTTAAATATGATTAAAAATGTTTTAAGTTAATTTAAAGATTCTTAAATAATACAGATCCAAGAACTATTCAGCTATAGAGACTTCCATTTTATAATCTTAAAGGAGTAAAAAAAAGCCTTACATTTTAACCTGTGTGAACTTTATGTTTTATCTTTGAATTCCCTTCTAGAATGTGAATTTAAAAGACAATCACTTTGGAAGTAATTTGTAATTGACAAAACTGATTAGTTTTTGTAGTTGAGATTACTTAGGATAGAAAAAGACAGACTGCATCTATCACAATCCAAATGGGTTTGGATAAACTAAGAGATAATTGCAGTTAAATTCTTGTTTGAGTCTCTTTCTCCCTATCTCTGCTCTATGGCATATAGTACCTGGAAGAAATGGTCAAACTCCCATTTTTTTTCTCATTGGCATAATGGATTTTCTGTTTCTCATCTGTCATAGTTTAGAATGAGTCACTAATTAATGAAAATTGTCACTTTCCGTAATTAATTTTGTTGCTTTAGAAATATTATCAAATTTTATTTCTAAATCATGAATGACTAAACATGACAAAGTTAAAGAGATTCATGCTACCCAAATAGTAATTAAATCACCTAAGTTTTTTAATACTAGGATTCTACTTTTTGTGTTTGAGCAATATGAACTGTAGTACTCATAGTTGGGGATACCATACCTTTCAGGATGTAGACTCCTGACATTGAAATCAGAGATTACTTTGCCTGATAATGCTCAACCGAAGTGTCAGACTGCAGAGAAATGTTGTCTAGCCTGTCACTTGTCAATCAGTGAGCAAGTACTTCACCCATAAAAAAAGTCAGTGTGAAAAAGGCATCCAAATGCGTTTGTGTTCCAAAATGGTGCTCCTCGTTCATCCAAATTTTATTACGGATTTTTATGTTTATTTTGGCATCTTCATTCCAGAGATAATCATCTGTATTTACCATTTTTAGATACTTTAGGACAAAAAGCAGAGCTTTCTGGTAGCAGAAAGCCTTCAAGTTTTTTAGTCATCTGTTACTAACTTTTGGGAAGTTATCAATGGGGAAAATACCAAGAGACTGTTCACGTTTTTGTGTGTCAGTGGAATTTGTATTGGATATTGTGAAGAATAAATGAGCAATGGCTTGGGAGCAGGAGAATAGATAATAGATTTCTAATAAAAATTTGACTTTCCTGTTTAAAGGATGTTTAATAAGGGTCCCTACATTACTTGATTAGCTGAGGCAAAGGCATAAATGAATGCTAACTGCAGATGAAAAAAAAAATGTTGTATGGCTTCAAATTATGTAACTATATATTCCTAGTAGAGATGTGGCAAAAGCGTGTTTCTCTGCAAATATACATCAAAATGACCAAAGGTATGAGAAAGTCACCAGAAACCTAGACATTTTAGAAACCGAAGTGTAGTCTGTAATCCCTAGGGCCTGTCATTCTGTGCAGTGGTCACTATTGTTTTCTCCTGCTGCTCCAGAGATTTCCATCTAAAGCTGAAGGGTGTCAAACCCTTATCATTTGTCTCTATAAGACCTGCCAAAAGAACGTAATTGATCTCAGTGGTTTGTATTCCAGCATGATTTAGACATAATTGGAATGTCAAGTGAGAAAAAAGACATATCAAGCATGCTGGCTTCATGTATCCATTATAGTTTTTGTAAATTTCATCTTACCTTGTCTCTTTTCTAAAATTTTCTATGAGAAATCATGTCAAAACTTGATTCTTTTTTATAACTTTCTCAGAAGGGAAACCTTGGAAACACCTTGTACAGACAAAGAACGCTGGTGGTTTTATCTATAAAAAGGGTTATTTTTGTAAACTGTTTTCCAAGTTAACATTTATTGAGTGCCTACTATATGCATGGGCCTGTTGGAAGATGAATAAGGCAGGGCCCTAGCTATCAAGAACTTTATAATGAGGACTAAAACATAGACACAAGTGCAGATAACTAGAAGGTCATGTGTGCTTTGATAAAGGCACAAAAGGTCACAAGAGCACAGAGGGTAAAATAAATGCGTGGCGCATTCTTCACGAGAATCCTATCAATGGAACAGTGTATGTTAATATCCACAAAAATGGCAATAGAATGACTCTATTTTTCCTCTTCCCCTTTTCCATCAAAAACTGGATCTAAGCTGAGGGTCAGCCTGGATGACTGAGAGGAGCTAATATTTGACCCTCCCTTATATAACTCAACTCAGACAAAGAATTAATCTAAATAAGATTGAAGAAAATTGGTAAAAGGGACAAATTCATTGAAACAGTGTGGCAGTGTTTTGTGTGTGTGTGTGTGTGTGTCTGTGTCTGTTAAATTTATATACACTAATAAAATTAATCCAATAAGATTACTTTACGTATACATAAGTATATATATTAATCCCTAATCCCTATAATTATCTGTGTGTATATATATGCTTAAAATTTAAGTGAAGACTTAAAGATAGAACTGATAATATAACTTTTCAAATCAATCAATCACTTAGGTATTTTTTGAATGCTTGTTTTAGGTACTATGGGTGCTATGAAAAGTAGTATAACTTTCCTCAAGAGATGTACACATAATCTTATTTGAACTAGTATACTAACAAATAATTTTTCAATTAGATGTTATTATTGAATTCTGGGAAGGCAGAAGGAAGCATAGGTTGGAGTAAATGGAGAAAGTGTCATGGAGAAAATACCACGGCAGTTTTTGCCTCTGTAGTATATATAAAGACATAGATATATTGCCACCTGTGTTATTGTATCCAAGCTCTATAAGGCTAGAGTAGCTCCATGTATTTAAGAAAGTGTGAAATAAAATAAATACGTTTGTCTTAGAGTTCCCTATTTTATCCCTCATGTTGTGTCAACATGGGAAGAATGAAGCATTGACTTTAAAAAAAATTATCCAGAGTTTCTTCTTCAGGGAAGAAAGCACCACGGAGAGGAAAAGTTTCATTGATCTAAATTGGCTCATCAGTGCCCTACATGGACTAAATTTGCTTTATAATTGCTCAGCTCCACACTATTTTCTAAAGAGTTGAGCAAAACTCTTTAGGAAAGAGTGTCCTTGAACATAAAGAGCAAATGTCGGAGAAAACATAGTTGCATAATTCTTTATGATAGAGAAATCCCTTCTAAAGAACCATCATCTACAACTTTCAGAAAGTGCATCAATGCCAAGTGATGATTTCAAAGCTCTCTATTGATTACATTCCTCTGAGATTTCCTTAGCTAACTCTTGGCTACTTGTTTAACAACAACAACAACAACAACAAAAATCCAAATAAACGTGGTTATCAAACTTCAGCATGTCTGAGAATCACCTAGAGAGCTTTGGGAGATCCAGCTCCCCCTAAATATCCTGACTTTGATGCACGTGGGGTGGGGCCCACGAAACTGTATATGAAACCCAAACCCCAGGTGATTCCATTGAGAGTGGCCTATGGTCCACACTTCTCTGATGTTTTCAAAAATACCTTCCTTGGTTTCTGGGCCTCACCTGCATTCTCCTCACAAGTCACTGCGTTGTTACCACAAGCCCTCTGTACCTTCTGCCAAATTTTGTCTTTGAAACCCAGTTGACTTGAAAAACATATTTACCATCAATCACCACATTTCTCTCTTTCCCACAGCTGTACTTTGTTCCAAACGTCTATCAGACTTGAACATTCTTCCCTGAAAAGCAAGCTGTGCCATAAAAATACTCATTTTGACAGGACTGACAGATTTATTGCTTAGTATTTTTATTTACATGGAGTTTTTAAGGGCATTCAGTTTACTTATTTCCTTGTTTCTTTTGCAAATCATTTTTTGACTAGCTCAAAATATATAACCAATCTAAAAAGAGAAAGAAAAAAGGAAGAGGAAAGCAAAGGTATTTAGAAGTGAAATGGTGCTAGTTGATGGCGAATGACGGTCCTCTCAGCTGAGAGGCAGGGTTCCAGGGGCCAGCATTGGAAGCTCAGCATCTGCAGTGTCCTACCCCAGCTTCCTTCGACTTTACAGTTGGAATGAACAGCCTTTAAAGAGTCCTAACCTCCCACTTGTCTTGATTGATTTTTACTTTTTTAAAGTCCTTGAATTCTTCCTCAAGTGAAATCTCAGGTAGAGGTGCAATATGTAATACAGACAAGGTGCGGGTTTACTCTGTCAAAGCTGGGATAGGAGGCCTAGACCATGATTCTCAAATTTTATTCTGCATCAGAATCACCCAGAGGGCTTGTGAAAATAAATGGCTATACAGGAGGAACGAGTTGAGGAGATGTATCGTACATCATGGGGACTATAGTCAATAACAATATATTGTATACTTGAAAATTGCTGAGAATAGATTTCAAGTTTTCTCACCATAATAAAATGAAAGTATGTGAGTTAATGCATATGTTAATTAGCTTGATCTAGCCATTCCACAGTGTATACACATATCAAAACATACCATAAATACCATAAATACATACAATTTTTGTCAATTAGATATGCATTTTTTAAAATAAGAGGAAAAAACTACAAAAAAAAAAATCTCACAATTGCTGGCTCCACCCCCAGATTTTCTAATTCAATAAATCTGGTTGAGGTCAGGTAATTTGCATTTCAAAGGAATACTTAGGCGATGCTATGCTTTTGGTCCAGAGACGATACTTTCAGAACTATTTTCCTAGGGCCTCCTTTCTGCCTGGCTCTCACCTACAAAGGCAGCTCTGAGGCAGCTGTGGAGCTCCTCCTCAAAATTCCGGGGGCTTCTTTGTGAAACTCCATTGAAGACCCCTGACCTACAGGTCAAGATCACATTCCTTTGCTTGGACTCAAGATCCACTGTATCCTGGCCCCAGCTTTTCTCTAGAGCCAGCTCTCACTCAACAAACCTTCCATTCACCCTACAACCCAATGGAGCTGTCCTCCCCACTGTTCTCCAAGCACTTCCTGCTGTCACAAGGCTTCTCTGCCTTACCATGAGATGCACAAATGCATTTCTTTACCCATTTAATTTCTAGTAAATTTTTCTCTGAAGTTTCACAAACTAGCCTCTCTCACAAAAAGATGTAGTAAGGGCTTTAAAACCCACAAATTTATCTGAGTGAGGTGCAAATAATAAAATGTACTGGTGTTTCATTCCTTTCCTTTAGAGGAAATAGATTCTGAATCAACCTGGCTGACATTAGGATCTACAGCTGCTAGGGATACAGTGGATTAATGCCTTACCTAGTGGTATTATTAATAATAAATAATGTTTGGGATGTTTTTAATGGATTTTCTCCAGATTCCTCATGCAATTCTCAGATGTTGGTCACGGACCACAGGATTTATGAAAACTATATAGAGCAGTGAACACATGCTATAAAAGCTTCTTCAGTCAGAGAAACACTAAAAATGCATTAAAGTAGGATTTCAAGATTAACTCAAGTCTGCACTACTGTTGTCTAGAAAAGTCTCCATTCAGTTTCAATAACATCTTTTTGCACTATCCTAATTGTTGGACAACTCTCTTAGAGTCGATGTACATATTTATTATGTTTTCTTGGGATATTCCATGCAAAGCAAGTGTCCATTCATGAGCATAAACCTCTAAAAGTCTTGAGTAAGCAGTAAATAATCCATTCCTCTAAATCCATAGAACCATGATTCAGTGTCTTGGAGACAAACTTAAAATTTGGAGTTGTTTAAGCCTATCATCTCCTTGGTTTTTGCCATTTGATAGTAAATTTGAGATTTTATTATCTCTAATGCATTGATGACAAATACAGTTGACCCTTGAATGACATGAGGTTAGAGTTGCCAACCCCCCATGTGGTCAAAAATCCATGTATAACTTTTGACTTCCCAAAAACGTAACTACTAATAGTTCATCATTGGCCAAAAGCCTTACTAGTAACATATCAACATACATTTTGTATGTTACATGTATAATATATTTTTACAATAAAGTAAGCTAGAGAAAAGAAAATATTGAGAAAACCATAAGGAAGAGAAAATATATTTACTATTCATTAAGTGGAAGAGATCATCATAAAGGTCTTCATCATTGTCGTTTTCATATTGAATAGGCTGAAGAGGAGGAGGAAGAAGAGGAGGGGTTGGTCTTGCTATCTCAGGGGTGGCAGAGGAAGAAAAAAAATTAGAGTGTAAGTGAACCCGCACAGTTCAAACCCCTGTTGTTCAAGGGTAAACTGTAGTTTAAATCTGAGTGTCAACTCCAATAAATTGGTAGAGGCTTCCTGGAATGATGTATTAATATGATTCTAAGATTGCATCTCAGTGCAGAAGAAAGCGTACTGTGATAGATTAACAATGTCTGCTGAGGCAAAGATAGGAATTTGGAGTCAACATGCCATGAATTTATTTGTTATTTCATGAACTGAAATAAAGCCAAAATCTTATAGATACCCCTGTAGCTATAAGACTACCAGGCAATCATCACGTAGTGCATCGAATCATGAAACCAACAGGAAAAATAAGACATCCAGCTGTCTGGAAGATAGAACAAAGGAAATGGTCCATTTTTTCGTCGACTCTGCAAGGCACAACAGTGTTTAAGTTATCCATCATATGAGCCTTTCCACACAGACATAATACACAGGAGATGAAGAACGAGAAATGCTTTAGTGTAGGTTACTGCTTGGATCTGGACTGAGAGACAAGCTAATTGAGCAATTGCCTATGAAAAATGCTTGAGAAATTTTTTTGAAAAACTAGAAATCTATCATAAACATGTAACAAAAATAGAGACACTTATATTTGTCCCAGTGTTTCATAGAGAAGAATAAAAGGAATATTTTGAGAAATTACTTTGAAAGAGAATTTAAACTTATCCCTCCCCTTTTCCCACACCTCTGACCCTCTCCCCAGCAGCATGCTCAAAAATTTGAAATTAATATTTTTTAGAGCTTCTACATGCATCAGCCTGATCTAGGCACTTTATTTCATAAACATCATGAGGTGGCTATAATTATTATCCCTATTTTATAAATGAGGAAATTGAGGACAGAAAGGTTAGGTAATTTGCTAAATATCTCAAAGCTAGAGAGTGGTCAGCCCAGACTGACTGGAGCTGGAGCTTAGGCCCTTAGCAGCTATACCATGTTGTCCTCTAAGAAGGTGGGACCCAGTAACTGCAGGAGGTTTATTTTGCTTGCCCCAGAGCTGAGCTTTCCAGACAGCAGAGGAAGTGGCACCCAGATTCCATCTTCTCTCCCTTCTCTCATATGCTGGGTAACTTCTCCTGTGAGTAAGTGTTGCACCAATGTGTAAGACCAGTCAATTGCAGGAGGCCAGTGTTGTAGTCTGCCTGGAGGCCCCAAAAATTCAGTCCAGCTCGGATTCTGTCTTTTATATGGGTCCTAAAACAATAAAAAAAATTTGACTTTTCCTCTTGCCTGGGCTATGGCAATATTCGCTGATGGGATTGCACTTGGAATGAACTCAGAGAGTGTGATTTCCTTCCAATGTTGGCAGCAGAGAATCCACCTGACATGTGGCAGTCCCTGTATCCTTTGGCAGCACTTCACTTCTACTGTTGTGCACATTCATAACCAAAGGCAAAGGAAAGAAGAGACATGACAGAGACACAGCCAACATTGTTCAGGATTTTTCATCTAAATGTCCCACTTGTCCCTGCCTAAGATGGAGAGTTTGGCAGCCCTGCCTGTCTCCAGAGCAGCACTGCCCAACAGAATTCTCTGATGATATGGCTGGGTGTGGTGGCTCACGCTTGTAATCCTAGCACATCGGGATGCCGAGGCAGGTGGATCCCTTGAGCTCAGGAGTTCGAGACCAGCCTGGGCAACATGGCGAAACCCTGTCTCTACAAAAAATATGAAAAATTAGCCAGGTGTGGTGGCATCTCAGGAGGCCAAGTCCCAGCTACTTGGGAGGCTGAGGTGGGAGGATCACCTGAGCCCAGGAGGTTGATGCTGCAATGAGCTGTGATTGCACCACTGTACTCCAGCCTGGGCAACAGAGCAAGGTCCTGCTTCAAAAAAAAAAAAATACTCTCTGTGATGACAGAGATCTTCCATATCTGTGATATCCAACCAGAGACTCCCTGAGTGCTTGACCTGTGGCTAGTGTGACAAAGGAAATGAATTTTAAATTTCATTTCATTGTATTATAATTAAATAGCCACATGTGAGTAACAGCTACCATATTGGATAACAGAGCTCTAGCATTTCTGCAGTTGGTTTCCACCAAACTGAGAAGCCTTGAATGTCTGATAGATCTCAAATATTATTTGACATTTTCCCTGTTTTTAATTATATTCTTTCCTCCAGTCAGCATTATGTATTTAGTCATTCGATAGATATTTTTTGAACACCTACTATGTTCCAGGCACTATTCTAGGCACTGGCAAAAATACACTAGTAAACCAAATAGACAAAAATCCCTGCCTTTGTGGAGCCTTTATTTTAGCAGGGTTAGATAGACAAAAGTAATAAACACAATCCATAAACACATTATATAATATTTTAGAAGATATATGCTATGGGGTAAGAAAGCAGAGTAAGGGAGATCAAGATAAGCGGTGGCAGAAAAGCCTCTGTCTTCTGCACCTTGATTAGCACTGAGGGGAGGGGAGAAGAGATTATATGCACAGTCCAGGTATCCAAGGATTTACAGCCTGGTGAGGATTTTCTTAATCTGTCTGATGAAATGCCATGTGTAAAATGCACAGCACAAAGCTTGTCTTATAGAAGGGACTAAATACCTTTCTTACCACTTTCACCCCCACCACACCACCCACCTTCAGTTTCCTTTTTGATATGTATCAGAGCCTTCTGTTTTACCATAGCTGGCTCAGGAGTCTAAGGTGAGAACAAGGAAAGAAGAGGGAAGGGAAGGAGAGAAGGAAAAGGGAAGTAAAGAAGGAAGGAAAGAAAGAAGGAAAAGAATGAAGAGAATGAAGAAAAAATAACAAACAAGAGAAGCCTGATTCTCTTGGCTTCTAAATCCAGCTCTAATGCTTACCAGCTATATCATCTTAAGCAAATCAGTTCACCTTCACAGACCTTGGATCCTTCATCCATAGAATGGTTGCTCTAAAACCGTATCATTCTTTTATCCTAAATATCAAATCTCTCAGTAGAATTTGCTGATTTGTGCCTTCTCTAGAACATACAGACTTCAAAAATATTAAAGTAGGAGGTTGCAGCCAAGTATGAATTCTTATCCTAACACCCGTTTGAGTTCAGGATGGCATAAAATTATCTGAGCGTAATGGTTTCAAGGCATCTTAGCAACCCTAGTTTGCATGACTTTTGATGAATATGATCCAAGAGCTAATGAGCTGTCCGCACTGATACCCCAGCTAAGTGGCTTTGAAATGTGGCCTTTCCCATCCTATTCACAGGCCTACTTCATCCGAATTTCATAGAATTACTGAAATCTATCTCCCCCATAGGGATGGACTCCTCCAGCTAATATGCATGCCGGTTACCTTGCTTCAGCTCTGAGCTAGGCATCATTGGGATTTCCTGTAGGTGCAAAAGCCCCTAATGTTCTTAATAATAACAACTGCCAATTATTTAACACCTATGTGCCAGGAACAGTGCCAGGTGCTTTCCATACATGATCTCTTTTTTTCCCAAATACATCAACCTAAAAAGACATATACTACCCTTATTTAACAGATGAGGAGATATTGGCTTAAAGAGATCAAATAACCTGTCTCAGATCCCTCACTGGTAAATAAAGGAGCTGTATTACAGCCAAAGGCACCATACCATAGCATCTTAACTATGTCATTCCATCTCCTATAGCAGATTGTGAAACTGGCCTCACCACTTCAATGTATGACTTGGAACTAGTTGAAAAAATGTAGATGTATGTTGTGTTGGTTTTTATGTGATATAATTACTTTGTGTTGTCAAAACCACCAACATCTAAGTGAGGGAAATTACCTTGATATCATTGAAACTCTTAACATCCCCAAACAGCTATTGAGAACTTCTATGGGCAAGATGTTGCCCTAAGCATTATGGGGGAGATGCAAATGAATAAGAATCTGTCTGTTCCTGACAAGAGCTACAAAGCAATTCAAAGGAGGGATGAGGTAGTATCCAGAAATAGAACCAAATATATGTTTTTGAGTTGGGCAGCCAGTTCACTTCTTGAATTCCTGGCCTCAAGCAATCCTGCCACCTCAGCCTCCCAAAGTGCTGGGATTATAGGTGTGAGCCACCACTGGCCCAATCATTTCTAAACACCCTTTGAGTTTAAACAACAAGAGAAAGATAAAGATAGAGACCAATAATATTTCTTAGAGATAATCTGATTAAAAGGAAAAGGATCAAGAAAACCAAATTGCTGGATTGTAAAACTTTATGCCATATCTCCCATTCTCCCAAATAGGCTTGAAGTACATCCCACCATGAGGACAAAGAGGCATGGGGGAGACCGCCTGGTCACCCACCTAAAGCAAGCAGCTACTCAGTCTCAATCCACAAAGATTCTTCTATAGCTAACATTGAACCAAGCACTCTTCTAGAACTTAAGGCACATGCAGAATAAAGAAACAATCACTGCTTCAAAAAGTTCATCATCTACTAGAGTAAGACAAACAAATAATTTCCATGCAATAAAATAATCATAGAAATATATATCAAGTGGTTTGAGAGCACCAAGGGAGCAGTAATCAGAGCCTTTCACATAGGAGATGAGGGTGATTTTTTTTAATTTTCTTAAATTTTATTTTTAATTGACAAATAACATGGGATACACTGCAATGTCTTGATATATGTTTACATTGTGGGATGATTAAATCAAGTGAATTTTTTAGCATGTCTTCACTAAAGCTTAATAGTCTTACAACTGAATCTTGATCATCCGTACTCCAAAGCTCAGAAACGTGCAATATACCCTTGTAACAAACCTCCATGTGTACCCCCTGATTCTAAAATAAAAGATGAAAAAAGAAAAAGGAGGTGAAGTTTGAGCTGAGTTTTAAATGATGAGTTTTGAGTGATGAGGTCAGGACTACAGAATAGTCCAAGTAGCAGATATAGCAAGCTGAAGATATAGAGGCATGCAAGAGTCTGGTGGGCTTGGGAGATTCAGTATTTATGGGATATGTGTGACAGAGTGGCAGGAGATGAGCCTAGCTGTGGAGCAAGACCATAGACAAATCTTAAATTCTGTATGCAAGTAGAGATGTTATCTTGCTTGTGATGGAAAGCTATTGCAGGGGTTTAAGAAGGATGCAATAGAATCATGTCTGCTCTGTAGAACCATTTAATTAACACTGGGAAATGGACTGGAGGAGGATAGAGAAGAAACCAATTAGCAGTCTGTTGGTATCATCTGAATAAGATATGATGAGGATGAAAACCAAAGTAGATAGAGAATGAGGAAAACTGGAAAAATATTTTAGGAAGTCAAATTTTGTGCTTTCCATGCATGATCTCTTTTTCCAAAATACATGGACCTAAAAAGACATACACTACCCTTATTTAACAGATGAGAAGATGAAGCCTTAAAGAGATCAAATAACCTGTCTCAGGTCCCTCACTAGTAAATAAAGCAATTCAAAGGGGGAATAAAGTAGTATCCAGAAACAGAATCAAATATACGTTTTTGAGTTGGGTGGCCAATTCACTTCTTGCTCCTGGCCTCAAGCAATCCTGCTGCCTCAGGCTCCCAAAGCACTGGGATTATCGATGTGAGCCACCACACCTGGCCCAATCATTTCCAAACATTCTTTGAGTTTAAAAAAAAAAAGAAAAGATAGTTTCTAGCAGAAATTGGCAACATCAACAGGTGCTGCTGTTGCTTTATCTCTCCAAACAGACCCCAAAGTGAAATTAAGACATCAAGAAAAAAAAAACTGTTTTTGGTGGTGACTTAAACTGGGCCTTAAGGGCTGACCCAAGCATACACACATATTACTGAAGATGTCCCTTATATGCAGCATTTAACAGGCACAAAATGTGATGATAGTATCCATGGAAAAAAAAGTCTCTGGCCAGGCACCAAGGCCTAAAAGAAATACCTGGTACACACTAAATGCCAAATAAATGTAAATAGGCAGCTGGATCAAAAGGAGAAACTATTTGTAGGTTCTATGCACAAATCAGTAATAATATTTTAGAAATATTTATGAATAGTTGGAGTATTACTTTAAAGGAAATGGTGGTTCTCATTATAATGATCTGTTAGAAGAGAAAATTCAAAGTAAGGCAATTGAGGCTGTTTATCACCAAAATATGGAAAAGAGCAGTTTATGCCTCATCTGAACAGAATCACTTGATATCATTGCTTGTCTCCAAGATGATCACCATTAATATATTCCTTCAGTGTATATTTATGCTGTCATCAAGAGGTGAAGTCTATTCCTTCCATCTTCTTGATTCTGGGCTACTTTTAGTGACTTGTTACAATAATCAAGTACAAGAAAGTGACATGCTAGGACTTCTGAGGTTAAGTCCCAACAAGCCTTGTAGTTTCTGCCTGAGTCGCTTTGAATGCTCTCTCTTGGAACCCTCATTTTAAGAGAAGCCAGCTTCCGTGTAAGAAGTCCATCTACCCTGCAACCAGCAGGGAAAGAGCAATGCAAGCCAACCCTCAGCTCTTTTAGCCAGACCAGGCCAGGTACCAGACTTGGAAGTAAGAAAGCCATCTTGGATATTCTAGCCTCAACAGATGCCACATGGAACAGAATTGAGGCCCCAAACATATGGCCACAGTTGAGCTATTGTAGTCTTCATCAGCCATTCCAGCTATTCCAGTTGAGGCCCTAGGTATGCTGGAGAAAAATGAGCCATCCCCATTGTGCCTGCCTAAATTCTTGACCCACAAAATTATCAACACAACAAATAAGTGCTGTTTTACATAAATAAATTTTGGAGGGTAATACCCATCAATTACAGAATACATGGCATACAACTTTTTCAGTTCCTTGAGGCTAGAACTGAATATTATTTATATCTCTATATTTAACTTAGTGCCTGGCACACAGAAGGCATGAATATTGTTTGTTGAATGAATGAATGAATGAGCAAGCAGATGTCTGCATGGAGTGTTTGCAAGACTCTACTATAATTAAGCCTCCTAAAGCTGCTAAGTATCTCCATTTCCCAAACATAGGAAAGAACTGGTGGTCTCTGACCTCTCTAAAGTGGGAAAGTTATTTCTCCAGCCTTACACCACCGGACTCACCAGATGTGCAGAGCACTGTTAACGCCAGGAGAGAACTCTGCATTGTACATAGAGGCCCTGGCCCACTAGTTGTGCTACTTCGTGAGAAGGAATACGTCAGTGACTCTTTCCTAAAAAGCATCGTAGGACTCTCTGAATAATGCATACGCTTGTGCAGGACTTGCTATGTGTCAGGCACTTTTCTAAGCCTTTTACAAAGCTTAACTCATTTAATATTCACAAGCCTATGAGATAAGTACTATTATAGTTCCCATTTTACATATATGAAAAATAGAACATCAACACTAACTTACAAAAGATCACACAGCCAACAGGTAACAGCTTAAATCCAGACAGCCTGGCCCTGGTGGCCATAATGCTGTTGTTAACAATGCTTCCTGCCTCTCTGGGAAGAATCATGGTGTTACTTGTCATGTTACCAGAGTCATGACATTTGGGGAGGAAGTGGCAACTTTTACAAAAAAAGCAGGAGAAAAATATGCCATTCTCTGTGACCTCAGGCAAGACATGCAACTTTATGTGCTCTTAATATAACATTTAGTAATTTGCTTTGGCTTCTAGCAAATGATAAAATTTCATTTTTCTTTAGAGAATTAGATATTCTGTGGGTGATTGTGTCTTTTAAGTGCCAAATTGTGGTGTTATTAACAAGTTTTTTTATATAGCTAAAATTTTCTCATACTGTGTCTGAATAAACTAATAGAAAATATCTATGGGGGTCACAGGAAGGGCTCTTCCTTGAAAGTCATTAACCTAAGGTTAGCTCTTAGATTCCCATTGAATTCTAAATGCATTTCCTAATTTTTAAATCTAGGAACAAAACTCTAATATTGCAGGTAATTTGCAGGTAATTAAATTCATTCTGAGAAATATATTTGTATGTGTGGGTTATATTGAGAGCATTTGAACAGAATACTAATAGCAAACTGTGGGGCGTTTTGATGGTTACCCTGAGCACTGGCTGAACATTGGCCTATTTTAAATTACTCTGTGACTCATCTACAAAGCTCCAGATCATAAGTACAGCATTTAAATGGAGACACAAATGCCATAGTATAGAGATCTGCCTCACTTCAATGACTACACCTCCTATCACAAAACCCTCTAATTTGAGATGTACCAAAAATAACATGGGTAGATACAAAGCCACAAATTAACAGTTTCCATAAATAAGATGACTTTGTCAAGGCTCAGTTCTAAAATAAAAATTTCACATAATACTATGACCGTATTTTGATGTCAAGAAATTTTCAATCAATATTCTAGTGCCATAAAAAGAAATCTAAAATAGGCTCATCTCTAATTTTTATGATGATTAACTATTACAGTAAAAAATTTTAAATCACTCCAATGTTGCACAGAAAAAGATGGGAAGAACTAGACAATAATAATTTTAAGAAAGCAGGCTTCCATATATCCTAAGGAACATGGTTACAAAATAAGAAAGGATCTTCAGAGAAGATAGAGTAAGCCTTTGTACCCAAACAGAAGAAATCTAGTTCAGCAGAGCAAATACTTATGAAAAATTAGAAGTAAATATACTTGTTTTTTGTTTTTTGTTTTTGTTTTTTGAGATGGAGTCGTGCTTTGCTGCCCAGGCTGGAGTGCAGTGATGCGTGATCTCAGTTCACTTCAACTTCTGCCTCCTAGGCTCAAGCAATCCCCACACCTCAGCCTCTGAGTAGCTGGGATTACAGGCACATGCCACCATGCCTGGCTAATTTTTGAATTTTTAGTAGAGGTGGGGTTTCAATATGTTGGCCAGGCTGGCCTTGAACTCCTGACCTCAAGTGATCCACCCGCCTCTGGCTTCCAAAGTGCTGGGATTACAGGCATAAGCCACCAAACCCGGCCCGCAAATATACCCTTCAAACTACTTAATGCACTTTGTGATTATCTTCATTTAGTGTTCCCCCTTATCATCCCTGATACGGATTAGGAAACTATGAAAGACTTAGAATATAATCAGGAAGAGCAACACCATGGGGCAAGGCTGAAGTCAATAGGCTCAACTCAAACAGTGAGGTAATCAAGCAGTATGACTTAGCACAAATCATTTAACCTCCTTAGGGCATAGTTTTCTCTTCTGCAAAATGAAATTAATCCCACTTGCCTCATAGATTGTTATGAGATTATCTGTGAAGTCCATTGTGTATGTTAAACCATGACGTGCTACAGACACATCAAATGTTTTGTGGGATCTTATTTAAAACAATGTTATTAAACTCTTTTTGCCAAAGGCATGAGACCTAATATCTTTTCTTCATTAAAAGGGGAGATCTACAAGTGTTGGGGAGCTGTTAAAGGCAGGAAAGCACTAAAAATCAGATTTTCTTCTTGTTGCAATCAGAAGGATGGAAAAAGAACTGAATCAGAAAGGGCAGTTATTTAATTTTAATTTCTTTAACTTTATGCTTTGAATGGATCAAATCACCTTTGTTCCACCTGTAATAGGTATCCCACACTTTGGAAAACACCTTAGAGAATCCTTCCACTTCTAGAATTCTATGGTTCTTGTCACTAAATGATCTAGCCAAAGCCACAACTTCAGCAACTGGGAAATTGGGCTCAAAGGATAAGATTCTTACTGTCTTTCAGCTTCCTAACCACTGAAACCCATAATCAGCTAAATTGCACATCATTCCTCAATTTTTAGAAAGTGACAGATTGGATACAAGTGTCAGACAGATCCCTCATGCAGATAATGACCTTGGGGAGCTGGGATTTCATTACAGATGGTTGGTAGTAGAAAACAAATTTTGAGTTGTTATCAAAATTAAACACCTGCAGATGAATGATTACATCTATCAAGTGGCTAATCAGGAGAATCCTTTCTGTTGTTAATCATGTACAACATCAATGGATGCTTGATACTGAAGAGCTCTATAGACTCATCCACTTGGGTTACCTGTCAGGTAGACACATGCCTAGGTCTGAGTGTGCATGTCTTTACTTTTCAAGAAAATTAATTGGCAACACAAATGTGATCATGCCATCCTTCTGCTTAAATCTTTCAATGGCTTTTCATTGTCTGGGGGATAAAACCTAAAATCTCTATAACGTCACCTTCGAAGTCCCCATTGATCTTGTTCCTGCTCACTCCCTCTGCAGCCCTATTTTGTTCCACTCTTTAATTTGCTTTCTCAGCTCCAGCCATACTGACCTTTTATTTTTTCCAAACTGGGCCCATTCATGCCATTTCGTCTGCTGTTAATTCTCTTACCCAACCCTACCAACCCCAACTATGCCGATGCTCATTCATTCATGTCTCAGATAAAACAGCACTTCCTCAGAAGAGTCTTCCCTGAACCCCTTAGATTAGATTAAATTCATTTGCCACAAGTTTCTTTACTTCTTTTCCACTGACAATCATGGTTGAATTGCTGATTCACATCTTTCTACTCCACTGGTGCATAAGCTCATTGAAGGCTGGGAGTGCATATATAGCTCCTCTGTTCCTGGCACATCCTAGTGTGTGGCACTAAGTAGACATTCACTATGCATTTGTTGAATGACTAAACAAATGAATGAATGAATAAATGATTTCAATCTGGTCCACAGCTAAGACCACAGAATCATTCAGAATAATTAAGATAATCTTAAGAGAGGATTTGGCATTATTTTTTTCAACCATCCTCTTTTTCTAAATATAAATTTTTTTTAGACAGGTTCTGGCCCTGTCACCCAGGCTGGAGTGCAGTGGTGTGATCTTGGCTCACTGCCTCCCTGGCTGAAGTGGTCCTCCCACCTCAGCATCTCAAGTAGCTGGGACTACAGGCATGCACCACCATGCCCAACTAACTTTTTAAATTTTTTGTAGAGACAAAGTCTCACTGTATTGCCAAGGCTGATCTCGAACTCCTGGGCTCAGGTGATCCACCTGCCTCAGCTTCCCAAAGTCCTAGGATTACAGGTGGGAGCCACAGTGCCCAGCCTAAATGTGTATATTCTTGATATAGAATATACACTTTGTAGGAGTGGGGGAAGGGGTGACCCAGTCCTTCATCCAGCTGAGTGACCTTCCAGGATCGTTGGTATAGTCCTGTCATGAGGAATGCCACCCTCCTCAAAGCAGGGCCATCATAATATCCAACCTAGTGAGTTCAGATGAACCTCACATAAACTGGAGCACAGCAGGTCACTGATAAGAAGACATCTTCTGGCTCCCCATCTTGCCTTCTTTTAAGCAATAAAGTTTTTCTTGCTTTCATGTTGAAGGAAACTCCACAACTGCCTGCTCAAATAGCCACAGTGATGAAGAGAGGCAGTGGTGTGATCCACTTGGTGTAAACAGAGGCAACATGGTGTGGTGGAAAGAGCCCTGGACAAATATTCAGAAGAACTAGGTTCTGATTCTGATAACTCTGTCACTTATTTGTTGCGTGAACTTAAACATTGGGCTCTTTCTGGCTAAAATGTCCTGCCTGTGAAATAGAACAAATCCCTTGTCTATAGAGTTCCTGTAATCAGCAACTGAGATAATTTATTTTACTATTTTATTTAGGAGTTGCTGATACTTTAATTATGAAAGCAATTTGTAATCTGTAAAATACTAGGTAAATTATGGTAATTTTGCCACTGGTCCTTGAGAGCAGTTTTGTCTTCCTGAATTTAAATAGTATCTGTTATTAATAAAGTGAGTTTTCCATCCCTGCCATTTAATGGCTAGTAGAGAAAGCCCTGTTCTCACCAGGGTAATGAGAAAGAAGTTAAAAATTAGTTGTGATTGATTCATATTTAAGACATAATTGAGCATTGATTAGATATGATGCCTCTTTCCTGTTTTCATTTATTCTTCTATAGCATAAAAGTATCTTTTAATCAGGCAGCTAATACTATACTGTCTTACTGTTCACTGTAACAGAACAAAAGCTTGACGTAAATAATGAATACCTAAATCATAGGCCAGACAGGCTGCTGCCTACATGAAATGATTTTTGGGAAAACATAATTCCTATTTCTGCTTATGGATGTTCAAAAACTTATTAATGAAATACTGTCTTTATTTCCACAATTAGACATGACGCTGCAATTTAAATCTCCTGCAGTACTGTTAGGAGATTTATATAGTACTGTTAAGAACAGTACTATAGCAAATTCTTAACAAGAAGATGCAGATGGTTAATTGAAGGTAATTTTTGATAAGCAAACTTGAGGAAAAGGGCATTAGACACATGCCATATGAAAAACAGAAAAATAAAATTAAAATATGTAAATCAATCTTTCGACTGTTGGTTTCTGAGAGAGTAAAATTGATTTATTTTTAAATGCCTTGCTTTTTAAATTATCACAGGCGGGATACCTTTTGTGAGAAAAATACAGAAATAACTCCTATCTAAAGTAAACCCTCATTATTTCCTCTTGAGCTCTGTATTTCTCAGAAATACTTGCTGAATAGGAGTTGGTTGACCTGCTTTTGACATTGTTTTTACTTGCAGACTGATAAATGAATCTTTGAGGGACCAGCTGTTGGTGACTATACAGAAGACTTTCACATACACTCGAACCCAAGCTCAGCATCTGTTCATCATCCTCATGGAGTGCATGAAGAAGAAGGAATTGGTAGGTAATTCCGCATGGGTGGCCAGCTGTCTCCACATTTTCAGTCATTTTCTTGAATCACACAACATTTTCTCAAATCATGCAACATTCTCTCTTTCTGGCCGAGCTTACAGCTCTCCTCAGGCTCCATTGGCTCCAGTAGCTTCCTCTCCTAAGTAACTAAGACACTGCTTTTACTGCCTTCGAGTTAATAAGGTGTGTGCAGCAGAGTTTTAGCATCATTTCCTTTTGGAGCTCATCCAAACGCTCTGACTGCCTCAACAAAATGAGTTGAAGTGATAAAATTGGTCCCCTCCTGGAGAACGCTTCAGCTTGATCTTCTTAGGTTTCGGATTTCATTTTGCTTGGAAGTCATGAACCACTGAGGTGCTTTCTGTCAAATAGCTTTAATGACAAAGGGTCCAGGCTGTTACACTAATCTGTACAGGTAGAAAACGGAGAAACATAAGAAATCCTGGAGGAATCTAAAATCAGAGCAAAATGTGTTTCTAAAATCAGAGCAAAATGTCTTACAAATGTGGTATGATCAGAGACCCTGCTAGGGTGAACAAAATCATGTGATTTTGTTCTCTGCTTACTCAAACATTTAACAAGAACTTGCTATCTGCCAAGCAGGGAGCAAGATCTTTATGCATATAAACTCATATGACCTTTGCAACTGTCCTGATGAGAGAGGTACAATTATTACCCTCATCTTACAGATGAGGAAACCCGGCTCATTTGATTAGTAAATGAGGAGCTAAGACTCAAAACCAGTGATGTTTAACCTCTGTATGGAGTATTTTTATTCAGAAAGTGTCTCACTGAAGCCAATGCAGTGGATCACCCACTCTGGGTAGATGCCCCCAGGCCTCAGCCAGAGAGACTATTCTCAAAGGTCAGTTAAACCCAACTGCTGAGAGAGATAGCAAAATGTTTAGAAAAAAAAAAAAAAGGAATTGATTAGAGTGGGCAAGACCCATCTCCAAAAAGCATCCACACAGCCTTTGTGAGAAACCTTTCAGCAGCTTCCAGGTTTGGGATGAGATGAGTGAAGATGAGAAGAATAGGACAATACCTAGGTACACAGTCTGGCTGCCCCATATATAGAAGCCAGCGAGCGGGTGGGGCACACGGTCATGGCTGCTGTCATTCCAGGAGAACTCTACTACGCACGAAGGTACCACCCACATGTGACATCCTCCCATCTCGGATGTCGTTAGCTCATGGTGTTGCAGCTCGAATACTTCCTCTATCCAGGGAGGCACTGAAGCCCTGAGCTTCTACATGCCACAGTAGGGATTATCTTCTGAGTACTGATGCTTTTCCAATGCTGAGGCCAATTCTAACTGACAAACCTTACCAGGACTATACATTTCAGCAGTCCTGCAAATTTGCTAGAAAGGCAGCTAGGAGCAAAATTCTAGGAACCAGTGGGAAGTCATAAAACCAAATGAGGCTGAATGAACTTTTCTAGGTATTTCATGGGACTGTTTTTGCAGAATTCTGCCTAAATTTCATGTTGTTTAATCGTGGTCTCTGCTGAAAAAGTTAACTGCATTTTATGCAAGTTATTTGTTATAAGAAATGTGAGGTATTCCTAGCTCCAGGCTCAGGAAATGAGTTCTTCTTTAAAAAAATTATTTTTTAAAATTATACTTTAAGTTCTGGGATACTTGTGTAGAACATTCAGGTTTGTTAAATAGGTATACATGTGCTGCACCAATCAACCCATCATCTACATTAGATATTTCTCCTAATGCTATCCCTCCCCTAGCCCCCCACCCCCTGAGAGGCCCTGGTGTGCGATGTTACCCTCCCTGTGTCCATGTGTTCTTACTGTTCAGCTCCAGCTTATGAGTGAGAACATGTGGTATTTTGTTTTCTGTTCTTGTGTTTGTTTGCTGAGAATGATGGTTTCCAGCTTCATCCATGTCCCTGCAAAAGACATGAACTCATCCTTTTTTATGGCTGCATAGTATTCCATGGTGTATATGTGCCACAATTTATTTATCCAGTCTATCACTGATGGGCATTTGGGTTGGTTCCAAGTCTTTGCTATCGTGAACAGTGCTGCAATAAAAATACTTGTGCAAGTGTCTTTATAGTAGAATGATTTATAATCCTTTGGGTACATACCCAGTAATGGGATTGCTGGTTCAAATGGTATTTCTGGTTCTAGATCCTTGAGGAAATGCCACACTGTCTTCCAGAATGATTGAACTAATATACACTCCCACCAACAGTGTAAAAGTGTTTCTATTTCTCCACATCCTCTCCAGCATCTGTTGTTTCCTGACTTTTTAATGATTGCCATTCTAACTGGAGTGAGATGCTATCTCATTGTAGTTTTGATTTGCATTTCTCTAATGACCAGTGATGATGAGCTTTTTTCCATATGTTTGTTAGCTGCGTTAAGTGTCTTCTTTTGAGGATTGTCTGTTCATATCCTTTGCCCACTTTTTGACGGGGTTGTTTGTTTTTTTCTTGTAAACGTGTTTAAGTTTTGTATAGATTCTGGATATTAGCCCTTTGTCAGATGGATAGATTGCAAAAATTTTATCTCATTCTGTAGGTTGTCTGTTCATTCTGATGATAGTTTCTTTTGCTATGCAGAAGCTCTTTAGTTTGATTAGATCCCATTTGTCAATTTTGGCTTGTGTTGCCATTGCTTTTGATGTTTTAGTCATGAAGTCCTTGCCCATGCCTATGTCCTGAATGGTATTGCCTAGGTTTTCTTCTAGGGTTTTTATGGTTTTAGGTCCAACATTTAAGTCTTTAATCCATCTTGAATTGATTTTTGTATAAGGTGTAAGGAAGGGGTTCAGTTTCAGTTTTCTGCATATGGCTATCCAGTTTTCCCAACACCATTTATTAAATAGGGAATCCTTTCCCCATTGCTTGTTTTTGTCAGGTTTGTCAAAGATCAGATCGTTGTAGATTTGTGGCATTATTTCTGAGGCCTCTGTTCTGTTCCAGTGGTGTATATATCTGTTTTGGCACCACTACCATGCTGTTATGGTTACTGTAGCCTCCCAGTATAGTTTGAAGCCAGGTAGCGTGATGCCTCCAGCTTTGTTCTTTTTGCTTAGGATTGTCTTGGCTATGTGGGCTCTTTTTTGGTTCCATATGAAATTAAAAGTAGTTTTTCCTAATTCTGTGAAGAAAGTCAATGGTAGCTTGATGGGGATAGCATTAAATCTATAAATTACTTTTGGCAGTATGACTATTTTCACAATATTGATTCTTCCTATCCATGAGCATGGAATGTTTTTCCATTTGTTTGTGTCCTTTCTTATTTCCTTGAGTAGTGGTTTGTAGTTCTCCTTGAATAGGTCCTTCACATCCCTTGTAAGTTGGATTCCTAGGTATTTTATTCTCTTTGTAGCAATTGTGAATAGGAGTTCACTCATGATTTGGCTCTCTGTTTGTCTGTTATTGTTATATAGGGATGCTTGTGATTTTTGCACATTGATTTTGAATCCTGAGACTTTGCTGAAGTTGCTTATCAGCTTAAGGAGATTTTGGGCTGAGACGATGGGGTTTTCTAAACATACAATCATGTCATGTACAAACACAGACAATTTGACTTCCTCTCTTCCTATTTGAATACGCTTTATTTCTTTCTCTTGCCCAATTGACCTGGCCAGAACTTCCAATACTATGTTGAATAGGAGTGGTGAGAGAGGGCATCCCTGTCTTGTGCCAGTTCTCAAAGGGAATGCTTCCAGCTTTTGCACATTCAGTATGATATTGGCTGTGGGTTTGTCATAAATAGCTTTTATTATTTTGAGATACATTCTATCAATACCTAGTTTACTGAGAGTTTTTAGCATGAAGGGGTGTTAAATTTTATCAAAGCCCTTTTCTGCATCTATTGAGATAATCATGTGGTTTTTGTCATTGGTTCTGTTTATGTGTTGGATTATGTTTATTGATATGCATATGTTGAACCAGACCAGGGATGAAGCTGACTTTATCGTGGTGGATAAGCTTTCTGATGTGCTGCTGGATTTGATTTGCCAGTATTTTATTGAGGATTTTCTCACTGATGTTCATCAGGGATATTGGCCTGAAATTTTCCTTTTTTGTTGTTGTGTCTCTGCCAGGTTTTGGTATCAGGATGATGCTGGCTTCATAAAACGAGTTATAGAGGAGTCCCTCTTTTTCTATTTTTTGGAATAGATTCAGAAGGAATGGTACCAGCTCCTCTTTGTACCTCTGGTAGAATTTGGCTGTGAATTCATCTGGCCCTGGGCTTTTATTGGTTGGTAGGCTATTAATTACTGCCTCAATTTCAGAACTTGTTTTTGGTCTATTCAGGGATTTGACTTCTTCCTGGTTTAGTCTTGGGAGGGCGTATGTGTCCAGGAATTTATCCATTTCTTCTATATTTTCTAGTTTATTTGCATAGATGTGTTTATAGTATTCTCTGATGGTAGTTTGTACATCTGTGGGATCAGTGGTGATATCCCCTTTATCATTTTTATTGTGTCTATTCGATTCTTCTCTCTTTTCTTCTTTATTAGTCTGTCTAGCAGTCTATTTTGTTGATCATTTCAGAAAAACCACCTCCTGGATTCATTGATTTTTTTGAAGTGTTTTTCGTGTCTCTATCTCCTTCAGTTCTGCTCTGATCTTAGTTATTTCTTGTCTTCTGCTAGCTTTTGAATTTGTTTGCTCTTGCTTCTCTGGTTCTTTTAATTGCGATGTTAGGGTGTCGATTTTAGATCTTTTCCACTTTCTCCTGTGGGCATTTAGTGCTACATATTTACCTCTAAACACTGCTTTAGCTGTGTCCCAGAGATTCTGGTACGTTGTGTCTTTGTTCTTACTGGTTTCAAAGAACTTGTTTATTTCTGCCTTAATTTCATTATTTACCCAGTAGTCGTTCAGGAGCAGGTTGTTCAGTTTCCATGTAGTTGTATGGTTTGAGTGAGTTCTTTAATCCTGAGTTCTAATTTGACTGCACTGTGGTCTGAGAGACTGTTGGTTTCCGTTCTTTTGAGTTTCCTGAGGAGTGTTTTATTTCCAATTATGTGGCCAATTTTAGAATAAGTGTGATGCGGTGCTGAGAAGAATGTACATTCTGTTGATTTGGGGTGGAAAGTTCTGTAGATGTCTATTAGGTCTGCTTGGTCCAGAGGTGAGTTCAAGTCATGAATATCCTTGTTATTTTTTTATCTCATTGATCTGTCTAATATTGACAATGGGGGTGTTAAAATCTCCCACTATTATTGTGTGGGAGTCTAAGTCTCTTTGTAGGTCTCTAAGAACTTGCTTTATGAATCTGGGTGCTCCTGTATTGGGTGCATATATATTTAGGATAGTTAGCTTGTCTTGTTGCATTGATCCCTTTACCATTATGTAATGCCCTTCTTTGTTTTTTCGGTCTCGGTTGGTTTAAAGTCTGTTTTATCAGAGATTAGGATTATAAACCCTGCTTTTTTGTTTTTTTTGTTTGTTTTTGTTTTGTTTTGTTTTGTTTGCTTTCCATTTGCTTGGTAAATATTCCTCCATCCCTTTATTTTGAGCCTATGTGTGTCTTTGCATGTGAGATAGGTCTCCAGAATACAGCATACCGATGAGTCTCAAAGTTTGTGTCTTTTAATTGGGGCATTTAGCCTGTTTACATTTAAGGTTAATGTTGCTATATGTGAATTTGATCCTGTTATTATGATGCTAGCTGGTTATTTTGCCCGTTAGTTAATGCAGTTTCTTCATAGTGTCAATAGGTCTTTACAATTTGGTATGTTTTTGCAGTGGCTAGTACTGGTTTTTCCTTTCCATATTTAGCGCCTCCTTCAGGAGCTCTGGTGAGGCAGGCCTGGTGGTGACAAAATCTCCCAGCATTTGCTTGTCTGTAAAAGATTTTATTTCTTCTTCACTTGTGAAGCTTAGTTTGGCTGGATATGAAATTCTGGGTTGAAAATTCTTTTCTTTAAGAATGTCGATGGCCGGGTCTGGTGGCTCACACCTGTAATCCCAGCACTTTGGGAGGCCGAGGCAGGCGGATCACCTGAGGTCAGGAGTTCGAGACCAGCCTCAACATGAAGAAACCCCGTCTCTACTAAAAATACAAAATTAGCCGGGCATGGTGGTGCATGCCTGTAATCCCAGCTACTCAGGAGGCTGAGGCAGGAGAATTGCTTGAACCTGGGAGGCAGAGGTTGCAGTGAGCCAAGATCATGCCATTGCACTCCAGCCTGGGCAACAAGAGCGAAACTCCATCTCCAAAAAAAAAAAAAAGAATGTTGAATATTGGCCCCCATTCTCTTCTGACTTGTAGGGTTTCTGCGGAGAGATCTTCTGTTAGTCTGATGGGCTTCCCTTTGTGGGTAACCTGACCTTTCTTTCTGGCTGCCCTTAACATTTTTTCCTTCATTTCAACCTTGGTGAATCTGACAATTATGTGTCTTGTGGTTGCTCTTCTTGAGGAGTATCTTTGTGGTGTTCTCTGTATTTCCTAAATTTGAATGTTGGCCTGTGTGTTCTTAAGAAGCAACAATTTATCTCCACATCCGGGCAAAAATAAGTTAGAAATTTTTAAATCAAAATTACAGTATAACTATAATTTCAAATTTTGAGGGACTACTTATGTACATGGACGGTACCAGATGCCTTGAAAATAAGGTAGACACAAAGTAGGCATTGTTTTCTCCTCTTGCAGAGACAAGGAAAGGAACTGAGGCTAAGAGAGGTGGGGAGATGTACAGAGCCAGGAAGAGCCAAGCTAGGACTGTCTTGCTGCAGACCCCGTGTTTTCTACTCATTAGGCTCCATAGCATAGCACACAAAACAAGGAGGCATTGCATCGTCATAGAGTTTCTCTTTTCTCTTGTATCCTTCAAGTTTCTTTTGATTCCCCTTACAAACTATATGGGGTATAATATTATGAGGCCAGTCTAACCGTTGCCAAGTTTGGCTAAGCTATTTGGTTCTAGAGTTGATGTGATATCTTTCTCATCCCAGCACTTAACTGACTTACATAATAAAGCCTGCACTATGGATGGGCCTCTGGGTGCTGTGGCCTCATGAAAAATATTCCCTGGGCCTGCAATTTCAAGCTAGGTGGGGCAGCCCCTCACGACATCTTCACACAGATACTGCTGTACTTTCTGCTCATTTCATATAGATCTTGAAGTAATTCACTCCTCTGCTTACTCAAAACCTGTCCCCTTTAAAAAAGATAGGTCCTTCTAGAAATCAACCTATAACCTAAGTTCTATCATTGTTTTCAGGTAAAGAATAGAAATTAAAGAGATAAAGACTATCTGCAACATATTCATTGGGGAACAGATGTCACAGATCAGATGTCTCTCTATTATCTTCCTCCTCAAGAGGGGTTTGGTCATAAAGAATATCAAGACCAGGAAAAGGGGACACAGGTGACCATGCACACAGTGAGGCTGATTATGTGCATAGAAACCAAGAGCCTTATGTTCCAGAGGGCAGTGCCAGCTCCTTTTCTGCTGCTGCCTCCTGGAGCTCCTGTCTGTCCTCTGAGCTCCTGCAGAAGCCTTCCTCTATCGCCACTGCCAAACCACCAACCCCAGACTGGGGCAGTACATTTGCTTTTGATACCCTGGAGTGTAGGAGGACCACTTAGACTTGGCATTGTAAGCCCCATGGTTGTGTGGCCCTAAACAAGTCATGGTGATGACAACACCAGCCCTGCTCCTAGTTCACCACCTTCTGCTTCCACACTGGTGAGTCCTATCATTCACTCTACTCCCCTGACAGCGGCCAGACCTCCTAGCGTCCAATCAGTTCATCTTTCCATTTCTTCCCAGTCACACCTGGGAATCATGCCTCCACTCAAAGCCTTGCTGCTCCAAAATCTAAGACTTTAAAATCTACTCCCCACTCCAAAGATAACTGCCCTACCTCCCCCCTCCCACCACTTCATTCATATTGAACCTGAACCTGGATGCCAGGCTTCTCTGTTCACGAGCCTGAGATCAAACGCCTCAAGCAATCTGTGTAAAAACATGTTCAAAATAGTTTTCTTTACCTTGTGCCTTGTTGAGAGTTTGCACTATGTCTTTCCACCCTCCCTGCTCCCATCTGGGTTCCCTCACCTGTCAATTACTCTATTCTATGTGCCTGATGCTTCTCGTACCACTCCCAAAGCTGAGTCATTCAGTCTAATTGGATTAGGCTTTCAATAACACCAGCCAATCCTCGTATTTATCTCTAGTCAATAGGCTCTCCTATTCCCTACAATCATTGTTCTAAATCTTTTATATTCTTTCCAAGTTTCAAACCACAGCCACTTCCTCTTATTCTTTTTATATATGTTAAATACTAATCTTTTGTTGGTTGTGTTACAGATACATTTTCTCAGTTTGGGGCTTGTTTTTTCACTTTTTTTGATGTACTTTGATAAATAGAAATTCTCAAATTTAATGTACAGTCAGGCATTACTTAACAATGGGGATATATCCTGAGAAATGTGTCATTAGGCTATTTCATTGTTGTGTGAACATCATAGTGTATTTCTTTTCTTTTTTTTGAGACAGAGTCTTGCTCTGTCGCCCAGGATGGAGTGCAGTGGTGTGATGTCGGCTCACTGCAACCTCCACCTCCCAAGTTCAAGCAATTCTCCTGCCTCAGCCTCCCAAGTAGCTTTTGGGAGTGCCAACCACCACACTCAGCTAATTTTTGTACTTTTAGTAGAGATGGGGTTTCACCATGTTGGCCAGGCTGGTCTTGAACTCCTGACCTCAGGTGATCTGCCCACCTCGGCCTGCCAAAGTGCTGAGAGTACAGGCATGAGCCACCACTCCCAGCCCATAGAGTGTAATTCTAAAAACCTAGACAACATAGCCTACTACACACCTAGGTTCTATGGTATAGCCTATTTGTCCCTAGGCTACAAATTTGAATGGCATATTACAGTTCTGAATACTGTAGGCAACTGTAACACAATGTTAGGTATTTGTGTATCTAAACATATCTAAAGATAAAAAGATACAATAAAAATACAATATTATAATCTCATGGCACCACTGTCACATACACAATACATCATTGACTGAAACGTCATTATGCAGCCTATGACTGCAGCTAAATGTATCAGCCTTTTTTATGTTTTGTGCTTTTTGCCTCATGTTTAATAAACTCTTCTTTACCAAAATATCAAAAAGATATTCTTCTATATATTCTACTAAAATGTGTCTAGTTTCACCTTCAACATTAAACCTGTAACCCATCCATAACTGATTTTTTTTGTGTATGATATGAAGTGGAGATCCATGTAGATGACTAGCTGACCTTGCGTCATTTATTTAATGGTCCATCCTTATGTCGCATAATGCCAGCTCTTTCATAAAGCAGGTTTCCACCTATACATGAGCCTTTCTGGCTTCCCTACTTGTCTAGTCCTTCCCTGGTGCCCTATTTTTCTAATCAGTGTAACTTTATAATAAGCCCTGATGTATGATAGGGCAAGTCACACTCCTTGTGACACTTCTCCAGAGTTGCCAACTATTTTAGCCCTTTGCTCTTATAGATAAATTTTAAACTCAGCCTTTCAGGTTGCATGTACATGTGTATGCGCGCGCGCGCGCACACACACACACACACACACACACACACACACACACACACACACACACACTGTTGAGATGTGGATTGAAACTGCATTGAAATTAAAGATTCATTCTCCTCATGCTCAACAGAAGACTCCTCCTTAAAGGAAATCAAAGGTCATAAATGTAAGCTCCTCTACTTTCTTCTCCTTTATCCCAGTGTGACTATATCTTGAGCCATGCCTTTTTTTTCTATGTAGTATCAGAGGAAGTAGTGCCCCTCTTCTTCTCTACAGTCATTCTCTAAACAGGCAACACATCCCATCACTTTGCATTTCCTCCATAATTTTTTCTCTAGAAAATGTACATTTCTTGAACAGTAACTCTATTACTCCCTCTGCATTGGGTTCTACTTCTGTCTTTTCTACCTTCCTAAAATTTCAATGACATTGTACTTTTCTGCTAGTCCTCCAACTTTTCTGTTTCTCCTCCTCTTTTCCTTACGTTTCTCATTACTTTCATCCATAATGTGGACATTACCTGAAACTTCTTTTTTCTCAGTCCTTTTGTTCTTTGTGTCATTTTTTGAAGAAGTAATTTTAAGTCTCCTATCATGGGAGATTGTGTCAATTTCTCTTTAAAATTCTGTCAAATTTTTGCTTTATGTATTTTGAGATGATGTTGTTAGGCTTATAAGTTTTTAGACTAGCTATATTTCCTGGTGAAATATTTTTCTATCATTATTCAGAGACTTTGTTTATTCCTGACAATGCTTTGTCTTGCATTTCATTTCATCTGATATTAATCCACTTACATCAACTTCTTTTAGTTCGTACTTTCCCAATATAGGACATTTTCATGCTTTTTCTCCTTTTATTTTCAGCTTTTCTGCACCCTATATGTTAGATGAGTTTCTTAAAAATTATATATAGCTTTTGTTTTTAACGTCATATTAGATGCTCTATTTTTAGTGGTAAATTAGTCTAATTGCATGTATTCTGTGCTAATTACCCTGAATACATTTTAAATTTCATTCATTTATTCAGTAAGATAGTCTCAATTGCTAAGTCTCATTTAGGTATTTCCTTATAAGACCTTTTTTTTTTTTCTTGGTAATATCATACATCTCCTGTTGGCTTCACCAACAACCTCATTGGAGATTATTCACAAAACTATTTCTGGCCTTAACCTTGCTCTCTCAATCTCTCCAACCATACTTACAGCTTGCGCTTGGATGTCTCACCTGGTTGTCTCGTCATTACTTCAAGTTCTACATGTCCAGAAACAAAATCAGCCTATCCAACATCCTCCAGTGCTTCCCAGCCCTACATCTCCACAATGTTTCCCCTTCCAATTCTCGTTTCATTTTCTCAGTCTTGAAAGCTTCAGTTCCCCTATCCTCATTGCCACCGCCACCAGCCAATTGTGGCCAAGTTATTCTGAGTTTCTTTCGGCAGTGTCTCTCACATCTGCCTGCTCTACTTCGATTCCAGTGCCATCATCCTCATTCTGAGCCTCAGTTTTCTTCACCAGGGCCATTACTCTGTGTTCCTACCTAGTCCCAGAAAGGAAACCTTGTTGTCTGTCCTCCAAGCTATTCCAAACACTCCTCCAGGCTTGATGCTTGAGGCCCAGGCCTGACTTGTTAACTTATTTGCTCAGATAGTTTCAAGGACTTGCTTTTGCTACTAACAAGTGTCCAAACTATTTAATGTGGCTTTGAGGCCCTCCACAGTCTGAATGCAGTCTGGATGAATCCCCACACTTCAATTACTTCTTTTTACCACCCTGTTTCCCAGCCTATAATTTAGGCTTTCCAAACTCCCATACTTTCTTTCATCTGGGAAAAGATTCTCTTCTGCTGCCATTTCCACTTCCATGATCACATGAAACTGCGAGCATCCAGCTATGACATCTCACAACTGCTTACTCTGATTTTCAACAGAAAAATGCATAGTACAATCTTACAGTACAGCCTAGTAGCCTATGTCTAAGCTGCGTGTTGGTGAAAGCTGTTATATATCGTTGCTTCTGTAGGGACCCTGACACTATTTATGATGTGCGTAACCTCTGCTAGAATTAGTTGGTTATCACAACCCAGATTAAATAGTAATTATTTTAAATGAGATACATGCAGTGACTGTCAAGAAAGAGAAAGGAAGAGAGATTTCAATAATTAGCCATTGAATCTACATCTGGGTCAAATGGACTTTATCCATTATGCTTCTCTTACCAAATGAAATATTCATATGCCAGACTTCTTTTTCCATAAAGGTGAAATGTTAGCTCATATTTAATTATGTTAGAAGATAAAAATTAAATAAAGCACGAATAACTTTATACCAATTTGTTGCCTTCTCCAGGATGACTTCATTTTAGTACTACTTGTTTATGAAATATAGGAAATAATCTGACTTTTATTCTTCTTATCTCAGAACCTAGAGCACATTTCAGTTTTCTGACTTTATTACTACACAGTTTTTGGTAAATTGCTTTAACAATTTTAATAAGCAGGATGTTATTTACTATTTCTTAACTCTGCCCTATAGTTTCCAAAATAAGATAGTTGTCCAATGGCTTATTTTGGATTTGTGCTAGTTATTGAGTATTTATTGGTGCACTCATGGCCTGAATGTAAAAAGAAAAAAAATAGCTTTCTAATCATAATTTAAGTGGTAAAATTACTTTAACGTCTTAATTCCTAGACTATATCTTGGGGGTTTTTGTAATGTACCTCGCAGACTTTATAGTATGGTAACATGGACTTCCTACTTCCCTACAGCTGGTTCTCATTTGCAATAATGATTCTAAAATCAAGAAGCAAACATTGCATACTAGAGTACTAAGTCTGTTTATTCAGTACATCAATTCAGGATACACAAGAATGAAAATAAACCAACTTTTGTCTGGACACAGTGGCTCATGCCCATAGTCCCAGGACATTGGGACTGTATATTAGTAATGGGAGGCTGAGAAGTGTGGATCACTTGAGCCCAGGAGTTTGAGACCAGCCTAGGCAACATAGCAAAACCCTATCTCCACAAAAAAAATACAGAAATGAACTGGTTGTGTTGGCATGCAACCGGAGTTCTAGCTAAATCTCTTAAGCCTGGGAGTTTGGGGCTGCAGTGAGCTGAGATCACACCACTGCACTCCAGCCCAGGGGACAGAGCAAGACCCTGTCTCAAAAAAATAAAAAACAAAATAAACTAATTTTTTCTTAACCCTCGTCAGTCAAGAAGTCTCCAGGGACCATTGTTTTAGTCTGTTCAGGCTGCTATAATGAAATACCATAATCTAGGTAGTTTATAAACAACAGAGATTTATTGTTCACAGTTCTGGAGGCTGGACAGTCCAAGATCAAGACTCTGGCAGATTCAGTATCTGGTTAGGGCCCACTTTCTCGTAAATGGTACATTCTTGCTGCATCTTCATGTGGTGGAGGGGGCAAGCAAGCTTCCTCAGGCCTTTTTCGTAAGGGCACTAATCCCATTCATCAGGGCAAAGACCTCAGGACCTAATCACTTCTCAAAGGCCCCACCTCCTAATACTATCATCTTGGTGATTAAGAGTCAATATGAATTTGAAGGAGACACAAATATTCAAATCCTAGCAATCACATATCCACCAGTTGACATGGAGAAGAAGTACTTTGAGGAGAGTTAGAAGAGACTTGGCATCTACCTTTATTTAGAACATAATAGACATACAACATGAGAAGCTAAACTTAAGGGCTAGGTCACTGTTGTACCCTGGCAGCTATGGCTCTAATACCTCATTAACACCACATTCTCTCTTGGGCAGGGCAGCATAAGGCAAGCAAAAGCCAAGGACTTACAAATTGTGCTAATGGAATAAATGGAAGCAAAGATATTAGGCCATAACTTTTGCAACCTTTTTAGTAAATTTTCTATAGCATTTGAGGCTATCAACTTCCTCTTTCTTCTTAAAGTTACTTTCCTGTGAATTTCATGTTAGACTCTCAATTTTCTGTTTCTTTAACACTTCTGTTACCATTTGTTTTCTTTTTCCATTGTTAGATCCTCTTCTTCCTCACCACTCTAAAAATAAATGTTTAACTATGATCAATTATTGGCTCTTTTCCCTTTCATTCACTATTGTGACTTCAATTACCATTTTAATCAAGATAATTCCCAAATGCACAAATATCTAGCCTTGCTTTCCCCTGGCTCCTGCATTTCCAAGTTCCACTCTCACTCATACCCTCATTCTTCCTTGCCTAGACTATTGCTATTCCCTATGAACTTGGTCGCCTAGTCCAATATCCCCCTAACAATGCATCCTACACACTGCAGGGGTTGGCAAACTTTTCTGTAAAGTGGCAGATAGTAAGTATTTCAAGTTTTGCATACCAGATACAGTCTCTGTCACATACTGTTCTTTGTTTGCTTTCTTGTTTTTGAACAACCCTTTAAAATGTAAAAATCATTCTCAGGTTACTGGTCACAGAAAAACAGACCATAAAACAAATTTGACCCACAGGCAGTGGTTTGCTGGCCCCTTGCCATAGAAATGCCTGATAGCCCTTGTTGAAGCACAGAACCAATCATATCACTCTTTTGAACGTAAAGTAGAATGTTTTGCCTGCAGTTTCAGTCCAAAATTCCATTGCTTCTTTATGGATTCATCACACTAACCAAACAGATCTCCTTACAGTCATTTTTAAATTTTCTATTTCCCTGATATTGTTCAAGCTTAGAGCACTCTCTTTAGTCATATTCAATTACCAAACCCGTGCACATGTCTGCATTTGCATGTGTACACACACACACACACCTGGAATCCATTTGCCTCCTTTATTTGTAACTTTCTTGTGCTTGTCATTTATACTTTATTTATGTATATCTCTAACTTCCCATGCAAGCTCTTAAGAGCAGAATCTGTCTGATTCATTATTCTATGTTTCTCTTGTACTCACTTTTGCCTAGTTGTGCTTAATATCATAGCATATATATAGCAGACACTCAATAAATCTTTAACAAATAAGTGAGTGAATGAATGAATGAATTCAGATGTATATACATTAATGGGGCTGATACATATTCAGTATCTATAAATTTTGTTAAAATCTCTACTAACACAGAGGCACAGCTCCTTAGGGAGTCATAAATTTGGTTTATGGGCTTGGATTTGATCCAGGCCCATCCACTTAAATTGTGCAACCCATGGGAAGCAATCTAATGTGGCAATTGTAACCAAGTACTAGAAGCAGACAAACCTGGATTCCAACTCTGCCTTCATCACTCAAGTAGCTTAACCTGCATTGAGCCCTGGGATCCTCAGCTTTAAAATAGAGTGATAATTCCCATGTGTTCTGGAATCTATCATACTTGGGGCTTCCTCCTTTTGGTTGAAACAATGGTTTGATTTTTTTTTACCCCAATGTGATAAATATAGTTATACCAGAAGATTTTGATCCAAGGGTTGCACATGCCCTGTATCCCCTACCAATTGCAAGGCCAAGAAGTATCCCAATGTTACATGGCTTCCCATTCTCTGCAGGCCCTCAGGCTACAGAGCTGACGACTTTCCCTTAGACACTGGAGAAGACAGCAGAGGGCTATTGTCTGTGCCTTACAGATAAGTCTCTGGAGGCCAACTCCACTACCTCCCAGTACAAGGAGATTTATTATGTTTATGAGAGTATGTGTGAAGCTGATGTTGGCATCCAATGACAACTCTCTTTCCACATTTAGGAAACTGAAGGCCAACTATCTACCTACCCCTTAATAGACTCATAAAAACCAAGCAAGCATGATTTTTAAATAAGTTTCATCTCTCTCTCTCTCTCTCTCTCTCTGTTTTTGTTTTTCAAATGGGCATCCTGTCTGTATCTGAGAAAGGAACAAAAAGTCGAAGATGTTTCTTGCTTAGAAAAATGGTAGTCTCTTACTACCATAAGCAGGAGATGGTCAGTGTTACTTGTCAGGTCAGGGTGTCAGCACCACATAGGATTTACTCCTCAGAATTGTCAGTACCCAACACCCTGTTGCTGGGAGAGCTAAGTATTTAACTCTGATGTGTAAAGAATGTTGGCACAGTGTGTGGCTCCTAGGAAGCACTCAGTAATTGTTAACTGTAACTACAATTATTCTACATATAACTACAGGGACTCATTAGATTATAAACACAGATGTTTCTTGTTCCTCTCATATTTTATCCAGTCTTAGTTAAAATTGTCAGTAGGGCATACTTTGACTTCAGGACTTTCGATTTCATCTTCAGGTTCCATCTTCCCTTCTTGATCATTTTAGTGGACAGGGTACAATTAAGAGGAAGCATATATAATTTCCCAGATGATAAGAAAGAAGCAAGCCAATGCCTTCCCTGTTTAACACCAATGACAAAACAAGCTCAATTGGCCTACTTATAGTCATAAGAGGAATCAAGCCTTTTATAGATGGGAAGGGACTTTTTTACACCAAATGGCTCAAAGTCATAGAGTCATGCATCAAGTTTAGAAAAGTTTTTTCTCCAACATAATGTTTGGGGAGAAATTGAAATGTTCTTTGAGATAGATACTGAATTGTACCAAAACTCCTTTTAAATGTTATCTGAATATCATCTTAATAACATAATTCAAGTCCAAACATTTTAAATAAAATAGTGGAAAGAAGATAAAGAGGAAGAATTTTTCAACTCAAAATGTTTTCCGTATGAGTTTTCAACATACAGTGGGTCACTGATAAATTTTTGAGGTTCTGAAACTCTTTTAAATTATTAGAATATCATTATTTTAGAAATAAGGTTGATGCAGTCTTTATAGTCAATTTGCCTGATTCAAATCCCAGATCTGCCATTTAATATACAATACTGGGCAAGTTATTTAACCTCCGTATGTCTTAGTTTTCACCTCCAGAAAATTTAGATAATAATAATACCAATATTATGTCATTACTTATAAGGATTAAATGAGTTAACATATGCAAAAAACAATAAGCACTCAATAAATATTTTTATTGTAACAATGGTGATGATGATGTCTATATAGCACTTTATGTTTAGCACAGATCATTTTCATGTTATCTTGTTTGATACAAAAATCAACCTTGCTGAGGTCGGTATTAGTATCTCCATTTTACAGAGAGAAACCAAGACTCAAAGACAATAAGTTACAAGTTCAAGCTTGTTTAGTTAGTAGCAACTTTGTACTTAAACCAAGAGCATCTTTCTGCAAATCCTGGGCTCTTTCTACCTTTTTTCATCTGATTCAATATTCTAATTATTAAGTATGATCAAGTTAAAATGACGGTAAAGTAGGAGCCCATTTTCTCTTTATTCCCAGAACAATCTGAATGAATATTAAACTGTGAGATTCACATGGAAAGAAAAGACCATTTTGTTGGCTGGTATTCTTGGAATACCTTCTGCCCCTATATACCAGTCATTATATTTACAAGGAAAATGAAGGCACAGTGTCCAGACCACCCTGTAGTCTCACAAAATATTCATTGACGTGAAAAACAAATATCAAGAAAATGTAATTTACACAATTCCATTCCAAAACAGCCAATAATAATAATAATAACACCTTTCATCTACTGATGTGTAATAATGCTTATAGTGTATAAAGCTCTGTTCCATTCCTTGTGTCATTTGAGCTGCATAACAATGAGACAAGAATTATGCTAGCTCATCAGAACAATGAAACAGATTGGGGAAGACTATACAAATGAAGAGCAAATATCCATTTGATTTTCTTTTTCTTTCTCTTTTTTCTTTTTACTTTTTTTTTTTTGAGACAGAGATTTTGCTCTTGTCACCCAGGCTGAGGTGCAGTGGCATGATCTCAGCTCACTGCCACCTCTGCCTCCCAGGTTCAAGTGATTCTTCTGCCTCAGCCTCCCAAGTAGCTGGAATTACAGGCACCCACCACCATGCCCAGCTCATTTTTGTATTTTTAGTAGAGACGGGGTTTCACCATGTTGTCCAGGCTGGTCTCGAACTCCTGACCTCGGGTGATTCACCCACCTTGGCCTCCCAAAGAGCTGGGATTACGTGAGCCACTGTGCCCGGCCCCATTTGATTTTCAATCCCACTAGCCAAGCCTCAAATTCTCTCTCATAACCAATGAACACACATAGAATTTTAATACCTCTGGCCTTTTTCAGCCATATTCCTCAAAAAATATTGGTAGATTAGAGGCAGTGGAAAAATATAACTACTCTCTTTTACTGAGAAAAATTAATGAAAGTAATACAATCAATTAAATAAAAATAAAATATTATTGTATTATTTTATTCCTTTTAATAGCTTACTTACTAAATAATTTGCATGACAATTGGTAGTTTGAGTTCTAACTCTAGGAAGGTCTTCCTAGAGACTGGAGGAGTACATCTCACACCTACTCTGCATTTCCACTCTGCATCCCTAGGCAGAATCTCACCAGGCCTGCCTAAACTACCCATCCCTGGCTGACCTCAGTGCCCCCTAGTCTCTCCATTCCAGTTGAAACAGGACAGCTGGATGACTCCCATTAAGGAGCAACTCTCATAATGTAACCTCCCACCCAATCGGAAACCCACATTACCCTCGCTGTGCTTCCCAAGGTAAGGAATGGCTATCACTGATTGCATAGGAGATCATTTTAGGTGGAATGTAAATTCATCTTTTTGTTTTCCGAGATATGTTTTCATTTGCATATATATGAAATAATTATAATAAAACACAAAGCCAAGGGTATTAGACCTAAATAAATAAAAGTTTCAAAGGGGAATTAATTTGAAGAAAAATATCTACTTGTAGTGTTGGTATATCAATATGACAAAAAGGTGAAGATTATACAAGCATGACTGTAGGTTGGAACATACTAGCCTTCAGAATTAAGTTTCAGTTCCTTAGCCAGACATTCAAGACCCTCCGTGATCCAGACTTAGTCTATCCTTCCAGCCACAACTCGAAGTACTACTTGTACTCTAGTCTAACCAAATGTACTTTTTGAAAAATCTGTGAATATCCCACCTGTGTGACTTTGTTCATAGTGTTCTCTGTGTCAAAATGTCCTCTCCCTATAATTCTCCATCTCTATCCACCCTCCAGATATAGTGTGAAGGCTGCCTCATTCATGATCTCTTCCCAGAAATCCACAATGAAAAATAGTTTCTCTCAAAGGAATTGGTGATTGATTGTGGTGGCTAAGGAAAGATAGTGGTCAAGAATGATAGTTCCACTGAGCAATACAGGGAAGCCCAGGAATGGAACTTGATTTAGGAAGAAGATTATAATACATGTGTGGAATGACTACAACTGATAAAGCCTCATCAAGTCTATTATCTCTCAGATTTCATCATCAAAATAACCTCTCATGGTAGGCAGGACAACTGTTACTATGTATGTGTTATTTGTGGTGACCTCAAACTCAAAGATGCTGTGAGATTTGTCTAAGTCTACACAGCTCCAGACAGCAAAAATAGAACATAAGCCTTAACCTTCCTTAAATTAATACTAATAATAATTGCATTATTTTTCTAATTATAAAAATGTTTTAAGGGAAGGATAGAGAGAGATTTGTTAAAGGATACAAAATCACAGTTAGGTAGGGGGAATAAGTTCTAGTGTTCTATACCGCTGGAGGATAACTGGTTAATAACACATAGTTCAAACAGCTAGAAGGAGGACATTGAATGTTCCCAACACAGAGCAATGATAAATATTTGATGTGATGGATATGCTAATTACCCTGATCTGATCACTATACATTATATATATCAAAACATCATTATGTATCCCATAAATATGTAGTTATATATCTATTTTTAAAAAAATTTTCATTGTAGAAATATAGAAAATAAATAAACACATGAGAAAGGTAAATAATCATGATTATAACTTTGGTGCATTTTCCATTTTTTCTATACTAATTTGTATATAATTGAGATATTGTTTACATATATGTTTATATCCTGAATTTTTCACTTAATAACATACATAATTATGTTCCTATGTCATTAAAATGTGGTCTTAATGAACAAGTAATAGGTCATAACTTTTCAGAAATTTATTTATTTTAAAAAATTAAAAAACTTTAAAAAACAAAAGGAAAGTCAGGTGCAGGCTTAAGCCACATATATTTTTGTTGTTGTTTTCTTTCTTATTTCAATAGGTTTTTGGGGGAACAGATGGTGTTTGGTTACATGAATATGTTCTTTAGTGGTGATTTGTGAGATTTTGGTGCACCCATCACCCGGGCAGTGTACACTGTATCCAATGTATAGCCTTTTATCCCTCACCCCCTTCCCACCCTTTCCCCAAGTACCCAAAGTCCGTTGTATCATTCTTACGTTTTTGCATCCTCACAGCTTAGCTCCCAGTTATGAGAGAGAATGTAAGATGTTTTGTTTTCCATTCCTGAGTTACTTCACTTAGAATAATGGTCTCCAATTCCATACAGGTTGCTATGAATGCCATCATTCCATTCCTTTCTATGGCTGAGTAGCGTTCTGTGATATATATACATATACCACGATTTCTTTGTCCACTTGTTGATTGATGGACATTTGGGCTGGTTCAATATTTTCACAATTGCAAATTGTGCTGCTAAAAAGATGCATGTGCAGGTATCTTTTTTTGTATAATGACTTTTCATCTGGGTAGATACCCAGTAGTGTGATTCCTGGATCAAATAGTAGTTCTACTTTTAGTTCTTTAAGGAATATCCACAGTGTTTTTCATAGTGGTTGTACTAGATTACATTCCCACCAACAGTGTTAAAACAGTGTTAAGAGTGTTCTGTTTTCACCACATCCCTGTCAAAATCTATTTTTTTAAAATCTTGATTTTGGCCATTCTGGCAGGAGTAAGGTGGTATTGCATTGTGGTTTTGATTTGCATTTCCCTTTTAATTAGTGATGCTGAGCATTTTTTCATATGTGTTGGTGGTCATTTGTATATCTTCTTTCGAGAATTGTATATTCATGTCCATAGTCCACTTTTTGATGGGATTGTTTGTTTTTTCCTTGCTGATTTGTTTGAGTTTCTTGTAGATTCTGGATATTAGTCCTTTGTCAGATGTATAAACTGCAAAGATTTTCTCCCACTGTGTGGGTTGTCTGTTTACTCTGCTGATTGTTTGTTTTGCTGTGCAAAAGCTTTTTAGTTTAAGTCCCATCTATTCATCTTTGTTTTTGTTGCATTTGCTTTCGTGTTCTTGTCGTGAAGTCTTTGCCTGAGCCAATGTCTAGAAGGGTTTTTCCGATGTTATCTCCTAGAACTGTTGTGGTTTCAGGTCTGAGATTTAAGTCCTTGATTCATCTTGAGTTGATTTTTGTATAAGGTAAGAGATGAGAATCCAGTTTCATTCTTCTACATGTGATTGCCAATTATCCCATCATCATTTGTTGAATAGAATGTCCTTTCCCCATTTTATGCTTTTGTTTGCTTTGTTAAAGATCAATTGGCTTTATTTCTGGGTTCTCTATCATGTTCCATTGGTTTATGTGCCATTTTTATGCCAGTACCATGCTGTTTTGGTGACTATGGCATTAGAGTATAGTTTGAAGTCAGGTAATGTGATGCCTCCAGATTTGTTCTTTTTGCTTAGTCTTGCCTTGGCTATGCAAGCTCTTTTTTCATTCCACATGAATTTTAAGATTGTTTTTTCTAGGTCTGTGAAGAATGATGGTGGTATGCAATGGGAATTGCATTGAATTTTTAGGCTGCTTTAGACTGCTTTTGGCAGTATGTTCATTTTCACAATATTGATTCTACCTATTTATAAGCATAGGATGTGTTCCTATGTTTTTGTGTCATCTATGATTTCTTTCAGCGGTGTTTTGTAGTTTTGTTGTAGAAGTCTTTCACTTCCTTGATTAGGTATATTCCTAAGTATTTTATTTTTTTGACAGCCATTGTGAAAAGGGTTGAGCACTTGATTTTATTCTCAGCTTGGTCGTTGATGGTGTATGGCAGAGCTACTGATTTGTGTACATTAATTTTGTATCTTGAAACTTTGCTTAATTCATTTACCAGTTCTGAGAGCTTTTTGGAGGAATCTGTAGAGTTTTCTAGGTATATGATCATATCATCAGCAAATGGCAACAGTTTGACTTCCTGTTTACCGATTTGGATGCCCTTTATTTCCTTCTCTTGTCTGATTGTTCTGGCTAGGGCTTTCCAGTGCTATGTTGAATAGAAGTGGTAAGAGTGGGCATCCAGCTGGGCCTGGTGCTCATGCCTGTAATCCCAGCACTTTGGGAGGCCAAGACGGGCAGATCACTTGAGGCCAGTAGTTCGAGACCAGCCTAGCCAACATGGTGAAATTCCACCTCTACTAAAAATACAAAAATTTACCAGACATGGTGGCAGGTGCCTCTAATCCCACCTAATCAGGAGAATCCCTCCTGAGGCAGGAGAATCACTTGAACCTGGAAGGCAGAAGTTGCAGTGAATTGAGATGGTTGCAGTGAATTGAGATGGTGCCACTGCACTCCAGCCTGGGCAACAGAGTGAGACCTTGACTCAAAAAAAAAAATAAATAATAAAAAAGTGGGCATCCTTGTCTTGTTCCAGTTCTCAGGGGAATGCTTTCAACTTTTCCTCATTCAGTATTATGTTGGCTGTGTGTTTGTCATAGATGGCTTATGTTACACTGAGGTATGTTCCTTGTGTGCCAATTTTGCTGAGAGTTCTAATCATAAAGTGATGCTGGATTTTGTCAAATACTTCTTCTGCATCTATTGAGATGATCATGTGATTTCTGTTTTTAATTCTGTTGATGTGGTGTATCACATTTATCGACTTGCATATGTTGTACCATCCTTGCATCCCTGTTATCAAATCTACTTGATCATGATGTATTATCTTTTTGATATGCTGTTGCATTTGGTTAGCTAGTATTTTCTTAAGGATTTTTGCATCTGTGCTCATCAGGGATATCGGTCTGTAGTTTTCCTTTTTTGTTATGTCATTTCCTGGTTTTGGTATTAGGGTGATACTGGCTTCACAGAATAATACAGAGAAGATTCCCTCTTTATCTTTTGAAATAATATCAATAGGATTGGTACCCATTCTTCTTTAAATATCTGATAGAATTCAGCTGTAAATCCATCTGGTCCTGGAAGTTTTCTTGGTTGGCAATTTTTTTTTTATTACCATTTCAATCTTGCTGCTTGTTATTGGTCTGTTCATAGTTTCTATATCTTCCTGGTTTAATCTAGGGAGTGCTGTATATTTTCAGAAATTTATCCATCTCCTCCACGTTTTCTAGCTTATGCACATAAAGGTGTTCATGTAGCCTTGAATGATCTTTTGTATTTCTGTGATATCAGTCGTAATATCTCCAGTTTCATTTCTAATTGAGCTTATTTGAATCCTCACTGTTCTTGGTTAATCTCACTGATAGTATGTCAATTTTGTTTATCTTTTCAAAGAACTAGCTTTTTGTTTCATTGATCTTTCATATTTTGTTTGTTTCAATTTCATTCAGCTCTGCCCTGATCTTTGTTATTTCTTTTCTTCTGCCGAGTTTGGGTTTGGTTTGTTCTTGTTTCTCTAGTTTCTTGATGTGTGACCTTAGATTGTCTGTGCTCTTTCTGACTTTTTGATCTAGGCTTTAATGCTATGAAGTTTCTTCTTAGCACTGCCTTTGCTGTATTCCAGAGGTTTTGATAGGTTGTGTCACTATTATTCACTTTAAAGAATTTTTACATTTCCATCTTGATTTTTTTTTATTATTATACTTTAAGTTTTAGGGTACATGTGCACAATGTGCAGGTTAGTTACATATGTATACATGTGACATGCTGGTGCGCTGCACCCATGAGTTGGTGGGTCCATCTTGATTTTATGGTTCACCCAATAATCATTCAGGGGCTGGTTATTTAATTTCCATGTACATGCATGGTTTTGTGGGTTCCTTTGGAGTTGATTTCCAATTTTATTCCACTGTGGTCTGAGAGAGTAGTTGATATAATTTCAATTTTCTTAAATTTATGAGACTTGTTTTGTGGCCTATCATATGGTCTATCTTGGAGAATGTTCCATGTGCTGATGAATAGAACGTATAGTCTGCCTTTGTTGGGTAGAATGTTCTGTAAATATCTGTTAAGTCCATTTGTTCTAAGACATAGTTTAAATCCATCGTTTCTTTGTTGCCTTTCTGTCTTGATGACCTGTCTGGTGCTGTCAGTGGAGCATTAATGTCCATCACTATTATTGTGTTGCTGTCTATCTCATTTCTTAGGTCTAGTAGTAATTGTTTTATAAATTTGAGAGCTCCAATGGTAGGTGCATATATATTTAGAATTGTGATATTTTCCTATTGGACTAGTCCTTTTAACGTTATTTAATGTCCCTCTTTGAATTTTTTAACTGCTGTTGCTTTAAAGTTTGTTTTGTCTGATATAAGAATAGCTATTCCTTGTCGCTTTTGGTGTCCATTTGCATGGAATATTTTTTTCCACTCCTTTACCTTAAGTTTATGTGAGTCCTTATGTGTTAGGTGAGTCTCTTGAAGATAACAAATACTTGGTTGGTGAATTCTTATCCATTCTGTGTCTTTTAATTGGAGCATTTAGACCATTTACATTCAACATTAGTATTGAGATGTGAGGTACTATTATATTCATCATGCTGTTTGTTGCCTGAATACCTTGTTGTTGTTATTGTTGTTCTTGTTGTTTTCAGTGTGTTTTTGTTTTATAGGTCCTTTGAGATTTATGCTTTAAAGGAGTTCTCTTTTGGTGTATTTTCCAGAATTTGTTTCAAGATTTAGAGCTCCTTTTAGCTGTTCTTGCAGTGCTGGCTTGGTAGTGGTGAGTTCTCTCAGCATTTGTTTGTCTGGAAAAGACTGTATCTTTCCTTCATTTATGAATCTTAGTTTCGCTAGATGCAAAATTCTTAGCTGATAATTATTTTATTTAAGGAGGCTAGATATAGGGCCCCAATTTCTTCTAGCTTGCAGGATTTCTGCTGAGAGATCTGCTGTTAATCTGATAGGTTTTCCTTTATAGGTTACCTGATGCTTTTGCCTCACAGCTCATAAGATTATTTCCTGCATCTTGACTTTAGATAACCTGATGACGATGTGCCTAGGTGATGATCTTCTTGTGATTAATTTTTCATGTGTTCTTTGAACTTCTTATATTTGGATGTCTAGATCTCTAGCAAAGCTGGAGATGTTTTCCTCAATTATTTCCTCCAATGTGATTTCCAAACTTTCAGATTTCTCGTTTTCCTCAGGAACGCCAATTATTCTTAGGTTTCGTCATTTAACATAATCCCAAACTTCTTGGAGGCTTTGTTCATTTTTTAAAAATTCTTTCCTCTTTGTCTTTGAATGGACTAAGGTAATTCGATAGCCTGTCTTTGAGCTCTGAAGTTCTTTCTTCTACTTGTTTGATTCTGTTGCTGAGACTTTCCAGTGCATTTTGCATTTCTCTAAGTGTGTCCTTCCTTTCCAGAAGTTGCTTTTGTTTTTTATTTATGCTATCTATTTCACTGAAGAGTTTTCCCTTCACATCTTATATCATTTTTCAAATTTCTTTGAGTTGGACTTTACCTTTCTCTGGTGACTACCTGATTAGCATAATAATTGACATTTTTGAATTCTCTTTCTGGCAATTCAGATTTCTTCTCGGTTTGGATCCATTGCTGATCTTTTGGGGGTGTTAATGAACTTGTTTTGTTTTGTCATATTACCACAATTGTTTTTCTTGTTCCTTCTCATTTGGGTAGACTATTGCAGAGGGAAGATCTGGGGCTCAAGGGCTGCTGTTCAGATTCTTTTGTCCCGCAGCGTGCTCCCGTGATATAGTATTCTCTCCCTTCCTCTAGGAAAGGGGCTTCCAGAGAACTTAACTGCAGTCATTGTTATTTCTCTTCTGGATCTAGCCGCCCAGCAGAGCTATGGGGCTTCAGGTACTGGGGAGTGTTTGCACAGAGTCCTGTGATGTAAACCGTCTTCAGATCTCTTGGTCATGGATACCAGCACCTGCTCCAGGTGGGGTGGCAACGGAGTGAAGTAAACTCTGTGAGGGTCCTTGGCTGTAGTTTTGTTTATTGTGCTAGTTTTGTGTTGGTTGGCCTCCAGCCAGGAGGTGGTGCTTTCAAGAGAGCATCAGCTGCGGTAGTATAGGTAAGATCAGGTGGTGGGCAGGCCCATAGAGTTCCCAAGAGATTATGCCCTTTGTCTTCGAGTTTTTCAGCTGTCTCTATGGGCCTGCAGCAGCAATCTGCTTCCTTCAAAGGGTCTGTGGATGCTGTCAGCTTTCCTGATGTGTTTTTGTGGTAGTTCTTGGAGCAAAAGCTCACAGTGTGAGTCTCCACACACTTCTCTATCTGTCTGACAGGAGCTGCAAGTTTGTCCTGCCTCCTATCCACCATTTGTTTCAGTCAGATATATATTGAATCAAAGATCACTATGAGGAACTGAAGAAAACTTTTGATAGACAGGTAAAGGGATGGGACTGTAATGCACAGGAAAGCAGGACCAGAATAGAAACATGTTGCAGCTAGTGGAGATACTTATCATGCCCATGAAAGGACTGTTTTGCAGAAGGAGTTCTAATTTTATTGTTTTCTTTCACTGGTTTGAGCCAATAGCCCATAAAGAGTATATAATAAATGTTGGTCTTAAGAAATAATCATCCGTCTCCCCTATAAATTCAAATATCACTTTTTCTTTTAGGTACCCATAACACCAATCACAGCAGATAACATTTGCCCAGCCACAGACATGATGTGATAATGTCCTATGCATTGCCTTCTTCAATCCCTAGGATAATCTTTCCACACTAGAGTGATCATGGTCCTCATTTTCCTGAGATAGCCCAGTTTGTGCTTGTGGCCCAGCGTAACTATTAATAGCAGCCCTCCACTTACAAAGGTATCCTGACTTAAATTATAAATTATATGGTCATCCTGCTATTATCTGCATTTTACAGATGAGGAAACCAAGGCACAGTAACATCCCCAAGGAACACAGCTGAAAGGGACAGTAAGTTTCAGAGCATGCTCTCCTGAGCCCTATACTATTAGGATACAAAGTTTATGTCTGCTACAAAATGGCATGCAACTTAAAAAAAGAGCAGGCCTTATACATTTTTGTGTCCCCTTACTACACCTAGCACAGTGACTTTCCACAAAATTGGTGTTCAATAGATGTAGTAAGAATGAATGAGAATAAATAAGTCTTTCCTAAATCCTCCATTAGGAAAGAATATTGTAGGGATGTCCCATCTTCAATCTTTATAGCACTATAGATTCTTGGTGAATTTCCCAGGTATAAGGGGCAGAACACAGACTCCCCAATGTATTTGTTTGGGAGATATACAAGCCCTTGACTCCTTTTTCAGTTGTTAAATACAGTAGACCCTATAGGATAGGGATAGACTCTCTTATCCTAAGTGACAACCTATTCCCAAATAGGGATTTTTCTCATATACACAGGCCAGTGTTACTCCTCCAGTCAATTGAGTAACAATTCTTAGCTCAAAGACCCTGAAAACTCAAAAGTCTTTAGGGAGTTCTGTGAAACCTCTGAAAATGCATGCAAGATTTGGAGTGTGCTTGCATATCATAGGAAGATGAATACAGTCCTCAGATTCCCCAAGGTATCAATAACTCTCAAGAGTTAAGAACCACTGCTCTGGGGTCCTCTCCGTGGTAGCAACTAAGTTAAAATCACAGAAGCCATAAACTCCTCATAGTCCTCAGAGGTGCCACATTTGGATAAATATTTAATGTTCTTTAAGCATGTTTTAAGTGTTCAAACGTACACATTTCTCATTAACAGTTTTTTTAGAGGTAATCTCTTCCACACAAAACAGTCAATTGTGCATTTTAGGAAGTCATCAGCTTATAAATGGGCTGTGATCCAGGGATCTATTTACAAACCGGAATCAATTTTCTCATCAAGCAATGTAAATAATTAAGCAAAAGTCTCATTTGCTATAAAGACACTGGGAACAAGAAACCAAGAAATGTGGTAGGAAGAAGAAAGAGATTGCCACCCCCTTCCTCGGGACAGGATTGATTCCAGAAAATAAAAAATAATAGGCAATGTTTCTTTTCAGAACCTGTTCCCTCTTCTGCAGCATTGCTCCCAGGGTACCCCCAAAATCCCTAGAGACACACTAACAGGACTTCCCCATCATCCTTCCCCAGCATTACCCGTCTCCCACGTCCTGCAGCTCCATTTCCTCACCACAAACGAACTCACCTAGGAATCTGGAGGCTAGTGGCATTATTAAGTTCACACTCATGTATGTGGGACTGATGGCTCTTTGACCTCATAATGTGCTTGTACTTTCAGCAGAGGACACATATTGATCCAAAGGAATGACTGATTGGGGGTCAAGGCAGTATGACAAAGTCAAGGGGAAATACAGGTCAGAGGGGTTAGGAAGGGGTGGGAATGCCACATAAAATGCCGAATCTTCTTAGCAATCTCCTTCTATGCAACTCATATTCCAATCATTCCCAAACTCTGCTTCCTTCAGCATCTCCAGTGTGGGTAAGGGTAAGGAGAATAATGGAGACTGAACATAAAGGACCCTGGGCCACTCTTCTTCTGTTTTAAATTTATTTTAGTTCTCTAACCCTTCCCAGTAAAACTAATTTGACTAAAGGACACAAAACTAAAGTTTGGAAATCACTGCTCCAAAATAAACAGATATTTTCCAGCTTATTCCCTTTCTCCACTTCTGATTCCACAATATTTGTTCAAACCTATAAGTTTTGTTGCATTTTTCACCCGTTGTATTTTAGTAGAGGGTTGAGAAGAAAATAGACAGGAAGGAGCTAGGGAAACTATCTATATGCATAGATTACTTGTAAGCCAGGTGTCTGAAAACCAGATACTTTGTGCTTTCTCTTCCTTGCTAATCAGTTGACATAAAATACCTCCTATTATTTGAATACATTCATCTACACTTTCTTCTATATCAATATTTATGCTTCATCTTGTTAGAGGTGATGCTTAGTAAATGAATACATTCATCAGATTTCAAGGTTTCAGCCAAGTGCGTTGGCCTGATGTAGAGCTCAATATATCAGTCTCTCAATATATTACCTACCTTCATCAAACCCAAACCTTGATCTGAGAAAATTATCCTAATTGGGGAAGATATATGTATACTGCCTAAAGACTATCAATCACTTTATCATTTATCTTTGGCTTTTTATCTGTTTTACTTAACCATCTTCTCCCTTGAAGGGTATTTAAATGTTTTACCAGCTAACCTCTCCTTTATATTAAATACCATTTCTCTTCTTTCACCTTCTCATCTGACTTTCTGTGTTTCCTTTATTCTACTGCCCAATTCCACTGGCTTTTTTTTTCTATTATTATTATACTTTAAGTTCTAGGGTACATGCGCACAATGTGCAGGTTTGTTACATATGTATACATGTGCCATGTTGGTGTGCTGCACCCGTTAACTCGTCATTTACATTAGGTATATCTCCTAATGCTATCCCTCCCTCCTCCCCCCCACCCCACGACAGGCCCCAGTGTGTGATGTTCCCCTTCCTGTGTCCAGGTGTTCTCATTGTTCAATTCCCACCTATGAGTGAGAACATGCAGTATTTGGTTTTTTGTCCTTGCAATAGTTTGCTCAGAATGACGGTTTCCAGCTTCATCCATGTCCCTACAAAGGACATGAACTCATCCTTTTTTATGGTTGCATAGTATTCCATGGTGTATATGTGCCACATTTTCTTAATCCAGTCTATCATTGATGGGCATTTGGGTTGGTTCCAAGTCTTTGCTATTGTGAATAGTGCCACAATAAACATACGTGTGCATGTGTCTTTATAGCAACATGATTTATAATCCTTTGGGTATATACTCAGTAATGGGATGGCTGGGTCAAATGGTATTTCTAGTTCTAGATCCTTGAGGAATCACCACACTGTCTTCCACAATGGTTGTAAGAATTCCCTTTGAAAACTGGCACAATTCCACTGTTTGTTATGGGCACATGGCTATCAGCTGTGGTGGCCAATACTCATGCCTTGCCAGAGCTGGCCTCTCATGGTCATTTCCATAAAGATGTGTCTGCTTCTGACTGAGGCTTCATTCACCCCCATCCCTGTGGGCCATAATGTTGCCCTGCAGCAAACACATGATTATAGTGTTCTTTTTTAATTCATAGAAACATAGACACATTCAGAGGTTTCGAGCGTTAAGAAACTGAATAGCAGTGGTTCCGCATCTTTGGTTGCACATTCGAATCACCTGGAAGCTTTAAAAAATACTGATGCCTGGATCCCACCCCTAGAGATTCTGATGTAATTGGCCCGAGGTATGGCCTGAGTGTGAAAGATGTTAAAATCTCCCCAGGTGGGACTTTCTGATCTAAGAAAATTCTTGCATCAGCACCATTACCACTTACACATTGTATTTGCTACTGTGCCTTTGGGCCTAAGAGAAGGCCTGCTACAATTTGCCACAAAAAGATGGGCTTAATTTTTCTTGAAAAAGCTCTAAAAACTCATTTATATGAAACCCCTCATTTTCCAAGGATACTACCAAATGAAGCAACATTGCACATTGAGAGCAGGCCTGGTGGATGTTGGGGCAGAGAGAGAGAGCATAATTAAGTGAAATTGACTCTAAATGACTTAATTTTCAATATTGTGATCACATCTTTCTCCAAGCACTTGGCCATGATATAACAAGTGGTGAGAATGCCCACCTGGGATTCACCACCACATCACATACGAAAGATGAGATATTCAATAATAAGAGACAGAAAAGAGGGAGAAGCACTCACTGACCAGAGAAGGGAAGGGAAGAGAAAAAGGGAAGAAAGAATAAATTAACACCTAGCATGCCAATTGCTTTTTGTACTCATATCTTCCCCCACAACACTAAGAGATAGATAATGTTGTTCCTATTTTTAGGGACAAAAAAAAGTGTCTGGAGAAGATAAATAATTTGCTAGAGGTCATTCAGCTGTTATGTCATTCAGTGGCATGGTTTGGCCGATGCCTACCTCTCCTGTCTTGCTGTTATCATCCTATCAAAGACCACTGCCCTAATTTTGAAGGTGAGACCAGAAGCAGAGAACATAGACTCTCTAAATAGGAGTGAAATCAAGTTCTCTTGCTACTTCCCACCAACCTGGTTCCAGTGGGAGAGAGGTCAGGTCCCCACCAGGGTGAGTGGGGATTACAGCTTTCAGCTCCAGGTGGCAGCAGGCTAACTTAAAAAACGAGAAGTGGAGCTTCAGTTTTCCTGGAACCCTCCAAGGGGCCACACTGCAGTTTTATTTGGTCAATGGAGAAACAGAAATTTTGTCAGCAGGGTCTGGCAGGTGCAGCAGGAATGCAGACTGGAGTGTGAGTCCTTTCATCAGACCCCAGGGTGTGGGCTGCAGGCTACTTTTACTCTGGAGCTAACAGGAAGACAGCTTTGGCTCCTGTGGAGAACAGCAGATAATTCACCATAATGCACCATCCTCTCACAGAGCAACACTAAGATATGATCGAATGCTAATGATTCCAATATAGGCAAACTATTGCATTACAACAAAATAGCTTCATTTTACTTCCAAGACTGTTGGGGGAAGACTAATAACCAAAGGGAGAAACCTTCTTACAACATGGCATGTTCTTGTGACAGGTTCTCAAGAGAGACTTTCCCCAGGAATAACTGCCAGTCCTTTCATCCTATGTGTCTCTCGTGTTCTGGCACTGGTCTCTCATCTCAGCCACTCTGGTATTCAGTACCTCAAACACACCAAGTTTTGTTTGGCCTCAAACATTTGCTAACATCCTTTCTTCTACCTGGAACCCTTCCCTCCAGCCTTCACATGTCTGGCTCCTTCATATTCTTCTTTCTCAGCTTGTACATCACCTCCTCCAGGAAGCCTTCCCTGATCACTCTATATAAAGCAGTTTCCCCTTTCCTTCTTCTCTTCCTTTCATAGTGACACTTATCATGCTTAGCACTTCTCTTATATTTTTACATTTGCATGTGTTTTTACCTGTCTGCACCTTTTGCCTCTAAGGAGGCATATCTATCTTGCCCATCATATCACCCGTTTCTAGATTCAAAGAAGATGCTCAGTTTAACAATTTGCTCAATAAATTAATAAGTGAAGCCCAGGTCGTTCATATCTGATGCGGTATTTTCTCTCCTGACTCCCCTTTTTAAAGTTACTATTTATAGAGGAATCTTTCGGGCCCTATGCTTTGTACTTTGCACCTATTTCACTTAAGACTCAAAACAACCCTATATCATAGATATTATTTATCCAGTTTTACAGATTAATAACCTAAGATTTGAGAAATTAAGATTTTTTGCCTAAGCCAACACCATAACTGAAATATCCAGGATTTAAGCACAAATGTGTCTAATTCCAAAGTTTTTGCTCTTTTCACTCTGTGACACTAAGGAAAAAAAGACACTGTTAGAGAGGATGGATAATCTTTCTGAAGAACTGAACAACAATGATGCCTTTACTTTATCTCCCTTCCTCTCCTTTTATTTGTGCATTTCTCCTCCAAGCACCCACATTTCACATTGCCAAAAACATGCACGATCACTGGCAGAAAGCAAGGAAATAATTCCTGTCAGAGATAGCACTTCCTGGAAACAGTGAAGTCAAAAAGCCACTTTGAATGGCAAGTTTCTTTTCTATGACTCTCATGGAAATCTCCTCTCTTAATGCCTATATTTCCGGTGCCTCATTGCAGGTGTAGGCACATCATACCCAACCCTGCATCATCAGAGAGATGCCTCTGGACTGGCTGAGAGCACTGGGGGAAAGGTACTCTGCCCAGAAAACACACCCACCAGCATCTCAAAACTCTGGGCTTATAAGTGTCAACTTGCAACTTCCATTATGGACAAAAAGAAAAGTGACTGGAGGAGAGGACCCCAATCCTAACACAGATAGAGCTTGAAAGTGCCAGGACTAGTCTTCAGCTTCAAATGCCAATGTTCCAGCTCTGGCTAAGACATAGTGTTTCTGGACAACCCAGTTTCTATCCAGTCCTCAATCATCTACCATCCATGAGCCATAATCTCTGTCTTCCTCTGCCATTGGTCCTCAAGGCTCTCCATGCCCACCGCGCCTGATTTATTTCCTTGTGTGAGTTGATTTTGTCATTCTGCCAGCTTAGCAGTACTTGATAGGTTTCTCAACCCCAATAGGATCAGTCAGAGGGCTCAGAGCAAAGGTTTTCTGATACTACCTTATAATATGCCAACTAACTCTCAGATGTCCTCTGGGCACAGGCACACAGAGGGCCAGAAAGCAGAGCAGATGCCAGGCACAGCACATATCATACACAAATAAACCGGGGCATATGCAACCGAAACTCACTGCGAAAAATTCAAGATGGACATGTATATCTTTTGAAAGCCAAATCATCATTCAAAGCTATAAAGTATAGAACACTGAATGGACATCTAGGATGTACTCAGGAACTGCTAGTGACATCCATGAAGTAGGCTTCAGCTTGAAACATTCATTCATATTCTACTCACATCCCTTCTAAGTCACATATGGCAAGATGAAGTCTCTGCCTATTGCCTGCAATAGACTTCTATTTATCAAACTACTTCTACAATCATTCATTCCAGAAACACTTATAGAGTGCCTGCCACCTGCCAAGCACTATTCTAGGGGCTAGGGATACAACAGTACCTGTCCTCATTCAGCCTACATTCTAACAGAGAAGAGATTGTAAATAAAGAAGAAAATAAATATATGGAAAGGTACCAGGCAATAATATGTACAATGAGAAAAAAAATTAAAAGAAGAACTTAATAGGTGCAGAGCAATGAGATGGGATGGGATAGGACGAGGTGGGGTAAACCTCAGAGAGGAGGAGCTCTCTATTCACTGCTGTTCCCCCAACACCTAGAACAGCACCTAGCTCAGAGTGAGTGAGAGTATAAAAAGGGGGATTGGAGAAGCCCTCCCTGAAGATGTGATACTTAAAGATGAGAACCTAGTACTAAGTGAGGGAGCCAGCTGCCAAGCAAAGATCTGACGGCAAAATATTCCAGGGAGACGGAGGAGTGGGTGCAAAGGCTCTGAGGCAGGAACATGCCTGTCGTGTCTGAGACACAGCAAGAAGGCTGGTGTGCCTGGAGAAAAGCAAGTAAGGCCGGCAGTGATAGGAGATGATGCTGGAGAAGCAGAACATGATAAATAGTTTAGGTTTTATTCTGAGTGGGATGAGAAGCCATTAGATGGTTTTGAGCAGAGTAATAATATGATCTAATTTAGAGTTTTAAAGGATCATTCTGGCACCTGCCAAATATATAAACTAGGAGATCATTTAGGAGACTACAAAGTAATGCAGGCATTACACTCCAGTCCAGTGTAGGTGCTGTGGGCTGAGCTAAGAGATGGTGAGAAGTGGTTGGACTGGAAATCAAGTTTGAAGGTGGAGGCAACAGGACTTGCTGTAGATGATGGGTATGAGGTAAAGAGAAGAGTTCTGGATTATTTCAAGGGTGATTGGGGAAAATGGAGTTGCCTTCTAATAAACCAGGGAAGCATGGGGAAGGGGTGGATTTTTGAGGAAGTGGAAACAAGAGTTTTGTTTTGGACATGATAATTTTTAGATGCCTACTGGACATCCAGATAGTAATAAAGGAGGCGGTTGGATTTATGACCTGAACTTCAGGGAGAAATCGGAGTAGGAGATACGAATTTGAGACCAATTAGCATATAGACTGTATTCCCACCATGGAAGATAATGCGCTTACTGAGGAGGGAATGTGGGTGGAGCAAGGAACAAGAGCTGAAACCCAAGCACTGTGACATTTATAGATGGGAGAGAGAAGGAGGGCCCCACAAAGGAGACCTGAAAAGAAGCAGCCAGTGAGATGGAAAGAAGACCAGAAAGATGTGATGTCCTAGAAGCTAAGTGAAAAAAGAACTTCCAGGAGAAGGAAACCATCTTGTGCTAATATATCACATACTAAAAGGAATAAAAATTTGCCACCAGATTTAGCAAGATGGAGTTCACTGATGACCCTGAGAAGTACGGTTTCAGTAGTGTTACGGAAACAAATCCTGAATAGAGGCCATTCAACAGAAAATGAGACTGGAGAAAGGACACAGAAGAGATTCTGCGCTATAGGAAAAGAAAAACTAAGGGAAGAAGCTGAAGGAGAATAGACAGCAAGAGATGATATCACAATACTCTTGTCCATAAAAAAATATACCATGGTCTTCAATACTATTCTATCAGTATTGGAAGACACACGACTCTGGGGAATCTGAAATAGTCAAACCTGTAGAAGCAGACAGCACAGTGGTGGTTGCCAGGGGCTGCAGAGAGGGGGAAATGGTGAGTTGCTAGTTAACAGGAACTTACACAAAATAAGTAAGTTATAGAGATCCATTGCACATTTGTCCTGTAGTTAAAAATACTGTATTTCACAGTTAAAAGTCTGTTGAAAGGGTAGATCTCATGTTAAATGTGCTTACCATGCTTTTTTTTAAAAAAGGACAAAGAGATTTCAGTGGTTATCTTCCTTCTCTTTTAAACCCAAAAGAAATGATATCAAAATATTTCTAGCCAATGGCCACTGAGGAATAAAAGAGGCTTTGATAATAATAATGCTAAAAAGCTGCATATTAGGTATTCGGCAATATGTGTACGTATGTATCTACATCTATCTACCTACCTACGTATCTATCTTCCCCATTCTCATTTAAATCTAAAAACCATTTTAAGAAGTAGGCACTATTGCCATCTTTCTTTTCTAAATCTTAGAGAGGTTAAATAATTTGCCCAAAGGACACAGAAAGTTAAGAAGCAGCATCAAAATTTAAATCCAGCCTTGTTTGAATAAAAAGCTTGGATTCTTTCCATTTCTCTCTTCTAATGTGAGAAGGATACACTTTTAACTCTTCAGCCCAGAAATCTTACCTTCATATGATCTGATTAGACAGAATGCAATCTAGATGACCTCTAGTTCCCATCCGGCACATCTTTCTTGGATTCTGTGATTCATTTACATAGTAAGAGTTTTCTTTCATATTTCATATTAATTTCACATTTCTCAGTGAACAGTCATCTTGAAGTTGAGTATAGCTTTGATCCAGTTTATTTTTTCTATTGTGAAAGTAATATATACTAATTAGAAATATGCTTATTATAGAAAATTTTAAAACTATCAAAATATAAACAGAGGAAAAAGATCTTCCACAGCCCCACAACACCAATGACTTTTGCTGAATTTTCTTCTAAGGTATTTTTTTCTGTGTATAAGGTTTTAGGTTTATTTTACGTTGTTTTGAACACAGTGGTAATCATGTTGCATATATCTATACAGTGAAAGTTTTCATTTAGCCATAAAATATTTACATTTTTTCATGCTGTTTATAAACATATTTTTAAGGCTGAACAATTCATTATTTCATAGAGTCAGATCCCTCCCCACCACTGAAAACATTAGGCTGAGTTTTAAACTAGGAGGAAGTTACCAATAGCACCTAAGCCCTTTTAGCGATGGTTTTAGAAAAGAGTACGTATCTGGTTATAAGGATACCCAAGTCTATGCTATTAATATATTTTTCTTCCATTTCTACTATAGTTCTCAAAACTTCTTTCTGCAGGATATCTACCTCGGCAAATATAAACTTCAAGGTTATCCTGGCATCAGTGTTATTACCCTATTAAGAACACTTGAGAAAAGTTCATATTGATTAGCATACCACTCCCACGTCTGCCTAACAAAAGCTTTCCTAAATATTAAAGTTGAATGTGAATGCTGTGCATGGACATCTACTACAGACTGCATAATATTGTAGCATTTGAATGGAAGCAATTGTTAAATACCATAATACAGAAATGACCCTTAGTGCTTGCCCTTCCCACTCATGAATTTCATATAATACAATTTATTTAATGTCCAGACATTTTACTGGGCAATTTTAGTGAGTGTCCTAGACTCTTAGGCACCATGGAGTTTGACCTTACTCAAAGCCTACTGCAGAAGCTTTGTCCCCTGAATACACAGTCCATGTGAAAGAGCCACAGGAGAAGAAGTCATTGTATGAGAAAAAGAAATATGAAGACCCAGCCTGTACTTGACATCTGTGATGAATGCAGCCTTTCAATGATGAACTCCTGCCAGCCCCACCTCAATTTGAATTTGCATTCTCCATTAATGTGGTTATAATGCTGGCCCTGGTCAAAGTCCCATCGTAAGTCTCCTGTTTCCTGGGTATAATACAAACATCAAGGTCACATACAAGCCAGCTGTTGACTAACAAAACAGTGAACTATTATTGAAGTAGCCTTGGGCCACTGTACAGAGTATTCTTTACATGCAACAAAAGCTATGTTGGGGACAATGTCAGAAATCAATTAGAACCACCAAAGATAATCTTTCATTCTCTCTCTCATACAAGCTCTATTTCACTTTGTCTTTCTTTTCCTTTTGAATTGTTTTGCAAGCAGTATTACCAATAAATCTATATCTGATCAGAAGTGGTTCATTTTGTAAAATATTATTGAAATCAAATTATTGATAAATAAGTATATTTTTATTGTTTGAACTGTTGGTACCTAGAGAAATGGTATCTTCTTGACTGCTTTGCCTCTCATTAGTATTTACATTTTTAAAAATTTTTTAAATTACTTTTTCTATGCATTTGGGAGCAAGAAATATAGCCCTTGGATTTTGTTGGAGCCAAAATACTGGAAAATATAAGGAAAAGCTTGTTTTTACAGGAGAAGACACACTCTCTAGCCCAAAGCCTAATTTTAAGCAGTTTATAGCCCCCATAACTAGCATTTACTCTGCATGGAAAGATATTTGAGGAAGAGGGCAACTACTGAGGGAATGAAGGATTTACAGTAGCAGTTGTTGGAATAACTGGACCTCAGCCTGTCCAACATTCTCCCAGATTTATAACACAAAATTACCATATCAGAATGAGACTCCAGGGAGCTAAAACAACCGATTGACAAGCTGTTCTGCTTCCTGTTAAGGCTGAGCTAGGTTTCTCTCCTTCTGGACCCTAAAACATTCAAAACTAGGCCAAGTTTTTAAGCCCCTGGTGGAAATTGCCTGCTTATTACCATTTCATCATTTTGTCATTATAAAAAAGCAAACACAGGGAAGTTATTTGCATAAAACAAGACAAAACAGTTACTCTTATGCTCCTGTTTCTGCTATCAGCTCTTAACACCTCACGGTAAATTTTTATTTATATTAAATGTTAACCTGACCAACTCATATTCTGTATTGGTCACTTCATAGAAACTTAAAGGACAGGCAACAGAGCATCACCAAAGGAAAGAAACTGTAGAGATCATTAAGATTAAATCTACCCCTTCAGTTACAGATGAGGAAACTGGGACTTTAAATAATGACAACAATAGCAACAACATTTACTGAACACTTTCATTATCCAGGTTACTTTTTAAGCCCATCTATTAAGTTAGTCCAATTTCTCCAAGTATATACCAGGGTCTTTTTAAACTGTTTTTGTGCATATTAATTTATTTTTCTCACAATTTATGAAGGAGATAGTGTTTTCATCTGTAAAACAAGAAGTTACAGCCAGGCACCATGGCTCACACCTATAATCCCAGCACTGTGGGAGGCCAAGGCTGGAGGATCACTTGAGGCCAGGAGTTCAAGATCAGCCTGGGCCACAGAGTGAGACCCCATGTCTACAAATAATTTTGTTTTAATTAGTCGGGCAGGGAGGTGCATGCCTATGGTCCCAGCTACTAGGGAGGCTGAGGCAAGAGGATCGCTTAAGCCCAGGAGTTCAAGGTTACAGTGAGCTATGATTGCACCACTGCACTCCACCCTGGATGACAGAGCAAGACCCTGTCTCAAAAAGAAAGGAAAACAAGAAGTTAGATGACTTGCTCAAGGCAAGAGCCACTTAAGTGGCCTGATATATTATATTGTTATACATTATTATATTATTTATATTGTTATTTATATTAAATTATATTAAATATATATTATAATAAAATTATATTGTTATATAAGAAATAATAAATATTATATGTTGAAACATAAGTTTCAACATATGATGTTTATTTTTTATTTTTACAGAAATCCATTTTTCTAAAAGCTTCTATGCATTGTCTGTTTCATTCAAGAGTATCGCAATAGGTCCATTATATGTTACTGAGGAAAATCAAGGACAAAATATGCTATATTCCATGTAATAAAGATCCTCTGATTTCATAAGATATTGCATTGAAATATCATCCCCACATCTGAAGAAAGTGTTAAGAAAATATCTGTTGAATCAAAATCTGAATTTCAGTCTTAGAGTCATAATATGGATCATCTTGATTCAGTGACCATATTTTGGAAGCTAAAAATTTAAAATAGATGGTCTTGGATGTGAGCTAAAAACTGGAGAGAATATTTGAAGCGGGGATTATTCCGGGAAATTCCATTTTTATCATCAGTGTGTGTGTGTGTGTGTGTGTGTGTGTTTAATGTGTATATGTGATAAATGTATTTGATGTGTGTTTAAGTGTGTGTGAATGTAAATGTAAAATGACTTCTTAAAACCTGATGATTTTAGAAACCATAGGTAAAGCCCAATAACAATTTGGAGTAGGAGTGAGAACAAGAGCATCCAATATTCTTTCACAAGGCAGTATTTGTACATTACCAGCTCCTCCCTGATTGTATGCCAGTTCCAGAAATGTCTTTTTTCCAAGTCCATATCAGAAAGTTAGGATCAGTCACTGTAAAAAGGTATGTTTAGGACAATTGTTTCAGAAAACTGCTAAAATATGCTTTTCTGTTAAGTGACTTGTGAGTTCTTTCCCAGTCCTTGCCACGTTGACACGGGTGGTTCTGTGATTGCTGAGTGTGTTCAATGAAGCAATGCTTGAAAAACAATTGAAACTCTGAGTTGATTGGGCCTACAACAGCAGTCTGCTTGAAATTACAAGCTGGGCTCCTTGAAATGAAACTTGTCATGCCCAGCAAAGCTGTTGACTGCCTCTCACCTCTGGGAATTTTTGGAGGAACTGAACTAGCCTGATGGATAGGTTCTAAACACCAAGCAACTTGGAAAATGTCCCCAAGCCTGCCCCTCTTTCAAAGCATCCAGGATGCTTGTGGCTGTGGGTTGTTTTCCTTGTTAGTCCCTGGCAGCATGGTAGTTATGCTTTGGGTAGCCTTTCGTTTAAAGAGGAGGAGATGGGCCTGCGCGGCAGCTCTCACCTGAAATCCCAGCACTTTGGGAGGCCAAGGAGGGCAGAACGCTTGAGCCCAGGAGTTCAAAACCAACCTGAGCAACATAGTGACACCCCATCTCTACTTTTTTAAAAAATTAATTATATATGTTTTTAAAAGATGATGAGATAATTGATAAGTTAATGTCCTCAGCAATTATAGGGCTTACCATTCACATATTTCTCCTTCTGAAAAAGAATTCTTCTTCCAGTTACCCAATTTATTTTAGGGACTGCCTTACTTGTCTCAAGCCTTAAGCCCATGGAGTTCTCATATTTGGCTAGAACGTGGCATTAGCTGCTTTTTAGACTGACACCATAATTATGAAGAGCCACTAAAATGGTATTTTCTCAAACAGACCCTACTGCCTAATAAAAGCTAGGTTTTTCTTTTCTAAAGAGTGAATAAAAACGAAACCTCATTTATTTTCAAGGAATTAGAATTGTCTATTATACCTGGTATAAACCCATGAATTTTCTTTTCATTCAGAATTTTAGGGACCTATTGAGTAGTACTTAATTTTGTAATTGTCCTCACTGCTAAATTTAGCTACTAAAAAATCCTATTTTTTTATTTGAAATAACCATGGCTCCAAAAATGTCTCTATTAGGTACATCTTACTCATCACCTAAAAATTATATTTGCTCTTTTAGCTAATAAAATTGCTGTAATAATGAAATTTTTGAGGTTATAAACTTTGAGCTTCACCTACCTATAGTTTCTACTGTGTAGAAACAAAAAATCATGGTGTCCTTAAAGTTTAGTAAAAAAGGGATGATTAAATTTCATCTACCCAGTATCTACCCAGTCATCCAAAATTTGAGATAAAGGGCACAAGTGATCCTAAAGACAGGCACAGTGTATACAAACACACACACACACACACACACAGTCTCCCCAGGCCTTCACACAATGCCTGACACTTTAAAGGCTCTTCGTTAATACATTTGAAAGGGCGGGAAGAAATAAAGAAGGAGAAAACATAACCAGCTGAAGTGCAGGGTTTGTATGAGACAGGGACTAAGCATTTGAATGTTTCTCGAATGTTTGTATGCCTCTACCTGTACATAACTTTCAAGCTAAGGAGTACTTTCCTGCAATGGACTGACAAGGGAGAGGTTAAAAAGGAAAGAAACATCTCTCACTGATGTCCATAAGTGAATAGCAAAGTGACAGACTCAAAGACAGGCACGGGACAGAAAATAATTACGTTGTACTTTGTGCAACTGTTGCCTCACTTAAATGCAGCAGGTTTGTAATTTCTAGCTAAAAATATACACCTTTTCATGCTATTTTACCAAGCCAACTTTTTGGAATTCGACTTTCTTTAACAGCTTGCTTTATTCCATGCTAGTTCTACTTGTGGGCATTTA